>NC_000001.11:185059587-185684587 GCF_000001405.40 Homo sapiens
CAGACATCTTCATGTTAATGGCATTATTGTTGTAGTAGCAGTAGTAATAATCATATGTTTGGTTGGGGGCTAAGAGCATGGCCTTCTCACTCAGACCTGGGTTTGAGTCTTGCCTCTGACATTTACTATGAGACCATTAAGCACGTTAATAGCATTATTTTCCACAACTGGGATTACTTGGACAAAGAATATGAAAATTATATTTTTATCTCTAGAAATGAATTCCTTAGCTGGTTTTTGAATGGGTTATTCCAGTTCCTGTTAGAAGAGTGTAGAGGTATTAGCCTTCAACTTTTCTCTCTCATCTTTCTGAATCTGATTATTTTCTTAGGTCTCTACCTGACCACAGATTTAATTTGCCAACAGACTGTGGCCTTCCCAGAAAAGTAGAACTTGTTAGTATATTTCCATTGACACAAGGGAATGTTACTGTGACTTCTTGCGTTGCCACTTGCTAAAGCTAACATTGGAACTTGATGAACATTTCTCTACCCAGGAAAGGATAACAATCTTGGAATATACCACTTTGCAGAAGCTGCTGACTTATGCTGTGGCATATGAGGCCCTGGACTAAGAGTCAGTAGTTAGACTTCTCTTTTTGGTTTGTCTTTAATTCAGATCTGTGTAAATCTTTTAGCTTTGCTTTATGCCTTAGTTGTGTTTCACATATCCCTCACAAAGATACAGATAACTGATCTGTATCATTAAGTCTACAGGTTTATTTATTGGGGCCAGTCATGTGTGGTGTCAGCATAGAGTGGCAGTCAACAGTCAGTAGTAACCTGGATACTGCCACCACATAAGTATACTCCCTTGTTTAGAGGTTCCTATTATCTGAGTAGGGATATGAACTGAAGTTGGTAGTTTCCCTTGCTCACTTAAGGACTCAAAATTTTTCTGTTCTGCTTAGGAAATTATTGACATTCTTTGTTTCTCTTGGTCTGAGGGCACTCGGAGAATTAAAGGTAGTCCTTTATAAGAATGTGATGAATTTAGTGTAGAGTTGATATGTGTTCAGGACTGAGAGCCTGGGTTATGCCAAAGTCTGAGGTTTAGTTGACTAATGGGTCACTAGATTTAAATAAATTGGATGAATCAGTAGACTGGAAACCCTTTGGCAAGCAGAGGTTGAAACATCCTTGGAGAAGATGAAAAAATCTAGCCTGGCAGATGAGAACCAGGAGGAATGAGTACCAGTGTAAGGAATATGTCTTGTCAGAGGGACAGACAGTTAAGAATTGAGGAAACAGGCTGGGCAAGGTGGCCCACACCTGTAATCCCAGTGTTTTGGGAGGCTGAGGTAGGAAGATCACTTGAGGCCAGGAGTTCAATACCAGCCTGGGCAACATAGCGAGATCCCATCTTTATGAAAAGTTAAAAAAGTAGCTGAGCGTGGTCATGAGTCTGTAGTCCTAGCTGCTTGGGAGGCTGACATGGGAGGATCGCTTGAGCCTAGGAGTTTGAGGTTACAGTGAGCCATGAGTCACTGAGCCACTGCACTCCACTCTGGGTGCTGGAGTGAGACCCTATTTCTCTCTCTCTTTTTTTTTTTTTTTTTGAGACGGAATCTCGCTCTGACGCCCAGGCTGGAGTGCAGTGGCGGGATCTCGGCTCACTGCAAGCTCTGCCTCCCGGGTTCACGCCATTCTCCTGCCTCAGCCTCCCGAGTAGCTGGGACTACAGGCGCCCGCCACCATGCCCGGCTAATTTTTTGTATTTTTAGTAGAGACGGGGTTTCACCATGTTAGCCAGGATGGTCTCAAGACCCTATCTCTTAAAAGGGGAAAAAAAAAGGGAAACAGAAATGAAAGCTTCTGATCTCAGGCAGAAACCAACCCACCAAACAAAAAAAAACACACAAGATCACAAAACCCCGAATGTGCAGCCTTTAGCACCAAGGCCAACAGTATAGAGGAAAACGATAGCTAGCTCATTGTTTCAAATACATATGCAATTATGGCAGGTGGATGTGGAGAAGTATGGAACTAGCTATTCTCTTTAAGACAGAGTGGGAAAAAAACGGCAGGAATCATTAGCTATGACTTGGGGGAAGCTAGATGTGTGAATTTTAATATGCAGTATACCTCTTTTTGACTTAGAAGATAAAAGATTAGAGGAAACAACTGGTTGCTGGCTGAAGTATTCAAGTTGAAAGACATTGCTAAAGGTAGAGTATTTTCTTAGCTCAGGAGAACAAGACTGTTTTTAGGCAATGTACTGTCAGAAACATTTAGCATGCTTTGATCCACAGAATATTACAGTTTAGAGAGCTCTTGATGCTACTTAACATAAAGGTTTAAATTTACAAATGAGGAAACTGGACCCTCAGCTATAAGTGACCAGCCCTGTGGTTCACCCAAGAATCTAGAAGCAGTGCTTCTTTACCATTCACGTGTATTTGTATAATAGAAAATTTGTGCTTACTCCTGTTTCAGTAACCAGTATTCCTGTAATCAAGTTATCTCCACCTTGTAGCAGCAAATATTTTACAAGGCTGAGTACAAACATGGAAGAAAACTGCTAGGGAGAACTTTTAACTGCTTTTGAGGAAGAAAGAGGCAGGTAGCTTTGTGACAGTTGTGTTGCTTTTTCAAAGGCAGCTGTGGGGATAGTGTTCTCATTGCCATGTTCATATTTTGTAACCTTATTAAGGAATTTATACACTGTGTATACCTGAATCAGGCAATCATTTATTGTTGACAGTGTAGGAAGTTATAGTGTATTAAGCTCATGTTTTACAGTTTTCAGATAGACACACATGCATATTATATACACATAAAATATATGTGTATATATTCACATATACACATATTTCTCTCTCTTTTCCCATCTTTGTCATGAATTAGAAGATAGCATGCTAACTTATCAGTGGAGAAGAGAGAACTAAACAATGATGTTGGGAAACTTGCCCATTACATGGAATGGAGTAGCTAGAACCTATCCTCTTTACATGTAAAAAAAAATTGCAAGAAAGTATAGGTGGTTGTTTTTTATAATTTTAGAGTATGGCTTCCAAAGATGCCATAGAAGAAAAGTACATTAAAAATATATAAAAGATAAAAGTTATGTACTGAAGAAGTCAAAGACAAAAGACAAAGCAGCAAACTGGGGAAAATTAACACTCATGACAGACAAAAGGTCAATTTCCTTAAAAGAAGGAGTTCTTACAAGTTAACTTAAAAAAAAAACCTGACAGAAATGGATATAAATAATTGGTAGACCTCCCCCCCCCCAAAAAAAGGCCAATAAAGCTGTGAAAAGATACTGTTTCACTCATGATTGAGGCTTGCCAATTAAAACAACAAAGAAGTATCATTTCCCTCCCACTTATCAGATTGGGCAGGGTTTTTTAAAAAAATGTTGCTCTTCCCTAATTGGTAGAAATGTAAGTTGGTATAATAATTTAGCAGTATTTGTCAGAATAAAAAAATGTACTTGCCCTTTGATCCAGTAATTCCACTTCTAGGAATTTGTCCTGGACAACTTTTTGCCAAGGGTAACTTCTTACTGTTAAAGTTAGCAAAATATACACTAAACCTGTAACTGTAAATGAGTGAATTCTGAGCAATGTCTTTATTTGGGGAAGTACCATTTGGAAATGCCAGATGTTTCTTAGGTCACTGAAACAGTAATTTTTACACAGAATACGTAGAATAGTGGTTCTCAAAACTGGCTGCACATAAAAACCATTTGGCTGGCTTTTAAACTGGGGGTGGATGAGGGGTAAAGATACTGATTCAGTGAGTCTGAAATGCAACCTTGGTATCAGAATTGTTTAAAATTTCATCCAGATGAAAGATGATTCCTTATATATAGCCAGATTTGAGAACTACTTCTCTAGAGGAAGACTCTTTTCCTGTGAGTGCATTTAGTTTTCTTTTGGCAGAAGATAAGACTATTGAGCAAATAAACCGAAGTTCGCATTTTTTGTCACCTTCTCCCACTCTTACCATCTTCTGGTAATTAGGGTTCAACTGGTGTATAAGTTTCATATAGTTGCTGTAACAAATTACCAAAATGTAGTAATTTGAAACAACACAAACTTACTATTTTACAGTTCTGGCAGTAAGAAGTCCAAAATGAGTCTTACGGGATTGAAATTAAGGTGTTGGAAGGTCTGTGACGTTTCTGGAGTCTCTAGGGGAGAATTCATTTTCTTTCATTTTCTAACTTCTGGAGGTTACCTGCATTCTAATTTGCAGCCCCTTCTTCCATCTTCAGGCCAGCTTCCCAGTGTCTTAGATTGCTCTCTTGGACTACTACCCTGGCCTACTTCATCACAGCTTCTTTGACTCTGCTTCTCACATCACATCGCTTTGTCTGCCTCTTAAGGACCTTTGCAGTTACATTGTGCCAAACCTGGATAATCCAGGATAATCTCCCCATCTTAAGAGCTGTAATTTAATTGTATTGGCAAAGTCCATTTTGCCATGTAAGGTTAACATGCACAAATTCTGGGGATTAGGACGTGGACACCTTTGGGGACCTATTATTCACACTGCCATAGTTAGAGACTTAATTCAGAAGGGCATTTAAAATTAACAAATGGAATATTTCAATCTGTCTTAAATTTATATCATATTCTAGCCCTAAATAAATTAGCTTCTATATAGTAAGTTATGATTAATGTTTATTACCTCAGGAACAATCTTCAATTTCTACTTTATTCTTAGGAATGTAGGTTGGATAGGATAGGATAGCTAGTCTTATTGCACCAATAATAATAGCTATTGTTTATTCTTCATAGAATCCTACAGAATAGGTACTTTATTTCAACACTGGCAGGATTTCATACTCTGATTTTTTTGGTAATGCTTTGGATAGTCTAGATGGTCTCCAATTTACAGTGGTTCGACTTACGATTTTTCAACTTTACAGTGGTACAAAAGCAATATGCATTCAGCATGCTCCTTGACTTGTGATGGGGCTGCATCTGGATAACCCATCTTAAATTGAAAACATTGAAAGTTGAAAACACTTTAAGCTTATATTTTCAACTTACTGTGGTTTCACTTTAGACTTAAGATATTTTCAATTTTTGATAGGTTTATTGGGATGTAACCCCATGTAGGTCAACGAGCATCTTTATTGTTATCTTAATAATATTTTGTCTTCAAATCCATGAACATGGGATGTCTTTCCATTTATTTATGTCTGTAATACCTTTCAGAATGTTTTGTAATTTTCATTATGCAAGTCTTGTGCCTCCTTGGCTTAAGTTTATTCCTAAGCATTATTATTTTATGTTGTTGTATATGGAATTTTTTTTTAATTTCCTTTTCAGGTTGTTCATTGTTAGTGTATATGAATGAAACTGATTGTTTTGTTTTTTTCTTGCAACGTTGCTGAATTCATTTATTCAGCTTTTTACAGTTTTGTGTGTATGTGTGGAGTCTTCAGGGCTTTCTGCATATAAGATCATGTTGAGAGATGAAGCCAGCTGGACTTCTGGGTCGGGTGGGGACTTGGAGAACTTTTCTGTCTAGCTAAAGGATTGTAAGATGCACCAGTCAGCACTCTGTAAAAACGCACCAATCAGCCCTCTTTGTCTAGCTAAAGGATTGTAAATTTACCAATCAGCCCTCTGTGTCTAGCTAAAGGATTGTAAATGCACCAGTCAGCACTCTAAAAATGCACCAATCAGTGCTCTGTGTCTAGCTAAAGGATTGTAAATGCACCAGTCAGCACTGTGAAAAAATGGACCAATCAGCACTCTGTAAAATGGACCAATCAGTAGGATGTGGGCAGGGCCAAATAAGGGAATAAAAGCTGGCCACCGAAGGCCCCAGTGGCAGCCTTCTCTGGTCCACTTCTATGCTGTGGAAGCTTTGTTGTTTTGCTCCTCACAATAAATCTTGCTGCTGCTCACTCTTTGGGTCGGCACTACTACCTTTATGAGCTGTAACACTCACCATCAGGGTCTGCAGCTTCATTCCTGAAGTCAGCCAGACCATGAACCCACCAGGAGGGCCAAACAACTCCAGACGCGCCACCTTTAAGAGCTGTAACACTCACTGCGAAGGTCCACAGCTTCACTCCTGAAGTCAGCGAGACCACTAACTCACCGGAAGGAAGAAACTCCTAGACACCTCTGAAGGAACAAATTCCGGACACACCATCTTTAAGAGCTGTAACACTCACTGTGAAGTTCTGCGGCTTCGTTCTTGAAGTCAGCGAGAGCAAGAAACCACTGGAAGGCATAAACTCTGGACACAATGTCATCTACAAAGATACTGTTTTACTTCCTTTACAATTTGGATGCTTTTTATTTCTGTTTCCTTTTTTTCCCCCCTACTTGCTCTAGCTAGAACTTCCACTAGTATGTTGAATAGAAGTGATAAAAATACTACTTTCTGCTATACTGTCTCATTTTTTTTTTTTTAGTATCAGCATCTACACAGCCACAAGCTTAGGAGTCCTTTTCTTTCCTTCCTTTGTCATTTCCTATATCCCATGTATTGTTATT
This sequence comes from Homo sapiens, assembly GCF_000001405.40. NCBI lineage: Eukaryota > Metazoa > Chordata > Mammalia > Primates > Hominidae > Homo > Homo sapiens. The sequence goes on from NC_000001.11 coordinate 185,066,054, forward strand.
TTTGAGCTCTGCCTTTTCTAATTTATTCTTATTAACAGCTCTACTGTAGGCCTTTCTCATCTCTTCAGATTATTGCACAGATTAGGATTCTTGATTTTCTCAGATCCATCCTTTACTGTTGGCCAAAGGTGATCTCTTCGTCATTGCACTGTGGATCTTTCTTGATACCTTTGTATTGCATACTAGGCCTCACTGATCTAGTTCACATTTAAATTTTTCAGCCTCACCCTGTGCTGAGGCTGTACTCCCCACCTTCTTTTCCACTCATTTAATAGTGAACTACTTGGAGTTTCCCAGACATGCCATGCTGAGTGTACCTTTCCTTATTATGTTGGTCCTTCAGGACTGCTTTCTTTCCTCGCTTGGTTAACTTTCACTTCACCTTAAACTCTTCCTCCAAGAATGAGTCTCTTTCTCCAGGAAACATTTTCTGATTTCTGCTCTCCCATTTGACTGCTTATTTATGCCTTCTTAGCATTTATCAAATCATATTGAAAACATGTTCAAGGATTGTCTGCCTCAGTAGCCAATACATTGTTAGAGGTTCTCATTTTCTATCACATGATAGCTCAATAAATGTTTCCTAAATGGTTGAACTCAACTGGTTTTCATTATGGATCTGTTAGCTTCTAATATGGGTAGGCAAAGGGACAGAAAGAAAATAAGGCTGCTGCTGTTATAATTAGTGTTGACTCATATTAGACCTTGATAGGTGTATCTTAAAACCTTAAAAACAGATTAAATTGGGCTATTAAAGTATCTATGTCTGTGGTGGGGGCAGGGGTAGTAGTAGTGTTAGAGGAGATGAGATAGTGATTGATGGCTGATGGGAGAAATGTGGTAGGAAGCACAGATCACACTAAATTATCTAGATCTGCATTTTAAAGGAAGCTTTAAAAATCTTAAAAACATTTCCTTGTAAGACAACTTAGTTATAGAGAGTCTAGAAATGTTAAGTTTATTACTAGTATTCAAAAACTTAAGACCGGATAATGGAGATTTGGCAAATTACCTTTAAGTGCTTTCTGTTGTATGTTCCATATTGTGGAAAAGATACAATCAAATTAGGAATTGATATTGCTTCTTTAAATAAAGAAGCTATTAGGCTACCAAGAGTAATTTAGATGAGTATTCCAGATGTTCAGTACAGTGACAAGCTTTTCAGTAAAGAACACTTTGTGTCTTTAGAAGCTTACAGAAATTAGCGTCTGTCTTACAGCTGTAGTTTTAGATTGAACTGCGGAAAGTGGTTTTTATGAGGTGTTACCGCAGGCAGTGTTATGATGGCAGTTGGATTGCTTACTCACAATTTATTATTTGCCTAGTCTTGAGTAAATTTCTAAAATATAACACCTGTATCCTGTAAGCAAGCATTGCTTTAATTAAGGAAGAAATTATTTGCTCATTTACATTTGTGTAATATAACATAAAAGGAAAAGAAAAATGCTAAAGATTGAGAGAGTTAATTTGATGTGACCTTTATTTTACTGTGTTCAGAAGGGACAGTAACTATGAGAGAAAAACATATCTCATTAAAAGAGAGAGAAGGCATCTTAGTTTTTCTTTGTTTCATAGTGCTTAGGGAAGTGTATATCAAACAAATGAAAAAAATGCTTTGTAGGGAAATGGGATAATTAAGTAATTTAAAAGTATCCTTTTTTTTTTTTTTTTTTTTGAGACGGAGTCTTGCTCTGTTGCCCAGGCTGGAGTGCAGTGATGCAATCTCGGCTCTCGGCAACCTCTGCCTCCCGGGTTCAAACGATTCTCCTACCTCAGCCTCTCGAGTAGCTGGGACTACAGGCGCCTGCCACCACGCCCAGCTAATTTTTGTATTTTTAATACAGATGGGGTTTCACCGTGTTGGCCAGGATGGTCTTGAGCTCTTGACCTCATGATTCACCCGCCTTGGCCTTCCAAAGTGCTGGGATTACAGGCATGAGCCACAGCGCCCGGCCTTTTTTTTTTTTAGAGACAGAGTCTTGCACTGTTGCCCACGCTGGAGTGCAATGGTACGATCTCGGCTCGCTGCAACCTCTGCCTCCCAGGTTCAAGCGATTCTCCTGCCTCAGCCTCCTGTAAAGTGGTTACATTTTCTGAAATGTATTTCACATTTGTTTAAAAACAAATTAAGGAAACAGCATGTATGCAGGATAAAGACTTAAGTGTTGTCTGTGGGTAGTTGGTTATATTCATTGGTGGGTTATAGTCACTCTTACTTTGGTCAGTGTGGTAGGCTGAAAAATGTCCCCCAAAAGATATCTACATTCTGGTCTCTGGAACCTGTAAATGTTAATTTACTTTGAAAAAGGTTCTTTGCATGTGTAATTAAGTTAATGGTATTGAGATGAGATTGTCCTGGATTATCCAGGTAGGCCTTAAATGTTACCACATGTAACTTTATAAGAGAAGGGGCAGAGAGAGATTACAGCCACAGAAGAGCATGAAGCAGTGTGACCACAGAGGCAGATTGGAGTGATATGGTCACAAGCCAAGGCATACTGGCATTTGCCCCAACCTGAAAGAGGTAAGGAACAGATTCTCCCCTAGGGCCTCTGGAAGCCAAGTGCAATCCTGCCAGTACTTTTATTTTGGCCCAGTGATATTGAATTAGGACTTCTGGCCTTCAGAACTGTGAGAGAATAACTTACTGTTGTTATAAGCCTTCAAATTTGTGATAATGTTACAGTAGCCATAGAAAACTAATATAGCAATCATTGTTCAGAATGTAAATGGACATTTCTAAGTAACTCAGTTTACCTAAACTCTTTCTCCTTTTGGGGAGTATAATTTATAGCTCACTCATATTAAACTATAGCTTTATTTCAGATACTCTGTATAGACCAGAAAATTTTTACGATTAAAGCAGCTGTTAAACATTTTTAGGTGCAGAACTCTTGACAGTTTTGCTCAAAATGTTACATTTAAAGTTCCTTTTTTGAGTAAAATGTTTCATCCAATTTGGAAGCTCCCTTATTGCTGCCTTCTCCCTCATAACTACTCTGGTAAGAGTACAATTTAGGCTCCTAAAATTTTACAACATAGTGTAAGCTCTTTTGCCTGTTAATGTGCTATTTATTATGAATTCCTCTTTCACCTATACTATTGAAAATATACATTTGGCTGGGTGAGTGGCTCATGCCTGTAATCCCAGCACTTTGCAAGGCCAAGGTTGGCGGATTGCTTAAGCCCAGGAGTTCGAAACCAGTCTGGGGAACATGGTGAAACCCCGTCTCTACAAAAAATACACACAAAAACCAACTTGGCATGGTGGTTCATGCCTGTAGTCTCAGCTACTTGGGAGGCTAAGACGGGAGGATTGCCTGAGCCCAGGAGGTCAAGGCTGTGGTGAGCCATGATTGCATCACTGCACTTCAGCCAGGGTGATAAGAGTGAGACCCTGTCTAAAAAAAAAAAAAAAAAAAGAAATGCAGAACATACACATTTGAGGCTATTTATCTAAGGGCTGAGCTATGAGTTCACAGTGATCCAGCACATGCTAGGGTCTCACTTGAGACTGGTTTATTGAGAGTCTGACCAAAGAGTAAAGGCCATGTAGATTCTGTATACTTTAGCCCTATACTCTTAATCATCAGACAGCAGTGTGCCTAGCCTATAATATCTTAATCCTCTCAAAGATTGGGTATGTGTTTGGAGCTAGGGAGGAGGGTAATCCAAGAGACATTTTATAAATAATTTGCTAATTTCTAATGAAATTTAAGCCCGAAATATCTCTGTTCAGTATGCTTCTTTTTCCCTTAAGCTTCCAGGAACCAAATATTTAGCCACATACAGATTACTAACAGTTGACAACTAATAAAGAAATCTGCCCTTTCTGGCAAATTTTGTTCGTTATAGAATAAGTCTTAAATGAGTAGTCTTGAATCAGCCATTGATTTTCTGCTTATGAGGCACATTAACCAAAGATTTTAGTACTTTCAGTATTTTCTTCTCTAAAATAACTTATTCTTTTGACAGAGTATTAATGTAAAATTCTCAGTAAGTTGGGGGTAGCTAAATAATTTTCTCCCTGGTCTTTTACATGTTAGGGGACTAGGAAATAGAAATGCTTCTTCAAATTGAAATAATAGAGAAGATGATATCACCTAGTTTATGATTGTCATGTATGGAATGTGCCAGGTACTTCATATGAATATCTCATTCAGTTTTGCTAGTGAACCTGAAAATTTTTATCACTTTGCAGATTAAAAAAAAGCCTTAAGAGGTTGAGAAATTTGCCTATGAATCCACAGCTAGTGACTGCTAGAGCAAGGATGCAAATCCAAGCTGATCCAGTTCCAAAGATCATTTACTGTGCTTTCTGACTGTCTCATTTGTTGTTTTATAACATAAAGGGATCCCTAAAATAGTTCTCTGCCTTTACTTTGGGGAATTTATGGTTTAATGGATCCGTTTTTCCTTGAATGGTCTTGGGAACAAATGTATGGCCCAGTCAGAGGATTATTTGAGAGCCTTGGGATCTCAAAGAGTTGAATGGGAACCTCAATTAGTATTATCCTCAGTTTTTTTCACATGAACCTTATTCTTTGCTACATCTAACTTCTGTAGACTGCAGTATTTTCTTTTCTTTTTTTTTTTTTTTTTTGAGACCGAGTCTTGCTGTGTCACCCAGGCTGGAGTGCAGTGGCGCGATCTCAGCTCACTGCAAGTTCCGCCTCCCGGGTTCACACCATTCTCCTGCTTCAGCCTCCCGAGTAGCTGGGACTGCAGGTGCCCGCCACCTCGCCGGCTCATTTTTTTATTTTTAGTAGAGACTGGGTTTCACCGTATTAGCCGGGATGGTCTCGATTTCCTGACCTCGTGATCCGCCCGCCTCGGCCTCCCAAAGTGCTTGGGATTACAGGCGTGAGCCACTGCACCCGGCCAGACTGCAGTATTTTTATTCCCTCAACTAACTTAAGGATTGTATCTTAAGAGTGGGATAGAAATGGTGTTTTAGGGAACCTCTGCATAAGTATACTTTGTTTGCCAAGTAATACAAAGTGAGTATTTGTGTGGAAATGATGGAATAAAGGAGGGAGGGTAGGCAGTGAGGCAAATGGTTACATTCTTATAAGGCTCTGGTTAGCCTCAGTAAATCTATACTTTACATATGAAAAGAGGGAGTAGAGGAAAAAGTCAGTTACGCATTCATCTCAGGGTAGGCCAAGGGATGATTTCTGGTTTTTATCCTTGTCTTCTACCTGTGAAGATAAGCTGGTAATTGACATTGTTAAGGTGAGCTTCAACAGAACTCAGTTTCCGGGCTAGTTTATAGGGAAGATATGTATCCTGAAAGATTAAGACGAGGGAAGCCATCTTGGGAGATACGTGACCCTCTATTGTTGTGGGAATGTGGCTTATGGATGAGGCTACATATGTCTTGGTTGTGAAATTACAGCTATCTGTTTGGGAACAAAAGGAAAGTAGTATTGCCTTACTTAGTTCCTAAGCTTAACTTCCCCTTTGGCATCGTGCGTTTAGAGTCCCGAGATTCTATTTTCTTTTCACATCATTACTGTCTTCCAGGATGTACTTGTTAAAGAGTTACTCTGCCATGCTAGATTCAGACCCACCTCCCCGCCAATCTTGGACAAGTTGAACATGGTCACCCAGTTCTTTGATAGATTTCACCTGCTCATTCAGGTAATGCATCTCAATGAAGTCACACAGTGTGTGTGGTTTTGTCAATGGCCAGTTCATGCATTTTCAGTAGTGACTGATTCATGCTTTTTTCCAAGTATAATACGTGCTCCATTGTCTTCAACCTGCCCTCCCATTCATTATGGTCTGGTTTCTTGATATGCCGAAGGAATATTAGGCCTCTTTGTTGGTTGTGCAGCTCTGTCACTTTCTCATTATATTTTCTCTCCTCATGACATTGGTGAAGAAATGTCATGGCAAAGCCATATCATTGTGGACAAAGTAGTAAGACATGAATAGGTAGATGTGGAGACAAAGCTAGAGATTAATCTGGCAGTTGATGGTCATGGTGGTAGGGGTTGCTGTCATCATGGGAGGTGGCTAAGAAGAGGTAGCACTGAAATGGTGGCAGGAGCCTTGGGGCTGCTAGAGGGTGCTGTGAGGAGGTAGCAGGGGGCTGACTCTGAGGTGCTGGCTAGGGTGGGGGTTCCAAGCACAGTTGAAGCAATAAACCAAGGTGACTGTGAAGAATATCTGGACTCTCATGTTGAGGGGTTTTTGGTTATTTTTTTAGGCATGAAAATGTGAAATGTTGAGGTTGCCTAATTTGAACTCCTCTTTTTATTTATTCATCACCATTGATGAGTTCTTAAGCAAATATTTATTGAATGACTACTATATGCCAGGTACAGTGCAAGGTATTGGGGATATTGTGGTAAATAAGAGATAACTACTCTTAAAAATCTTAGAGGCTATAAAAGTGCTATGGTTAAGAAAAGAGAGAACGTGAGATAAAGAATTACAAGGTTAGAATTTCTTTAGAATGCATGAGGGAGCTAGCTATGGGAAAATCTTGGGGGGAAGAAATCATTCCTTTCCAAGCAGAAGGACTAGCTAGTGGAAGGACTCTAAAATGAGAATGATCTTTGCAAGACTGATGAAGAGAAAGATGGCAGATGTGGCTAAAACATACTGAACAGCTCATGCCTGTAATCCCAGCACTTTGGGAGGCTGAGGCGGGCGGATCATGAGGTCAGGAGATCGAGACCATCCTGGCTAACACAGTGAAACCCCATCTCTAATAAAAATACAAAAAATCAGGCGGGCATAGTGGCACGCGCCTGTAGTCCCAGCTACTTGGGAGTCTGAGGCAGGAGAATCGCTTGAACCCACGAGATGGAAGTTGCAGTGAGCCGAGATTGTGCCACTGCACTCCAGTCTGGGCAACAGAATGAGACTCTGTCTCAAAAAAACAAACAAAAAAACATAGTGAACAGAACTCAGAATGACATGTGTTTAGGTTGTTTAGATTTCTTTTTTAATTGCTTAAATAGGATGAAATTACACATTTTGCTCTACGACTTGCTTTTTTTTTTTTTTTTACTTAATGTGTGTTGTATACATATATTGAGTTCTGTGTCAGTGTTTATAGCTACGTAGTATTCTATACTATGGACATTTCCTAATTAGCCATTTTTTTATTGACATAGATTTTTATGGGTTTTTTGCTACTACAAATAATGCTGTGATGACCATTCTTATGCATATGCTTATTCTATCCCTGTGTGAGAATTTGTGCTGGGTAAATTTCTTTTTATTTTTAATTTTTTAAAATTTTTTTGCTGGGTAAATTTATTAAGAGAGTTATTACAATATCAAAACTTAGGAGCCATTTGACAGACACAGGCTGCTTTGAGAGGTGAGGATTCAGCTAAGACAGTAGAGTGACTGTTATTCTTTTATTCAGCCAAAGAGCAGAGATACTTAGCAATTTTTAGAGAGTATTCCAGTCTGTTCTTTTAGTGTATTCTCTTTCATTGGCATCTATTTTTCAGATACTGTCTTTTGATCTACAGCAGTTAATTTTTTGAGTTTTTTAAAAGGACACATAAATGTGATTGTTTTATAGTTTAAGGTACCTGTGTATGTTAAAATGCATATTATACTGTGGTTCTAAGGGCTGATGTGTCTACTGTTACTTACAAGGAATGCAGGTAAGACAATTACATCAGCCAGTACATTTTTATTGTATGTCAATCAAAGATAATAAAAGGGAAATGCATCTACTTCTGTAATCTGTTTCTTCTCACAACATTTCTGACACTAAATATGTGGTTTTTTGCTACACTAACAATTCTCCAACTCTTTAGTCACCAACTGGGTGTCCAACAGTTGATTCAGTTCAGTGGTTACGCTACTCAGAGTGAGTGCCAGACCCCACACATTAAGGGATCAGTCCCACAAGAGACTGCCTCCACTTCAGATGCCATTAAGCCCATGCCTCATGTACTTCTGACCAATTGGCTATAAGTTGGGGATTTCCGCAATCCCCTTGTCAGGTTTGATAATTTGCTAGAATGGCTCACAGAACTCAGAAAAGCATTTTACTTACATTTATCAGTTTGTTATAAAGGACATTATAAAAGATACAGCATATTAAGAGGTAGAGAGAGTGAGGTCCATTGGGGTTCCAACCATAGGAGCTCCTGTCCTGTGGAGTTAGAGTGTATCACCCTTCTGGCACCCTGACCTTCCACGAGTTCCATCATTTAAAAATTTAATGGAGATTCCATTACATGGACATGACTGGTTAAATCATTGGCCATTGGGAATTAGCTGGATCTCCAAACTCTTTTCCCTCTTTAGTGGTAGGGGTAGGATGGGACTGTAGGGGTAGGATGGGACTGAATGTTCTGACCCTCTAATCTTGTGGTTGGTTCTCCTGAAAACCAGTCCCTGTCCTGAATCTATCTAGGGGCCCACCTAGAGTAACCATATTAGCATAAACTTAGGTATGGTTGAAAGGGGCTTACTATGAATAAGAAAAGTGGCTCCTCTCACCCTTATGACTCAGGGATTCCAAAGGTTTTAGATGATCTGTGCCAGGAACCAAGGACTAAGACCAAATACAAAGAAAAAAAAAGACCAGATACAGTCTGCCTTCCTGTATCAGTGGTTTCAACCAACTACAGATTGAAAATATTAGGGAAAAAAAATGGTATGGTTGCATCTGAACGTGTACAGATTTTTTTTCTCGTGTCATTATTCTCTAAACAATACCATATAACAATTATTTACATAGCGTTTACATTGTATTGAGTATTGTAAGTAATCTAGAGATGATTTAAAGTACACAGGAGGAGGGTATGTGTAAGTTATATGCAAATGCTGTGTCTTTTTATATAAGGGACTTGAGTATCCATGGATTTTGGTATCGGGGAGGGGGAGCTCAGAGGGTGTCCTGGAACCAATCCCCCTTGGATACTGAGGGACGACTATATATAGTTCCGTGTGTGTGTGTGTGTTATTTATTTATTTTTGAGATGGAGCCTTGCTCTGTCGCCCAGGCTGGAGTGAGTGGCGTGATCTCAGCTCACTGCAACCTACACCTTCCGGGTTCAAGCCATTCTCCTGCCTTAGCCTCCCTAGTAGCTGGATTACAGGCACCCATCACCACACCTGGCTAATTTTTTTATTTTTAGTAGAGACGGGTTTTCGCCGTGTTGGCCAGGCTGGTTTCGAACTTCTGACCTCAGGTGATCCCCCCGCCTCGGCCTCCCAAAGTGCTGGGATTACAGACATGAGCTACTGTATTGTGTATTTCTTACAGCATGTCCATAGAGATTCTGTAATGGCCCCATATAGCTTGATTCAACCATTTTCCATTTCAAGAAATACATTCCTTATGCGAAATACTGTAATTATGCCTTAACTGCCAAATTGTTCTGTTCCCCAGAACTTTGCCAATGGTTCGACAATTCCTGTTTCTGCACACACTTTTAAACACTAGTGTTCTTGCATTGCTGTGTAACTCCCTGAGACCGGATAATTTATAGAGAAAAGAGGTTTAGTTGGCTCAAGGTTCTGCAAGGCTGTACAGGAAGCATGGCTGGGGGAGGCCTCAGGAAACTTACATTCATGGTGGAAGGTGAAGGGTGAGCAGGCAGGTCCTACATGTCTGGAGCAGGAGGAAGAGAGAGCAGTGGGAGATACTAGACACTTCTAAACAATCAGCTCTTGTGAGAACTCATTAACACGAGAACAGCAAGGGGGAAATCCACTCCCATGATCCAGTCACCTCCCACCAGGCCCCTCCTCCAACACTGGGGATTATAATTCCACATGAGATTTGGGCGAAGCCACAAATCTTAAACCATATCAACTAAATATTAGTCATCTTAATCTTTGTCAATATCACAGACAAAAAATAGAGCCTATATAGAACGCATTGTTTTGATTTGCAATTTACTGATTATTAGTGAAGTTTAGCACAGTTTAATTTTATTGGTTATGTATTGTGTTAATTACTCATCATTTTGCTTATATTGTCTTTTAAATTGATTTGATGTAGTACTCAGTATATATTATCGTTATTGGCCTTTGTTAATTTACATATGTTGCACATATTTTTTTCCTAGCTATTGTTTATCTTTTAAATTTGCTCATGGTGTCTCTAGTTGATTTTGTATGCAGGATTTAAAATTTTGTGAGGCGAAATATGAACCTTTCAGTCTTCTGGGTATTGTATCTTGCTTTTAGGCTGCCCTTCTTTTCTTCTAGATCTTTTATGGGTTGTTTTTTTTTTTTTTTTTTTTTTTTTTTTTTTTTTTTTTTTGAGACAGAGTCTCATTCTGTCGCCCAGGCTGGAGTGCAGTGGCGCGATCTTGGCTCACTGCAACCTCCGTCTCCTGGCTTTAAGTGATTCTCCTGCCTCAGACTCCCAAGTAGCTGGGACTACAGGCGCGTGCCTCCATGCCTGGCTAATTTTTTGTATTTTTAGTAGAGACGGGATTTTACCGTGTTAGCCAGGACTCGATCTCCTGACCTTGTGATCCACCTGCCTTGGCCTCCCAAAGTGCTGGGATTACAGGGGTGAGCCACTGCGCCCGGCCTTATTTTATGGTTTTTTTTTTTATGTTAATCCTTCCAGAATTTTAAAATTCACTTATTTGTTTAGGTATCTGATTTATTTGAAAAGGGTTTAAATTTTTTTTTTGTCATCCCTGATTTTAAAATACCCTAAATTCACATATCTGTTTTTGAGCCCTTTGTTTTGTTATATTGATCTGTTTTTCTTTTTCTTGAGATCATAGTGTTGCTTTCTATTAAGCTTTAATGTTTGTTTTAAGGTAAACTCTCTCCTGTTTTTCTTTAAAAATACTCTGGGCATTTTTTTTTGCATCCTCCAGGTAAACCTTAGAATCATTTTGTCTGCTGGTATTTTGATTGGGATTGCATTGCATTGAATTTATATACATATGTGTACATTAATTCAGTTCAGATCCTCTTTAATATACTTCAGTTAAGTTGTAGAGTTTTGTCTTTTCAATATTTTGTGAAATTATTTTAAGGATTTTATAAATTTTGTTGCTATCGTGAATGGGATCTTTTAAAAAATTTATTTCTGAATGGTAATTCCTAGTTTATAGGAAAACTGTAGCCTTTTTGGCATTTTTTTTATCTTCATTCCACCATGTTACTGCTTTTTATTAGTTCTAATAGTTTTGCTTTTGATTTTGTTGGATTTTATAGTTAGCTATCATTATTTGCACTGATACTTTGATCACTTCCTTTTCCCATGTTCCTCTCCCCATCCTCCTCCCCCCTCCCTCCTACTTCTCTCCCTCCCTCTCTATTTTTTTTCCTACCATAACATGACGTAGGACTTTCAGCAGAGTGTTGGGTGGTCTCATTTTGCTCCTGACTTTTTTAACAGGAATGTGTCAAAAGTTTTAACATTGATTGTTTTGGGACTTCCGGTAGATTTTTCATGAGGTTAAGAATGTTTCTATTTATTTCTAACTTATTACGACTTTTATTAGAAATAGTTTATTTATTGGTACAGAGTTGAAGATAACGTTCTCTGACTTAATTTTTTAAATCTCATATCCGTACATATGTGTGGTTTTTTAATTGTTAGGAATTAACTTTGTTTTTTTTTTTTTGGCTAGAAATTTAGCTATATTATTGGCTGTACCTGACAACTAAATTGTACTTTCATGAGCAAATCTGTTTTGTTTTGTTTTTTTTTTTTGGGCTGTTGTTGTTTGATTTCAGCTTTTATAGTGATTATTTTCCCCTTTTACTTTGTTTAGGTTCATTTTCTAATTTCTAATGCCTGATTCATTGTTTTTTTTCAGTCATTATTGTTTTATTATTTTAAAATTGCAGGTTATAAATATTTCTAAGGGACATTTCTCTCACTACATATACCATACATTGTGATAAGGTAGTATTTTCGTTTTATTCATTTATAAAGGACAAGTAAGGGGCCGGGCGTGGTGGCTCACGCCTGTAATCCCAGCACTTTGGGAGGCCAAGGCCAGCGGATCACCTGAGGTTTGAGGTTCGAGACTAGCCCGGCCAACATGGGTGAAACCCTGTTTCTACTAAAAATACAGAAATTAGCCAGGTGTAGTGGTGTGTGCCTGTAGTCCCAGCTGCTTGGGAGACTGAGGCTGGAGAATCGCTTGAACCTGGGAGGCAGAGGTTGCAGTGAGCCGAAATCTTGTCACTGCATTCCAGCCTGGGTGACAAAGTGAGACTCCATCATAAATCAGTCAATCATGTAGTTTCAAGTTTGATTTCCTCTTCAACCCATTCTAACATGTCTTTTGCCCCCAAATTAGTCTTACTTGATTCTTATGAAGATTACCATCTTGGCTTCTCTTTAGCTCTGTAACCTCTTCTTGTGAATGTTCCCCTTTATTTACTAGCCACACTGACCTGCTTTCTTTCCTTCTCTAATATGTCTATTTTGAAAGTTATTCCTTGGTTTCCCTATCTTACATGGCTCCTCTTCTCCCCCTTGATTGAAGGTCCCTAGTTTAACTCATAAAGTATCAGCATTAGTAAGCAGTAATTCTTTCTGAGTGATGTACTTAGTGATCTTTCATATGAATATGAAGGTGGCCTGGCGCAGTGGCTCACTCCTCCACTCATTCCAGCTGGGATTTTACAAATCCCAGCACTTTGGGAGGCCGAGGTGGGCGGATCACCTGAGGTTGGGAGTTCGAGACCAGCCTGGCCAACATGGTGAAACCCCATCTCTACTAAAAATAGAAAAATTCGCCAGGCGTAGTGGCTCACGCCTGTAATCCCAGCACTTTGGGAGGCCAAGGCAGGCGGATCACCTGAGGTCAGGAGTTCGAGACCAGCCTAGCCAACATGGTGAAACCTCGTCTCTACTAAAATACAAAAATTTGCCAGGCATGGTGGTGTGCACCTGTAATCCCAGCTACTTGGGAGGCTGAGGCAGGAGAATCGCTTGAACCCGGGAGGCAGAGGTTGCAGTCCCTAAAAGATCATTCTGAATATCTTATTGATATTTTCCCTTTGATTATTGGAGCTGCCAGCTTTCACGGTCTACTATGACTAGATCTTTTCTTTTTTTTTTTTTTTCGGATTTATTTTGTTTCTGCCTATGCAGCTAAAGTTATCTCATTCAGACTAATGCTTACTTTTCATTTATACATTCTCTCCACAAATTTGAGCACCTACTTTGTATAGAAGCATTTCTGGTGTTTCGGATATATCTTTTTTTCAGAAGTATAATTAATGAGCTGTAACTGGAAATTGGGCCTGTGAAACAACATTTTTGGGAGGCTGTTGTTCTAGACTAGCCTCTTGCACTGGACCCCACCAGACCAGAACAAACCAGAATGGAGTCACTTATCCTAAGTGCCACATAATCAAACTTGGAAATAGGTCAGTTTTCTAGAAAATAGGAGATTATAGTCAGCCTGAGTCTTCGTAATAAGGAAGTCCTCCCTGTTTTAACCTTTTAAAGGAAAGCATCTTTGAAACAACCAGTCTGCTTTTTGTTCTGTTTCTGCTTTCTTCAGCCTTTTTCTGCTTTTAAAGCCAACCTCCTCTCCTCTCATTGGAACAGTCATTTTATTTTATAAAATGAGATGTTGTCCAATTCCAGGAGCCCAAATAAAAGCCAATTGTGGGCTGCTTGTGGTGGCTCACGCCTGTAATCCCAGCACTTTGGGAGGCTGAGGTGGGCGGATCATCTGAGGTCAGGAGTTTGAGACCAGCCTGGCCAACATGGCAAACCCCGTCTCTACTAAAAGTACAAAAATTAGCCAGGTGTGGTGCTGGGCGCCTTGTAGTCCCAGCTACTCAGGAGGCTGAGGCAGGAGAATTGCTTGAACCCGGGAGGTGGAGGTTGCAGTGAGCTGAGATCGCGCCACTGCACTCTAGCCTGGGCAACAAGAGCGAGACTGTCTCAGAAAAAAAAAAAAGCCAATTGTGTCTTTAAACTTGTTATAATTTTGTCTTTTGATAGGCCCCCAGTAGACCTAGATCTTGTTCAGTTGTGTTGACAAGGATCTTTAGGCTGTTGGGATCTAGGGAGCACATTCTTGTCACTGGAAAAAATCCTTAAGATCATTTTGTGTGGCACCTCACTTCGTATCTTCTTTGCTGGCTTCCACTCTACTCTTCAGCTTTTCAGACTGTATCTTGGCCATCCATTCTTGTTCTTTTCCTCTTTGTCTACTCTGTGTATATGTTAGTATCTATACATAGGTGACTCTCAGATATTGTTCATTGAAATCACTTTTCATTGAGATCTGAAAAACAGAAGCTAAATGTATTTCACATTCTTGGCTTGGGCAAGGGGGAACCACAGGCAGAAATGTAGCTTCTCACTAAACAGAAGAGAAAAGATTAAATCGATTTTGGGGCAGGGTGAATTTAGATTAAATTTAAATGAAGATGTATATTGATCTAAAGCAAAGAGACACTAATTCTCAAGAGTATATCTGTTCAGTGACATGTTCATAAGAATTGAGATAATGATTTTGGCAGTCTGCAAGACTTTGCCCCTATTTTTGGTCTCAGGATCAACTGCTGTACTATCTGGTAAGGTAGCATCCATGTGGTAGTATTTAAGACTGTAGATACCAGAGAACATATTATTGTAATGCAGACTTAACAGAAAGATAAGGAAGACTAGAAAATTCTGCAAAGTCATGAAGATTGTAGTTTTTCCAAATGGTACCAGGAAATTCTGGAAATGCAACTAACTTGTCAATCACTCCTAAGTCTTATTTGCCACAGGAATACAGATATCCAAATCAGATATAATTTGGTTATGTGCAAGATAACTAATATCTCTAGAAATATAATACTTCAGCAGAATGTTTTATTTGATAGTTCCTATTAATTTTCCAGGGTAGCGTTCAGTAGGCAGAAGGAGTGTTCTGCTTATAATTAGTCCTAGGGTCACAGTTACAGGTTGGGACATGGGTTAGCATTTGGAATTCTTAGAAATCCCTCCAATGGATTTTTAGAAATTCCTCCTGAGTAGTTTTGGTTCTCTGAAAGATCTATCTAGGATATATGTTAGAAATAATGGCACATGTGTTAGTTTGGTACAAAAGTAATTGCGGTTTTGGACTGTGAATTTTAAATAATCAAAACTAGGCTCAAACACATCTTTATTAATCAAAATAGGAACCATTACAGTCAACACATTTTTGCCAATGAGAAATAAGTTTGTTTATTCCTGTAGTGTAAAAATCCATGCTTTGGGATTCGATGAACTCTTGGAAAGTATTTTCTGCATCCTGCTAGTTGTGGAAGTGTCTTCCCTGCAAAAAGTTGTCAAGATGCTTGAAGAAGTGGTAGTTGGTTGGCGAGAGGTCCGATGACTATGGTGGGTGAGGCAAAACTGTAGCCTAATTCCATCAATTTTTTTTTTTTTTTGAGGTGGAGTTTCGCTCTTGTTGCCCAGGCTGGAGTACAGTGGTGCAATCTTGGCTCACTGCAACGTCTGCCTCCTGGGTTCAAGTGATTATCCTGCCTCAGCCTCCTGAGTAGCTGGGATTACAGGTGTGTGCCACCATGCCTGACTAATTTTTGTATTTTTAGTAGAGACGGGTGGGGTGGGGGGGGGCGGTTTCACCATGTTGGCCAGGATGGTCTTGAACTCCTGACCTCAGGTGATCACCTGCCCCAACCTCCCGAAGTGCTGGGATTACAGGTGTGAGCCACCGTGCCTGGCCTCTGTCAACTTTTGAAGCGTTGGTTGTGTGACGTGCATTTGAGCATTGTTGTGGATAAGAATTGGGCCCTTTTTGTTGATCAGTGCCAGCCGTGGGCATTGCAGTTTTCGGTGCATCTCGATTTGCTGAGCATATTTCTCAGATGTAATGGTTTTGCTGGGATTCAGAAAACTGTAGTGGATCAGAAAGCTGTAGCGGCAGCAGACCACCAAACAGTGACCATGACTTTTTTTTGGTGCATGTTTGCCGTTGGGAAGTGCTTTGGAGCTTTGGAAGTGCTTCAGTCCAACCACTGAGCGGGTCGTCACTAGTTACCAAATAAAATCCACTTTCGTGGCAAGTTGCAATCCAATGGTTCATTGTTGTTGCATAGAATAAGAGAAGACAACACTTAAAAATGGCGATATTTTTGATTTTCACTCAGCTCATGAGACACCCACTTATCGAGCTTTTTCACCTTTCCAGTTTGCTTAAAATGCTACAACCATAGAATGGTAGACATTGAGTTATTTGGTAACTTCTAGTGTAGTTATAAGAGGATCAGCTTCTATGATTGTCCTCAGTTGGTCGTTGTCAACTTCCGCTGGCTGGTCACTATGCTCCGCGTCTTCAAGGTTCTTGTCTCCTCTGCAGAACTTTTTTTTTTTTTTTTTTTTTTGAAGACAGAGTCTTGCTCTGTTACCCAGGCTGGAGTGCAGTGGCACGATCTTGGCTCACTGCAACCTCTGCCTCCCAGGTTCAAGCGATCCTCCTGCCTCAGCCCCCCAGTAGCTGGGATTACAGGCACATGCCACCATACCTGGCTAATTTTTTTATTTTTTTTTTAGTAGAGACAGGGTTTTGCCATGTTGGCCAGGTTGGTCTTGAACTCCTGACCTCAGGTAATCTACCCTCCTTGGCCTCCCAAAGTGCTGGGGTTACAGGCGTGAGCCACCGCACCCAGCCTGCAGAACTTCTTTCTTGGACCACCACTGCCCTGTACGTTCGTTAGCAGTTCCTGGGTGGAATGCAGTGTCGATGTTGCGAGTAGTCTCCACTGCTTTACGAACCATTTTGAACTCGAATAAGAAAATCACTCAAATTTGTTTTTTGTCTAATAACATTTCCATAGTCTAAAATAAACATAAAATGAACAGCAAGTAACAAGTCGTTAGCAAAAAAACATAAAGTGAGAAATGCCCATTAAAATGATGTATAACATAACCACATTGAAGAATGTATTCCAGTATCAAATGGTGAATTCCAACAGTGCAAAAACCACAATTAATTTGCACTAACCTAATATCTACAAAGAAGCTGGCCATCTATATTTATACATGGTTCACCTCAAATTCAACAACTAGAGTCATCTTCAAAGCAGCATCATTTGGATAGGCTCTGGCCATTGTTTTTTTCCCCTGCTTCTTTGTTTGCTAATACGGAACAAAGCCTCTTATTTTTCTGCTTGCTTTATCTACTAATATCTTACGAGTAGGTCTTTAATTCTTAGAGGATAAAATATCTTTTGATTTTTTAAAAATTATTTTGATAGCTAGATTTATTCGAAGGATTGTATGTTTGTTTTAGTTCGTATTTTGTCAGTTTTCTCAGGTTCTTTGAATGCTTTTAGCTACATGTTGGAGATTGTCCAAATTTGCAATTTTCCATTTTAATTTTATTTTATAAGTCCCGTATTTTGTTTTAGCCTATGAACAAGAAGACAGGCTGGGTTTTTATTATACTAACTTTGGGTCTGTTCCACAGTATAAAGTCTTGACGGCAATTTCTCATGTCTCTCCCCTCCACTCTTCGCTTTCTCTCTCCTTCCCACTCAGGGTCTCTCCTGCAGCCTTGAACTCCTGGGCTCAAGCAGTCCTCCTGCCTCAGACTTTTGAGTAGCTGGGACTACAGGCCAACCCTATTTTTCTTACTCTAGTCACTATTATTAGGTGTATTTTTGTTTTTTGGAGACTCGAGCTCAGTCTGTTGCCCAGGCTGGAGTGCAGTGGTGTGATCTCAGCTCACTACAACCTCAGCCTCCTGAGTAGCTGGGACTCCAGGTGTGTGCCACCACTCCTGGCTAACATTTTGTATTTTTTGTAGAGAGGGGATTTTGCTGTGTTGCCCAGGCTGGTCTCAAACTCTGGGACTCAAGTGATCTACCTGTCTCGGCCTCCCAAAGGGCTGGGATTACAGGTGTGAGCCACTGTGCCTGGCCTACCTTTTTTTTTTTTTTTTAAGTCTTTTCCTTAAAAAAAAAAAAAAAAATTAGGGGTGGGATCTCACTCTGTTGCCCAGGCTGGAGTGCAGTGGCACAGTCGTACCTCACTGAAACTTTAAACTCCTGGGCTCAAGCAATCTTCCAGCCTTAGCCTCCCAAGTACCTAAAACTACAGGCACACACCATCACACCCACCTAATTTTTAATTTTTTTTTGAGGAGATGGCTTCTTGCTATGTTGCCCAGAATGGTCTTGAACTCCTGGCCTCAGGCAGTCCTGTGAGCCACCATAGCCACCCAGTCTTTAAGTCTTCTAGCTATCTGTTGGCTTTAATTGTTAGCTCAGCCTTAAACCATGCCTTAATTCAGTTTATGTTGGCTTACCACTCGAATCAGCATTGTAGCAATTTTAAATGAGTATTAGGTCATTGGTTGTTTGGGGGAGAAGACCTTAGGAAAGGATAGTTCATTTAGGATTTTTGGGGAGGGAATAGAGAAGAACAAAAGGAATATGTGCTGATGGTGATGCTAAAGCATGATAATGTTAGATGCATAAGGAGGACACGTTTCAGATAGTTTGAGGGGTTTTGTTTCCCCCTTCTTACTTTTGCAAGAGAATCTTCTAGGGATGCTGTTTTCAAGTCAGTTTTATTTTGAGACCTTGGCATGCTGGTCACAAAAGGCCATTGCATATTTGGTACTTTTTTTCCTTTCCTTTCTAGAGCTTCTCTTAGCTGTATTATCTTTGATGTGCCCCACATTCTTCATAATAGCTGAGGTAACTAGAAATCATCCTTGGAGAAATTGTGCCATCTAGCCTACTAAGCGCAATAATTTAGGATTATAAGAATGCATATAGCAGGAATTCTACCAGGAGAAGCTTGCAGCTTTCACTTTGATTCACAAGAGAGAGTTGCCATAGCAGGTGTCTAATAATGCTTATAAAATGGTGGCTGGGGCCTATGACTGAATAATCAAACTCTGTGATTACCAGTCTGTTAACCGTTAGCTCCAGAGTACAGGAATGAGGGACATGTTGTGTCTTCAGGGAGGTGTGGGAATTTTTTTTGCCCACATCGTCTGCTGGACCACTCTACCTTAGTGGTCCCTGAGTAGCTGGAACTCAGTGTGTGTAGCAACTGTACTGCTCTTCCAACGCATACTTTTCTTTCTGTGTTCTCTCTCAATAAAAAATGGTTGCTTTCTCAGAGCCATATTTGACCCTTCTTTCTTTTTCTTTTTTTTTTTTTTTTTTTTTGAGACAAAGTCTCACTCTGTCACCCAGGCTGGAGTGCAGTGGCGTGATCTTAGCTCACTGCAAGCTCCGCCTCCCGGGTTCATGCTATTCTCCTGCCTCAGCCTCCCCAATAACTGGGACTACAGGCGCCCGCCACCGTGCCCAGCTAATTTTTTGTATTTTTAGTAGAGACGGGGTTTCACCGTGGTCTCGATCTCCTGACTTCATGATCCGCCTGCCTCGGCCTCCCAAAGTGCTGAGATTACAAGCGTGAGCCACCGCGCCCGGCCTGACCCTTCTTTCTTATACCAGTGTTTTGTATATCATTTAGTGCTCTCTCTAATTCCGTCTCTGTGTCCATGTTTAATTGCTTTAGTTCACATAGTTAATATCATACAGGTTTTTAACAACTTTCTCTCACTGATTTTATTGTTAGTTGCTTTCTAGTCTTCTACCTTCTATACTACTTGAGTTTTTGTGAACGATTTGATCATGTCACTCTCCTGTTTAAAACTTTTTTTTTTTTGAGACTAAGTGTCGCTCTGTCGCCCAGGCTGGAGTGCAATGGCGCGATCTCAGCTCACTGCAACCTCTGCCTCCCGGGTTCAAGCGATTCTCCTACCTCATCCTCCCGCATAGCTGGGATTACAGACGCGCACCACCACACCCGGCTAATTTTTGTATTTTTAGTAGAGACGGTTTCACCATGTTGGCCAGGCTGGTCTCGAACTCCTCACCTCAGGTGATCTGCCTGCCTTGGCCTTCCAAAGTGCTGGGATTATAGGGATGAGCCACCGCACCTGGCCCTGTTTAAAACTTTTAGTATCTTCCAATCACAAGCATACCCATACATGGTGCTGTAATTTGCTTAGAACCTGCTTTCTTTTATACTTCCATTCCACTGTAGTAATCTGTATTAATATATTTTTTTCCTTTAAGCTCTGTTGGATTGATAATCTCTTTCTTTTTAAGGTTTATTTCATCTCTACCAAAGCCTCCTTAACTCCTCAAATTCCCCAATCCACCTCTATAATTCCATATATTTTTGTCTGTACTCCTGCTTAGACTTTGTCTTATCGATTGTTGTTTATCTATTTGCATGCATTTCCTTCTAGACAAGGACCCTGGGGCAGTTCTGCTTGACTAGTGAGAAATATTTACTAAATATTAGGATGACTGGGGTCACTTCATTTTTCTGTGTCCCACAAGAGTGAGTTTTTTTTATCTACAACCCTCTTTCCCATATTTATACTAGATGTCCCCCTACTCAAAGACAAGCAGAGAAGTTGGTCTTATGCTCTTCAGTTCATTTATATCGGGAAAGGAGGCAGAATTAATCAGCGTGGTGAGGAGACTTTGAAATGATGTCAAATGGGGAACAATAGGAGGAACTAGGATATTTAGCCAAAAGTAAAGGAAAATCAGGTGGGATATGATACCACTTTCCAAATATTTGAAAGGCTGTCATGTAGAAAAATTATAGACTAATTGTTATTATTAGTTTGTCTTCAGAGGG
Organism: Homo sapiens; assembly: GCF_000001405.40. Lineage (NCBI taxonomy): Eukaryota > Metazoa > Chordata > Mammalia > Primates > Hominidae > Homo > Homo sapiens. The sequence continues at coordinate 185,086,662 of NC_000001.11, forward strand.
CAGCTATAGGATGAATAGGTAGCAGTTTGGGTCTCAACATTAGGAAGAGCTTTCTGAACATGAGGTCGGGAATTTTTCATGAGTGAAGCTGTGAAAAGAGGCAGAATGACTAGTGGTTTAAAGTGCTCTAAAGTAGATTTTTTAACTTGGACAGCATTGGACTAGATAGCTATGCTGAAGAATCTGAAGTTTTCCTGATTTAGTTCTAAGTTCCATGACCATGAATTTCATAAAAATATTTATTGTTTTGGGTTAAGACAATCTTGTATACATTCAGCAGTAATTAAGCACTTTTGATATGCTAAGTACTTCCTGTATGCCAGCTCTTGGGCATTTGGAAGTCAGTAGTAGGCTTTTACTGTCAAGTAGTTCATATTTATAAGTGTAAAGATTTTGAGTTTTTCTTCTTTTTAATTTTTGAGAACCAGTGAATAATTTGTTTTTTTTATTCTCAAGATTAACAATTCCTAAAAATCAGTTTTGAGATTTACTTCCTATCTTAATCCATTTAGCCTGCTATAAAAAATACTTTAGGCTGGGTAATTTATAAGCAATAGAAATGTATTACAGTTCTGGAGACTGGGAATTCCAAGATCATGGCACCAGCAGATGCAGTGTCTGGTGAGGGCCTATTCCTTATAGCTGCTTCTCTGTGTCAGAACATGCTGGAAGGGCCAAAAGTTTCCATCAAGCCTCTTTTATAAAGGCACTAATTTCATTCATGAGGGTGGAGCCCTCATAACCTGATCACCTCCCAAAGTCCCCACCTCTTAATATTACTTCATTGAGATTAGATTTCAACGTAGGAATTTTGGTGGGACACATACATTCAGACCATAGCACTTCCCTTCCAAATACTAAAATTGTTTTTCTCTCTTCTTTATTTCCAGCAATGTCTCAGGCTGTGCAGACAAACGGAACTCAACCATTAAGCAAAACATGGGAACTCAGTTTATATGAGTTACAACGAACACCTCAGGTAATGACTAAGATGACTGCCAAGGGGCATATGAGACGTGTAAACTGGGATACATTTTTAGAACATGAAAACTTAAATAGAACATAGAGTAATAATAAATTTATATTCAAGCATTCCTGACTTCTGTATGTTGGCTAACACTTTATTCATTGATTGAACAAATAATCTGAATACTCTATACAAGCTTTTGTGGTAGGTACTGGGTGAACAGTGGTGAATAAAACAGATGTAGCACCAACCATGGACTTTACAGACATTGAAAAAGTACATATCTATAAAATTCACATGTGAGAAGTTGTAGAAAGTTGGGCAAGTCCTCCTTGCTGTAATAAGTACTGATAAGGCACCAAGGAAGACTGTTTTGAGATGATGGCAGACTAGGGGAGGAGCAGGTTTGAAGGCAACAAACATGCTTAACACTGGATTAATTTTGAGATTCCTATACAACAGGCAGGCAGAGATGCCAACTATAGATGATTTTTATATTAGTCTGAACTAAATACAAAATTTTAGGGATTGACAGCACATTTTAAGCAATAAGAATGGTTAAACTCATCCAGAGAGATGAGCAGAGGACCTATAACTTCATCCAGAGCTGTTTCAACATTTAGAAATTAGGTAATGGACAAGGAGCCAGTGAAGGAGACTGAGAAGAACATCCAGAGAAAAGGAAGGAAAAACAGGAGATTGAGAGAGAGGGGGGATTTAAAAGCTAAAGGAAGCCTTACCAACATGGAGAAACCCCGTCTCTACTGAAAATACAAAATTAGCCAGGCATGGTGGCACGTGCCTGTAGTTGCAGCTACTTGGGAGGCTGAGGCAGGAGAATCACTTGAACCTGGGAGGCGGTGGTTGCAGTGAGCCGAGATTGCGCCATTGCACTCCAGCCTGGGCGACAAGAACGAAACTCCGTCTCAAAAAAAAAAAAAGCTAAAGGAAGTATTTCAAGGAGGATGTAGTTAAAGTGTTTAACACTAGTGACAGGCTTAATAAGATGAAGGTTAGACAAGTGTAAATTAGACTTAACAATACAGTTGGCCCTCCACATACATGGGGTTCTGCATCTGTGGATTCAAGCAACCACAACTGAAAAAATCCAGGAAGAAAAATTTTCACAAAGTTCCAAAAACCAAAATTTGAATTTTCCATGTGCTAATAAGTACTATGTTGAATCCATGCAAGTGAGGTGCTGTATGGGCATTGTATTAAGTGTTAAAGTAATTTAGAGATGATTTAAAGCAGCATGCCCAGGGACCAGTTTCATCCATGTGCTAATAAGTACTATGTTGAATCCATGCAAATGAGGTGCTGAATGGGCATTGTATTAAGTATTAAAGTAATTTAGAGATGATTTAAAGCAGCAGTCCCCAGGGACCAGTTTCATGGATGATAGTGTTTCCATGGATTGGAGGTGGGTGGGTGGGTGGGGGATGGTTTCAGGATGAAACTGCACCACCTCAGATCATCAGGCATTAGATTATAATAAGGAGCATGCAGTCTAGATCCGTTGCATGTGCAGTTCTCAATAGGGTTCGGACTCTTACGAGAGTCTAATGCCACCACTGATCTGACAGGAGGCAGAGCTTAGGCAGTAATGCTTACTTGCCTGCTGCTCACCTCCTGCTGTGTGGTCTGGTTCCTAACAAGCCAATACCTGTCCATGGCCTGAGGTTCGGGACCCCTGATTTAAAGTATGTGGGAGAATATGCCTAAGTTATATGCAAACATCATGCCATTTTTTTATAAGGGACTTGAGCATCCAAGGATTTTGATATCTGTGGAAGTTCCTGGAGCCAATCCCCCATGGATACCAAGGGTCGACCGTATATACTTGGTGACCTTGACAAGAGCACGTTCACCTGAGTAGATTGTACAAGTTTGAGGGTTGATTGGAATCATGGTGCATTCTCATCATTGGTTCATGTGATGAATCAAGGATATGATAATTATATATATATGGCCCAGTAAGGGGAGGGTAGAAGTGACAAAAGATGAATAGGCAGTTCTTCAGAGAAATTCAGCTATGCAGGGGAGCAGAGAAATGGAGCAAAAACTGGAGACCAATGTGAAATTGAGTTTTCAATTGTGTTTATAAGATGGAGATAGAGGCCGGGCGTGGTGGCTCAGACATGTAATCCCAGCACTTTGGAAGGCCGAGGCCGGTGGATCACCTGAGGTCAGGAGTTTGCGGCCAGCCTGGCCAACATGGTGAAACCCTGTCTCTACTAAAAGTACAAAAAATTAGCCAGGCCTGGTGGTGCACACCTGTAATCCCAGCTACTCGGGAGGCTTTTTTTTTGAGACAGAGTATCGCTCTGTCACCTAGGCTGGCATGCAGTGGCGTGATCGCGGCTCACTGCAACCTCTACCTCCCAGATTCAAATGATTCTCCTGCTTCAGCCTCCCAAGTAGCTGGGATTACAGGCGTGTGCCACCATGCCCGGCTAATTTTTGTATTTTTAGTAGAGACAGGGTTTCACCATGTTGGTCAGGCTGGTCTCGAACTTCTGACCTTGTGATCCACCCGCCTCGGCCTCCCGAAGTGCTGGAATTACAGGTGTGAGCCATCGTGCCTGGCCGAGGCTGGTGAAATTTTTAGTTACACCAAGGTGGTTTTCCCTTTTTCTTTTCCCCTACAGTGCTACACATCTGCACAGGTACAGCCCTGGAGGAGAACATAGATGGTTGAATTTATCCAGGGTTGGGATTTTGTTAGGCATGTTCTAAAGAGGCAGAGGAGAACAGACTTGATTACTCTCTGGGTCATCAATATACTCTTGAGTGATAGTTTCCTAAATCAAGTTTGTCTAAGTGTTAAACTAAGGGAAAAATGAAAATTTTTTATTTCATATTTATATAGAGAGGCTGAAATCTAACAAACATTTTATTAATGCTTGAGCCCTTTATGAACAATAGCTATAGTTTCTATATTTTTCTTTGTGGAGTAATCCATCTTTGACCATATAAAGAAAGCACAAGTATGATGGACTGCCAGTGGAAACAGGAAGCACGGGAGCGTATTGAAAGCCACTTATTTATACCTGCATCTTCCTTTACAATTCTCGCCATACTAGAACTCTCCTCAATCCATAGGAGTTGATACTGGTGGCATTAGAGCTGAGTAATCTGTGTTCTCACTGCCAGCTTGTGGAGAGGGTAGTGAACCAAGTAGGATTCACTAATCATTCTGCAGCAGGGGAGATATGTCCTGAAATTTTACATTGGAACTCCAGATGCATTTTGGAGAGAAACATCTTTAGGCATGACAGTTAGATATAGCAATACATTTTATACTTTGGATATATTCTGGTTTAAATCAGCTCCTGGGTTAGCGTGAGAAGCTGACTACTTTGTATAAAATTGCTCTGTGGAAAAGAATTTTCGGGGTTCAAAAGTATTTTAAAATGAAATTCTATTAAGCTGTTTATAAACTAGAGAAACTTTTATTGGAATCTTGTTTTAATGGGCAGCATGAAACATAATTTATTGTGAAAATGGTGTAACTTTTGAAGGTGGACGTTTTCTGAGGGTTAATTTAGCCCTAACTTTCTCATTTTGCAGGTAAGAAGACAATGTTAAATAATTATTTAGACTCAGCTAGTTAATTTGACTAGAACTAGATCTAACCTAAGGTATATGATTCCAAATTCAATTTTTTGTATTATACCAGACTAATTTCCCACTAGTAAGCTTTTAAATACATTAATATGTTATCTTTAGCATTAAAGCAAGAGCATTTTTATAACAGTGGTGGTGAGGCTGAGGGGAGCTGTAGGCGATTATAGTTGAAACAAAATTAGCTGTGAGTTGACAATGGCAGTGGCTGGGTGATGGGTACATATATGTTTGTTTTTACCATTTCCAGTACTTTTATATGTTTGAGCTTGTCCATAATAAAAAATTAAGTAGCTTTTAATTTTAAAGTGACTCTTTTACAGGAGGCAATAACAGATGGCTTAGAAATTGTGGTTTCACCTCGAAGTCTACACAGTGAATTAATGTGCCCAATTTGTTTGGATATGTTGAAGAACACCATGACTACAAAGGAGTGTTTACATCGTTTTTGTGCAGACTGCATCATCACAGCCCTTAGAAGTGGGTATGTTGAAAAGAGTTGTTATACTAGGTACTTAATTGTACCACGAAAGTGCTTTCCAGGGTTTGAGAAATACATTTTCTTTTTTTTTTTTTTGAGACAGAGTTTCGCTTTTCTTGCCCAGGCTGGAGTGCAATGGCACGATCTTGGCTCACTGCAACCTCTGCCTCCTGGGTTCAAGCGATTCTCCTGCCTCAGCCTCCAGAGTAGCTGGGATTACAGGCATTGCCACCGTGGCCGGCTAGTTTTTTTTTTTTTTTGTATTTTTAGTAGAGACGGGGTTTCAACTTGTTGGCCAGGTTTCAGCATATTGAACTCCTGACCTCAGGTAATCCACCCGCCTCAGTCTCCCAAAGTGCTGGAATTACAGACATGAGTCACTGCACCTGGCCGAGAAATACATTTCCTTTCCTTTCTCCTTTTTCTTCTTTCCCCTTTCCCCTTTCCTTTCCTTTCCTGAGATGGAATCTTACTCTGTCACCCAGGCTGGAGTGCAGTGGCACAATCTCGGCTCACTGCAACCTCCACCTCCCGGGTTCAAGTGATTCTCCTGCCTCAGCCTCCTGAGTAGCTGGGATTACAGGCGTGTATCACCACGCCTGGCTAATGTTTGTATTTTTAGTAGAGGGGGGCTTTCACTGTGTTGGTCAGGCTGGTCTTGAACTCCTGACCTCGTGATCCACCCGCCTCGGCCTCCCAAAGTACTGAGATTACAGGCGTGAGCCACCGTGCCTAGCCGAGAAATACATTTTCTGTAAGTGTTTGATTGAAAACTAGAAATCTTTCTAAAGCCTAAGTTTTAATTGTAGGAAAATCTTTGTATTGAAATCGCTGATTTTTAGACACTTCATAAGATGAGTATTTGTTTTGAGGAAATTACAACGCATAAAACCACGATTTTTCCACTTAAGTATATAAAATAATATCCATATGAAAGTATTATTTCAGTAAAATAATTTATTACATATAAATTAACATATATATATTAGTGGGTATTTTTTCCTTGCAAAGCATGGATATCGGAAAGGGGAAATTTAAATTAGAAAAAATAGATTTTTATTTCTAAGATGGTTATATATAAATTATCTTGGGAAATACTCAAATTTTTTCTTTCGACGAGTGGTATAGAGGGTTTGAGGTTTCCAAAATCTTGCTTACCCACTAGTCAGATTTTCAAGGAAATTCAGGATAATTGGTTTACATTTCTGTGACTTATTAAAGGTATTGGAATAAAGGTGAATAACTATCCAGAAGCTGGGTATTTTTGTCTTTAGCCCAAAGATACTAGCATTGTTTACATTTGCTTTCCCCTCCTTTTATTTAGCAACAAAGAATGTCCTACCTGTCGGAAAAAACTAGTTTCCAAAAGATCACTAAGGCCAGACCCAAACTTTGATGCACTCATCAGCAAAATTTATCCAAGTCGTGATGAGTATGAAGCTCATCAAGAGAGAGTATTAGCCAGGATCAACAAGCACAATAATCAGCAAGCACTCAGTCACAGCATTGAGGAAGGACTGAAGATACAGGCCATGAACAGGTATATGGGAAAGAGGGTCAGAGAGGGTAGCTGTTTTTCTGAATACTTTATTAACAATTAAATTTACTTTTTGAAAAAGGTAAAATACAGTAACAAATAGTAGTACTGCATGATTACCTTTCGTGCAGGTATAATACATGCCTCCAGGCATAATAGGGTATTTCATTTAAAATACTAGAATCTCTGTTTTACTTACTTTTTTCTCAACTTATTCTATTTCTTCTCTTTATAGCAAAATTCCTTGAAAGAGTTGTAACTCCAATTCTTTTCCTATTCTTTTATGAACCCCCTCCAATCAGACATTCATCCTCACCACCCCATCATATTGCTCTTATCAATGTTATTAGTGATCTCTTCATTGTGCCATCTAATGGCTGATTCTCAGACCTCGCGTTACTTAGCAGCATTTGACACAATTAATTTCTCCCTTCTCTTTGAATAATTTTCTTCACCTGGCTTTCAGGAGGCCATAGTCTCTTGGTTCCCTTTGTATGTCATTAACTGTTCCTTTACTTGTTTCTTTTGTACTTTTTATTTCAATTTCCCCAACTGTGAAATATGGCGTGTCCCAGAGACCAGTGTTTGTTTCTCTTTTCAATACAAAATCTGTCTCCAAATTATCTTACTCAGTTTCATAGTTTTATTTACCATCTGTATGCTGATGACTCCCAAATTTATATATCCAGCCCGGACTTACCTGAATTTTAGACATTTCTCCATATGGGTATCTAATACTCATCTCAAACTTAACATGATGAATACTGAACTTACTCCCTACTTCTCTTCATTCTTACTCATTTTGGTTGATGGCAATTCCATCATTCTACTTGCTTAAGCCAAAAACTTTGGAGTCAGTTTTTTTTTTTTATTTTTTTTATTTTTTGAGATGGAGTCTTGCTGTGTCACCCAGGCCAGAGTGCAGTGGCACCATCTTGGCTCACTGCAACCTCTGCCTCCTGGGTTTCCAGCGATTCTCCTGCTTTAGCGTCTTGAGTAGCTGGGAGTACAGGTGCACGCCACCATGCCCAGCTAATTTTTGTATTTTTTAGTAGAGATGGGGTTTCACCATATTGGCGAGGCTGGTCTCAACTCCTGACCTTGTGATCTGCCTGCCTCGGCCTCCCAAAGTGCTGAGATTACAGGTGTGATCCACCACACCTGGCCTTGGAGTCGCTTTTAAATCTCTTTTACACATCCTGTATTCCAGTCCGTAAATAAACAAATATTTTTTGCTTTCTCCATAGTATATCCAGATTCATTCAGGCCACAACAATCTTTCATTTGATGTATTGAAGTAAGTTCCCAACTGGTTTTTCTACTTCCCATGCTTACTCCCACATAGTCTATTCTCAGCACAGCAGCCAGAGATACTGTTAAATTGAAAGGAAGATCATGGTTTTCCTTTGCTCAGAGCCCTCTAATAGCTTCTATTCACATTCAGGCTAAAAACTAAAAGACTTTAATGATGGTTTTTAAGACCCTATATAAGGTGGGCATTTTCCTTACCCTCATCTTCTTTTCCTCTCTGACATTATCGTCTGATTTATTCAGGCCTCAAGGAGAATCATTATTTTCCATAGAAGGAGATAATAGTAAAGTCCATCTCAGTCTAGTGGTTTTCACCTTGGCTGAACATCAGACTCACTCAGAAAACTTTCAAATCTCATGGCTTTAGGCATCATCCCGGTCCCAGTAATCAGCATCCAGGCATTTCTGCTTTTAAGTTTCCATAGATAATTCTGGAGTGTAGTCAAGATCAAAAACCACTGGCTTAAAGGTTAAAAGATGTGCTCCATTCTAACAGTATTAAACTGACCTACCACTCTGTTTACCAAAGTATAATGTACTAAATGTTAAATGTATTTATTTTTAGAAGAATTTTACATTCCTAAGCGTTGGAAGGACTTTAATGGTTGTTCAGTTTAGCCTTTTACTAAAAGCAAGACTCTCCTTGTAAATATTCTTTTGGTTTTGCTTGTACATTTCTAGTGGTGGGGCTGTATGATAGGCACTCCTTTCTTTTGTTGGCAACTTTATTACAGCTTCCTTACTGTTCTTCAGACTCACCAAGCATGCTTCTGCCTCAGAGCCTTTGTACTTACACTACTCTATTTCAGGAACCTTCTTCCAAATAATCCACATGGCACACTACCTCACTTTCTTAGCAGGTATCTGCTTAAGTTCTCATCTTCCATTCTAGGACTCTGTAATTCCTTACCCTCCCTGCCTCATTTTTTTCCCATAGCACGTATCACTCTCTCATGTGTTACCTGCTACACTAGAATTATGACCCCTAAGAGGGAAGAGACTATGTCAGTATCATTGATTCTTATTAACACCATTATTTAGAACCATGCTTGGCTTAAAGTAGTAGCTGCTCAGTAAATATTTATCTATGTGTGAATTTTTAAGTTCTTCCTTTATATTGAATTAAAATTAGTCTCTTGTGTGCAGCAGTCTGGGTTTGTCTTATGTTGAAATACTTATGTTGACTTCTACATACATTTCAGATTCTACTTCTGTGTTTACAAATATTTTTATGTAGGTATATGTTCGTATATGTCCCTCTAAAGGCTTAATATTCACATTCCTCATTTCTTTTTTGTTCCTCATATGACACTCAAGATTGGTGTCATTCTTAAAATGCTACCATCAGGACAGTATGTAGTATTATAGACGTGATTTGATAAATGTAGGATATAATAGACTTAATGTTCTTTATATGAACATATTCTTTAAACGCTGCCTGCAGTTACATTAATATAGCTCTGTCACATCAATCCTTTTTTGGAAAGGTGTGGGATAAAAATAAATATATTGAGTCTTAATAAACCTGTTAGGTCACTGTAATTTATGGTCAAATAACTTTTCATTTGCTTTAGTTGTGGATTTTAGAATATATTTTAGTCTTTATGTTGTGCTATCAATTTTTTGTCCCATTATTTTAGCCCGTTCATACCTTTTTTTCAAAAATTGTGGTAAAAGACATATAACAGAATTTTCCATCTTAACCATTTGTAAGTGTAGAGTTCAGTAGTGTTAAGTACATTCTTTTTTTTCTTTTAAACGATTGGCTCCTCAAAGCTGAACACTCACAATGTTGTGCAGCCAATCTACAGAACTCTTTTCATCTTATAAAATTGAAACCCTGTATCCATTAAGCACTAACTCCTCATTTCTCCCTCCCCCCAGTTCCCGGTAACTGTCATTCTACTTTGTTTTATGAATTTGACTTCTTTAGATACCTCACATAAGTGAAATCGTGCTGTATTTGTACTTTTGGGGTTTTTTTTTTGTTGTTGTTATTTACTGTTATTTATTTCTCTTTTTACTTGACTGTAGGCCACCAAGTTACGTATTTGTACTTTTGTGCCTGGTTTATATTACTTAAATGACCTCAGCATGTCTATTCATGTTGTATGTGGCAGGATTTCCTTCCTTTTTAGGACTGAATAATCCATTGTGTGTGCTTATGTATTTTTGAATCATAGTTTGTTATTTAACATACTAGTCATACTCTCTTGGTTTTGCAATGATCTATGAATTTTATAAGCAGGATTTTTTTTTTTTTTTTTTTAAAGCATGAGTTCTTGAGCATCTTTCCTAACCATTGGACTGTTATTTCTTTGTTCTGGCAGTAAACATAATGACAATATTCTTACAAGTGCAAGGCATTCTTTCATATTTCTTTTTCATTATATATTCCTTTTTTCTTATCTATACAGGTAGGGAGACAGGCAGTGTGGTAGGAAGAATGTGGTCTGGTTCACATCCTAGCTCTAGTTCTGGCACTTATTAGCTGTATAACTGGAGGCAAATTATTTAATCTTGTACCTGAGTTTTCTTTGCTTTTCTCAACTAGAAAATGACATTAATGGTAACTGCCTTGACAGGTTATTTTGAAGAGTAAACAAGATTGTATGTATAAAGTGCCTTGCCCGGTAATTAGCTTTAGTATCTGAGCTTGTTAGAGAGCAGCTTCTGTGTCCACGTTGGTTATTTAGATACCATCGCATTTTCCTCAGTCATTTTGTATCGCCTTAGCTGACTTGGCGGAAGGTCAGCAGGGAGGAAGTACTTACTATTCTTCTTAACTTTTGTTTCCTTAAGAATTTCTTTAAAGAGGCATAAATATCTTCCCTAAGAACTTTTACATTTTCATATTTGAATCATGCCTTTCTTCAGACCTGTAACCCCATGAGAGAAAATGATCAGAATATAAAGATTTGTCAATTAATTCTTATAGTCTTTTGTTTAATAAAGAAAATTATTTTTAAGAGATAGCGTCTTACTCTGGCCCAGGCCAGAGTACAGTGGAGCCATCCTAGTTTACTGCGCCCTTCAACTCCTGGGCTCAAGCCATCCTCCTGTCTCAGCCTCCTGAGTAGCTGAGATGATAGGTGCACCACCACGCCCAGCTAATTAAAATTTTTTGTTGTTGGTAGAGACAGGGTCTCACTTTGTTGCCCAAGCTGGTCTCAAATTCCTGGCCTCAAGCTCCTCCCATCTTGGCCTCTCAATGTGTTGGGTTTACAGGTGTGAACCACCGTGCCTGGCCAGTAAAATTATTAAGTGAATAGAAACATTCGTTAAATTATTTAAATGTTTGCCTGTGAGCAAGAGAGATTTTTTAGACCTTTCAGGAACATGTGGGAAACAATATCATCCAACTCAGAGTAAATTCAGTTACCAGTATTTTTTGGAATTCTAAAGTTCAGTAGCAAACATGCTTCAGATTTGTTGCTTTAAAGGCCTAAAAGTAAATTTTATGCATCCTTTTTTCCCCCTTGACTAGACTGCAGCGAGGCAAGAAACAACAGATTGAAAATGGTAGTGGAGCAGAAGATAATGGTGACAGTTCACACTGCAGTAATGCATCCACACATAGCAATCAGGAAGCAGGCCCTAGTAACAAACGGACCAAAACATCTGATGATTCTGGGCTAGAGCTTGATAATAACAATGCAGCAATGGCAATTGATCCAGTAATGGATGGTGCTAGTGAAATTGAATTAGTATTCAGGCCTCATCCCACACTTATGGAAAAAGATGACAGTGCACAGACGAGGTAAGTGTGTGGATTAGTTTCAGATTATCTAAATTCAGAATGTTTAATTTGGAGGTAAAAGGCAGTCTTGTATAAGAAGTAGGAGCAATATTTGTCATCCCATTGATTGCAGGGGTTCAGTTACTAGCTGCCTAGATTGTTGTTTTCTTCCTTCCTCCCTCATGTGCTTTCCACCCAAAATTGCACATCTGAAAGGAATGACTCTCCTTGGTAGAGAAGGTAAAGGGGCCTATTCAAATTTCTCAGCAATGATACTAGAGTACCAATAGGCTCTAAAACTCATGCTGGCAAGAATGGCTACGTTACCACTGTATCTCCAGCACACTGCTTGCTGTTGAGTACAGATAAGCATCAAATATTTATTGAATGAGGGATTTAATGATATATTATGTTTTAAAAATCCTCAAATTAACTTTTTTTTTTTTTGAGATGGAGCCTTGCTCTGTCGCCAGGCTGGAGTGCAGTGGCGCGATCTCGGCTCACTGCAGCCTCCGCCTCCTGGGTTCAAGCGATTCTCCTGCCTCAGCCTCCCGAGTAGCTGGGACTACAGGCTCATGCCACCAAGCCCAGCTAATTTTTGTATTTTTAGTAGGGACAGGGTTTCACCATGTTGGCCAGGATGGTCTCGATCTCTTGACCTCGTGATCCGCCTGCCTTGGCCTCCCAAAGTGCTGGGATTATAGGCCCAAGCCACTGTGCCCGGCCTCTTTTTTTTTTTTTTTTTGAGATGGGAGTCTTGCTCTGTCTCCCAGGCTGGAGTACAGTGGCACAATCTTGGCTGACTGCAACCTTTGCCTCCCGAGTTCAAGCGATTCTCCTGCCTCAGCCTCCCAAGTAGCTGGGATTACACTCACCACAACACCTGGCTAATTTTTGTATTTTTAGTAGAAATGGGGTTTCACCATGTTGGCCAGGCTGGTCTCGAACTCCTGACCTCAAGTGATCCACCTGCCTCAGCCTCCCAAAATGTTGGGATTACAGGCGTGAGCCACCACACCCGGCCCAAATGAACATTTCTATGGTTAGTCTTAAAAGACATTTTAATTCTTAGACAATAAGAAATTTGCTTCTATTCTGTTTCTGTTGCTGCTATAGCCAGCAGATTCTGGTCATTAGGGTTTGGGGGGTATGTTCCTTTTTTTCCCCTTAGTACTTTGTGTATTTCTGTTTGATTTTTGTCACTGTGTATCTCATTTTATAGAAGGTAAGGTAGGTAAAGCTTTTGTGACCTGACAGTAAGATATTGAGTATTTACTTTCCCCTCTTCTGTACCTATCAATAAGAAATTTAGATTGTAGAGCAGTAAATTTCTGATATTATTTTGTCAATAATTGAGACATTGCCATTTTACTTAGTTTTTAAGAAATGTATTAGTTCCATAATTTAAGTACATTTTTCTCATTGGCATATTCTAGAAATGAAATTTTTAATGATTTATTCTTCTAGATACATAAAGACTTCTGGTAACGCCACTGTTGATCACTTATCCAAGTATCTGGCTGTGAGGTTAGCTTTAGAAGAACTTCGAAGCAAAGGTGAATCAAACCAGATGAACCTTGATACAGCCAGTGAGAAGCAGTATACCATTTATATAGCAACAGCCAGTGGCCAGTTCACTGTGAGTATTTAAAATAATAGACTGTTGAAACTGGGAGCACACTGACCAACTAACTGAGTGGCAAGTGGTGGGGTAGAATCTAATAAATAATGTAAAAAACCGTAACAGTGTTAAGTGACAAGTAGTTATTCCTAAGATTTGAAAAAAAAAGATTCTGTGGACTTCCATTTTAGTTTCATTTCATTATTATTGTGGTTTGTGCAGTTTTCATAATTTTTTCTTTCTTTTTTGTTTTAGGTATTAAATGGCTCTTTTTCTTTGGAATTGGTCAGTGAGAAATACTGGAAAGTGAACAAACCCATGGAACTTTATTACGCACCTACAAAGGAGCACAAATGAGCCTTTAAAAACCAATTCTGAGACTGAACTTTTTTATAGCCTATTTCTTTAATATTAAAGATGTACTGGCATTACTTTTATGGACAGATCTTGGATATGTTGTTCAATTTTCTTTCTGAGCCAGACTAGTTTACGCTATTCAAATCTTTTCCCCTTTATTTAAGATTTCCTTTTTGGAAGGGACTGCAATTATTCAGTATTTTTTTCTTTCCTTTAAAAAAATATATCTGAAGTTTCTTGTGTTTTTTTTTTTCCCCACAAAGTGTGTTTCCACTTGGAGCACCATTTTGACCCAGGAATTTTTCATAGTTTCTGTATTCTTATAAGATTCAGTTGGCTGTCCTTTTCCTGCTCCCCTCAAAAGATTTTTAGTCATACAGAATGTTAAATATTATGTATTCTGACTTTTTTTTTCCCCCGGAGTCTTGTATATTTATAGTTTTCTATATAAACTGTAGTATCTTCATGAAGACCCAAGGCTCAAATTTACTGTCCTTAAAAACAATTCTCATAGGATTATTCTTTTCATGGTATTTTCTTCCATAATATCTCATTTTAAAAAGAAGTTCTTTATGAACTTAGTGTCCATTGTCATGCAATGTTTTTTTTTTTCCATTCTTTTTCCCTGTAATTTTGGAATTTCTGGTCCTGGGAAGAATCAAACAAAATCTTAAGTTCTATGAGAACTTGGTTCATTGACATATTCTGCTGAAGAAAGAAAAATTAAATTGGTAGTAAAATATAGTCTTCAAGTATACGTTTGAGAGTGCTTTTTTTTGTATTAGTTCTGCTGTCACTTCATTTCCTGTATTATATGTGATGTTTTTCCCCATTAAAATACCAGAGATAATGGAGATATTTTGCACTTTAGCCTTGATGAAAAGTACAAGATATGTTCAAAGCTTCCCTAATTTTTTTCTTATTTGTAGCCACATAAGTTTCAAGAATAACATGGCACACAGAACAATGGAAAAAAGTTTGTTTCCATTGGAAAATTATATCATTTTGGGTTGCCACATCAGTTTATAAATTTGGCGCTCTTTTAATTACACTCTGTAGAAGGTTAATAGAGCTTGAGCCCTGCTTTAATATGTAGTGAAAGATAATTCTGTAGAAAAACGTCAGCCAGTAGGGTAAAGTCATTCTACTGTTCTTAATTTTTATATTGAGGAACAATATTGGGTGTTTGGGAGCCAGAAAGCTTTGTTGACAGATCAGAAATAAGATTGACTTGGGTGTTATATTTCATCTCTCTCCAGACTCTAGGTATATTTCCAACTTTATATATCACAGTATTTAAAAAGACATGTTTGCATTGAGAAATTAACCCTAAAGGGTTTTCAATAGGGTGTAGACCTCCAGTACCTTTGTAACTAAAGTCTGTCTAGTCATTGTAAATATTTATCTGTCAGTTTTGACAGATTGGGGCCAGCTTGATGTTTTAAATCTTCAGCCCGGTATGAAAACTTAAAGGTATATATTCAATTTTTTACCATTTTATGGAAAATATTTAAAATCTGTTTTTACAGGGTTTTTTTTTTTTTTTTTTTTTTGTAATCTGTGCCATGAAATTTGAAAACCACCAAAAATCAAGGGAACTTTTATATATTCAATTCCTTTTCTGGTGTAATGTTAAAGTTGTATAGATTATTAATGCATGCCCACTGAATATAACCCTGGTTTTGTGATAAAACTGCTTAGATTTTGTTGATGACATTAGATTAGTAGTTGCATTAAATAACTAAATTCCCATTGTGATTAATTGAAATTTTGTCTTTAAGCAGAGAGTTATTTGTGACTATAAGCTTTGTGCTTAGAGAATGTATGTGTTTTTATCTGTCAGTATGGGAGGATATAAACTGCATCATTAGTGAAATTATTGGTTGTGTAATCCTTTGTGAAATATAATTCTAGGTATTTGATAGGGTATTGAGTGTATTTTGTGTGTGTGTGGATGTGTGTTTTGGGGTACGGGGAGAGGCGATGCTATTGGCCATCACTACCAACCAGGGTTTCAAAAAGTATTACCTAAGTAATTTCTTTTATCACTATCTCAACTGAGGAAGAAAAGGCTCACCACAAGTGGTGTGAAGGCTTTGGGTACTTAGTTCTAAATTTTTTTATGGTAACATATACATAGCCACATTTACAGTTTTAACCATTTTAAGGCATGTAATTCAGTGGGGTTAGGTACATTCACAATGTTGTGTAATGATCACCGCTGTCTACTTGTAAAACTTTTTCATCACCCCAAACAGAAACTCTGTGTGCAATTAAAGTAATGCATTTCTCTTCTTCTTAACCCCTAGCAACCTCTATTCTACTTTCTCTTTTTGAATTTGTCTATTTTAGGTGCCTCATGGCACCTGTGGAATCACACATTATTTTCAAGGTTCATGTGATAGCATATATCAGAATTTCATTCCTATTTATGGCTGAATAATATTGTATGTATGTGCCACATTTTGTTTATCCATTCATCTGTTGATGGAGACTTTTGGTATTGTGAATAATACTGCAGTGAACATTATTATAGAAGTATATAATTGAGTTCTGCCTTCTGTTATTTTGGGTATATATGAAGGAATAGAATTACTGCATCATATGATAATTCTATGTTTAATTTTTTGAGGGACTCCAAACTGTTTTCCATAGCAGCTTCATTATTTTACATTCCTGCCACCAATGAACAAGCGTTCTGGCTTTTCCGTATCCTCTGTAACACTTGTTATTTTCTTTTCTTCTTTTTAAAATAACTATATTAATGGGTATCCTTATGATAGCTGTCTTACTGGATGTCTCCTTTCATTGTGGTTTTAATTTGCATTTCCCTAACAGCTTGTGATGCTGAGCATCTTTTTCTGTACTTGCTGGCCATTTGTGTATTTTCTGTGGAGAAATGTGTATGTGTATTCAAGTCCTTCACCCATTTTTGACTGGGTTCTGTTATTGTTGAGTTGTGGGCATTCTTTATTCTAGTTAGTAATCCATTATCAGATACATGATTTGCAAATATTTTCTCCCATTCTTTGGGTTTTCTTTTGATTCCCTTGATAGTGTCCTTTGATGTACAGAATTTTTTTTATTTTGGTGAAGTCTAGTGTATCTGTCTTTTTTCTTTTGGCTATGCTATTGGTGTCATATTCAAGAAGATTGCCAAACCCAATGTCATGAAGATTTTCCTCTTTTAAGAGTTTTATAGTTTTAGCTCTTAGTCTTTGATCCATTGTGAGTTTTGTATATGGTGAAAGGTCAGTGTCCAGCTTTGTTCATTTGTATTTGGATATCCAGTTTTCTTAGCCTTTTCTCCACTGAATGATCTTGGTGCTCTTGTTCTAAATCATATGTGAGGGTTTATTTCTGGATGTTGTATTCCATTGGTCTATATGTTTGTCCTTATGCCAGTACTACACTATTTTGATTACTTTAGCTTTGTAATAAATTTTGCATTATATCATTTCTAACCCTTTGAACCTTAGGAAGACAGTATTTCCTTTGTGTACATTTGAGAAGACAAAGGCTCAGGATTCTGATTTGGATAACTAAATGTGAAGTAACTGAAATGCCAAGTGAGAAAAGGCATCTCTTAAATTCCCATTTCTATTCAGAAAAGTTTAAGTTTCCCCCAAAATAGCCTCAAAACTCCCCAAAAATCACACTCCAGTGAATTATCACTCTTGGCCTTTCTGGAACCTCACTGAAAAGCTCTTTTTCTCTGAGCGTGTCTTTGACTGGACTCAGCTCACTTTGCTTAAAAAGCTCTATCTTCATGGTGTTTGTAAAAAATCGTTCCTGCCGTTGTTTAACACAGCAGTTGCCTGAGGCATGTGGGCCTAAAAAGCAGCTGACTAAAAAGTAGGAAATGTAGAGGGCTTTGAAAAGTTCCATTATGTTCCTGGGAATCTCGAAGGCCACACATTTGTGCAAGACTGTTGGCATGCCCAAGAAAAAAATATAAGGCACTAACCTCACCTGTAGCAGACCCTGAGGCTCTGTGCCAGCAGGAAGTGAAAGGTAAGCCACAGTTGTAAACTACATGCTGGAGTTTTGAAGGCATATCCCAGACAGAGCACTTTAGCAAGACAGAGACTTACTGGTTCAAAGCATTTAAGGAAATCTGTCTAGTTATTAGCTGACCACTAAGCTAATGAAGCAGACTTCAGTGGTCACAGCAGAGAATGCAAACATTACAGAGTTAGTCAAAAGAAGGCCACTAAACAGCAAACACAACAAACCCTGGGGACCTAAAGGGATTCTCATTTCCAGAGTTGCCACATTGTATTATAGTCTTCCCCCATTATCCAGTTTTGCCTTCGTGGTTTGTTACCCATGGTCAACTGCACTCTGAAAATACTAAATGGAAAATCCCGGAAATAACTCATAAGTTTTAAACTGTACACCGTTCTGAGTAGCCTGAGGAAATCTTGTGCCGTTCCACTTGGGACATGAATTATCCCCGTGTCCAGCATATCTTTGCTGTATATGCTACTCGTTCATTAGTCACTTAGTACCTGTTAACGGTTCCCAGATTGATTGTCATGGTATTGCAGTGTTTGTGTTCATTTTACTTAATGGCCCCACATTGCAAGGGTAGTGATGTTGGCAATTTGGATATACCAAAGAGAAGCCATAAACTGCTTCCTTTAAGTGAAAAGGTAAGAGTTCTTGACTTAATAAGGAAAGAAAACATAAATTATGCTGAATTTGCTAAGATCTATGACAAGAACAAAGCTTTTTTCTATGTCAAAGTTGAGACAGATCTCATGAAATTGTGAACAGTATATTATGATTGTATATTATTAGTTGTTGATCTCTTACCATGCCTAATTTATAAACTTTACCATATATGTAGGTGTAGAAAAAAAGAAGTACAGGGTTTGGTACAGCCTGTGGATTCAAGGATCCACGGCGGGGTGGGGGGATCTTAGAACATACCCTCAAGGATAAAGGGGGGACTATTTTAAAAGCCTAGTTTTCAACAGAAAATTACAAGACCTATAAAGAAACAGAAGTGTCTGTGAGGAAGTCCAGATGTTGGACTAATTAGACAAATACTTTGTCAGCTTTTAAAAACATGTTCAGAGAACTAAAAACCATGTCTGAACTAAATATGAGAGGAATGTCTCACCAAATAAATATCAATAAATTACGAACAAACCAAATGGAAATGTGGATTGAAAGATAAAAGAATCATAATTTAAAATTCACTAGAGTCTCAACAGTGGATTTGAACTGGTAGAAGAAATAATCAACTCGAAGACAGGCCAATTGAGAATATCCTGTCTAAAAAACGAGTGAAAAAGAGTGGAACCTCAGAGACATGTAGGACACCATCAATTGTACTAGCACCCAGAATTGGAGTTCCAGAAGGAGAGGAGGGAAAGGGGCAGAAAGTGTATATTTGAAGAAATAATTGCCAAAAGCTTTAAAAATTTGATGAAAAACATTACCTGCACATTTAAAAAGCTCAACGAACTACCATATAAATTCAAAGAGATCCACAAAACTAAGAGTACTATGAACAGTATGAGAAAATCAATTCATAAACAAGGGGTCCTAAATAAGATTAACAGCTCACTTCTCACAATAAGCTATCACAGAGGCCAGGATGCAGTGAATGACATTCCCAAGTACTGAAAGAAAAAAATAGCCAAGAAATCTGTATCAGTAAAATTATTCCACAAAAACGGAGAAATTAGTAAGACATGCCCATATAAACAAAAACAAAGACTATCACTAGCAAACCTTAACCACAAGAAATACTAACGGGAGTTCTTTAGGCTGAAATGAAAGATTAGATAGTAACATGAATCCACACAAAGCAATAGCACTGGAAAAGGTAACTGAATAGTTAAAATATAAAAGACAGTATAAATGTGTTAGCTCAGGCTGCTATAACAAGGTATAGACCAGACAGCTTAAACAACAGATACTTTCTTCTCATTCTGAAAGCATGGAGGCTAGAAAGAAGTTGCAGAATATTTTCCAGGTGCTGAAAGATAACTGCTAATCCAGGTACCTTAGCAAAAGTATCCTTCAGTAATGAAGGGGGAAGAATTTGCTGCCGGCAGACCTGCCCAAAAAAGAATGGCTAAAGGAAATTCTATAAACAGGAAGGACATGATAATAGAAGGAACTCTGGAACATGATATAGGGAGAAAGGACGCAATGAGAAAAAAAAAATGACTAAGTTGAATACACCCTCCTCCTAAGTTATCTAAATGTTGCTTGATGGCTGAAGTAAAAGTTATGCCATTGATGTGGCTCAAAAGGTATGTAGAGTTAATATTTAATGATTATAAACAGGAATAGTTAAAGGGAGGTAGGTTTTCTATACTTCACTTGAATTGGTAAAATCAGTAGACTGAAAAGTTATTTTTATATAATAGAGCAACCACTAAAAGTGGTTTTATAGTGTTTACAGAGAGATACACTCTAAAAGTATAATTCTGAAAAATGTTCAAGTAACACAGGCAGAAAATGAAAAAAAATGCAAGTACAAAACCAATAAAAGCCCACTTAAGCCCTAATATATCAATAATTACATGAAATGTAAATAGTCTAAATATACCAATTAAAAGATTGGGAGTTTAGTTCAAAAACATGACCCAGCTGAGGCTGGGCACGGTGGCTCACTCCTGTAATCCCAGCACTTTGGGAGGCTGAGGCAGGTGGATCACGAGGTCAGGAGATTGAGACCATCCTGGCTAACATGGTGAAACTCTGTCTCCAATAAAAATACAAAAACATTAGCCGGGCGTGTTGGCGGGTGCCTGTAGTCCCAGCTACTCGGGAGGCTGAGGCAGGAGAATGGCATGAACCCGGGAGGTGGAGCTTGCAGTAAGCTGAGATCTCGCCACTGCACTCCAGCCTGCGTGACAGAGCGAGACTCCGTCTCAAAAAAAAAGCAAAAACATAAGCTAACACAACACACCTGATATTAAAAAGGTAATTTACATAGCCCTCTAGTATTAAGGAAATTGAATTCACAAATTAGTAACTCCTCAAAGAAACCTTCAAGCTCCAATGATTTCACTGGAGAATTCTGCCAAACGTTTAAAGAGGAATTAATGCCAATTCTACACAATCTCTTTCAAAATATAGGGGAGGAGGGAACACTAACCAATTTATTTCATGAAGTTATTATTGCCCTAAACCAAAACCAGACAGTTAAGAAAATCACAGATCTGCATTTTTGATGAATATAGACTAAAAATCCAAAAAAAATTGGTGAGTAGAATTCAATAATATATACAAAGAATTATATATTATGACTTGGAGTTTATTCCAGATGCAAGGCAGTTTCAGTATTCAAAATTCAATTAATCTACCATATTAAGAGGCTAAAAAACAAAATCACAAATCAATTGATGCAGAAAAAGCAGCTGATGAAATTCAACACCCAGTCACGGTTTATAAAACTCTCAGAGGCCTGGCATGGTGGCTCATGCCTGTAATCCCAGCACTTTGGGAGGCCCAGGCGGGTGGATTGCTCAAGCCCAGGAGTTTGACCAGCCTGGGCAACATGGGGAAACCCTGTCTCTACAAAAACCAGCTGGGTGTGGTGGCACGCACCTCTAGTCAGTCTCAGCTGCTTGAGAGGCTGAGGTGGGAGGATCACCCAAGACTAGGAGGTTGAGGCTGCAGTGAACCCTGATTGCACCACTGCACTTCAGCCTGGGTGACATAGTGAGACCCTGTCTCAATAAAAACAAACAAAAAAACAACTTTCAGAACATTAGGAATAGAGGGCAACTTCAACTTGACAAGCAGCATCTACAAAAAAAATTCTATAGCTAACATTTAATTGTGAAACACTTCAGTTCTCCCTGTGATTGTGAACAAGTATGCTCTCATTACTTATTCAACATGGAAATTCTAAACAAGAGAAGAAAGAAAAAAAATGCATACAGATCAAAAAGGAAAAGCTGAAACTATCCCTATTTGCAGATGGCATGATTGTCTACATATAAAATCTTCAGAAATTTGTAGAAACACTTTTAGAACTAATAAGTAAATTCAGCAAGGTTGAAAGATACTAGATAAACATAGGAAAAAATAATATTTCTATATATTAGTGATTAACACATGGACACTGAAATTTTAAAATATCACTTATAAATTTTTTTTAAAAAAAAGACTTCTTTGTAAATATACAAGTAAAAAAAAGAAAGTAGCTTTTAGCCCAGGAATGCAAGGTTGGTTCAACAAACAAGTCAACTGATGTAATCTACCAATAAAGTACAAAACTGACATAATCATCCATTACAGATCCAGAAAAAGCATTTGAAAAAAAACTTCAGCCTTTTATGATTAAAAAAAAACTCAACAGTATAGGAATAAAAGGAAACATATTTAAAAAGGGACATTTAAGAAAAAACCAGCTAATTTCATACTTAATGGATGAATGTTTACATCCTATCTTAATTTTCTAAGGTTTTCATAAATTATTCCAAACTTGGTGGCTTAAAGTTATTCTCACAGTTCTGAAGGCCAGAAATCTGAAATCGAGGTGTCAGTAGGGTTGATTTCTTCTGGAAGCTGTGAGAGAGAATCCATTCCATTATAGTGTCCTAGCTTCTTGTGGCTGCTGGCAATTTTTGGCATTCCTTAACTTTTGGATGCATCACTCCAGTCTTTGCCTCCATCTTTTTTGTTTTTTTTTTTTTTTTTAGGTGGAGTGTTGTTCTATCACTCAGGCTGGAGTGCAGTGGCATAATCTCAGCTCACTGCGGCCTCTGCCTCCCAGGTTCAAGCGATTCTCCTGCCTCGGCCTCCTGAGTAGTTGAGACTACAGGCATGTACCACCATGCCCAACTAATTTTTTGTACTTTTAGTAGAGATGGGGTTTCACCATGTTGGCCAGGCTGGTCTCAAACTCCTGACCTCAGGCGATCCACCAGCCTCAGCCTCCCAAAGTGCTGGGATTACAGGCATGAGCCACCATGCCCAGACTTTGCCTCCATCTTCACATGGCCTTCCCCTCTGTGTCTATGTCTTCTTTTCTGTCTAAGGACACCTGTCATTTAGGATTTAAGACCCACCTTAATCCAGGATGATTTCATCTCAAGATCCTTAATTACATTTGCAAAGACCCTTATTCCAAATAAGGTCACATTCTGAAGTCTGGGTAGACATGTCTTTTGAGGGCCACTATTCAATTCATTATAGTACACTCTCAGATCCCTCAAAATTCAGGTCTGTCCCACATGCAAAATACCTTACTTCAATCCAACATCCCCCTGAATCAACCTATTCCAGCATCAACCTGTACATCTAATACCTCTTGTAAATATTTTTAACTCAAAAAGTCCCAAATCTTATCTAAATCAGGTATGGGTGATACTCTGGGTATGATCCATCCTAGGGCATAATTCCTTTCTAGCTGTAGACCTGTGGACTAGAAAACCAACTATCTGCTCCCTAAATACAATGGTGGGACAAGCACTGGATAGCCAATCCCATTCCAAAAGGGAGAAGGAGGAATGAATAAAGGTATCACAGATCCTAAACAAGTTCAAAACCCAGCAGAGAAAATCCCATTAGGTTTGAAAGCTTGAGAATTACCCTCTGCAGCTTAATCCTCTGCTCTCCAGAATCAGTGTTCCACACTCTGGGTCCATGGAGGCTCCTTTGGCTGTCCAGAGGGGTCACCTCTCTGCCCTCTGCTTCTGCATCTGTGCCTCTGGTTTTGGAGTCATTCTTTTTTTCTCTCAAAAGGTAGCACATGTTTGCAATTGAGTAGCCCTATCAGCCTGTTCCTGCCTGTAGAATTTTGAGAATCTAACAACCTTTTTTCATTTTGTATAGTCTCAGTCTCTTTTTATTCTAAGCCAGCAATGTTTCTGCTGCTATAACATTCTCAAAATCCTTGTCTATCTCCCATGTCTCATCCCATGGAGGTCCATGCCATTAGACAAGAGAGATCTTGTCTTGATAGATAGACCTATCTATCTCTTGACAGATCCTTCCTGGATAACCCCATCTCTATTCCTGGCTTTTGCTAAGACAGTTGATTACATCCATGAGTCACACACCTAATCTCTTCAGCAACAGGTTGTCCAGTCAGTCCCTTGGCCCTCTTTCCACAGCATGCCTTTCCAACAGTAGATTTGTTACTTAGCATCCTCTGCAATCAGGATAGGATGAGACTCTTGAAAATCATCAAGTGCTGGTTGCTTTTTGCTTAATAACCTCTTCAATTTATCTCTTTCCTCTCACATTTTACTCTAAGCAGCAAGGAGAAATCAGGCTGCGCCTTCAACACTTGTTACTTGAAAATCTCAGTTAAATATCCAAGTTCATAGCTTATAAGTTCGTTTTTACCCAACAGTAAAACATAACTTAGTGGGTTTTTCTGGTTTTGTTTTGTTTTGAGACGGAGTCTCGCTCTGTCACCCAGGCTAGAGTGCAGTGGTGTGATCTCAGCTCACTGCAACCTCCGCCTCCTGGGTTCAAGCAATTCTCCTGCCTCTGCCTCCCAAGTAGCTGGGACTACAGGTGCACATCGCCACGCCTGGCTAATTTTTTGTATTTTAGTAGAGACGGGGTTTCACCGTGTTGCCCAGGCTGGTCTTGAACTCCTGAGCTCAGGCAATCTGCCCGCCTTGGCCTCCCAAAGTGCTGGGATTACAGACGTAAGCCACCGCACCCCACCTTGTTTTTTTTTTGTTGTTGTTGTTTTGTTTTTTTAAGAGGGTCTCACTATGGTCCCTCTTAACTATAACTATTGTGCAGTAGCTATTCACAGGCATGATCATGGCATGTTAGAGCCTCAAACTCCTGGGCTCAAGTGATCCTCCTGCCTTAGTCTTCTGAGTAGCTGGGACTACAGGTGCACACCATCATGCCCCACTAATTTAGCCAAGTTTTATGCCACTTTATATCAAGGATTGCCTTTTCTCCAGTTTCCACTATTATGTTCTTCATCAAAGACCTCACCAGAAGCACTTATTAATGTTCATATTTCTACCAACATTCTGTTCATGAGAATATATTTATTCTCCAAGATAAAAAGCTTTCTATGACATGTACCTCACTTCCTTTTTAGCCCTCTCAAGAGTCACATTTAACATCCATATTTCTTCCAATTTTTTCTGTCTTCAAGGCAATCTAGGTAGGAATTCAAGACCAGCCTGGGCAACATAGTGAGACCCTGTCTCTACAAAAAATAAAAAATTTAGCCATATTTGGTGGTGCACACCTATAGTTTTAGCTACTCAGGGGGCTGAGCTGGGAGGATCCCTTGAGGCCAGGAGTTCCGTGCTGCAGCGAATTATGATTGCACCACTACACAGGCTGGGTGACAAAGTGAGCCCCTGTCTCTTAAAGAACAAAAACAAAACTCAAAGTGGATTCAAGACTTAAGACCTGAAACTATAAAACTGAACTGAACTACCTGAAACTGTAAAACTAGTAAAAATAAAACAGGGAAAAGTTTCTTGACATTGCTCTGGGCAATGATTTTTTTTTATATGACCTCAAAAGCACAGGCAACAAAAGTGAAAATAGACAAATGGGATTGCATCAAACTAAAATGCTTCTGATACAGCAAAGGAAACAATCCACAGAGTGAAAAGACAACCTAAAGAATGGGAGAAAATATCTGCAAACCACACATCTAATAAGGAGTTAATATCCAAAACATATAAGGAATTCAAAAAACTCAACAGCAAGAAAACAATCTGATTAAAAAATGGGCAAAGGACTTGGATAGACATTTCTCAAAAGAATACATACAAGTGGACAATAGGTATATGAAAAAATGCTGAGTATTACTAATCATCAGGGAAATGCAAATTACAATGAGATATTATCACCTCACATTAGTTAGAATGGCTATTGTGCAAAAAGACAGGAGATACATATTGGCAAGGGTATGGAGAAGAGGGAACCCTTGTACACTGTTGGTGGGAATGTAAATTAGTATAACCCTTATGGAAAACAATATGGAGGTTCCCTACAAAATAACAATAAAGCTGAGTTTGGTGGCTCATGCCTGTAACCTCGGAACTTTGGGAGGCAGGAGGGGTGCTTGAGGCCAGAAGTTCGAGGTAACAGTGAATCATGATTGTGCCCCTTCATCCCAGCCTGAATGACAGAGCGAGACCCTATCTCTAACAAAACTATATGATCCAGCAACCTCACTCTTGGTATTTATCCAAAGGAAATGAAATCATTCTGTCAAAGAGATATCCGCACTCCCATGTTTATTGCAGCCACTCCCATGTTTGTTGCAGCATTATTCACAATAACCAAGATATGGAATCAACATAAGTGTCCCCTGATGGATGACTGGATTAAGAAAATGTGGTGTATATATACAACAGACCACTATTCAGCCTTTTGAAAGGGGAATTCTGTCATTTGTGACAACATGGATGAAACTGAAGAATATTATGCTAAGTGAAATAGGCCAGACATAAACAAATACTGCATGTTCTCACTTACATGTGAAATATAAAACAGTTAAACTCATAGAATCAGAAGAATAGTGGTTGCCTGGGGCTAGGGGTTTGGGCATAGAGTGGGATTGGGAGATGTTGTCTAAGGGTTTAATTAAAAAAACTTTTAAAAAAACAATGAAAGATGAAAAGATGAAAGAAGAGATAATGCAATGCCATGGACTAAATGTTTGTGTTCCCACAAATTTGTATGTTAAAAATCTAAGCTCCAATGTGACAATATTTGGAGTTAGGGGCCTCTGGGAGGTGATTACACATTGTATATACATGTATCAAAATATCCCATGTACCCCCAAAATATGTACAATTATATCAATTTAAAAATACAAAATAACCCTAACAGAAGTACTAGAATGTAATGTGAAATGTATCTCTTAAGTAATAAAGGCCAGGTGTGGTGGCTCACCCCTATAATCCTAGCATTTTGGGAGGCCGTAGAGTCAGGAAGATTGCTTGAGCCCAGGAGTTCAAGACCAGCCTAGGCAACATAGGGAGACCTCATCTCTACAAAAAATTTAAAAATTAGCCAAGTGTGGTGACTCATGCCTGTGGTCCCAGCTACTCAGGAGGCTGAGGTGGGAGGATCACCTGAGCCCGGAAAATCAAGGCTGCGGTGAGCCGTGATTGCACCACTGCACTCCAGCCTGGGAGACAGAGCAAGACTTTGTATGAAAAAAAAAAAAGTAATAAAAAGATGGAAATAGAGTAAAAAAAAAAAACAATTAATCTACCCAGAAGGTCTGAAATCTGAAAGTTTCAGGAAGAGAAAGATGGAATGAAGGAAAGAAAATTATTAAACAATGTAAGAAAATGACTCCGAAGTGAAGGACTTGAATTTTTCTTTTTCTTTTTTTTTTTTTTTTGAGAGGGAGTCTTGCTCTGTCACCCAGGCTGGAGTGCAGTGGCACAATCTTGGCTCACTGCAACCTCCGCCTCCTGGGTTCAAGCGATTCTCCTGCCTCAGCATCCCAAGTAGCTGGGACTACAGGCACGTGCCACCACACCTGGCTAATTTTTTCTATTTTTAGTACAGACAGGGTTTCACTGTGTTAGCCAGGATGGTCTCGATCTCCTGACCTCGTGATCCGCCTGCCTCGGCCTCCCAAAGTGCTGGGATTACAGGTGTGACGCACCACACCCCGCCAGGACTTGAACTTCTAAAGAACCCAGAGAATGCCTAGCACAAATAATTTTTTTTTAAAGATGCACATCAAGCATAATATAGGATAAAAAGATGCTAAAATCTCCAGAAAGCACACACACACACACATATTCCCTCTCTCTTTTCTGTCAAAAAGATCAGAAATCATAGAATAGATATCTCAAAAATTGTTTAAGAAAATTAAATCATCTGTATCTTCTGTAGTTGGATTTTTTTATTTTTATTTTTGGAGACAGAGTTTCGCTCATTACCCAGGCTGGAGTGCAATTGCACAATCTCGGCTCACTGCAACCTCTGCCTCCCAGGTTCAAGAGATTCTCCTGCCTCAGCCTCCTGAGTAGCTGGGATTACAGGCATGTGCCATCACGCCCGGCTAATTTTTCTATTTTTAGTAGAGACGGGGTTTCACCATGTTGGTCAGGCTGGTCTCGAACTCCTGACCTCAGGTAATCCACCTGCCTTGGCCTCCCAAAGTGCTGGGATTACAGGCATGAGCCACGGTGCCCAGCCTTCTGTAGTTAGAATTTAATAGATAATGCCTAAAATGGAATACAGGAATACTATTGGTACTATTGGTATATTATTATTATTATTTTTTTTTTAGATACAGAGTCTCGTTCTGTCGCCCAGGCTGGAGTGCAGTGGCCCGATCCTGGCTCACTGAAACCTCTGTCTCCCAGGTTCTAGCAATTCTCCTGCCTTAGCCTCCCATGTAGCTGGGATTTCAGGTGCATGCTGCCATGTCCAGCTAATTTTTTGTATTTTAGTAGAGATGGGGTTTCACCGTGTTGCCCAGGCTGGTCTCGAACTCCTGAGGTCAGGCAATCCACCCGCCTCAGCCTCCCAAAGTGTTAGGATTATAGGCGTGAGCCATCGCACCCAGCTTGGTATATTATTTTAAAATAATAAGTAGATTCTTAGCTTACCTCTTTCACTCCTAAGAATTCATTTGACTTGCTAAATAATGTATATGTATTGCTTTGGCAAAACCAAACCAAAACTAGATGAAAATAAAACACTTGCACTCGTCTCATTTTTGTACCTAAATATGGTGTAACCTTGGCCAAATATCTTAGTTCCTTAACCCCATTAGCAGTGTTTTCTCCGATGGAGGGGTTGATGTTGTCTATGGTTCTTTCTATCTGTAAAACATGAATGCTTTATCTTTGAAAGTACAGCAGGTCCTTGAAAAAATGTTTTGTTATAATGTTGATGACCAAAAAATAATCACGTCCCTGGTGGCGCCGCTGTCTGTGTGGAGTCTGCCTGTTCTCCCCACATCTACATTGGTTTTCTCCTGGTGCTCCAACTTCCTCCCACATCCCAAAGATGCCCATATTGGGTTCACTGATGTGTCTACATGGTGCCAGTGTGAATAAGTGTGAGTGCACCCTGCCAAGGGATGGGCATCCTGTCTAGGGCTGGTTCCTGCCTTGTGCCCTGAGCTGCTGGGACAGGCTCTGGCCATCTGCTACCCTGAACTGGAATAAGCAGGTTGGAAAATGAGTAAATGAACACAAATTCTTGTAAAATAAAAATTTGTAAAGTAAATGATAATCATAAAGGTGTCTGTATTGACAAAAAAAAAAAAAAAAAAAAAGATGCAGTACAACAGTGCTCAGCAAGCCCACCATATTTGTTATTGTGTTTGAACTGTGCAGTGGTAGGAGGTGCTCCTTAAAATTTTTGCTTTGCAAACATTTATTCCTCAATTTAAACCCCCCACCATTACAATCGCTATCACTCAGGTTTACCAAAACTTGGGTAAATAATTATATTGTTTTTATTGATCTTTCTTAGATGTATGCATGGCTCACATGTATTTCAATGTTTAATATTAGAAGTGTTTGGGGTCTCTACTTAGAAGTTTGGTGATGTTTTTGTGACCAGAAATATGGTGTAGGAACTTAACTCTTGTTTATATCAATTATCCTATGGTTAAGTTGGTTTCATTATAAGTCATTTTGTTTAAAGTCACGGTCTCCAAGAGCCTATCAGCAACGGTAAGTGAAGACTTACTGTATTTAACAAAATCTTTACGGATTTGGACTAACTTCAGATAGTAGATTCTCACCAAATGTATTGAGATTTTCAAGTTGTAACTGATTATTGAGAGAGATCTGGAGTTCAATGGGTTTTTACCTTTTATCTTCAAAAGGTTGAGTTTGCAGTGATTTTTCTATTAATCTAAAACTAAGCTCTGGGACAATATTGGCCATAGAAAATGAGAATGAAGCTAAAAGACAGTGTTTTCTACATAGGGATAGATTATAAAGTATAGTGGTTAAAAGGTTTTAGAAATGGAAAATGTATAATAGGGCAGCGGTTAACTATTCTTTTGTAATTAATTCTGTTCTACAAGTTTCTACCGGATTGCCTTTGGCCAAATAAGTATTACTTTAAAGTAATCTTCTATTTTACATACATCTTTATGTTCTTCAATAAAGGAAGATTACCAAGTGGCTAAAGTATGACCTCTGAAGTTGGCTTGGGATTGGATCCTGGCTCTTTTACTAGCCAGTTTTAGAGTGGCACTGGATGAGTAAGTTAATCTTGTTTAGCTTGAGTTTCTTTTTCTATGAAGTGGGGATGATCGTAACAACTGCTATGGATTATATAATCTATGTAAAGATAGCACTGTGTAGTACTAAGTCTCATATAAATATAAGCTATTACAATTAATATTCCACTTCCTAGGGAATGTTTTTCCTAGGATTCTGTGAGCTGGTGGAATCCCTATCTTGTTGGGTCTTAACAAGAGTAGAGAAGCTGGTCAGGAAAGAGTGGTATTCTGAGAGTAAGAGTTTTGGGAAGACTACGATGAGTTGAGTATCCTAAATCCCAAACTCCTCACTTGAAGGTGAAGGAACCCCTTAGATATGCTTGTTACCTTGGCTGACCAGTACCTTAATAACCTCACTTAAAGGAGTTAGTTACCTTGCACAAAGAAGCCCATATGCCCTATCCCTACAATCCCTCATTGTTTCCAGGACACAGTTTGAGTCAGATCCCAGCATGTCCCAGGGAGACAAATACAAAGTGTGATCTGAAAGAGTCTTTTTTTGGATCTTAATATTGATAGGTGGAGAATATCTGTGGAAATAGATTCTGAATATGTAGGACCTTGGAAGAAAGGACATAAATTGGGTCAAATGATCACTATGGGTAAACCTATAGTAGAGATTTTGGCTCAGTCTATGAGACTGAACAGCTTGAAGTAGTCCTTTTTACTTGGTGGAAACACATTTTGACTCAGCAGTGGCTCATCTAAATTAGAGATGATATGCCAGAAACTCCTTGGTATGATGTAGAGAAAAGAAATCAAAGAAGAGGGGCCATGTTGGGGAGGATTTAATATGAGTGATCCTCTAACTGTATCCCTCGTAAGAGTCTAGTCAACTCTCTTTACCAAGGCATTGAGAAAAACACTGGTGAGCAGAGCACCAGCACTCTTGAAAAGCCATATAGTCTGTCTGTAGGCCAGAGATGCCAGTGGGAGATGCTTCAGTTGAAATGGACCCCTTGATTCGATAGGCATTTTCAAGACTGTTTTGTGTCAGAGACAAAGTAGTGCATTTAATTGCTAGACTAGAAAGGTGGGCATGGTTACTGTAATAGACAGCAGGAACCACAGGATAATCAGTATACTCTCAACATGAGGTCTGGCTTTGGCTGAAGGATCATGTGATCTAAAGAAGGAAAATGGATAGTCCTATTTGGTCTATGTTACTAAAAACTGTTAGTCTGACTTGAGCCACTGTAGTAATCATGAGCCCTTAACTGATTCTCAGGTCTGATTTAATTCAATTTCTGGAGGCCTTGGAGAAAGGACTTTGACATAATATCATGAGTATGTATTATGTATCTCTTAGCATTCTCCAAAGTAATCTGTGGCCATTTACCAGAGCAGTTACACAGTGCAGAAAGAAATTCCTAGACCTTTCGGGCTCACCAAACATGCTGAATTAGTCCTAATTTTGGGCAACCAGAACATCAAACACTTATTCAGAGTGGAGTCTTGTGGAAGTCAGTATAAGTGGAGTTTTGACCCAAGTCCACCACAGTGACCCCTAAACCCATCCCTTGGTTACTTCTCCCATTTCCTGAGTGTATGGCTAGAGTATTAACATTAGCAACTAGCAGAGTCAACACACTGGTTTCCTTAACTCGTTCTTTTGTTTATCAAGTTTTAATGAAAGGATACAACTGATGCTACTTTACAACATGATAAACATTTGCAATGTCCCAAATTACTACTATTGTTACGAGAATAAGATTGCTCAGGTTGCTAAAAGGAATTTTTAAAGTATTTCCTCTTTTGGTTGATGTAGTACCTGATCAGAGTTCTAAACTACCGCCTACCAAATTTTTCTTTGAAAAATCTACCTTTATATGTGAAATTAATATACACATATATTTTAGGTAACAGTAATTTACAGGTTTCTTTATTAAATTAGGATCTTTGCATTAAGCCCAACTCATCACTGATCAACATATTTCATGCTGATAAGCATTTAGCAAAATTTGAGACTGATATTCAATAATATGTATTAAATCAGATAATCTGAGTGCTAAAATAGTTTGCCTCCTGGATTTATAGTAATTTTTAATTGAAAAAAACCTCATTTATTCTGCTCATTTGCAAGTTATAATTTTAACTGGCAAGAATTACACAGCAGAATTTTTTTAATGGTCATTATAGAAACTAGCTTGCACTTCACCTATTTCTTGATTTTACCGAAATTTATGACCACATTAATTGGAGAAAGGAAAATAAACTCTCTTGGGAATACGCTGTACTAGCACGAAGAGATTTTCCTTCATTTCTGCAAAATTAATATTCTCTATTCATCTAATGCCTATCCACTAGATTTTTTTGTATATGTCACAGAAGTACTTTTTTCTTAGGTAGTATATTTAAACCTTTCAGTTATAATTATTACCACCCCCTCCACCCCCTTCCCCCCACTTAATGGTTATAAAAAGTTACATCCCTTAAGAAATATTTAGGGATAAATATGGATCAAATCCTTGAGACAAAAACCCAAACTTTATACCAAATCCTTTCATCCAAAATCTTATATTCAAATGAAGTGAGAATTCCATTAAGGAAACAATATTTTTTTTTTCAACTAATTTTTATAGTTACATCAGCCTGGGCTAATTATACAGAAAATTTATACAAATACACACAAAACCAAAAATACCAAACCAAGCAACAACAAAAAAACAACCCCCAAACCCAAAAACTCTCATTCCATAAGGTGACAAATTTTACTTCTGAGAGGTAGTACAACCAACCAAATGAATACTGTACGTGCATTAACTGAGGCACTTAAGATCACCCAACCTTTTTAATTTATAACCAAATCTCTCCTCTTCAGGATTTCAGTGCTCATGAACAAGTATTATATTAGATTAATGGTCTCAATTTATTCTGACAAAATCTTACTTTGAAGTTTAGTCATTTAGACCTTAAAGTTACAAAAATAAAGTATTTCTATCTCAGGCAAGTATTTAATTTCTTAAAAGCTAGTAAGAAATGAAAAGATCAATGTGGAGAGAAGTATGATTTCTTAAAAATGGGTACATATTTTAGTTTTTTAATTGTGAAATACATTATGACCTGTAAGAACATTGTTCTTCCTATTCTATTCAGGGTCATTTTAACATGTGAGCCTTCAGCTTCATTTTGTACACTACAAACAGGAAAACATAAACATCATGAATCAGTTTAGGCAGAGATGTGATTAAGAATTGTAAAAGATGGCTTTCATAACATACATAAAATTCCAAACACTTTGCATGTGAAAATTTTCTGAATTATTAAGCAGTAGGGTGATCTCAGTGAGACTTGGCTTCATATGAAATGTTTCCATTAAAATTTTAAGTTTGCCTTAAAACAAAAAAAAACTTGGAAAGCAAAGCTCCCAAACCAGCTAAGTTAGAAACTGCTCAGTTTCTGAATGAAAATGACACTGTTTTTTATTTTTACTCTACTGAATTGAAAGAACAGAAAAAGAACTACAGTTGGTATAGAGAACTATTAGGCCATCTATACAGACACCTGAGAACCAATTCTTCTCTACGTTTACCATCTTCTGCAGCCACTTGCTTCTGCTTTGTCATTCACTGACATTTCAACTCTTTCAGTTACTGTATCTTCAGATGCTGACTGGACATGGCTTTCTGACTGTCCTCCAGTGTAGGTGGGGGTGCTGTACTTTAAAAGGATAGATTTAAACTGCATCAGAGGTGCATCTGTGCGTACACCCATTGGGTCAAAATGAGTTCGGCTTACTCGAAAGCCTGCTTGAGATAAATAGCACAAAAACTTTTTTAACCTGCAAAAAGGAAAGGAAAGAAAAAATAATCAGGTTCTTGTATTTTTATTTAAATCACAATATTATTAAAATATAAAATATATATACTTTGTCATTCACTGGGTGTCTTACTTTGGCATATTCATTCCTTTAATGCTGTGTCTGTGAATGTTGTAATAAAAGGGAGGATGTTCAGTACTGACATCAGTCTTTTGCTTCTTGCCTAAATTTGTGATCATTTCATTACTTTTTCTCTTTCCTGCAACATACACATACAAAGTTAGCATGCTCTTAAAAATTACAAGCCAAATACTTTTATAACTATATATTTATCTCAAGTATAAATCCTGACACATTATTTCAACCTGACTATCCAATCTTAATTCTTATAATTTATTCTATTTTCACGGTCCTTCACTTATGTAATTTTCATATTAAACTGCTGAATCAGAACTTCCTTTCTACCTTCTTCAACTTCAAGCCACACTCTATTTCGTCTCCTGTAGGAAGCCATCTGTCAATCTGGGGCTAGTCACTTCATACATTTCATTGTTGTTAATACTACACTACACTACTCAGAGTTTGATTAAGTTGTCATTTTTTTTTCTTTTCTTATAGTTCCTTAATGTGTGTAAGTCCTTTCTCCCCAAGTTATATTCTAAGTTCCTAAGGACAATGTCTTTCATTTTTATACCTGTATTTCTACTGAGTGATCAGTATTGGATACACAGTGGGTCTTTAGTAATCACAAAACAAAGAAAAACAACACAAAGTCTTGAGAGTTTGGACACAGAAACTGACATAAGGTCAATGTTATGATCTCATTGCCTATTTCTCATCACAGCACTTAGTTTTTTCATTTTGAGTGAAAGGAGGCCAGCTAAGATTCTAGAACTGTATCCTTCCAAAAATCACAACATGAAAACAACTGAGATATCCAATACTATAATGAGATTTTGCCTGGTGTTCAACCCTTGATTATTTATATATGAACGTTATGGTCAAATCTTATCTCTTCAGGGAAAGTAATTAACATCTGCTTAAGCAAAATATTCAGAAGCTGCCAGGAGCAGTAGCGTACACCTGTGTAACTGGGACCCAAGTCCCAGCTACTTGGGAGGCTGAGGTGGCAGGATGGCTTGAGCCTAGGAGTTTGAGTCTAGCCTGAGCAACACAGTGAGACCCTGTCTCTTAAAAAAAAAAAAGTATTGAAAAGGCAAAGTTGATACATAAAAATAAATTACATTCAAAATAAATATAAATTATTGCTGAACTGTTGCCTCTTTACATAAAAACATAAAGCAAAAAGGACAACCTGGGATCCATCCATCAAATCAGAATTATAATTTGAAATCTAAAATTTGAAACTGCATGAAATCTAATGAGGCACCTAGTCAAAGGATAGATATCCAGATTTAGTACAAGTTCTAGGAGCATCTGAGGCAAAAAATCTGATGTAATACGTTAATAGTGAGTATCATCAGCAGTATATAGATTTTTTTTTTTGGCCTGGTAATTTCTTCTTTTTTAAAAAATAATTTCAACTTTCTTTATCGATTAAAGGGTATATGTGTAGGTTTGTTACGTGGGTATATTGTGTAATGCTGGGGTTTGGGGTCCTAACAACCCCAGCACCCATGCAGTGGGCATAGTACCCAACAGGTGGTTCTTCAGCCCAGGCCACATCCCATCCCTCCCCCATCTAGTAGTCCCCAGTGTCTATTATTCCCATCTGATGTCTGTGAGTACCCAAAGTTTAGCTCCCACTTGTAAGTTAGAACATGGGGCTTTGGTTTTCTGTTCTTGCATTAGTTTTATTAGGATAACGGCCTAGAGTGCCATCCATGTTGCTGCAAAGAGCATGATTTTGTTCTTTCTTATGGCTGCATAGTATTCCTTAGTACATATGTTCATTTTCTTTATCCAGTCCATTGATGATGGGCACCTAGGTTGATTCTGTCTTTGCTACTGTGAATAGCACTGCAATGAACATATAACGTATCTTTGACAGAATGAATTATTTTCCTTTGGGTTTGCATAGTACTATCATTTTAAGATTTTATGTGTTGACCAATGGTCTTAGAATAACCATATAATTTAAAAGTTATAGAAGAGCCCACAAAAATTAGTCTAATTTCCTTAATTTACTTATGAGAAAGGCTCACAGATTAAAAACAAATTTTTTTTTTGAGATGGAGTTTGGCTGTGTTGCCCAGGCTCACACAATCCTTACACTATCCTCCCACTTCAGCCTCCTGAGTAGCTGAGATTACAGGTGTGTGCTACTGTGCTCTTGGCTTTTGAAAATATTTTTAAAGCTTATTTATGTTTTACTTTATTCTAAAAAGGATTTAAGATAATTTTGCTGAATGGGAGGGACCTGGCTGAGTTTATATAACAACGCCTGCATAGGATAATACTCTTAAATCTAATTTTTTTTTTTTTTTTTTTTTTGAGACAGTCTCGATCTGTCACCCAGGCTGGAGTGCAGTGGTGCAATCTTGGCTAACTGCAGCCTCTGCCTCCTGGGTTCAGGCAATTCTCCCACCTCAGCCTCTCAAGTAGCTGGTATTACAGGCTTGCACTGACACACCTGGCTAATTTTTGTGTTTTTCGTAGAGACGGGGTTTCACCATGTTGGCCAGGCTGGTCTTGAACTCCTGACCTCAAGTGATCTACCCAACTTGGCCTCCCAAAATGCTGGGATTATAGGCATGAGCCACTATGCCCAGCAAATCTAATATTCTTTATAGTGTATCATAATGCTTCTTTGTCTTCCCTCCAACAGAGAAATTAGGTAGAATGTATCAATTTAAGTTATCAAATTAGTTGAAGATGCCAAATGAACATGGCTGTTGCAAAGAGTATGCAGTAGTTATTTAAACTATATACTATTAAAAGAAATTTAAGTTTCCTTGTCTTTGAAGGTCAACATTAAACTGCTGAGCAACTAATAAAAAATTACAGCTGATAACTAAAGGCCACTGCTCTTTCAAACTTAACACTCTACAGTCTTCTTTTCATCTGTACTCAAAAAACACATCTAGAATCTAAAGTTTTTTAAAAAGCAAAACAAAACCTTAGACATTAGGGCACTGATATTTTAAATCTTAACATCCTTTAATATGAATTTAGTGTCTACCACAGCTAGATTTAAAGTATGCACATATCCTAAATTATATGAAAGGCCATATAATAAATTCTTTTGGCTGAAGAATGAGGTCTTCTGGTTACTTAAATGGAATTGCTATAAATCATATATTAATGAGCAATTTTTAAAAGAATTAGAATAAAATTTTATCTTAACTATAAAATTATATATAACTTTATCATATATAATTTGATCTTATTTTATTCACATGGTTCAAGATCATACAGTTCGTTCAAAGGGATAACCATATATTACAGATGTGAACAAAGCATATGTTAACAGAAATTTCCTATGTGTGAATGCTGATAAACAAGTTTTACTACAGTTTTGTTGTCATATAATATGAAATGTATTTTTAAGTAGGCTACCATGGCAATCTCTTCTCTTCCTACCCTTTTGCTATATGCCTTTTTGACCTGATATGTACATATGTACACACATATATGCATACATACCTTGTGCAATGTAATTATCTGTTGTGGTGTCATCTGTAGTTTTAATAAATACACCATTTTCTTCTAAAAAATAAAGCAAATGGGAAAAGAAAATATTTTACAGAATGACATAAAGCAACAACTCAGTTTAAATAAAAGTTTATGAAATTCCATCCACACTATTTTCACGAATATGCAAGAGATTCTGTGGCCAAACTGAACTGCAAAAATTACATTTTTAACCCTCTATAATAGCAGTTTCTAATTATTTATGAGAACACTAGGATATTCAATAGGCTCATATCAATAGTCAGATACAACTACAAAATTGGCTGTTTGTACTAAACAGAAAAAACACATAGCTTTACTGAATGAGAAGTATAAATGTAGTTTCTGTGTCTTCATAGATATTACAATTTTTGGCCACAACACTCCTTGAATTACCAAAAGTTTCTTTTTCTAGAAAGCACATCTAGGGTAATAAAAATCACAAAGGACCTTTAGTGTTTTTTTTTTCTTTTTTTAAATCTAGTAAAATTAAAAACACACAAAAAAGGAGGTTATCTTTAAAAAAAAATTATCAGGGCATGGTGGTTCATGCCTGTAATCCCAGCCACTTTGGGAGGTCAAGGTGGGAGGACTGCTTGAGCCCAGGAGTTTGAAATCCGCCTGGACAATATGGTGAGACCCCATCTCTAAAAAATATTAGCCAGGTGTGGTGTGCATGCTTGTGGTCCCAGCTACACAGGAGGTTGAGGCTGAGGCAAGAGGACTGCCTGAGTCTAGGAGGTTGAGACTGCAGTGAGCCATGTTTGTGCCACTTGTATTCCAGCTTGGGTGAAAAAGTGAGACCCAGTATCCAAAAAAAAAACAACAAAACCAACAACACTATTCATCATTCACCTATTCATCTCAGGCCTGATTACAAGCCTGAATAAAACTATGTAATTAAAAAAAAACCAGAGGATCAGACTCATTAGAGAAGATTTACTAAAAACACACTATTTATAATTATATTGGTTTTATTATAACATCAAATACAATTGAAAAAGATACAGTATTTTTGGTAAGCAGTTTAAAGCTAGTAAGCTAGCGTTCAGTTAGTCACCTTGCTTGTTGACATTTGAAGATGCATGAATTGAAAACTGACTTTGAGGCGTACACTCTGATTCAAAGATTAATGTCTTTATTAGGGTCTGAATGTCATCCAAACCATGGTGAAGAGATTCAAATAGCATTCTTTTGAGGAATCCAGTATTGAAAAGGGAACTTGACCTGAAAAGAAAAGAATATACAGAGAACTGGGTTTGAAAAATGTTTCTCTTTAAAAAGAAAGTCTTCACAATTTAACTATAAGTAAGATATATAATTAATTATATGACAGAGTAATACTTAAATTCAAAAAGAATTTATGATTTAATTTAAAACTGTTTATTTTCTTTATTATTATTATTCTTTTTTGAGATAGAGTCCCGTCCTGTTGCCTAGGCTATAGTATTTTATTATTTTTTAATAGAGATAGGGTGTCATCATGTTGCCCAGGCTGATCTCAAACTACTGGGCTCAAGGGATCCTCCTACCTTGGCTTCCCAAAGTGCTGGAATTACAGGTGTGAGACACCACACTTCTGGCCTAAAACTTTATTTTCTATTTGCCACTCATTTTTATCATATCAGTTCTCTAAACTAGTAGCATTAGTCAAGGAAACTTAATTAAGTCAACAAGAATCTATTGAGGCTGGGAAGGGGAGAAGGGAGAGGGTGATGAAGAGGGGTAAAAGAATATAAATGTATTTATTACCACTGAAGTGTATACTTAAAAATGGTAAAGAAGGAAAATGTTATATGTGTATGTTACCTTAATAAAAAAATAATTTATTGAACTCTCATAAGGTATACAGTACTGTGGTACACAGAGGGTGTGTGGAGGATATACCAAAATATAATATACAATGTTGACCTTATAAAAGCCTATAAATCTAGACAGGAAAATAAAGCAATGAAGAGGTTTTCACAATGCACATTCTAGTCACTAATAGAAAATCTTAATTCTGATGAGTTTATGGTGGTAGGGTGGGGCAGGACAGGGCAGGGGAGCACATATATGAGAATTATATGTGGTGATGGTATGGTTCAGAAATAGTCTGGGGTGAATCTGATATGCTTCCCATTTAATTTAAGAATCACAGGTATAATGGACAAAATATGAAATTCTGAGTATGATAAACTGGATTCCAATCCTGGCTCCACCACTTACTAGTTATGTAATCTTTTTATTAAGAGACAGGGTCTCACTATGCTGCCCAGGCTGAAC
Organism: Homo sapiens; assembly: GCF_000001405.40. Taxonomy (NCBI): domain Eukaryota; kingdom Metazoa; phylum Chordata; class Mammalia; order Primates; family Hominidae; genus Homo; species Homo sapiens. The sequence continues at coordinate 185,126,149 of NC_000001.11, forward strand.
TTGAATTCCTGGGCTCAAGGGATCCTCCTGCCTCAGCCTCCTGAGTAGGTGGGACTATAGATGTCTGCAACTGTGCTGGGCTAGCTATATAATCCTGAGTAATTACTACTTTTCAGTCTTATATTCCTCATCATGAAATGTAAAATAAAACTTTTTTCTTTTTGGAGATGGAGTCTTGCTCTGTCGCCCAGGCTAGAGTGCACTGGCGCAATCTCAGCCCACTGCATGCTCTGCCTCCCGGGTTCACGACATTCTCCTGTCTCAGCCTCCCAAAGTGCTGGGATTACAGGCATGAACCACCACGCCTGGCCAAAAATAAAACTTCTCTATATATCCTCAATGTATGGTAGCTACTATTGTTAGGGTTAGCAAATATATATGAAAGAATATATGATTTTAAATTATCAAATATGTGATCAATATAAGATATACTAAAGGGAATTTAGAGATTATATTGGGTTGAGGCACTAAGAAGAGACTTCAAAAAGAAAGTACAATTTGAATTGGAGGTGGTAGAGAGGGGAAGGTATTCTGGATGAGTGTAAAGCCATGAACACAATAGCTTTCATGTGGAAATCATAAGGTTTTATTAAGAATTCATAATCCCAGCACTTCGGGAGGCCGAGGTGGGTGGAGTCAGGAGTTCAAGACCAGCCTGGCCAACATGATGAAACCCCCTCTCTATTAAAAATACAAAAATTAGCTGGGTGCAGTGGCACATGCCTGTAGTCCCAGCTACTCGGGAGGCTGAGTCAGGAGATTCGCTTGAACCCAAAAGGTGGAGGTTGCAGTAAGCCAAGATTGTGCCACTGCACTTCAGCCTGGGCAACAAAGTGGGATTCTGCCTCAAAAATAAAAAATAAAAAAAGAATTCAGTCCTGGGAGTCAGAAAACCTAAGTTCTAGCCTTGGCTGTGGTATGAATTTTTTTGGTCAGTTTTAGCAAGCACTTAAAAACACTGTGCCATAGTTTCCTCATGTGTAAAATAAGGCAGTTAGGCTAGAAATCTTCCTTCTGGATCCAGTAACCTGCTATTTTTAATTTCCTCAGTTCTGAATCAGTGAGTAGGATCAATGTGTAGCAGATGCTATAGGTGAGAACTAGTTTTAGAAGAACTAGAAGGTAGGGCTGGCTAGATCTTTCTTAATCTAAGAGTATTTAATAAGATGAAGATAAAATCATGAGCATCAGCACAAAGACATTTACCATGTAGGTCAATTTCTAGGTTTAGTAGGTGCTTAAGCCTTGACCTTATAAAGTAATGAGAAGAAATTTGCAATTCTTGTCACAATGTTCTTAGGAATCTTGAATTTCTGTAAGAATCTCGGCCGGGTGCGGTAGCTCACACCTGTAATCCCCAGCACTTTGGGAGGCCGAGGCGGGTGGATCACTTGAGGTCGGGAGTTTGATATCAGCCTGACCAACATGGAGAAACCCGGTCTCTACTAAAAAAATACAAAATTAGCTGGGCATGGTGGCACATGCCTGTAATCCTGGCTACTCAGGAGGCTGAGGTAGGAAAATTGCTTGAACCTGGGAGGCAGAGGTTGTGGTGAGCCGAGATAGTGCCATTGCACTCCAGGTTGGGCAACAAGAGTGAAACTCTGTCTCAAAAAAAAAAAAAAAAAAAAAAAAGAATCTCTAGTAACAAACTTAAGGTAAGGATTCTGATTAAAATAATTTGGCCAGGCGCAGTGGCTCACACCTGTAATCCTAGTACTTTGGGAGGCTGAGCCAGGCAGATCACCTGAGATCAGGAGTTCGAGACCAGCCTGGCAAACATGGTGAAACCCAGTCTCTAATGAAAGTACAAAAATCAGCCAGGTGTTGTGGCGGGTGCCTGTAATCCCAGCTACTCAGGAGGCTGAGGCAGGAGAATCGCTTGAACCTAGGAGGTGGAGGTTGCAGTGAGCCGATATTGCGCCACTGCACTCCAGCCTGGGTGACAAGAGCGGGACTCTGTCTCAAAAAAACAAACAAACAAAAAAAACCAATTCAACTTTAAGGTACAATCAGCTGTTACCAATGATGCAAAAGCATATACACATTAAATATTTCCAATTGTGTATCATCTAAATAACTTTATCTAAAACAAAGGCAGACACTTTCACATGCCTTTCTCTCTTAAAACTAATTCTTCTAGGACCTTTTACATGAGTTGGCTCTTCTATAAAAAGTTATTGTGATCATTTAAAAATCACATGCTAGATCTACAATGATCAATTTTAAAAAGCTTCTTTCTTACTATTCAGAAATGAATTATCTAGTTTCCAGATCATCCAGGCTTCTCTTTTACCTCCATTGCCTCTTAGTTCTGTCACAAACTAGAGAGAATAATGGTAGAGAAAAATCTCAAAATATTAAACACCTCAGGTTCATAGGAGGAGAAGAGTCATAATTATTTGCCTAGACTTAACAATTGAATTTAAATTTGTCTTTTACCACACATAATAAAAATCAGCAATTAATAAATCAATCAATACATCAAATTTTAATATGTTCTTATGGCTGGTCACATACCACAGAGGTCCAAGTTCTATTGCTGTCTTTCCAGGCATGCTTCCATGACAGTTACAAGGCAGCTGTCTATATGGGTTTTCTGTAAAAAGATAATAAAAGGAGAAATCAAAGGAGAAATGACTAATACAAATAGTAGTAATTGTTATATTAATAATAATGTGCAGCTACTATATACTGAGGATCTACTATGTGCCAGGTATTATGCTAAGTATTTTATGTATGTATATATGTGTGTGTGCATATGTATACGTATATATGTATACACACATATATGTGCACACACACACATATATATATTTTTTTAATTTAAGTCCTTACAACTCTCTGAAGTAGGTACTGTTAAAATCTCAATTATACAGATCAGAGGATTAAAGCTTGAGAGAGGTGGAAATTCATGTCAAATGGCTTATTAGAGGTGTAACTGATATTTACTTACTATACCACATGAAATAATATAAGGAAGGAGAAAGTCTTATAAAGTTTACAAGAGATCCATATTTCAAAATTAACTGATTAAGGTATAATTTATGTGCAATAAAACATATATACTTTATATTAAAAAGTTGATGAATTTTAACAAATGTATACACCCATGTAACCAACATCCCAATCAAAATGTAGATATTTCTCATAAGTTAACTCTTCCGCAGTTGGAAAGAAAATTCCTTATGCTTGATTCATATTCAGCCTTCAAAATGTAGGCTAGAAGAATCTAATTTGGTTTAAAAAGCAATGAATGAGAGTCCTGATATAATCACAAGGAAACTGGGGAGATACTAGCACTATTCTTAGTTTTCAAAATGGGCTAATATTTGACTATGGAACTTTTAAATCCATTCAAGGCCCAAATAGTCATTTTATATCAGATATTCTCCAACTAATTCCCTCCACTCCAGGCCATTCCTGGGTTATCATTCACTTTCTTGAAATGGCCTGACCTAATCAATCAGTCCCAGATACATTCAGAACCAAAGAATGGTGGCAGGAACACAGGTCGATAGCCTCTTGCTAGCTGATACTATCACTCTGCTATTCAATACAATTATTGGTATAATGCATAGTTATGAGATCTTATTTTACATTTACTTAAAAGTGTCCTTCACTGCTCCTAGGTCTACTTTTCAGTATTATTTAATTCTAAGCTTTGATGAAAGGGTGTGGTTAGCACTGACGTAAAGTTTTGTTGAGAACTATGTTCCTCAAATATGAGTATACTTAAGAAGTCTTCTCTTAAACCATTACATCACTAAACTACAAATACTTATAAGCAGTCATCATCCAATTCAGGATGGCAATTTATAGTATAGTTCTGTCAGCTACACCCACTTACCACAGGCAGAGAGCACAAATGAATTATTAATCAGTTTGTATCTTGATGCACTGTGCAAAATAATCTTACCATACAAACGTGCCTTTTCCCAAGCCTCTTTGCTAGGATTTCTCAGGTCTAAATTAGCATCAGCAAATTTCCTCTCTGAGGGCCAAGGCTATCAATTCAAGTTACTAGCAGCAAATAATGAAGCGGTAAAGTAGAAAGAAAACTAGTATTTCCGTGTTACTGGTACATAAGCGAGGAAGGCAATACCAGATGAGGAGTTAAAAAATATTCTGAGACTTCTATTTAAATGCAACAGATTAAACATGCACTCTCTCTCTGCTGTCTCTTAACGCTTAAATGACAGGAACAAAAATTAAACTACAAGAATAAATAAAATGGGAGAGGAGGTAACAAAAGATGAGAGATGCCAATAAAATTTCAGAAGCAGGAGTCACATACACAATGGGAGAACTGATTATCAGACCAGAAAAATCTAAAGCATAAGCCTGAAATGGATAGATGGGCAACCAACAAAACAGAAAGTTCATTAGTGTTTTGGGACCCTGCGACGGCCTGAAAATTGAAGGCAATGATTGTCTCTGAAGATGACTATAGAGAGGTATTGCAAATAAGAGGTCTGGTTACAATTTTTTAAAGGGTTCAATTAAAACTCCAGATCTTCTCTAATACAATCAAGCGTCTGTGTCCTCCCCATTCCAAAAGATGAAGTTAATCTTTGGTGAGGCTAAACTATTGAGGATATGAAACCAGCAGTTTTAGTTACAGTTGAGAGTGAGATGTCTGAAAACAGAGGGATTAAGTAAAAATCTGCTTTCCAGTCTCTGTCCCCAGTGTGGCTCTCCCAGAGCTGCTAAAAGATTGGTTGATTCCTCTCTGGAAAAATTTACCAATCCAAGACAAAAGATCTATGTATACTTGTTGACATTTGGGGGTGTCTTACTAAAAAAAGCAGACTGGTATCTTCTTATCACAGTAAAATCCATTGGTTTATTTTTATTTTTATTTTTTTTTTGAGACAGTCTCGCTTTGTTGCCTAGGCTCAAGTGCAGTGGTGCGATCTTGGCTCACTGCAAGCTCCGCCTCCCAGGTTCACGCCATTCTCCTGCCTCAGCCTCCCGAGTAGCTGGGACTATTGGTGCCCGCCACCACGCCCGGCTAATTTTTTGTATTTTTAGTAGAGACAGGGTTTCACTGTGTTAGCCAGGATGGTCTCGATCTCCTGACCTCATGATCTGCCCGCCTCAGCCTCCCAAAGTGCTGGGATTACAGCCAAATCCGTTGGTTTATAAGCTCTGCCCCAAGTGCTTTAAAACAATTTTTCACTGTGGACAACCGAAGACCACAAAACATTTGAGAACTACCATGACAGACAGAGAACAAAATTACAAAACAGAAAAAGTTAAAAAACAGGAGAACTGAACAACAAAACAACAGCAACAATACAAAACAAACAAAAAACCCCTATTCTCCCCTAAATATAAAATATACCCAAGTATAATCAATTCTTAGAAAGGTAAGAGATTTTGTATCCCTGAAACAATATGACACTATTAAAAAAGGAACAATAATCACTTGACTAGCCTAAAGAAAAAAAAAGGAACAGTGAAAAAATATGAAATAACTCTTAGAAATGAACAAAATATGACAGAAATTTAAATAAGAGTTGGAAAATAAAAATTAAGGAAAAAGTATAAAGTAGAACTAATTGCCAAAGAGATGAACCGTATAGATATTTTAAAAAATTAAAGGATTAATCTAGAAGACCCAAAATATAACTAAACAGAGTTCCTGAAAGAGACAACAGATATAATTTGAAAGGCAAAACTTGTCAAAGAAATAACATCCCCCAAGGGCCAGGTGTGGTGGCTCTTGCCTGTAATCCCAGCACTTTGGGGAGACGAGGTAGGCAGATCACTTGAGGTCAGGAGATCGAGACCAGCCTGGCCAATGTGCTGAAACCCTGTCTCTACTAAAAATACAAAAATTAGCTGAGAGTGGTGGCACAGGCCTGCAGTCCCAGCTACTCAGTAAGCTGAGGCAGGAGAATTGCTTGAACCTGGGAGGCAGAGGTTGCAGTGAGCCAAGATCACACCACTGCACTCCACCCTGGGCAACACAGCAAGACTCCATCTTAAAAAAAAGAAAAAGAAAAAGAAAAAATTAGTCCCCTTGCCCCCCAAATTTATCAGAGCTGAAGAGCTCAAGTTTCTGACTTAAAAGAACTCAGAGGCTGGGCGCAGTGGCTCATGCCTGTAATCCCAGCACTTTGGGAGGCCAAGGAGGGCGGATCACTTGAGGTCAGGAGTTCCAGACCAGCCTGGCCAACATGGTGAGACCCTGTCTCTACTAAAAAATACAAAAGTTAGCTGAGCATGGTGGCATGTGCCTGTAATCACAGCTACTCAGGAGGCTGAGTCACGAGAACTGCTTGAATCTAGCAGGTGAAGGTTGCAGTGAGCTGATATCATGCCACTGCACTCCAGCCTGGGTGACATAGCGATACTCCACCTCAAAAAAAAAATAAATAAAAATAAAAATAAAAATAAATAAATAAATAAATAGAACTCAGAGATTATCCAGTAAACTGAATTTAAAAAGATGAACTCATACACATATTATCTCAAAATTATTTTAGAATACTGGGTTTAGAAGAGATATTTTAAGAGCATTCAGAGAGAAAATAATATAACACTACACAAGAAAAGCAGCAGACTTCTCACTGGAAGCTAGAAGACAATGGAATAATACCTTGAACATTTTGAGGAAAAAATGATTTCCATCCTAGAATTTGGTACTTAGCCATGCAATACTTCTCTGCAATCTATAGGAAAAAGTGTCCACTCAAAATGAAGAAGTAAACAAGGAAAGTGGGAAAATACACAGGATCTGCGATAGGAGATTTATCACAAAAAGAAAGTTAAAGAAAATTTCCAGGATGATGGTTAAACAGAAGCCCTTGCACAACAGATTTCAGCAGATACAGAAAACAAACAATCCAAACTACAACAGGAGGGCTGTCTCCAGGGGAGTGAAATTTATAGCCAAAGATTACCTAATGTGCTTAACTATGGTGAAGGAAGCATTGAAAATGTAGCAAAGAGTTTAGGGATGGATTATAAAAAGTATTTTTTTAAAAAGGTAACAAGCACAGTAAGTATTAATTCCAGAGTTACCGAAGAGTTGCATAAGAAAGGAAACATTATTATAACATATATGAATCAGCTTTTATTTTTATTTTTGTAGAGACAGGGTCTTGCTATGTTGCTCAGGCTGGTCTTGAACTCCTGACCTCAGGCAATCCTACCTCAGTCTCCTAAAGTGCTGGGATTACTGGTATGAGCCACCATGCCCGGATTCATATGGTTTATCTGTACTGTAGCAGCCTTCCAAAATGATCAGCAATAATCCCTGCCTCTTGGTATTCATACCCTTGTGTAATACCCTCCCCCTGAGTAGGCACTGGTTCTAGAGACAAATTTCTAACAACTAAAATATGGCAAAAGTAATGGAGTATTACTTTGAGATTAGGTTACAAAAGACCTCTTCTATCTTGCTGGCACTCACTCACTCTCTGGTTCTTCTGACTTGCTTTTTTTTTTTTTTTTTAAGAGATGGCATCTTGCTCTGTCACCCAGGCTGGAGTGCAGTGGTGTAACCATAGCTCACTGCAGCCTTGAACTACTGGGTTCAAGTGATCCTCCTGCCTCAGCCTCCCAAGTAGCTGGGACTAAGGGCACAAACCACTGACCAACACCTTGATCTGTGGCCTTGTGAGAGACCCCGAGCTAGTGGACCCAGCTAAGCCATGCTTAGATTCTCAACTCATAGAAACTATGGGATAATAAATGTTGTTTAAAGCCAATAATTTTGGAGGAATTTGTTACACAGCAATAGACAGCAAATAAAATTTGCGAACAATATTTATCTATTTATAAAAATACTAACACTAAATATTGATGTAGTCCAACGTGGAAGGGGGAAAGCATGCATGTGACTCGATTGGTTTAAAAAGCCAAATACTCTTTTTCCATGGAAGGAAGTTAGATGCATTATAAACATGTTATTTAGAAATATGAATGTAAGCATTATAAGAAACAGCTGTGACATTTTAACTGTTTAGGGAGTCAGGCAGAGGTTATTATTTTATTAATAAGACTTACGGAACTATTTGACTTTTTTTTCTTTCTTTTTTTGAGAGGGAGTCTTGCTCTGTCACCGAGGCTGGAGTGCAGTGGCATGATCTCAGCTCACTGCAACCTCTGCCTCCTGGGTTCAAGTGGTGATTCTCCTGTCTCAGCCTCAGCCTCCTGAGTAGCTGGGATTACAGGTGCCCGCCATCACGCCCAGCTAATTTTTGTACTTTTAGTAGAGATGGGGTTTCACCATGTTGGCCAGTTTCGAACTCCTGACCTCAGGTGGTCCGTCCGCCTCAGCCTCCCAAACTGTTGGGATTACAGGCGTGAGCCACCGTGCCCAGCTATTTGACTTTTTAAACTATGTATTACAAATTGATAAAAATTCTGAATGAGATGACTTCTTTGTAGGACATACTTGTTTATTCTAAGTTCTGTATGATTCCAAATAAAATGCAAAAATAAATCATTGCTTTATAGTTATCACTTATCAAGTCAAAAAGTCTTTAAAATGTTTGATTAATGTCACATACATAAGAAAGAAAAATTATAAGAACTTCTATAAGGCACTCAAATTCTTTAACCTCTTTAAGTATACAGGCTATTGGACATGCTTTGGGCAAAGAAAAGCTTTGAACATGAAGGAAACAAAGTAGTATTTTTCTTATGAGCTCTATTGAGTAAACTGAGAGTTAAATTTAACCAAGTAAGAGATGACTAGAGAAATTATGGCAAAAAGACTGATGACATATACAGAATATTATTATATGTAGAGATTAATCTGGCAAAACAGAATGTTAAGTGTTACATATTCTAATAACATAGAGATGGTATAACAAACAAAAATTAGGAAGGGAAAAATGGAAAACAGGGAGCTAATTATCTCAGTTGTGGTATCAAGGAGCCAAAGTATATTACTTAAAACTGATAAATCCAAATTACAGAAGTATATACATATTTACTACTAAAAATAGACATTAAGAAAAACAAACAGGCCGGGTGTGGTGGCTCACGCTTGTAATCCTAGTGCTTTGGGAGGCCAAGGCGGGCGGATTGCCTGAGCTCAGGAGTTCGTGACCAGCCTGGGCAACATGGTGAAACCCCGTCTCTACTAAAATACAAAAAGTTAGCCGGGCATGATGGCGTGTGCCTGTAGTCACAGCTACTTGGGAGGCTGAGGCAGGAGAATTGCTTGAACCTGGGAGATGGAAGCTGCAGTGAGCCGATACTGTGCCAGTGCACTCCAGCCTGGGTGACAGAATGAGACTCCGTCTCAAAAAAAAAAAAAAAGAAAGAAAAACAAACAATTACAATAAAATATTTAAAGCAGCCTCTTATCTAGTCAAGAAAAATGGAAGAAAGGATAAATAAATGAAAGTATATAAGGGGAATATGACCATAGGAACCAAGGAGATTAAAAGGAATTATTAGACAACACTTAGCTCAACCCTATGTAAATAAAACAGAAATGCTAGGTGAATATTACTAAACCTTTAAGGAACACATAATTCCAATACTAGTTAAACTAGTTCTTAAGAACTAGTTTAAAAAAAAATCAGTTTTTCAATTCCTAAGAATTGAAAAAAGGGAACCATTCCAAATTATTTTTGAAGGGAGTAAACTGATAGATCAAAGCCCAACTAAAATTATGCTACAAAGGAAAACTATATACCATCTCATGAAACAAGAAAATCCTTTAAAAATTAGCAAATAAAATACAACAACATATTAAAAAAAAACCTGACAATAGTTTATTCTACAAAATCCAGTTTGGTTCTATATTGGAAACTTTTATTACAATTAATCAAATTAGTAAGCCTAAAGAGAAAAACCATATAATCATCTCCACAGATGCTGAAAATGCATTATGACAAAATTCAACATCTTGATAAAATACAATAAAAATGAAGTATTCTTCCTTAATGTGATAAATGATATGTATTGTAGATGAAAAGCCAGTATTATGCTTGAATCAGAAAGCACTAGAGGCTGGGTGCAGAGGCTCATGCCTGTAATCCCAGCACTTTGGGAGGATGCGGCGGGCAGATTACTACAGGTCAGGAGTTTCAGACTAGCCAGCAAACATGGTGAAACCCCGTCTCTACTAAAAATACAAAAAGTAGCCGGGCATGGTGGTGTGTGCCTATAGTCCCAGGTACTTGGGAGGCTGAGGCAGGAGAATTGCTTGAGCCCAGGAAGCAGAGGTTGAGTGGGCCAAGATTGTGCCACTGAACTCCAGCCTGGATAGAAGACAGAGCAAGACTCCATCTGAAAAAAAATAAAAAAATAGAAAGCGCTAGAGGAAACTAAAAGTAAGGAACATGACAGAATTTCCTCCATTACCACCACCAGTTAACATTATACTAAAGTACTTGCACAAATGAAAAGCATATCATATTTGTAGGAAGCTTCAAAAATCACAGTATCTATTCTCCCCAATTTAATGTCATCAAAATAATATGCCAACTGGGTTATTATTTACTTTTATATTAAGGGATTAACAAAAGAGCAATACAGGAACACTGAAAACAAAGAGCTTTGAGTAGGGATTGCCATCACAGATATTAAATGACACTGAAAAGCCTCTATAGTCAAAACAGTATGATAGACGTGTATGAAGAAATATCCAACCACTGGAACAGAACAGAAAATCTAGAAGCAAACTCAAATACATGTGGAAATTTAGTATAAGATAAAGAAGGTATTCTCAAATCAGTGGAGGAAAGGTGTACTATTCAATACAACCTAATCTACTTTGAATAATCCAGGAATAGGAAAGCTCTTTCTAACTACAGGCAAAATCCAGACTACATAAACATTCAATTAGCAACAAAAAACTTCTGCAACACAGATTAAAAAAAAAGTGACAAAATGAGAAAAAAATCTGCAACTTAACATAGTAAGTGCTAAACTCAAAAATTCATAAAATACCAAGAACCTAACAGAAAACAATAAGCAACTGTTTCCATGTCCCAGAACTGAAACAAACAGAAAGAGCTTTATGAAGGCATAAACTACAGCTTTTTCCTTGTTTCCCATCCCCAGGCCTGGCATATAGTAGAGGCTCAATAAATGTTTATTGAATGCATTTTATAACTGATGGCTTTTATACACAGCCAGAAACATGAAAATTATTTTTATAAAATTAATGATTTGTAACAGCCTGGAAAAAACGTAATCTGACTTATGTTCCTAAAATTAGTTGAGAGTGGAAACTAAGTTATTTCTAGATGTTTCGATAGAAGGCAGAGCTAGAAAGCATATATTGTACAGCATGAGTAAATAACTTTAATAAACTCACACGAATGTCTTGTCTGTTGACGAAAGGAAATCCAGTATAGGAAATAACAAAGTTAGCACTGTAATCTTTAAAATCAAAGGACAACAATATGTATAATTAGGTATGTGATAAAGGCTTATTCAGTGGAGGATTATAGATAAACATAATATATAACTTGAATTTACCTTCTACCATATTACCATCCTTCTGAAAAATTCTCTCTTCACACCACTGACAATGGATCAGGTATTGAATCTTCTTGGCTGTTTCATCTGCTGAAGTAGGTCCCCTCAAAACTCTCACAACTACCAACACAAAATGTTCCAGAGCCACTGCAAACAGTACTTCTATGCCTTTGTTGCATCGGGCTGCAGCTCTACAATAAATTTTTTCAAGTTATTTTGTGGGCTTATCATTTTCCCTTGTTTGGCATTATACTGACAATATTAACCTGGACAGTATACTATGGATAAGTTATGGGACATCAAGAAAAATTCAATTCTCAGTAGCAGTGCTTTTAAAAGATCATTACTGTAACTTTTACAGAAATTGAAACACAGGAAATAAAAGATGCTTGGGAGGGTCTTCAGTTTCTAGACATTTTCCCTTGCGATATCCTCTCAATAGGGCAATATTTTCTGGTTTTCAGTCATTTTCACTTTGTTTCTTATCATCACCACCACATTGCTTCCTTTTTATCTATTTTATTTCCTATAAAAGCTTCTTTCAAACAGTATCTATTTATTGAGTAATGACTATATGCAGGATAGTATGCTAGCTACTGAAAATTGAGTGAAAAAAGAACAGTCAAAGTCCTTTCCACCATTAATTTCACAGACTTTTTGGATTAAGCTCTACTATATACCATTTATGTACTCTGCAGTCATATACTACATTTAATTTATATATATTACTCTGAATTTGCTGATATTACATTATAGACATTTTTAAGTATGTGCAGTTAAGTCCTTAGCATGCATACAGTAAACATCAGTTTTCAGGTAATTAGAAACAACCCTGAAGGTCTATGAAGTCTAATAATCTGTATTTATCCTGAGGTAGAAATTTCTACTTAAATGCTCTGAAACTAGTATTGGGGCTGGCAAGTGAGCTGGCTGATTATCCATTATCTATATTCACAATATCCGTTTATATTATATTATTCTAGCATAATCTGCATATAGTAAGTGCTCAAAAAAAGTCATCCTTTTAAAAAATAACTGTTTTCAAATTCTGTTTGGAAATCCTGGTGAGAAATGGAGAGAACTTCCCATTTTGTAAGACCATTTTGCAGAATCAAGTTTGTAAGCCATCATTTTATTCAAACTATATAAATAAAGAAGATAAAACAGAATGGATATAAAAGAAATGACTGTTTCTTTCTGAGGCAGAGTCTCACTATGTTGCCCAGGCTGGAGTGCAGTGGAGCAACCTTGGCTCACTGCAGCATGTGGCTCCTGGGTTCAAGTGATTCTAGTGCCTCAACCTATAATCGTAGCTGTGATTACAGGTGTGTACCAACATGCCCAGCTAATTTTTGTATTTTTAGTAGAGACGGGGTTTCACCATGTTGGCCAGGAGTCTTGTTTCATCCTGGGCAACATGGTGAAAAAACAAAACAAAACAGTTTTTGCTTTTCCTTTCATATAGCTATCCTTTATCCTACATTGTTGAAATAAACTGGAAATTAACTTTCACTTTTACCTTTTCTTTCTTATACTTTATTTCAGTAACATTTTAATTGGAGAGTAAACTGAATATTTCAGGTATAAACTTTTAAATAAAATTACAACAGATACCACGTAAGATTAAAAACCAGTATTACAGATAAGGAATACAGAATTTATATTTTGTGCATATTTTGAATAAGGTAAGTACTTCTTGTAATATTATCTCTTTTTATCAAATACTGAAACACACTAAGTACACTGTTGGCAATTTGGTACCTTGCCACTGCAGCTACAACAATTCTGGCTGCTAGTTCCTTGTAATATTCAGTTCGGACAATGTTACATCCGTAGTGACGCCGGGCAACATGCTGTGCCTTGGCATATAAAGAACTGATATCTGTAGAAGTCACTGACACTATGCCAAGGTTTCTTATATTTCTGAATGCAGAATCTAGATAATTCACTGATGTTCCAAAAGGGTCTAGATGTCTAAAATCAGAAAGAATATAGACATTTTAAAGTCATATTAGTAACAAAAATTATACCACTGTAATTATTTCTAATTATAAAATTCCATGGATTTAAAAATACATTGCAAATATATTTTAAGTACATAATTCTGTTTTGAAATTAAGTAATAAAATGATAGTATGATGTATCAGACATGTAAAAATAAATTCGGGTTAGAGGAAAAGTCACATGCCCAGGCATTTTATTTCAAATACTAGAAAATTTTCATACTGCATACCTTAGGCCAATGTCAAAAAATGGCATTAATTTAAATAAATAAACAACAAAAAACTGTCTTAATTTTTAACTACTCCTCGTCCCCAAAATTTCAGATAAGTTTAGAAAGTGACACGGCAAGTCTTTTCTACTTACATGAAATCAAAAGATCTCAAATGCATCAGTACATTGGCATCCATTTTGGTCACCTTAATATTACCAAGATTTTTCTCTCCTTCTTCAAGAATATCATCACTCTTTTCCTTTTCCTTACTGTCCACCACCACTTTCAATTTGTTTAAATGGCAGTTTTCCTGAATCAGTGTCACAGAATTTTCATTCAAGTCATTGATTGTAACTTTGACTGCATTTCCAAGATGTTTTGCCCACTGTAATCCCATTATCCCTTAGGAAAAATGGGAAGAAAATGAGTTTTATAATTGTAATAATTTTAAAGAATAAAAATGGTATAACAACATTCAGTTTTATAAATAACAAATTATTTCAAAATTTAATGTTTTCATGAATCTTATTCCTTCTTACTACAAAGCTTCTCAAGAAAGGTTATAACTAAAAATCTGTCTAACAGATTTTAACTAATACTTCTTCTAAACCTATTTTATGATCCTTGTTCAAATAAAATCTCTATGTATGCTTTTTATTTTGTTGAATAGTGGAAAATGTTTTCTTTTTTGCTTTTTTTCTGACCATGGAATACTTTATACAAATGGGATTACTCTGCTTGAAGGGAGGATGGGAAGTTGGAATACCTCCTGCTGAAGTTTACCATCATGGACCAAAATATGAAAAACTTTTCTGGACCAACACTTTTCAAACACTGCACAATAGCATTGTTGTGAATTAAAAAAAAAAAAATTGTGGCCAGGTGAGATGGCTCACACCTGTAATCTCTGCACTTTGGGAGGCTGAGGCAGGTGGATCACTTGAGCCCAGGAGTTTGAGACCAGCTTGGGCAACATAGCAAATCCCTATCTCTACAGAAAAATACAAAAATTAGCTGGGCATGGTGGCGCATGCTTGTGGTCCCAGCTACTTTTGGGAGGCTGAGGTGGGAGGATCACCTCCTAGAGGTCCAGACTGAAGTGAGTCGAGATGGTGCCAAGACCCCATCTCAAAGCCGAGACCCTATCTCAAAAAAAAAAAAAAAACAACAAAAACAAAAACAAAAAAGCGAATGATTAGAGGAAGAATTCAGACCAAAAGGGCCCCTTTTCACAGTTTTTCCATATCTACTAGCTTAAAGTCATAAGGGACATTCATTACAAAATGGGAGATGGCAACACAAGCCCAGCCAACATAGATTAGTAAACCCCTTATGTACTGGAAATACTGACCATCTTCTCCATACACGTGTCTCATGAATGGAAAAATACCATGTGTTATGGACTTCACATATACGCATTTTTCATATTTTCACAAGCTTGTGAGGTAAGTTCTGACATCCTCATTTTAGGAATGGCAAAATGTGCAAAATGACTGCTCCAGACCTGATCTAAGTTTACAAAGGCACATTAAAAGAAGAGGCTGGAAATATATTCCTTAGATATTAGCTTTAATGACTTCAGATTTAAAAAAGAGTTAAGAGGCTGGGCGCGGTGGCTCACACATGTAATCCCAGCACTTTGGGAGGCTGGGGCGGGTGGATCACCTGAGGTCAGGAGTTCGAGACCAGCTTGGCCAACATGGCGAAGCCCTGTCTCTACTAAAAATACAAAAATCAGCCAGGCGTGGTGGTAGGCGCCTGTCATCCCAGCTACTTGGGAAGTTGAGGCAAGAGAATTGCTTGAACCCAGGAGGCGGAGGTTGCAGCAAGCTGAGATGGTACCACTGTACTCCAGCCTGGGTGACAGAGCGAAACTCTGTCTCAAAAGAGTAAAGAAAAACGGTGTATGGTGAAGAATACTGAGAAATAAATTTGGACAAGCAGGTTAGGATCAGATATGGAAGATATTAAATGTAGTCTGAGAAGTCTGGACTCCCGGCAATAAAGATGAATGACTTTTTTGATTGATAAATAACATTAATGTGGTGCTTCAGAGGAATAGCTGTTTAGCAGTAACAGGCAAGACAAACTGGAGGAGAGAAATGACTGGAAGCAAGGGTACTATTTAGAAGCTACTGCAATAGGCTTGCTATGAAATCATTAAATTGGTGGATATGGAATGGAAAATGTGAGTTATATTAGAAAAGAAAAATTAGAACAGACCTGGTGGCTGAGTAGATATGGGAAGAGTAACAGGAAAAGAAGGAGTAATAACATGATTCAAATTTCAAATCCAAGCGACTTGGGAAATAATCAGAAGCATCACCTCATCACTTTTACCATATTTATACTGAGATGGTACTAATGCTGATCATCATGGTAGTAGCAGTAGTCTCCTCTTTTAATAGATGAGCAAATTGAGGCACAATTTCCTGTGGTCATACAACTATCAAAGCGATAAAGCTGGGATTTGAACTCAGGCAGTCTGGTTCCACAGTCCATGCTTTTAACCACTACTTTTCCCTGAGGAGAGGAGTTTAGGAAGGAGAGCTAACTCATGCTTTCACTCCTTTGGCACAAACTCCCCAAAAGTGTACTCTTATAATCTTTATAAAGAAGGACCTGGATTGGGTACGGAGGCTTTTTAGAAATTTTCTACTGTTTCTATTATCTTTTCTCTACTATTAAGTCTTTTGAGAAGAATATTCTCAATGTTTAAAATTTCACTTTATTCCACTGTCTAAAGGCTAGGCAATGATCATCACAACACAAAAAAAGAGACACAACCAGACATCAGGTGCTGCCTGATTGCAGCAAACAAGTATTATTGCAAAAAAAAAAAAAAAAATTGTATCTGAATCTAATTAAATGACCAATTTACAAAAATACAGGAGATAGAAGAACATGTTTTATGAGCCATAACAATACAATCAGCAAAAATCTAGACTGCGGGAAACTCTATGGGTCAAAAGACATGTTAAGTCAACAAATAATTATCACACACACAGAAAATGATAGAAGGACCCATAGATTTAAAAGAGACTTAGACATACCAGACACCTGAAATACAGTTTTTGTCTGCATTCTGATTTGATTTTTAAAACATATTATGAGATAATTGGGCAAACAATTGATATTAAAGAATTATTCTTTATTTTTAAAGTATGATGACAGTATAGTGGTTTTATTTTTTAAAAATCTTTACCTTTTAGAGATCCAACTGAAATACTTACAGATGAAATGATGTATCTGTTATTTGTTTCAAATTAATGGATATCAAAAGATTAGGATATGAGGTATGAGGACAATGAGAAAACGACTGAGCATGAACCACTCATTTTTGAAGTAAGCGATGGATACACAGAGACTCACTTATTATACTCTAATATACATTTAAAATTTTTCACAATAAAAAATTAAAAATTTTGCCTTGGATCTTTAATTTTTTTACATCACTGCCCATATATATTTTCTAAGAAAAAATACTGTAAAATTGAATAAATAAAATGGGGTTCCAAAAAAGTGTCCTCACTTACCAGTGGCTCCAAAAGCATCTAGACATTCCAAAGGTTTTCGTTCCTCAGCCAAAGCAGCCAATGTACAGAATATTAGCTGCCTAGAAGGAAATCATAATCTGAAATAACTTTACCATGGCTTCACCATCATAGATTTTATTTCATTTAAGAATAGTGAACTGAAGTTCCTAGTTACTGTACAAACTATTTCAAAAGGAGACCTGAAAACATATTCTGAATTTAATACTATAAGAACTAAAAATATGTGAAATTAAACTATGAATCCAGTTGGGTTCTATTAACAAGTATTTATTTATTTATAAAGAAAACTTGCTCACAGAAGTACCAGCTTGTTCAGTAATTATATAAAGTTACGCCTATCTTATTCTCTGATAAAGACATCGGCTTGTTAGAAAAAAAGAAACAATTCTTCTGAGAAAAATGTTAAAACAGATGATTTTTATTCTGCACCTAGTTCTAAATTTTAATATATTAGAACATAAAGGTTAAGAGAAGGTACACTTATAATAATTTGAAACATCCCATAACCCTATTTTCAATTTATCTTACCGATTTAGTTTCATTTTGGGGTTAAAATAGGAATCTGTTTTCTGAGGTATAGAATAGTTGGGACAAACTTGTACATCCGTGTCTGCCTCTTTCAAAATTTCCTTAGGTGGTTTAGCAGTGGAAGCTAAGATGGAAAAAAGAAAAGATTTCCAGGGAAACACAAAATAATTCTAAACAAAAGATTTCCAAGAAAACACAAAATAATTGTAAACATCTAAAACAATAAATATACATTTTGAAAAATAACTTTATATTATTTTGTGTTAATGCAAACGGTTTGGCAGATGTAAACAAACCAAAACCAAAGAACTGATTTATTCAGCACTCTCTACAAAAGAGTAACACTCAGTTAAACATCTGATTAATGAAAGTTAATTTACTATCTTGACTGTCCAGCACATCAATACATCTGTATTATGATACCTAAGAACAATCACCCTAGGAAAGCACAAAATCCTAAAATACCTTTGTGGTTCATCAAACACTACATTGTTTGCTAAATATATTTCACTATGGTATAATTGTTAGAAAATGAGTAACTCCATATGGCTGCATTCCATTAGCTAGCATGGCTTACTAAGAATCACTCTATTTCCTGAACATGGGAGACTTCAGAATATTTTCTCATAATGATTTCAAGTCACAAATTACATTGAAATGGCTACAAAGTAATGAAAAAATGATTTTACATTTAGTATGTTAGAATCATTTAGCTATAAACTAATAAAATATTGATGTGTATATATGTGCATATGTTTTAAATATTTAAGAAATGAGATCCTTTATGTTTGGATTTCTTGATAACATTACAGTCGGAATGTTAACTAAATGGCAACTGTATCTTTCTTTCTAAAATGCAAAATAATAGTAACTTTCCCTAGCACTGTGTTACATACCCTTTTCTACCCGTGAGGAGGCATGTTGCATATCTCACAAGGTCAGACTTTCTCAACTTAGGCTCTGTGAGAAAATTATGCTTCATAGAAAAATAGTTCAGTGACTGTTTTTTTTTTCAATTCTTAAAGGAATGGTACGTAGTGCCATTCTGGACACAGAGGAGAGAAGTTATTCATTACATATAATACATGCTTTAGGCCATTAGTGCTTGATTTAATTCTTGAGAAGGGATCTCTAAGTAGTAACAAGCTATTAATAATTTCATATCACTATGAATAATAAGTCTTTATTTCACTGTATCTTTTTTTCTAGTGTTTTCCAACAATACATACATGACAGTTAAGGGTGTAAAAGCTGTCACTGGGAAAACAATTCTATAATCTTTCATTAAAATACCTGTAGT
This sequence comes from Homo sapiens, assembly GCF_000001405.40. Classification (NCBI taxonomy): domain Eukaryota; kingdom Metazoa; phylum Chordata; class Mammalia; order Primates; family Hominidae; genus Homo; species Homo sapiens. Next base: position 185,145,206 of record NC_000001.11, read on the forward strand.
CACTTGAGTGTCACTTACTTTTTTCTACACCATTTATTAAATATATACATTGAGAATGTTAAAATGTTTTTGGAGACCTTACAGAAAGAAACCAAAAGCTGAAGTAATGGACTAGTGAACTAAATCATTTGGTTAAATCAGCATTATTTTATATTCCTGATGTCTGAAAATAATAACTGGACCATTATTTAAGGATTTACATATTAATATGTTAATGAGATTGCTCAACTTACCTGCAATATAACTAGATTTAGTCTCTCCTTTATTCATGTGGCGCCTAACATGTCCTAGCATATCAGTTCTTCTGGTGATTGTTGCTGAACAAATGATACAATGATAATGGGCTCCCATTTTACTGGTTATCTATCAAACAGAGTATTTAATTTAAATAAGTTGCTAAGACAATGAAACAGAAGTATATGTTTGCAAATTTAAGTACATTAGTGTCTTGGATTTAATGGTATAGAAGATAATTTTAATTTTGCCATGTGACTTTGAAGTATCTTAACTTCCTTACCTGCATTTACATATACTTTTAAAACTTACTTTACAATAGGCCAGAAGGTTAATTTCCTAGCTTTTCTCATTCATTCCAATCAGAAAATAATTGTATTTTCTATAGGTTGCATTTAAAAATGGTGTAATGTTAGGAGTGGTGTGCTGGTAAATGCTTATTAACTGGCTCTCCAGGAAAATAAAGCCCTGATTTGTAGTATTTGCAGATTTCTGTGGCATAAATACTCTGCTATAGCCAATTTCAAGCTACAACTGTCATAGATTTTAAGCTATCAATGTAACATCACTGAATGTGAATTTAGGAAAAGATGTGCATTATTACACCATTACAGAGCACTGCCACCCAGCAGACATAACAGATGTAAATAACTGTAAGTGCACAGATAATATTAAAATACAGGAGAACAATGATATGAAGTGAACATTCATTACCTTTGTTTTTTAATATAACTCATTCATTTTTAGGTTTATATAACTTAATTTTTAATGGAGGCCATACTAAACAACCAGCTTGAAAGATTTCTGGAAATTTGAGCCAGCTCCAGTACCCCACTGAATGTTAGAGACATAATTAGAAGCGTACTTATCCGAGTAAAAAAATTTTCACTTCATAATTTCTCATTTAGCTGAGAACAAAAGACTGCTCCAATGGCTCTTTCCTAGTTTTGATGCCTTTTACTCTTAGTGCTGCTACCTCCTTTTTACTTGGACCCTTACAGCAAATAGAAAATAGTGAAGCACATTACCCAAGGTTCCTTGTGGTACTGTGATTATCATATTCAAAATATCTTAGACTAGGCTGATGGACCAGGTACTGTTTTGACTACTACTTACAGAATATTTTCTTTTTTGTCAACACTATACTGCTTTTAGTGGCTCAAAAGAAAATGTAATAATGGGAACTCATTACGCCAATATGCATTCAGGATAGTGTCACTAAAAAATTTTATAGTTTGTATTCCCCTTAGGTCAAATCTACCCTAAAAATAAAACACATGTATTTTTTAAAAAGTTACTAAGATTTCTGAAAGTTTCTTGATTCTCTAAGATTGAACTCAAAAGGAAGGACATGGGGAAGATGAATTAAATCAAAACATACTAAGATATTTACTAAATCACAGAAATTGAAGCTCCTATTCCATGACCGAAATTTTAAGAGAAAAAACTACTCTCTAAATTTTCCATTTCAAAATTAGTAAATGAGTTAATTTTCATTTTGAACACAAAGGAGCAATTTATCTGACTTAAACTAAAAACTGTAAAATGAGAACTTCAATATAACAATTATTTTTTTTCATACATTTCATAGTTTTCCCATTATGATAATCTGAAAGGACTCAGAGAATTTTAAAGTAAACCACACTGCTGAACATACACATTTTAGTTTCACAGTAAGTAAAAATTATGCTTTCTTTAAAAAGGACTAAATTTAAAAATAAAAAAATCTAATATCTGATCACCTGTTCTCCAATAATGTTTGGTTTCACTGGTCGACAAGGTAAGTGACAGATGCACATCCTGTAACCTAAAATAAAGAATGGCTGGTTATCATACATTGTTCATTAAATATTCAGTTATCAAAAATTATAAGCAAGTTTTATTTTATAAGAATTGGTATTACCCTTACATTTGTAATGTCATAATTACTCAAATGAGATTGCTTTAGTTTATACAATTATTATACATGAGATATATGTGTATGCATATATACATATGTATATGTTATCTATATACACAAATACAGAGGGATCCAGGTTTGAATTCTAGTTCCGCCATGACTATCTGTTTTATCTTGGATTAGTCATTTAGCATCTTTGGGATTCAGCTTTATCCTATTCTCTGCCACCTTGACTTTTTCTTAGGCTTCACCTTTACCTCATGCTATTGATATATTTGCCATTATACAGACCCTTCTTCATCTATGACATGGTACTATCTTGGTTTTCTTCCCACCTTTCTTCATCTTCTTTACAGATCCTCTTCCTTCTCTCATGCCCTAAAATGTAGAAATTCCATAGGCTTGGGTGGCTAAGTGATTTTTTTTCTCATTTCCTTGGCAACTTAGCTCCTTTCACAATTCCAATTAAAGGAATCCCAAATTAAAGCTCTAGGTACTAATTCATTCCTAAGAGCCAGATTCCTATTTCTAATTGCCTATTAAGGATATGTAACTGATTATCTAGTCAGCATCTCAAAACCTACTTGTCAAGACTAAACTGGTAATTTATCTTACATTAGGTCTCTTTACTTTTTTTGAATGATAATGCCTTACAGTTGCTCTTAACTCAAAGCCTGTTAAGTCATCTCTAATGCATTTTTCTTATACCTTAGATTCGATCATTTCTTACTTGTATATGCTGAAGTGCTCCAAGATTTAGTCCTGGATGACTTCTTTTTTCCATCAATATGTATTCTTTTAGTTACTTATCTGATCTTATGGCTTTAAATACCATGTGTCTTCTGACAACTCCCAAATGCATATCTTTAGCCCCACATTCTTCCTGAACTCCAGATTCATATAACCTATGGGCTACTTGACATCTCCACTTAGATGCATCTCACCCTTTAAATGCCCAAATTTCTGGTTCCGGCCTTCTTTCCCACACTTGGTCCTAATGCACTGTTCTCCAGCTCAGTAAAGGCCAACTCCATTTCTCTACTTGCTCAAGTCCCAAACCCAAGCATTCTTGGCTCTTTCTCTCACACCTCACATCCATTCCTTCGGCAGATTTGGTTGCTTCTACCTTCAATTTTACGTCAACTACTTTGAAACCTGCTCACTGAGACAAAAACTATCATATCTTCACCATCTACCAGAGCAATACCATGTGAAAGAACCCAATAGCCTAATGTACATGAGAGAACCACATCCATGAGTAAGTAAAGAAATATCACAAGAAAATATTTAAGAAAAGAGAATAACTTGGAGGGAGACCAAACCTAAAGGCTAAACAATGACCTAAGTAAAGAATATGAGAGATCCTTTTAATTGAAATGAGACCTTTATTTTCCTAAGAAGTCAGTATGGTTTATCATACATTCTTATATAGAACTAAACTTAAAAGACAAGATGGTCCTTAAATTAGCATCTAATTCCCCTTTCCCTAAATAACTAATGATAATCTTTTTAGTAGTACTACTAAGAAAATAGTTCCAGCATAGTTCCGACTTCTTTTCTGGATGTCTCTTACTAGCTGCTTTATCAAGGCTGGTTGACACTCCAACCATATTTTACAATTTCTGTGCTCACATAATCATATACAAATATAAATGTATATATGTTTAAGATTGATACTTAGGTTTCTTTTGAGGGTGGGACTTTTTGTTTTATCCAAATGGAATATTATAAAATCTTCCCTATAAATTGCTGTTTTCATTAGTAGTTGACCATGGAAATACTTCTAAGTTAGCTGGTATATATCTAATATACTCATTTCAATGGCTACATAATAATATTTCATGGTATGTATATACCATAATTTATTCAATCATCTCTTTTAATTCCAAGTTTTTGTTACTAAGTAAATATTGCAATGAATATCCTTGTACATTTATCCGTGCCTGTTGATTCTTTTACTTCCTCTTTTTTTTTTTTTTTTAAGAAACAGAGTCTCACTCTGTTGCCCAGGCTGGAATACAGTGGCACAATTATGGCACTGCAGCCTCAAGCTTCTGGACTCAAGCAGTCCTACCACCTGAGCCTCTCTAGCAGTTGCAACTACAGGCACAGGCCACCTCGCCTGGCTAATTTTTTCACTTTTTTATAGAGACAGGGTCTTACTATGTTGCTCAGGCTGGTCTTGAACTCATGGCCTCAAGTGATCTTCCTGCCTCAGCTTCCCAAAGTGCTGAGATTACAGGTATGAGCCACTGTGTCCAACCTCAATTCTTTTACTTCTAAGGCACTCCTAGGAGAGGAACTGCATGGTGGATGGATATGCGTATTTTTAATTTTAAAAGATGTTGTCAGATGTTGGGAAAATTATAGCATTTTCCCAAAAATGCTATAATAATTCATATAATTCACTTAGGAAGCCCTTTAACTTGAAAAGTTCTTGTTTTCTGTCCTTCGATTTTATTCTTTTCATGATGAGTCCTCTTGTTGAACTTATTCCCTCAAATTGTGTCATTTTTATCATGATTATAATTGAAATATTTGTTTGTTTCCATTTATCTGAAGTAGAAAATGGCTATGATTTCTGAATTATCTTGTATCCCACCATTCTGAATTCTCTTAACTCCAGTAGTTTTTTTAAGCCATCAGCAGAAAGAGATATTATCTTGTATTTTCCAATATTCATACAAATTATTTTATTTTCTTATTTTACTACATGTACTATACCTTCCAAAATATGTGTAAAATAAAAGGAAAACTTATTAAAACATTGTTCAAGAAGCAAAATGGACTCCCAGGGTCAGAGTACTCAGTATACAACAGATGCATAATAAATGTTTGCTCAACTAAACTGTGTCATATAGATCTCTACTGCCTATAAAGCTATATGGTGTTTTATTAAATACATTAGAAATGAGGGCATTAAACCCCTCACATTTTAAACTGAAAATATTTGATTATACTCATGATAAAAATGCCAAAACTGGTAATAAATGTTGAATTTCATATATATTACTTCTTTGCAAGCACAAAAATACTAACCTTCAAATTCAACTGAGACTTTCCAGTGTAAATTCTGGAGGTGACGACGAAGCTTATGGCTATTACAAGCTCTGAATTTTTCCTTAGGGCACAATGGACAAGCCTGTCTGTTGCCTTAAAAAGAAAAAAGAATCAATAAACAACAGAATATTCTAGTTATTAATGCCTGGATTCAACTACAAAGAGGTTAATGGGGGCTCCCCCTCCTACTTCTTAAAGTCTTTCTTAACTTTAGGGAGAAGTCATTATTCTTGACCCAGGAGACAGTTAACAGTAATTGTTGCAGCACATGATCAGTGATTGTTTTTTCACCCTAAAATTTCCCTCTCTGTAGCTAGTGGATGCATTTGTCGTTACTGGGAACAAAGGTTGAAGAAGTGATAAACTGTATGACATCCTTCCGGCCAAATTTTCTGCCACTGAGAGCATCACTCTGTATTTTGGACAGCTGAAAGGACAGCAGTTACACTCCCAAAAGGACAGGGATTGGACAAAGAGCAAAAGTATGTGCTGTGGTATTCCTCTACTAAACTGGCAACAACAAAAACAGTTAACATGTGGAGTTAGAAAAATGGAAGAAGGAAGTGGAAGGAATAGATGGGATTTGATATAACCGCTGTTCTGAGACGGGGCGCATAGTTACAGCCACCGTATCCATTACTGAATTTACAAGTTCTGCCTTCTTTATTAACATATTCTCAAAAAGATTATGTATCATAAAAATGTCTTATTTAATTAGAAATATAATGTATCTCAAATAAAAACTTTGATAGTATAGATGAAAGAATTAAATTTCAAATTCAGGTTTAAAGCAATAAAATATACAGCAAGAATCATTAATAACTCATTTAGTAATTTTTTTCTTTTTTCTCTTATACCTACATACCTGTCAGCTCATATTAATAATTTTTAACCCAACAAATATCTTTCACATACAGTACAATAGAGTATAGGTACAATTTTTATTTTTACACTGTCTACTTCAAAAAAACCACGCAGTCAGCGATCTTGAGGATACAAACCAAACACTAAGGAGAGTAGAGCAGAAAGAGAGCAGTGTGGGGCACTGATAACGTGGAACTCTCATACCAGCCCTAAATTGCCTATCTTGGGACTTCATTTACCTGACAGAATATTAACCTCTTAAGACACTGTTTTTTGGGACCTCTGTTACTTGTAGCCAAATGCCATTCCTAACTTGCCGAATAGACAGCCCCTAGACATCCGTGAAATTATAATTTTCTTGAGGAGTTGTAAAATAACTTATTTCCATAGCAACTTTGCACATAAGCGGTTGCCAATTTCCTGAATAAAAAACTGTATTTTACCACTGTTCTAGTTCAGTAAGAATAAACAAGTCTACTCTTACCAAACTTATTTTTGTGAATTGAAAGATGATAAATTATTAGAAACTAAGAAAAAAAAAAAACCCAAACATGGAAATACCTGCATCAAGATTATCTGAGTTCAATGAGCTGGCAGAGTCAAAATTTCCATCAGTTACAAAAGCTAAATTCTCTAGATCAGCAAGCTGCCTTTGAATTGAGATGTGTCTCTCTGAAAAAAAAAATTGAGAAGATTATGCTTTAACAGTTTGTATTCTAGTTCCATTTTTATTGATCACATCGTATAGAAGTTTATTTCCTATAACACAGTGTTATGGACCTAGATGGGGAATACTGCCACAACTCGGTTTATAAAATAACAAGTGTGCTTTAGAATGAAAAGTTGGGGGGAGACCCCACTGTATAAACTTAGTTTTAAAATTTTATCTAATTAGTCAAAATAATTCTATGAAAAATGTTTCTGTCCTATACAAAATACTGAAGGAAACGTTAAGTCATGTTTTCTATCTTCAAAGAACTTTCAATCAGGTGGGAGAAGGCAATATGTCAACTTCTAACTATCATATGAGATAGGATGAAATGAACACTATTAAGTAGAGATTTGCTAACTGGCCTCATGAACTGAAGTAACCTCATGAACAAATCCATGTGTAGAAAACATACAACCATGCCACCCCACCCTTGGCTGGAATGTGGTATGTTTGGGGGGATGGAGTCAGTAGAAGTATGTGCAGCTGAAGATGCAGTACAGACCAAGGAAAACATAAATTCTACGCAAGTTAGTTTGAACTTTATTCTTCAAATAATGGTAAGTCTCTGCAGGTTTTTGAGGAAGTGAATTATACGATCTGAATGAGTTTCAGGAGGCTATCTCTGCCAGTAATACCAAAGATCAGTAACAGAGAAAATTAGCAATGGGAAGGGACAGAATAGAAGGTTAAAAAAATAAGCAACAGAACTTGGGATATGAGAAGTAAAGGTGAAGGATAAAATCAAAGATGATTCCAAGATTTTGAGTTTATGTGGTTGAGAATAATGGTATATTAAGCAAACAAGACAGAAGAAACTCTTATGGCAGAAAGGAAGGGGAAAAGAGAAAGGAAAATTTAGTTTTTGACATGGTGTGTTTGATGTACTACTGGTACAGTATTCCAGCAATAATGTATAATAGGCAGCTGGCAATTTGTTTTTGGAGCTCAGGAGGGATTCTAGAGATACAAATCGTAAGTAACACATTAGGTGAAACTATGAGAATAAATAAGAAAGCCTAAGAAAAAAAGTGTGAAAAATAAGAGAAAAAGCCAAGACCCAGTCTTACCTAGTTATGACTGATTTCAAACAACCAACTAGGCTATGTAAAATTAATTTTAAAATGTGATTTATATTTTAATTCTAATGCATTTCAAATTTCTCAATCATTACATATTTGTCCCACTAATGCATTTTCAGGTTTCTCAAGCATTACACACTCTTCAAATTAAATTAAATTTGGAAATACATGAATAAGTCTAAAATAAGTTTAACATGTTCTGACTGGGGTGGGTAGGGGATACATTCCCTACCTGTTGCTGAACCCGCTACTGATTATTATAGATAGATATAATCTGGTAGTGAGGTATGAGAGATGTAGATATTTATAAGAAAAATTAAGTAGAAGGAATCAGGAATGTAGATTCAGAAAGAATAAATGGTAAGGGGAATCAAGGTAATGCAGAAGCCAAGGGAGAAGAGTCTATAAACGCAAAACGTTCAACACTGAATATCACAAACAGTTGTAGAGATCAAGAAAGCACATCTGGTGACCTTTAAGAAAACAGGTTCAGGGAGGTGTTTCAGAGTAGAAACAGAATTGGAAGGGGAAAGGAAATACAGAAAATTAGGTTTTTCTTTTTTTGAGAAGTTTGACGGTATAAAAAAGGAAATGAATCAGACTGTAACTTGCTTTTTTTTAAGTATGGGGAACCTGAATATATGTGCATTCCAAGAGAAAGGAACAATTACAAAGTGGGGACTGAATATATATTAAGATTAGGAGAAACTGATATGTAAAGAGCCCAAGGAGACAGGAGATGGTGGGATAAACCACAGGGCTCTCTAATATTATGTTATTAGGTTATACAATTTAAAACCTTGAGACTTTAAAATTCAATTCTTGATATTAGCACCTTCTTGACTACTCCTCTCCGAGCTTCACTATCAGTTCGTTTACCCATTTGTATAATTTGTGTCCTTGTTCGCTTTCCCCACAAATAATCAACAGAAGACAAGGCCTATTTCTTGTTCATCTTTCTGATGGCTAAGTGCCTAATGCAGTAGCTTGCAGATAGGAGGCACTAAAGTTTGTTAAACAAGAAGTTAAAAAAATTGTTAGACTTTTTGGATGCAGTAGCACACTGTGTCAATAATTTTGGAATCCAATTCAGCACTATCAGACACTCCTGCTCAAATTTATTAAAAGGTAATTTTTCATATTATTATTATTTAAAGATGGGTCTTGCTCTGTCACCCAGCCTCCATGGAATGTAGTGGCTCAATCATAGCTCACTGCAGCCTCAAACTCCTGGGCTCAAGCAATCCTCCTGCCTCAGCCTCCTGAGTAGCTGGGAGTATAGGCTGGTGCCTGGTTATTCACCTCATTTTTAAAGAAGCAACAAACAATATTGGTTAATTTCCTATATCAGATACTGGTCAAATGAGTTATAATGAGATATAATTTCTATAAACAGGTAAAACTTCTTCATGTTTCATAAAAATCTTTTGCTAGGTCAGACAGCAATATTCCAGAAATGAATCCATGTGTACAAACTAACCTATCTAATTTGTAACCATAAAGGCTTTTGGTTCCAGAGTTCAAAGATCTGTGTATGTAAAACAAGATAAACAGCAATCAATAAAGACGTGCCTATTGAAATTATTCTATTAAATAGCACAAAATAAGAGAAAGGAGCTTGGTTAAGTTAGAAAACTAAAAATCCTGTGGTCTACTACTGAAGAAACTCTTGAAGATCTGTTTAAAAATGCATGATATGCCTATAAACATCTCTGAAATCACCTTCTGGTTTAAGATAGTGCGTATCAGACAATCTGTATGCAAAATACTCAATCTGCTTTTTGTAACACACTATTAATCCAGAAGTCAACAGGCAAACTTCTTGTTAAATTAGATGTCTCCAAGATGCTAGGAGGGTCTTTTACAACTTATTCTATTACTTTTTCCTCAATTTTCAATTCTATTTCAGATAGGCTATCTTCATCTTACCTAGTTATGACTGATTTCAAAGGACTAACTAGATCAACTAAAAATAATGTTTAAAATGTGATTAATATATGTATTAGTTCTAATGCATTTCAGACTTCTCAATCATTACATATTTGTCCTACTAATGCATTTTCAGTTTCCCATATAGTATACCTTCTTCAAATTACATATTTGTAAATTTTGGAATATATAGATAAGTCTTTTCTATGTTTAACATATTTTTGATGGTGAGGAGGTAGAGAATGCATGCATTTCCCAAAGCTGCTGAACCACTTCTGACTAATATAAACAAATACAACTTCGAAGTGAGGTAGGAGGCTACTTAGGAGGGTGGAACCCTCTCAGCTCCCCATGCCTCCCCGATCCCTACCCACTGTAGTTGAAGAAACAACTGGCCTTATTTTGTACCTACAAGCTCTGATCTTATATAATGAGAAGGGGCTTACCTGAAGCATTCTGACTTTTGTCTTTCCTGTGATTAGCCCTACTCTGAAATCTATAACAATTTGTATGTTGTTTCAAAACTGCAAAATAATCCTATCTATAACTATCTAACCTTTTATAAATATTAAACTCAAAACTGGCCTAGAAGTAGAAAAAATAATGAATTAAAGATTATTTTAAGTTCCAATTCAGAAAGCACATAAAGGTCAACTTATGACCACAAACTAAATGTTAAAAGAACTTAAATTATGTCTTTCTTAGACCTTACATTTTAAAATGTTAGAAGATCCTTAAGAAAGTGTTACTCATCAGTCTTTTAAATTCCTATATGGTCCAATAAACCACCACTTAGAAAACATGCAGGCACATTCAGAAGCACAATAATATGGGCCATTAATTCTCAACAGTCTATTTCTGATGGAATGGAGTACAAAACTCAATTGGTATTTATGTATGGGGGAAAACATCCGTAAATTTAGTCGACTCTTTCCTAAACTACTACTCAGCCTCAAAATCTTTTCGGAGGCAAGCTGCTAGCGGGGGAAAAGAAAACTGAAATGAGAAAAACTCATCTCCTTGTGGCTGTCGAAGCAGAAAAGCTAGTTGACAGTAATGGTTTAGAAATGTTGGCAGCTAGGATCTACTACCGTAAACAGGTTGCCTCGGTTACTATGTCACATTTGAAAGAACTTAGTTAACCATGGCAGACTGGACTGCGGGAAACTACCAAATTATGTGTAACTTCCTATTTTTGTACCTTAAAAAGACTCCCTTTTAAGAAAAAGCCCTTAACCTCATTATTTCCTTCTATCTGCAGCATTCCTGCTCTCCGCATATCCCTCACCGTGACATCCTCGAGGCTTATGAAGATGCCGTCTCCCATTCTGTAACCCTGCTTTAGCCGCTACACGGGCCCCTCTTTCCTCCCCACCATTTTCCTAAACCTGCCTTGCCCCATAAAAACCATCCCGGTGAAGGGCCTCCCCTACTTCCCAGCAAGGCGCACTTTCTCTCTTCTGCAGCAGAAAGATCTGGGCCTTCTGCACTTACTGCTTTTAGCCTCCTCAGGGGCAGAGGCTAGGGACGGGGACAGGGCCGGAGCCTGGGCCAGGGCAGGGGCTGGGGCTGGAGCCGAGGCCGGAGTCGGAGCCGAGTCCAGAGCCGAATCCGGGGCCGGAGCTGGGACCCCAGCCGAGTCCCGGGCCGGGGTCGGGACCTGGACCTGGGCCACCTCCACCTCCTCCTTCTCCAGGGGCAGCAGCTCCTCCTCCGCCATATTCTCCATAGTTACCGCCTCCGTGCCAAGCCCGCCCGGGGACCCGGAGCGGGGCTCACGGCGGGGTCAGAGAACTGACGTGAATGCCCACAGGGCTGGATCCAAGGAGTGGGGAAGCAAGTGGGGAGGGCGGGATGCGTGCAACAGACAAAAGATGAAGAACCAGTGACCAAATCCTGTTAGTAGAAAACAGAAAGCCAGAGGCAGCGATTCCAGATGCCCGTCCGCTTCCCTTTCCCCGAGGCGTTACGACGCCACCACAAACTGCGCAGAAGCGTACTGGGGACGGCGTCCAATTGGGTAAGAGGGTTCGGTTTCTACGGTGCGTCTCCGGCCCACCGGCCAACCACCAAACCGAACAAAGACTACAGCACCCAGGATACACTGCGCAGTCTGGGGGCGGGGCCGGAGTTCAAGCCTCGGAGGAAGTAAATGCAAATCTAAGCGAGCGCTGTGGGGCGGTGAGTAGGTAGTGCGGATGCGGGCGCAGAACTACGTTTCCCAGCAGGCATACAGTTGGTGGGGCGGGGTGTGTGTGTGTGTTGGGAGGCGGGGGTCCCTCTCCTTTGGCTTGGGGCTCCGGAGTTGCCACTGCCGCCGGCGCTGGTAAGGTAGGAACTGCGGGGTGCGTTGACGTTTTGCTGGGCAGGTTCCCCCTCGTCCCCCGCCCCAAGTATACTGGCGGGCGGGCGGCCGGCCGGACTGGGGACTCAGGAGTCACACGGACCTGGGCGGGGCGACTCTGTGGGCGGGTCCGGGGACGAGCCAGCTCCGTGGAGGGTGTGGTTCTGGCCCGGCTTGCCTCCGGGGCTGCCCCTTGCCCGGTGTTGGGGTCTGGTCGGTTCGTGCGGAGCCCGCGGGCCCGCGGCGGTTTACTAGCAGCTGACGAGCTTGCCTGTCCATCCAGCTGACTTGGAATTAGGGTCTGTTCTTCATTTCGCACCCTCACCTACACCGTGACCCGAACACTCTTTTCCTTTGTTTTTATTTTTGCTTTAGTCTTCATGTTGCCAGTATCAGCAGTTCTGCGGTGTGGCCAGTGGATAGAAATTAGTTGTTTTGCTCTATTTTGCTTTGTTTTCAGGCTTTTAATAACCAGAGCTCTGAGTGGGTAGAGCTTCGGGGCATTTAATTTTGATGCGTTTCAGATCCCCAAAACATATGCTAGCGAGTCCCCTGTCCCCCGTACTTCTCTCCCCTTCACTCTTAGTGCCTACTTGACATTCGAGCCTTTCTTGTTTCTTTCTTCTGTCCCCCCGCGATAAATCCACTGGGACAGAAAGGAGAAAAACGTGAACTTTCTGGCTGCCCTGCTTGGGCTTGGTCCGAACCTTCTAGGCATCAGGGCAGGAGAGGGAAGCCCAATTTAGTCTCAAGAACAAGACGCGCGCTTCCAGTTAGCTTTTCTTAGTTAATTAAGTTGATAAACGCCAATCTTCTTGGTCTATTTGTTTCCTACTTGTTTCAGAACCCCGGGGAAGAGATAGCATGATTATTTGGCACTTTGAAGCACTAACTGGAAATTAACTCCTCCCCCTATAGTTAAGAAGTATATATCTGGAGGGGTGTGTGTGTGTGTTTAACCTCTCCCCAGTTTAATGGGAACAGATTATCCCTGTGGAGCTTCTGTGAGTTATAGTCCTAAATCCCTTTTACTGATCGTCCCGTACAGCTTTTATCTAGTATTCCTGAATGTGTAGTTGACTCATGGCTCAACAGTCAATTAAAAATGGGATAACACTGACTATAACTTACAGAAATGCTAACTATATCTGTGCATCATCCAATAATTCTTGTTCTCATTTCTTTTTTTTTTTTTTACTGTCGTTCATGATGATTTTTTATTTCTAAATGACTAGATGGTTAACTGAAAGCTAGATTCAGTATGTTAATGTCATTTAACACCAGCTGGAAACCAGATTAAAAGGGTCAGATTTTAGTGTCTGGATTCTGTGGGAATTTTTGTAAGAATTTCTAAGCATGGTCTGTGCTTGTAAGACATCCTGAAGAAGGAATCGTCAATGTTTGAAGAATTAAATAATGTTATTCATCTATTGCTACTGCATAAGTTATACCAAAACATAGTAGCTTAAAACAACAGTAAACATTTATTACTCCACAGTTTCTGTGGGTCAGGAACTCAGAAATGACTTTCTGGGTTGATCTGGCTTTGGGTCTCCTGAGGTTGCAGTGAAGATATGTGCCAGGGCTGCTGTCATGTCACTTGATTAGGGGTGCAGGATCATCAGCTTCAAAGGTAACACACTCACATGCCTGGCTGTTAGTTGGTTCTGGTTGTTGGCAAGATGCCAGTAGTTCTTCCCTTGCGAGCCTTTCCATGGGCTGTTTGAGTGTCCTCATGACACTCTGACTTTCCCTAGAGTGAGCAGTCCAAGACAGAACAAGGCAGACGTCATGATATCTTATATGATTTAGCCACATACCACTATGTAGCAGTAATATCTTATTGATTACACAGGTCAGCCTTATTCATTGTGGTAGCAGATTACATTAAGTGCATGATTACCAAGCATCAGGAATCATCAGGAGCCATCTTGAAGACTGGCCAGCACATGAAGTCTCCCCTCATTTATGTTTTGATTTGCATAAAATCAATAGGAATTTCACACTAGTATGAATATACAACATTTGTCCGAATAAACATAAACATAAGTGTTTTTCTGGGATAGTCCACAATACTGTCATCCACTAACAGTATTGACTTGGTCCACAGCAGGGCTGGAAAAGTGAGACGGGGATGGGAGGTGGACAGAGGAACTACAGTGAGTGAATTGGAAGTGGTTCAGAATGAAAGAGTTAATATTCCAAGGAAGAAGAATTCACTCATTTATTCACTCAGTAGGCATTTATGAGCACCTAAGTTTTTAATACGGCACACTCAAGGAGCTCAGTGTCTAGTAGAAAGACAACCATACAAGCAAGTATGTATGTAGACATTACTGTGTACCAACCTATGCAAGATGTATATGTACATATATATATGTATTTTAATATTTTTTTATATTTTTTTAAATTTTTGAGATGGAGTTTCGCACTTGTCACCCAGGCTGGAGTGCAGTGGCACAATCTTACTCACTACAACCTCTGCCTCCCAGGTTCAAGCGATTCACCTCCCTCAGCCTCCTGAGTAGCTGGGATTACAGGCATGCACCACCACACCTGGTTAATTTTGTATTTTTAGTAGAGATGAGGTTTCATGATGTTGGCCATGCTGGTCTTGAACTCCTGACCTCAGGTGATCCGCCTGTCTCGGCCTCCCAAAGTATTGGGATTACAGTGAGCCGTGGTGCCCAGCCACAAGATATATTTTACATCCATTGTTTCAGTACCTCAAAAACCCTGTGGGATGGGTTATCTATTTTACAAGTAATGACACAAAGACTTAAAAAAAGCATGTGATTTGCCAAAGTCTTGTTCAATGAATGACTGAAGGTATTTTGGGAAAATGAAACTTATGACTAATTGGCTTTGAAGTGTGGGTGGTGAAGAATATAGCAGTCCTGGAGGCAGTTGAAAATGGTGATCTGATGCTTAAGTGAGAAGTCAGGGATCAAGGCATGGTTTGAGACTCATTCCTGGAAAGGTGATAGATGAAGCTGAAGGAGAGGAGTGGGTAATTTTGAAGGAGAATGAAAGTGAAGAAAAGTGGAATAATGAGAGAATCTTGTCATATTGGGAATGGTTAAAAAGTAGTAATCATAGTGCTGGGAGTGGTCACTCACACCTGTAATCCCAGCACTTTGGGAGGCGGGTGGATAACAAGGTCAGGAGGTCGAGACCAGCCTGACCAACATGGTGAAACCCTGTCTCTACTAAAAATACAAAAAATTAGCCGGGCATGGTGGCACATGCCTGTAATCTCAGCTGCTCAGGAGGCTGAGGCAGGAGAATTGCTTGAACCCGGTAGGCAGAGGTTGCAGTGAGCTGAGATCATCCCACTGCACTCCAGCCTGAGCGATGGAGCGAGACTCCATCTCAAAAAAAAATAAAATAAAATAAAAAGTGATCATATTGTAAAACTCCAATCTTTATATAACTGAAAGAAGACAAATTTCTATTTTCTTTTTGAGTGCAAAAACAAATCCTATATTTTTAATGTTTATGTTAGCTTTTCAGGATGTCCAGCAAAGAATCCTGTGGGAAAAAAGAGACATCTCAGAGGAAAGACACCACCACCTCATCACCCAATTTTGGTGAAAAAGTAAGAATTTTGATTTACTGACCTAGAGATACATTTCAATTTATTTTTGCTTAATGAAAAAAATACACCTTACTATTATAATGATTTATGTAAATATTTTGTTCTGCTCAGCCGATCCAGGAAAAGTCATTTGCTTTTCCGGTTTTTTACTTGCATTGTTTTATTTATTCCTCACAACTGTATGAGGTGGGTACTATTATTCCAATTACACAGATGAAGAAACTGAGGCTTAGAGAGTAGTTTTATAGAGGTAAGTAATTTGCTTAGGTATTCCTGACTTCAATTCTAAGCCCCTTAAATCCCCTCATTCTTAGCGATAACTCAACATTGAACCATTTTCCATGTTTTCTCCTTTTTCAATTTCCTCAACGTTGGCTAGGATTGCATTCTTATCAGTCAGAATGGCCAGCGCTATGTGGCTGAGGCTAATATTGGGGAAGACATACTTACCATGTCTTTCTCTGTTCTCTCAGACACTACCTTAAGAAGTGTTTTGGGGCTGAGTGTGGTGAATCATACCTATAATCTTGGCACTTTGGGAGGCCGAGGCAGGAGGATCACTTGACCCAGGAGTCTAAGACCAGCCTAGGCAACATGGTGAGACCCTGTCTCTACAAAAAAAAAAAGCCAGACGTGATGGTGTGCACCTGTGTTCTCAGCTACTCAGGAAGCTGAGGTGGGAGGAGAATCACTTGAGCCACGGAGACCAAGGCTGAAGTGAGCTATGTTCATACCACTGCACTCCAGTCTGGCTGACAGAGTGAGATCCTGTCTCAAAAAAGAAAAAAAGAAGTAGTGTTTTGGTAGATGAAATTTAGGGTATCTCATTAATTGAGCTGGGTATTGTCTCCAGGAAGCAAAACTGCAAAACAAACAAAAAAACCATGTAATCAGTTTCATTATATACTCTCTGAATAGTATGGGTAGTTGATCATCAGTATTAGAGAGTGTTTATGCTGTGTTACTGTGCAAGATGAGAGACTAATCTGGCAAAGGTGAATATTCACAAAAAAAGTGATTTCTGTGGTGGCAGGTTAGTTCATAAGACTTTTTCATGACCTGGATGAAGTTCCAGATAGTGTGCTTTTTGGTGTTTGTTCCTTGCTTACTTACTAACTTTCTGATTACAAATTTGGTCTCGCAGGTATAGCAATATGTGGAAAGGCAACACTGAAGCATGGCCATACAGTACTCTGTGTAATTTATATACTCAGCATCTCCATTTGTCATTATTAACTGGCATGCTGTTTGCAATTAACCCCTCATTCCTTAAACCTACTTAAAACTACTAAACTAAAAAGGTTTAGTCAGACTTTTTCTTTCCGTAACTCCTATAGCAGTGGTTTCTGTGTTGCTAAATCCATTGGTCATTTCTAAGACCTCATCTGACATGGCATATCAGCAGTATTTGACATAGCTAATTACACCTTCTCCTCGAAACACTTTCACAAAGCTTTTTGTTTTTCTCTGAGTCTGCTTGCTAGGGAATTCACCTAGCTTTAGAGATACCATATTCTCCTGATTTTCCTCCTTATTGGTGACTGCTTCTCAGTGTCCTTTGCTAGTTCCTCCTCATCTTATAAAACTGTAATCTTTCAGGTACCCAGGCTTCGTTTTCCCAATTTAATAAATTGTGATTCCATTCTTTGAGTTGCTTAGGCTGAAATCCTTGTGATCGTGCTCTACCTGCACCTATCAGCAAATTCTATCAGCTTTCTTTTTATAATGTATAGGCATACCTTGGAGATATTTTGGGTTCAGTTCCAGACCAGTGTAGTAAAGCAAATAGTGCAGTAAAGTGAGTCACATGAATTTTTTGTTTATCCAGTACATATAAAAATTATGTTTATACTATACGGTAGTCTATTAAGTGTACAATGGCATTATGTCTAAAAAAATGTGCATATGTTAATTTAAAAATAGGCTCAGGCGGGAGGATCCCTTGAGCCCAGGAGTTTGAGGCTCAAGGGATCCTCCTGCCTGAGAATCGTGCCACTGCACATCAGCCTGAGCAGCAGAGCAAGACCCCATCTCTAAAAGTAGTAATAATAAATTTAAAAAATACTTCATTGCTAAAAAAATGCTAAAGATCATTTGAGTCTTCAGAGAGTCATAATCTTTGCTGCTGGAGGGACTTGCCGTGATGTTGATGGCTTGCTAACTGATCAGAGTGGTAATTACGGAAGGATGGGGTGCTGTGGCAGCGTCTTAAGACAGCAATGAAGTTTGCCACATTGACTCTCCTTTCACAAAAGATTGATCTCTGTAGCATGCAATTCAGTTTGATAACATTTTACAGCAGAACTTTCAAAATTGGAGTTAGTCTCTCAAACCCTATGTAATATTATTCTAAATCATTTGTTCTCATTTCAACAGTGTGCATGGCATCTTCACCAGGAGTAGAAATCAATCTCAAGAAACCAGTTTCATTGCTCATTTATAAGAAGCAACTCCTAATCCATGAAAGCTTTTTTTTTTTTTTTTTTGAAACAGAGTCTCACTGTGTCTCCCAGGCTGGAGTACAGTGGTGCGATCTTGGCCCACTGCAACCTCTGCCTCCTGGGTTCAGGCGATTTTCTTGCCTCAGCCTCCCAAGTAGATGGGACTACAGGCACCCGCCACCATGCCCAGCTAATTTTTTAATATTTTTAGTAGAGATGGGGTTTCACTGTGTTGGCCAGGCTGGTCTTGAATTCCTGACCTTGTGATCTGCCTACGTCGGCCTCCCAAAGTGCTGGGATTACAGGCGTGAGCCACCGCACCCAGCCCCCATTAAAGTTTTATTATGAGATGATAGAAATTCAGACACATTTTCAACCTCTACTTCAAATTCTAGTTCTCTTGCAGTTATTTTCTCCACTGAAGTCTTGAACTGCTCAAAGTCATTCATGAGGTTTGGAATCAACTTTTCCAAACTCCTGTTAATGTTGGTATTTTGACCTACTCCCACAAATCATGAGTGTTCTAAATGGCATCTAGAATGGGGAATCCTTTCTAGAAGGTTTTCAATTTACTTTGCCTGGATCCATCAGAGGAATCACTGTCTATGGCAGCTATATAGCCTTACAATATGTATTTTTTAAATAATCAGGTGTGAAAGTTAAAGTTAGACTCCTTGATCTATGGACTGCAGAATGGATGTTGCATTAGCAAGCGTGAAAACAACATTCATCTCTTTGTACATCTCCATCAGAGCTCTTGGGTGACCAGGTGCATTACCAGTGAGCAGTAATATTTTGAAAGGAATCTTTTTTTTTTTTTTCTGAACAGTAGGTCTCAACAGTGAGCTTAAGATATTCAGTAAATCATGCTGTAAACACATGTGCTGTCATCCAGGCTTTGTTGTTTCATTTCTAGAGCACAGGCAGAGTAGATTTAACATCATTCTTAAGGTACCTAGGATTTTCTGAATGATAAGTAAGTATTGGCTTCAACTGAAAGTCACCAACTGCATTAGCCCCTAACCAGAGTCAGCCTTTCCTTTGAAGCCAGGCATTGACATCTCTCTAGCTATGAAAGTCCCAGATGGCATCATCTTTCAATATAAGACTGTTTGTCTATGTTGAAAATCCGTTGTTTAGTGTAGCAACCACCTTCATCAATGATCTCAACTAGGTTTTTTGTATAACTTGCTGTAGCTTCTATGTTAGCATTTGCTGTTTCACCTTGTACTTTTATGTTACAGAGATGGCTTCATTCCTTAAACCTCATGAACCAACCTCTCTGCTAGCTTCCAAGTTTTCTTCTGAAGCTTCCTCACATCTGTGAGCCTTCATAGAATTGAAGAGAGTTAGGGCCTAGCTCTGGATTTGGCTTTGGCTAAAGGGAATGTTGTGGCTGGTTTGATTTTCTATCCAAACCACTCAAAACTTGCCCAATATCAGTAATAGGGCTGTTTTGCTTTCTTATTATTTATGTGTTCGCTGGAGTAGTGCTTTTAATTTCCTTCAATAACTTTTCCTTTGCATTCATAACTTGTCTTAATTGTTTGGCACAAGACTAGCTTTCAGCCTGTGTTGGCTTTTGACATACCTTCCTCAGTAAGTGTAATCCTTTCTAGCTTTGATTTAAAGTGAGAGACTTATAATTCTTCCTTTCACTTGAACACTTAGAGGTCATTGTTGGGTCATTAGTAGGCTTAATTTCAGTATTCTTTTGTCTCAGGGAATAGAGAGGCCTGAGGAGAGGGAGAGAGACTGGCGAATGGGTGATTGGTGAAACAGAACACATGCAACATTTATCAGTGAAGTTTGCTGTCTCATATGGGCAGTCTGTGGCGCCCCAAAGCAACTATAATAATAACATTAAAGATCATTGATCACAGGTCCCATAGCAGTATAACAACAATGAAAACATTTGAAATACTGTGAGAATTACCAAAGTGTGACACAGAGACATGAAGTGAGCACATACTGTTGGAAAAATGGTGCTAATAGACTTGCCATAAACCTTCAATTTGTAAATAATGCAATTATCTATGAAGTACAATAAAGCAAGCCACAATAAAATGATGTATACTGGTGTTCAGAGTCTGACTATCTCCTTTACTGCTATGTCCATGATCCAAGCACCTTGTTTTCCTAAATTATTGTAATAGTTTCCAAAATAACCTCCCTACTTCTGCATTTGCTTCCTTATAGTCTGTTCTCAACACACTAGCTAATGTGGTCCTATTAAAATATAAGTACAATCATGTTACTCCTCTGCTAAATACTTTCCAGTGTTTTTCCACTTCATCCAGAATAAAAGCCAAAATCCTTACCAGGGTTGACAAAGCCACCTCCTCTCCCCATCCCATCCCCCTGACACTCTCCTGACATAATTTGCTTTTCTACTCCATGGCCTCCTTGCTGCTGTCCCAACAAGCCAGGCATGTTTCTGCCTCTGGGGCTTTGCCCTTGCTGGCATCCCCTTTGAGCTGAAAAAACTCTTTCCCTCAGTATTCTAATGGTTTGTTTCTTCACTTTATTTAGGTCTCCATTCAGATGTCAGCTCGTACCTGGGGTCTGACTACTCTGTTTAAAATGGCGAGTCTTCCCCTCTGACTCCCAGCCTTTTCTGTTTCCTTTCTCTGCTTTACTGACTCCCAGCCCTTCCTGTTTCCTTTCTCTGCTTTATTTTTTT
The DNA here is from genome assembly GCF_000001405.40 of Homo sapiens. Taxonomy (NCBI): domain Eukaryota; kingdom Metazoa; phylum Chordata; class Mammalia; order Primates; family Hominidae; genus Homo; species Homo sapiens. The sequence goes on from NC_000001.11 coordinate 185,166,050, forward strand.
CCACAGCATCGTCTGACACACTAAATATATTACTTGTTTATTTGTAAATTCCTGTACTAGATTTTGACCTTCATGAAGAACTGTTATTATTTTTTCATTCCTCTCTCTCCACTGTCTAGAATGTCTTTGGTACATGGTAGGTACTTCAAACAAGTTTGTCCTAGGTCTGTTGAATTCAGAATCCAGTGAAAAATAAGTGGATGTGTGGTTTTGCATTGTAGAAGACTGACTCTCACCATGGCAGTGCCACCTCACAACAACCTTATCTGAGCTGTCAGCTGGCTTCCTGCTCTGATACCTATATCCCACCTCATCTCTATTTTGTGAGCATTTAGGGGTTCTGGCTTCTAGTTGAATCTCCCTTCCTTTTACCAAAGTTTGTGTATCTGTAAACATTGTTCCCCACCGAAGTTCATTATTGAATGTAAATGTTGATTTGTAATACTAGTGATGAAATAGTTCTGTTTATACTATGCTTTATTTTGTGCTTTTTAAAATTCATTTTCTTTATTGCATTCTTAGGACAAGAAAGAGAGAAAAACCCCAGCAAGTTCTACTAGTTCATCTTCTATAAGATCAGTTTCATCAGAAAAGAGAAAACTGGTGAGTGTCTAGATATAACTAACTAAAAGTTATTTATGCTAAAGTTTTAATCGACAGTGTTTGTGATATAAATTCCTCCTATACTTTTTGATAGCCAATAGAAAGTCAGTGTTGTTTTCTTTCTTCTACTCACCAAACCATTTATCAAGTTTTATTATTTCTTGTACTGTTAGGCCCTACCATGTGGGATTAGACAACTGTCATGGCTATAAATTTAGACAGTTCTTAAGTCCTCTCACATATATATGGTTTTATATATATATATTTTTTTTGAGACAGAGTCTTACTCTGTTGCCCCAGGCTGGAGTGCAGTGGTGCCACCTTGGCTCACTGCAACCTCTACCTCCTGTGTTCAAGCGATTCTCCTGCCTCAGGCTCCTTAGTAGCTGGGATTACAGGCGTGCACCACCAGGCTCAGCTAATTTTTGTATTTTTAGTAGAGAAAGGGTTTTACCTTGTTGACCAGGATGGTCTCAAACTCCTGACCTCAAGTGATCTGCCCGCCTCAGCCTCCCAGAGGTTATATTTGTCTCCTTTTGAGGTAGCCAAGGCAGATACATTGTTTGCATTTTCAGATTCAGAAATCGAAGTCTAGAAGGTTAAGTGACTTTTCCAAGGCCACAAAACTGTGTACAGCAACAGAGCCAAGTCCAGAGTTCTTTCCACTGTCATACAAATAGTTAGAAACAGTGACAGCAGATTAAACACAATACGCTAATCCATAGGTTAGTGGTAATGTACTTAGAACATTCAGGTTGAAGTTATGTACATATCCAGGATAGCTACATAGTTGTGGTGGGTATAAGATAAGGTAGTGGAAGTTCCAGGGATGCAGAATTATGTTTTAAGAATTTACTTGTTTTCATATAATTAAGCTGCGGTTTCTATTTATTTTTGCAATATTAACCTTCTTGAAACACCGATTTCATCCCATTTCTCCTCTGCTGAAAATCTTTACTCACTATTTGCCATTCAGGGCTCTCTCAAATTTGTTCATACCTTAACTATCCAGTTTTCTTTTTTTTGTTGTTTTCCCTTCTTCCTTGAAAGAGGCCCTCTTGCCTTTCGCTAGGCTGGTTTATTTTCTTTCTGCTGAATTTATACCAGTTATCCTCAGTTTCTCAGAATGCCTTCTTTTACTCGTCTTTCAAGCTTTATTATTTATTGTTATTTTGTCCACCTGTTTTCCTAGGTACTTTTCCTCTTTAGGTGGTTGGTATTTTGAACTGTTTTAGCACTTTTTGACTCTTCTGCTTTGACACTTACTTACATCATTATAGTAGGTTATTTGTACATGTTCTACTTCTCGTCTTTATTATTTTATGTAAAACTATAAGCTCTAAGCTCTTTAGGACATGGATTATATTTTATGTCTCTCTTACCTTTCTTGTGCTTGGCCCAGTTTCCTCAGAGTACGTAGAGAGATAGGATGGTAGCGTAGAGAGAGTCAGACAGATCTATTTACAGATGACAGATGACTGCTCTGCTGTGGACTTGCTCTGTGACTTTAAGGAAGATGCCTACCTCTGTTTGAGTTTTGTGAAACGGGGATGATGATAATATCCATCTCACCGGATTACTGGAAAGATTAAGTAAAAGTATTGTGTCAGCCTATTCACTATCATAAACTGTGGAAAAAAATATGTACCAGTGCACAATTTATGTGTCCTTTTTTTATTTATTTCAGAAATCAGATCATACAGATGTTCTGTACTATAATATAAAAAGAAGACAAGGACTGAAAAGGTAAATTTCTCCTTTTTCTTTTTACTGTTTTGGTTTAGAATTATGAGACTAAATATTTGGATTTAAAAATTTTTTTTATTTACTTTGAAGAGGACTGCTTTGCATGCAAATATCTCTAGCTATATAACTGATTATGATTATAGAATTGTCTTAATATTAACTATATTTAAGAAAAAGTTGAGTGAAATAAAAATCTATGAAAACTATTGTGTAAATGACACTCAAATGTGCATTTTAATCTCAAGTGATTTGATTTTGGCACATGATTGTAACATGCGTAACTTCATTACATACACTAGTGAAGTAAGTTATGAGGCTAATTTAGAGATTTTGGATAAATCATTTTCATATATTACCCGTGAAGAGAGTATGTATCTTATAGAATTGATATGGCTTTAAAACCGTGTTGATTAACCAGTATGTGATTATAGCTAGAGAACTTGGGGAATGATGGTTGGAATAATGGAAATTATTATTCTTTAATTTCTGCACTTTTTGGATAAAAATTTCAGTGAAATTTTGGTGCAGAAAGTACTTGCTGCTAATGGGGATAAATAAGTATACAAAGTTATAACGTGTGATAAAACTTGGTAAGATCAAGGTTTCTCCAAAAATAAGAAGTTAAGGGAAAACAAGTAAGATGGCATTAAATATTACAAATAAAAGCTCTGCTTCCCAAACAATCTCAGTTAGTGTTTGCTAAAAACAAAAAAATTCAACTCGCCTCTGTCTTTTGTTCACTTTTTCTTCTGAATCATCTCCTGATACTTTGCTTCTGTGTTATTCTCTGTTGAAGTATATTCTTGCACTAATTTCATATTATGTTGACTATCCCTTGCTACATTTTTTGAACCATTTTAATGCCTTTTACACTGATATCCTTTTTTTTTTTTTTTTTAAATTTTAAGTTCTAAAACACTATTTGACTTTAAACTAGTTACCTTTTGTTTAAGGACACATTTTTTGGCCCTTGATATTATATCAATATATACAAGAGGGTAAAATATAAAATGTTTTATAAAAATCTCCGTATTAATTCAGCTCTAGAGAAGTTTCTGAAATTGGTGTGCAAACAGTGAAAGCCATAATACAGATGAAAAATTAGAGATAATTTTATCATTTGGAAAGGCGGTTACAGTGCACCATTACTGTAATTCCTGTTCCATGATTTGAATACATAGAAATGTATTAGCAGTAAAAATATAAGCAAGAAGCTGGGCACAATGGGTCATACCTGTATTCCCAGCACTTTGGGAGGCCGAGGTGGGAGGAAGGCTTGAGGCCAGGAGTTTGAGACCAGCCTGGGCGATGTAGTGAGACCCCATCTCTACACACACAATTTTTTTTTCAGAACTTAAATGCTAACTTCAGCCCAGGATTAATTTTTTTTTTTTTTTACAGCTAAACTAAAAATTACTACATGGGAACATCAATGCAACACACAAGTAAAATTTGTAAACTCAAGGCACAAACTTATAGTTAATGAGTTAATGATCATGGTAAGGGACATTGCCAAAGAGCTATTGATGCCTCAGTGAAGTCTGAAAGAAACTGCCTTCTCTGAAGGCAGAGAAGAAATATGCAAGCAATTCTGCTTCAAAGAAATTTGCACAGAAAGAGAAAATGCTAGAGCCGTTACCATAAGTGAAATTGCAAAGCCTCAGCATGTTCAACTCAATCCACAAAGCACCAAATGTTAAATTGGAGCCAAGGTAGAATTTGAACATTCAATTTTCAGCTTTGCAACTCTCAGAGCACAACAGTTTCAGGTGTGGAAACCAACTGTAGGCAAGCTCTTTTAAAAACCTGAATTTTATACACCGTAAATTCTAAAACAGAGCAGACACTTCTGCGTTATTGTTCCAGTTTCTGAAGGGCACCACAAGGCATCAGGGTCTCTTTCAAAGTCACTGGCTGCAACAATTCTGTCTTCCTAACTTTGGTAGCCCCCTCTGGTGGTTCTCTAGCCTTTGTACGCACTGAGGCACACCACTGTTTGTACAATGACTTCTGACATTAAATCCTGTCATGGCCTAAGTAGCATGAAGCAGCTGTTCCCTGGGTACCTCATGTCTCCTTGGCATGGGAGGTTTCCCAGTGACTTCTTCGTGCCCCCATTCAGGAGAGCCTCCAGAGCTCTCGGCACAAAGGGCCCCTAACTCTGGGTCCCACACAGGAGGCCACATCTGGAAGCTCTATTCCTCTAGCTCCCTCTGCTGGAAACCAAAGTGACAGTTTGTTGCAAAGACCTGTAGAAACAGATTATGTATAAACTCATTCTTGTACGCATTTACTTAATTTAGAACCTGGGACTTTTTAACAGTCGTTGTCCAGACCTTTTATGGTGGGTGATGGACTATGCAGCAGTGCTGAAGGAGCACTGTTTCTTTCTATAGGACTATAGGAAGAAAAGGATTAGTATACATAATTGTGTACATCAAGACAAATTTATAATAAAAAAAGAAAGATGAAGGGCCCAGAAACCTGCATTTTATTGACACTGTCATTTTCCACAGGGAATCTTAGGCAGACGTCACCTGTTTTCTTTTAAGTAATGAGAGAAGCCCACTTGTATTCCTGAATCATTTTTTGAGAAAAGCACCAGAGACGATTGACAGTCACACTTTTTAAAATAAAACAGTGACTACCTCTAGCCTACATCTCCCCACCCTCATCTACCTGCCCAATGGTTGTCAGTTCCCCTAAAGTCACCGTCTCCTTCTATTCTGGTATTACCATTAGAATTGAAATTTTCAAACAGGAAAAAAAAAAAAGTCTAGTTACAAATGAGTGCATGGCATCCCGAATGAAGCCCTTTGACTGTGATTTCTAATTTTCTGTTCAATCCATACTGCACAGATACAAGGATGAACCACCATTTTGGTTCCCAAGTTTTATTCAAGAATTCGTATAAAATATTCCACATAAGTGAATTTTAATCCTCGTCTTCCTCCTCTTGTTTGTTCTGGTTAATTTGGAAGTAACGTAATTCATAACCCCTTTTGCTGTTAGCAGTTACGCACGTCCAATCACGTAGATTGTTCTTCTTCAAATATTTCTTATTTCAAATACCTTTTGGGAAGAGGCATCTCGGAAGTCATGGTGATCTTGCCCTTGCTCCTTTTGATCACAACCCCTCCAATGACATTCCTAGCTTTTCTGCTCACTTTGATCCTCTCTTGCAAAAACTGCTCAAAATTGGCAGCATCCATGATCCGTCTTCTATGGGGTGGGTGCAATCAAGAGTGAACTTCAGAACCTGCTTCTTTTTTTTTTGCCCCCCTTTACCACAAGGTTTTTCATGGATGCCATGGTGGCAGTGAAGGCAGAAAGGGCATTTTTTTTTTCTGTTGCCTAGGCTGGAGTGCAGTGGCACAGTCTCGGCTCACTGCAGCCTCCAACTCTTGGGCTCAAGTGATCCTCCCACTTCAGCCTCCCAAGTAAGTAGCTGGGACTACAGGCGCATGCCACCACTGCACTTCAGCCTGGGTGATAGATTGAGACTCTGTCAAACCAACAAAGACATACCTACATTCATGCATGCATATATGATGAAAACTCAGGTGAAACTCCTATAAAAACTCTGTTTATGGTTTGCTCTTACATAATTAATTATTTGAGAAGTCACTTGTTAAATGTGTCTCTCTTGCTGGGCTGTAACCTAATTAAGGGTAAAGACTCTATCTGCTGTGTCCTCTACTGCCTCTTGGGTGCCTACCAGAGTGATGGCACTGAAAAGGCACACATTTACTGATATAAATTAATAGATTGTGTTTGACATTTTTCCCCTTTTTTTCTCACTACAAAGTAATATCTACTTTTATTAAGCAGGAAAATATAATTATCACCTCTAGCTATTGCTGTTTCTAACATTTTAGCACCTTTCTGGCCTTTTTACTATGCTTGTTTAAGATGTTGAGACCATATTATATGTACAGATTTGTATCCTGCTTGTTTTTGATTTTCAATATGTTTTATGTCACTGAAGACTTTTCATAAACATCCTTTTAAAAAACTGTGATATTCCGTCATATGAATATGTCACTTTTTAAAGTCATTTCCAAAATTTTAGCAGTTACTTTGTACCTGATTGTTTTGCTATTATAAGTAATCCTGAATTAAATATCTTTTAATATTTTTTTCATGTGTGATTTTCTTCACCTTGGTATGGTTTCTAAAATGAGAATTTCAGATGTAAAAAAATGACCATTTTTAGAGTTTTTAATTTATATTCACATTTCTTTGTGGGACTGTTATGTTGTTTTACATTTCTACCAGCAACATGTGAGAGTGTCCATTTTACAACCCCTTGCGAGTATTTGATGTTATTGTAAAATCTTTGCTAATTTGATAGAAGAAAATGGTATGGGCCAGCTGCGGTGGCTCACACCTGTAATCCCAGCACTTTGGGAGGCCGAGGTGGGCAGATCACGAGGTCAAATCGAGACCATCCTGGCCAACATGATGAAACCCCGTCTCTACTAAAATACAAAAAACTAGCCGGGCGTGGTGGTGTGTGCCTGTAGTCCCAGCTACTTGGGAGGCTGAGGCAGGGGAATCGCTTGAACCTGGGAGGCGGAGGTTGTGGTGAGCCAAGATTGCACCACTGCAGTCCAGCCTGGCGACAAAGCGAGACTCCGTCTCAAAAAAAAAAAAAAAAAAAGAAGAAAATGGTATGTTATTGTTATTATTAGCATGTCTGTGATTGCTAGAGAAGTCAAACTTTTTAAAAATGTTTATTAGCTGTTTTCTTTTATTAATTTTCTGTTTATGCCCTATTCTAGAATCTTAGTAGTTTTTGGTGAGCTTTTTATCTACTAAGGCTAGTAAGCTTATTAACATTATTTTGCTAGAAGTTAGTACATCTAACAAATACCATTTCCTAGTTCTTTAAATTTTTATTAATTTTTAATACGCTAAAGTTTTAAAGTAAATAGTCACATATTATCAGTGTTATCCTTTGTTATTTCTCCCACTGTTTTTAAGTTTGGGAAGTTCTCTATTAAGAAATCAGGTTGGGCGTAGTGGCTCATGCCTGTAGCCTCAGCACACTGGGGAGGCTAAGGTGGGCAGATTGCTTGAGCCCAGGAGTTCGACCAGCCTGGGCAACATGGTGAAACCCTGTCTCTACCAAAAAAAAAAAAAAAAAAAAATACAAAAATTAGCCAGATGTGGTAGTGTGCATCTGTAGTGCCAGCTACTCAGGAGGCTGAGGCAGGAGGATCTCTTGAGCCTGATATGTTGAGTTTGGAGTGAGCCAAGATCGCGCCACTGCACTCCAGCCTGGTGACAAAGTGAGGCGCTGTCTCAAAAAAAGAAAAAGAGAAATCGGATAGGCCGGGGTACAGTGGCTCACACCTGTAATCCCAGCACCTTGGGAGGCCGAGGCAAGTGGATTGCTTGAGCCCAGGAGTTTGAGACCAGCCTGGGCAACATAGCAAAACCTTGTCACTACAAAAAAATTACAAAAATTAGCTAGGCATTGTGGCATGCTCCTGTAGTCCCAGTTACGTGGTAGTCTGGGAGGTAGAAGGATTTCCTGAGCCTGGGAGGTTGAAGCTGCAGTGAGCCATGTTTGCATCACTGCACTCTAGCCTAGGCAACAGAGTGAGAACCCGTCTCAAAAAAAATGAAATCACACATACGTTCTGTTTTTCCTCACTGGTTTTTAAGGGTTTAATATGAAGCACAAAATTATTATGATAATAATAATTATTTTACACTTAAGCATTTAGTCCATTTGGAATTTATGTTGTTTGTTACTATTTAAAGTTGTAATTTTTTTTTCCAAATAGCAAACTAATTATTCTAACACCATTAAGTGAGTAATCCTTTCCACTTCATTCTTAATGTAGCTATTTCTACTTTTTATGAAGCTTAATGTCAGCCCAATTCTGTTATTCTAACTAAAATGATAGAGTGCAACATTATGTATAATTATAATGTAACCTAGGTTTCTGTGCTGTTTTACAGATTGAGTGTAGAAATTGACACTCTCAGAAGGAGACCAAAAATCGGTTCTTCATCCCAAAGACCTATTAAACTCAAAGAAGCATCATATTCAAATGATAATCAAATTATTTTGCAGAGTCCTTCTTCAAATGGAACTAAAAAAGACATACATAAATGTGTAGACTTTAAACCTAAAGATATCAAATTGACAAATGCTGGGAGCAAGCTTGACCATGGAATTAAAAGCCTTAGTAGTCCTAAGATTGCCAGTGATGTGAAACCTAAAGCCGAAGGCCAGGCAAGTGAAAATAAATGGTCTCATTTACTTGTTCAGAGAGAGAAGATGAAAGAACTCAAGAAAGGAAGAAACAGTAAATTTAGAGACAATTCTGAAAAATGTGTCTTAGAGAAATGGAAGAGAAATCAATTTTCTCAGGATTATAACTCCAACAAGATAATTAAGGAACCCTTGGGATCTAGAAGACAGAAGATCAGTTTCAAAATCCCTATAAAATCCCGTGACACCCTCCAGAAACTTGTAGAAGAAAATGTCTTCAACATAGATTCTAATAATTCGAAGACTAAGCAGGAAGAAAGAGAATACCTGGAAAGCTCCCAGGTTTCATTAAATGTGACTAGGCAGAAAACTGAACATTTACTTTCAGATTTTACATATAAGCGGACTGTTCATGAGTGGAAACGAAAACATCATTATGACCATCAAGAAAGTAATGATTCACATTCTAGGGAAAACCTAACCCAGGTAAGGTAGTAAAAAATGAAGAATATAGGTTTTAACTGAGAGTTTATTAATATAGTTAAGTTTTTTCTGTATTTCTATATTTTTTTCTGTTTTTTTTTTTTTTTGTTGTTGTTTGTTTTTTGTTTTTGAGACAGGGTCTCACTCCGTTGCCCAAGCTGGAGTGCATGCAGTGGCACGATCCTGGCTCACTGCAGCCTTGACCTCCTGGGTTCAAGCAATCCTCCTGCCTCAGCCTCCCTAGTAGCTGGGACTATAGGCACACATCACCGCACTGGGCTAACTTTGGTGTTTTTTGCAGAGATGAGGTTTCACCATGTTGCTTAGGCTGGTCTTGAACTCCTGGGCTGAAGCAGTTCGCCCCTGCTCAGCCTCCCAAAGTGCAGGGATTACAGACGTGAGCCACTGCACATGGCCTTTTTAGTTGTTTCTATTACTGATGATAATCATAGATGGCTGATTCAAATTTATTCATGAAGATATGTGTTGGTTTCTTTATTTTACTCTCTTTAATTCCAACTTTTTTAGGAAGATATTTTGGCAGGTATCAAGGATTCATAATAGAAAGGAATGTGTAAAAATGTGGTGAGAAGCAGTTATAGATAGTCCTTTGAAAAAAGCATTGTATGCTGGAGAACACTCGGGACAATATTCTGAATAGTCTTTAAACAGTTTATTTTTTTCAGTGTCACCGTGTACCAGGCACCACAATAAAATAGCTTGTAAGAGATAACACAGTTTGTTTTCAGGGACTTATTCAAGTGAAGAGAGACACAAGCAATTTCCTTAAATAGGAAAAGTATAATACCTATCACTTAATAAGAGAATACACAGCAGGGGATTAATATAGCTTTGGTACATCATGAAAGAATTAGTTTAGAAAGGTATACTGGAGGGGACTGGATACAATGGCTCACGCCTGTAATCCCAGTGTTTTGGGAGGCCCAGGCAGGCAGATTGTCTGAGGCCAGGAATTCAAGACCAGCCTGGGCAACATACCGAGACGGGTCTCAACAAAAACATAAAAATTAGCTGGGTGTGGTGGCGTGAGTCTGTGGTCCCAGCTATTCAGGTGACTGAGGTGGGAGGATCACTTGAGCCCAGGAGCTCAAGGTTATGGTGAGCTGATCATGTAACTGCACTCCAACCTAGGTGACAGAAAGAGACCTTGTCTCCAAAAAAAAAAAAAAAAAAAAAAAAAAAAGATTTACTGGAGGCTGGAGGGAGTAACATTTAAACAGACCTAAAGAATGAGTCGAAGTTACTTAAGTGGAGGTGAAGTGAGGTAGAATGGGAGAAGCCGGGATATTTTAGGCAGAGGGAGCTACATGAGCAGGGATCTAGGCTAGAAAGCTTGGCACATCTATTTTGCTTTAAAATTATGTAATGTAATTGCCATTTATGGACTACTTTGAGAACCTAATCTCTATAATTTTGTTTCTATGTCAAATAAAGTTACTTATCTTCAAGAGAACTTTCAGAACTGTGGAACCTTGGAATTTTAGAACTTCAGAAATTCTGAAATGTAGAGACCACTGATAAACAGGGATGGTTAAGCCTACCTGCTTTTAGGTATTAAGACTGTGGACTGTGGCCAGGCCTGGTGCCTCACACCTGTAATCCCAGCACTTTGGGAGGCCGAGGTGGGCGGATCACGAGGTCAGGAGATCGAGACCATCCTGGCTAACACAGTGAAACATCATCTCTACTAAAAATACAAAAAATTAGCTGGGCATGGTGGCAGGCACCTGTAGTCCCAGCTACTTGGGAGATTGAGGCAGGAGAATGGCGTGAACCTGGGAGGCGGCCCTTGCAGTGAGCCAAGATCGCGCCACTGCACTCCAGCCTGGGCGACAGAGCAAGACTCCGTCTTAAAAAAAAAAAAAAAAAAGACTATGGATTGCAATGGTAAGATATTTCTTACGAAAAATGGAGGAATTATAACTAAGGAGGCCAGAAGAGCTTGGGAATTAGTATTTTTAGTTTAAGTGAACTGGAAGGGGCCCAAAGAGGGCAAGAATTGAGTTTGAATTGAGTTTGTTTTCACTGCTTTCTTAAAGGAAAGAACCTCCAGTTTTTCTTCTTGTGTTATAACCATTTCTCTAGAGTAGAATGAAAGAAAGGAACTTGAAGTTGCCAGTATGTTCAGTGATCATCATTGTGTCATTGCCTGGTTTTCCCATTGTGCTATACATCTAAGGAATAGCATGAGAAATCTCTGCAGGGCGTCGTATGGTTTCTTTTGGTCTCTATGTAGAATTACTACACAAACCAAAAGAGGTACATAGCAAGAATATTAAGTTGCAGAAGAAGCAGTTTTTCCATGACCACTTTCCAGTTATTGGAATTTAGACTCTTTATAAACTGTTCTCAGATAGCAGCATTATCAGGCTTAAAGTCATTTAGACACAGAAACAGCAAGTAAATATTGTCCTTATCTTGTGTATATTATCTTCAGCATATTATTGACAGCAGATAATCATCTTAATACCCTGTTTGTTTTTATGTTTTACCCACTAATTCCTCAGTAGATAATTATTTTCCTAAAATAATGAGTATACTTTACAAGGAAAATAATTGTATTTTCTTTTTCTGGATTTAGTTATGCTTTCTAAAGGAAAAATAACTCTTTTGTTTCTTAGGTTTTATAGTTCTTTGATATAGACCCCTCTCAAATTGCAAACCTCCCCCTCATTGAAAATTAATGTCCTAGAGATTTATAGTTTATCGGCTACTTTTAAAAACAGCATCACATTTAATTCTTACAAGACTAAAGTAGGAATTCGTTCATTTATCAAACATCTATTAAAGGTACCTAGTATGTATCAGGCATTTTTCTAGGTACTAGGTATTTAGAAATGAGTAAGATGATTATTAGCCTCAAGAAGTTCCCAGGGAGGCAGACTAGTAAGTAAAAAAAATATGATTGTACTATAGTGAAGTAAATACCACAGTCCTACAAATTGGGTGTGATGTTAGTATAAATCTCCGGGTGAGTTAAAGAAGGGCTCACTAAAGTGGTGGTTCTAAAACCTCATCTCGAAGGACATGTGGGGTGAGGACTAGATATGCTGTCCAGCTAGGGTAGAGGGCCAGTGTATGTAATGGCACAGAGTTGTAAAATTGCATGGAAGGAAGGTACATGAGCACATAGGTTGTCAGTATGACTAGAGTCAAGATGGGTAGAGAATCTATAGGAAAGGAAGTTGGAGAGAAAGCCAGGGTCTCTAGACAATGGATGATTTCGTATCATGGGAAAGACTGGTTTTTATCTCGTAGATGGAAGAGAGCCACTGAACCACAGTCAGGGAAATAATATAATTGTGTTTTCCATTTGGAATCACTTTGGTAGATAGAACCATTATTATCTTTGTTACGATATTCCCTTTTGTCATTCTCATGAAAGGCTTTATCCCAACCTATGTATTTGATAAGGCATGGTGGGGGAGGCAAACAGTTAAATGCATTAACTTTTCTGGATTGTTCGGTGGTGGAAAATTCATTGTAGTCACTGTAGGTGGCCCATGAATAGAGAGAGCAAAGGGTAATAGTAACCAAAGGAAGAGAATAAAGAGATGTAGAATGTCAAAAGCCACAAGTTCTGTTAATAATCTCTGGCTTGTTTGGCACTTCTTAAAGAGAACTTTAAAGATCAGTGAGATTTAAAGTTATATGGAGAAGGGATTATGACTCTCAGGGTCATGGAATAGTAAAACTATAATGAGCCTATGTGTGTGAAGTGTGTTGTTATATCATGTGAGGTTTGATGTTGGGTGGAAGCTGATTTCCCAGTAAAGCATTTAGCCTGAAAGTTCAGGCGGAAGCTGAATTCTCAGTAAAGCATTTCTACGTATGATGTACTTGTTTAAAGAGTGTTTGTGTGGGCGCAGTGGCTCGTGCCTATAATCCCAGCACTTTGGGAGGCTGAGGTGGGCAGATCACTTGGGGTCAGGAGTTTGAGACCAGCTTGGCCAACATGGTGAAGCCCTGTCTCTACTAAAAATACAAAAATTAGCTGGGTATGGTGGCGGGCCTGTAGTCCCAGCTACTTGGGAGGCTGAGGCAGAAGAATCGCTTGAACCCGGGAGGTGGAGGTTGTAGTGACCTGAGATCATGCCACTACACTCCACCCTGGGCAACAGAGCGAGACTCTGTCTCAAAAAAAGAAAAGAAGAGTGTTTGTAGTTCATACCAGAAATAGATTTCCGTAAAGTACATGTTAGTTTAGAGTTACTTTGGAGAATTCTTAGAAGGTTATAATTCATTCGTTCTTTTGCTGAGCTTCCTGTCACCTGTATGTAGGGTCAGGTAGGTCTCATCCACTCAGCAGAAATGCCAGTGGAAAATTGGAATTTGGAGGGAGATTTTCAGACTTTGTTTGAAGACAAAATATAAAACAGAAACCCCTGGTGCTCTAACTACATATAATATAACCGTGCATTGTTCAGCTTTTCTTTTTTAGCCTTATTGTAATCCTCAAGTTCCTTCTGTTGTTTTATCATGTCACTTGTAGAAATGACTTAGTTGCTCCTGGATGAAAATTTTTCACCACTGAAGGCCAACTTGTTTACCTTTGCATTCATTATTTCTCTTTTTTTGGGGTGGCATGTAATTTTATTCTTAGAATATAGTATTTTTATGCATCTGTATATGAAGAATTCTACCATGTTTCATGACTTGATAAAATGGAGCTTCTCTATTCTAGGGACAGTTTCTCATCTGGAGGCAATTTTGCCCCTCAGGGGACATTTGGCAATGCCAGGAAACATTTTCGATTGTCAAGATTGAGGTTGGGGCTGGCACTACGGCTCACGCCTGTAATCCCAGTACTTCGGGAAGCTGAGGCAGGTGGATCACTTGAACTCAGGATTTCGAGACCAGCCTGGGCAACATGACAAAACCCCATCTTTACAAAATATACAAAAATTAGCCGGGTGTGTTGGTGTGCCTGTGGTCCCAGCTACTCAGGTGGCTGAGGCGGGAGGATCGCTTGAGTCCAGGAGGTTGAGGCTGTGGTGAATCACAGTTGTGCCATTGCACTCCAGTTTGGGTGACAGAGTGAGACCCTGTCTTTAAAAAAAAAGTTTGGGAGTAGGGGTAGGTGGGTAGTACTACTGACATTCTGGAGGATAGAGGTCAGTGATGCTGCTAACCATCCTGCAATATACAGGGCAACCCCTAAAGTGAATTATCTGACCCTGAAGGTTAATAGTGACAAGGTTGAAAAACCCTATTTAGGTTATGCTTTATTCTTAGCTAATGAAATTACTTTCATTTCAGAGTTTTGAAGCACCATGTTGTTCCGTGTCATCTGAAAGTATCCAGGATGCAGATCAAGAGGTTATTGATATTCTTGTTTACTTTGATATTTTTAATGAAATTAAGTCAGTTCCTACTTTTAATAAAAAATAATGACTGTAGAAACCCTGATAATATGAAAATAACAATGATGTCTCTATTTAAATCAATATGTAAGGTTTTATGAAGTCATCCAAAACTATTCAGAAAAGTATACTTTAGTACTTTTTACTTTTGTTTCTAGTAAGGTTATCTATTGTGAACAAAGAGCATGAAACCAGTGGCCCACAAGTAATCTGAATTTTGATTTAATATTATGACACTTTCCCTGTTTATGCCTAGGGTTGCCAAAATGCAGTAGGACATTAACATGTTTTTACTTCATTTTAAAAATCATCAATAAGATGAAAACATTATTCAATGAAAATGAGAGTACATGAGTGTTTATCTTTTTACCTGTTGCTTCATTTCCCAACCAGAGTCCCCTGACTGATCTTCATAGAATTTTATGTTGACTTGTCCTAAGTTAAGATGAGATTCGTGGAACACTTTGTAATTGTCTTTTTAAAGACTTTCAGGCAAAGCACCGTGGCTCAAGCCTGTAATCCCAGCACTTTGGGAGGCCAAGGCGGGTGGAGTACCCGAGGTCAGGAGTTCGAGACCAGCCTGGCCAACATGGTGAAACCCTTTCTCTACTAAAAATACAGAAATTAGCTGGGCATGGTGGTACATGCATGTAATCCCAGCTACTCAGGAGGCTGAGGCAGGAGACTTACTGGAGCCCGGGAGATGGAGGTTGCAGTGAGCCAAGATCATGCCACTGCACTTCAGCCTGGCTGACAGAGCAAGACTGTGTCTCAAAACAAAACAAAAAACTTTCAGACTATATTAATTGATTTTTATTTGTGACAGTCAATTGTATTTTTCTGTTTTGAGGTGCTCCTTGATAGAAGAAAGATGTCTCACCTCTGATCTAAAGCTAGACTGTATTTTCATTTCTTTGTGTCACAATACATCAGAGAAGTATTTCTGTGAAGTGAGAATGGTTTTAAGATCTAGATTTCAGTTTATGATGGTTCATAACAATCTTAGAAATCTCAAGAAGAATGCTTACTGTCAAGATAAAAAAAATTTGACTCCTAAAATGAAGTGAGGATTGGAATGAGAATGAACTTACTTTAATGTCTAGGTATTTGGCTCTGTGCAAGGAGCTTCACCTAGCTTATTTCATTTATTCCTCACAAAAATCCTAAAGGAAATAGATATTAAAGATTCCTATTTTGTGAATTAACAAACTGAGACCCAAAGTTGTTAAATAATTTGCTTGCATAGGTTATGGAGGTAAGAAGAAAACTATTTTGAAAACCACGTGTGTGTTTATAAATCTTTGTTCTTTTACTATGCTCCTTCAGAGTTTTATAAAATTTTTTCTTTCCATAAACCATCTCAAGTGAATTAATTAAGAATTAATTGCTTTCCTCTCTTGTCAGTCTGCAAAGTAACTCAAAATATTTCACTGGGGTCTTTTACACTTTAGATGCAGATAGTAGAAGAGCTTCATGCTGCACGTGTGGGAAAAAGTGTGGATTTACCTGGAGAGTTAATGAGTATGGAAATTGACTTAGAAGATGATGTACATTCCTCCTCTGGTATACCCTATATGTTGATGTGTATGCTCCCCTATGCTTTCCTAAAAATTAATGTGCCAATATTCAATTTTTATAATATTTAGATGAAAAATGTTAAAATGTGCTCACTTGAAATGAATGATAAAGTAATAGTTTATTTTTTAGGTACAGGAATTAGATCCAATATTTGTCTTATTGGTTTTACATATTTCATATTATTGGATAGTTAGATATTTTTCTCTTTTTCTGTCAAGAGGTAGTAATTAGAATTATGAGTTGTCTTTTATTCTTGCTGTTATAACTTTAACAATTTCAATGATGTAAAGCACTGATCAGAAATAATGCAGAATAGCTGGTGCAGTGGCTCATGCCTGTAATTCCAGCATTTTGGAAGGCTGAGATGGGAGGATTGCCTGAACCCAGGAGTTCAAGACCAGCCTGGGCAGCATAGTGAGACCTCCTGTCTACAGAAAATAAAGTTAGCTAGGTGTGATGGGATGCGCCTGTAGTCGCAGCTACTCAGGAGGCTGAGGTGGGAGGATTGCTTGAGCCTGGGAGGTTGAGGCTGCAGTGTGCCAAGATTGTGCCACTGCATTCCAGCCTTGGTGACAGAACAAGACCCTCTCTCTCTCAAAAAAAAAAAAAAAAAAAAAAAAGAAAGAATGCAGATTGCTTGAAGGTATTATATTTATTGATTTCTTATTCATGTTGTGAAATTTTGATCATTTTTTTTGCTACTGGGAGAAGATAATGATAGAGATTATCCAAAATCTATCAGTGTACTGTTTCAAATTCCATTTTTAAAAATGGCAATGCTGACCGGGCACGGTGGCTCACGCCTGTAATCCCAGCACTTTGGGAGGCCAAGGAGGGTGGATCACCTGGGGTCAGGAGTTCGAGACCAGTCTGGCCAACATAGTGAAACCCCATCTCTACTAAAAATACGAAAAATTAGCTGGGCATGGTGGCCCATGCCTGTATTCCCAGCTACTCAGGAGGCTGAGGCAGGAGAATGGCTTGAACCTGGGAAGCAGAGGTTGCAGTGAGCCAAGATTGAGCCACTGCATTCCAGTCTGGGCAACAAGAGCAAAAATCCATCTCAAAAAAAAAAAAAAAGTAATGCTACCTTACATTCACATTGCAGTTTTCATCTTTCAAGTGTTTTCCTATGTATTATCTGATCCTCAAAATGGTCCTATGCAATAACAATGCTAGAATTATTATGTTTTTTCTTTTTTTGTTTGTTTGTGGGTTTTTCTTTTGTTTTTGTTTTTTTGAGACGGAGTGTCCTTCTGTCATCCAGGCTGGAATTGGAGCTATCTCCACTCACTGCAACCTGTGCCTCCCAGGTTCAAGCAATTCTCCTGCCTCAGCCTCCTGAGTAGCTGGGACTACAGGCGTGTGCCACCATGCCTGGCTAATTTTTAGTAGAGCTGGAGTTCCACTGTGTTGGCCAGGCTGATCTCGAACTCCTGACCTCAGGTGATTGGCCCGCCTCGGCCTCTCAAAGTGCTGGGATTACAGGCGTGAGCCACCAAGCCCAGCATGTATTTTCTTTTACACATATTCATCTTTCAATTATATTCACTCAGGATATGTTAAAATTAGCTTATAATTACTAAGTGCACAACTACCGGTGATCCATGACAGAAGTTAGAAACATAATTACTCCCCAGGCAAGTCAGTTCATAATTTAAAATCCACCTACAAGCAATTTATAGTATTCTACTGGTGGGTGATTAAACATTGATTACTATTCTTTCTCTTAAGAATCGAAGTAAAAGCAATTTTGTTTTTATTGTCTAAAGGACTTCTCTTAAGAATGCTCTCAAAAACATTCTCCATGGCTGGTTTTTCACAGTCTTGGCCCCAGGTTTCCCGTGTATTTCTGCTTTGCCAACCCTTACCTTCTCTGCCCACTTTGACTTAGACGATTCTCCACCCCACTCCCACTCCAAACAGGGGTTGCAATTCCTATCCAGAGGACCTTAATTGATTGGGGAGAAATTTACTTGGCAACAAGGATACGGGCCGGATAGATATCAGCTTGAGAGTCTAGCCAACTGTGTAAATCTCTGATACAGTTAACAAGACAAAGAGGCGTTTTAAATTTAATTGAATTTTCAATGCTTCTGTAATATCAAAATTTTAGTCATTATATAAGTCTGTTATCAAGTGTCATGAAATATTTGCTCTTTTTCTTTAGCAAATAATACTTCAGACAGAAAGCTTCTAATTGTTATTGACACAAATATTCTGATGAATCATCTCAAATTTGTTAGAATTTTGAAGACAACAGAAGTACCAGGTATTTACAGAACATATTTAAAGATTCTGATTTTCTTCCTTGAGTTGATATTTTATATTAACAATGATGGGCTTTTTTTGCCATGAACATGTCTCCATTTAGATATGCTATATATTAAGCATATTCAGTGTTATAAGTTTATAAAAGCCTTTACAGGTTAAACTAGCAATCTGAACTCACTCTTTTTTTGATCTCCAAGAGTAATTATTTTTTTAACATTCTTTTGACACGTTATTTTCTTTTTAATTTCCATTTTATAATATATTGTCTCTCAATTTATTGTGAATTTCCTAAAGGTAGGGACTGTGTGCTTTAAAACTTTTACCTCTTGGACAGCAATTCCATTTAGTAGCTCAATAAATGTTTGTTAAATTCTAAGAAATCTTTTTATTTTTTAGGTTTTGACAAACTTGTGTTAATAATTCCCTGGGTCGTTATGCAAGAGCTAGATCGTATGAAGGAAGGAAAACTACTAAAACGTGCCCAGCACAAAGCTATACCTGCAGTTCATTTCATCAACGACAGTCTCAAAAATCAAGATAGAAAGCTATGGGGTCAGTCAATACAACTTGCATCCCAAAAACATTGTAAGTATTGTTCTCTCAGAGTGCCTCCTGATTAATACTTGTTTGGGTGCAGACTCATTATTGGAGGGAAATGGTGCAAAACTTTTAAAACATTTAAACCCATTGGAATGTGAAATGGAAGGGGCATTGTGATGGTTTGTGGCTTAGTTTAGGAGTCTTTGACTTTTATTTTTCTGCTTCTCCTAGACGTTTTTACATTATGTCTATATTTCACAGATAGTGACTGTATAGTTGTGTATGCATAATTATCTATATCCCAGAACCTTGGACTCCTTTTTTAAAAATACCATTGCTGAGTGATGAAGTCTGTAAGTGATCTAGGTTTCTAGTCTGTTAATATCACCATATGCAGTTAATGTACTGTGGAGACGATGTTGCTTTCCTGTGGTTTGTCAGAATCGGTAATAATGAATGAGGTGTTTTTACAATAAAGTAGTGTATAGATTTTCCCCTCATTTAATTTTTTTCAATATTAGTTTCTATTAAGGCATTTAAAAAATTGCTTTAGTCTTAGAAGCTAAGGATGTTCTTTATGTTTTATATAATTTGCTGGAAAAATATCTATATATAAAGGAACACTTATTTCTGTGGAGTTTATACATATATATTTAGAAGATTTATTTCATTCTTTCAGAATTTGTTTCTTCCCAGCTCAGAATTATTTATATATGTAAGCTTACATTATTTTAAATACCACGGATTTGTACTGTCCACTGCACCCATATTCACCGTAAGATTTGAAAGAATTCATCTTAAGAGGAATCCAATTATGGTATTAACTATGAGAAGGCTTTAAAAGCCATGATTAGATTCATCTTAAGATGAATTACTTTAGTCTAAAATTTTTGTTTAGTCTTAAAATTTTGAAGAAAAAGGGTCTCTACCATTCATTCATTGTCTAAACAAATATTTATTAGTTCTTAGTATATTCCAGATATAATGCTTATGAATTTTGAGTGAAGATGGTCCATGTCAAGTAGCTTTAGTTGACTATAATTTTAGCCTTGTCCTTAACTATTTGCAAAATTATATTTATTTGATATAGTATTGATCTATTATAGTGAGAGGAACATAGGATTTGAAATATGATCAACCTGGGTTTATAGCATAACCCGGGGGAAGTTAAAGGTGAAGAAACTGAATAAATGAAATGAGAGGAAATAAATTCCACGTCATAAAATGGTTGTGAAGATTGGTTGAGTTAATATATTAAACTAATAGCTTATGGTTCAGAATAGGCAGTAATTCTCTTGTGTCCTCATTATATGAAAAGCTTATGCAGATTGATAAGACTCATCTATCTTTTTTTTAAATATCTGATTTATTTTTATCACTTCTAAGTTTAGAAAGTTACTCTCTCCCAACCCACTAGGAAGATTCACAGCACTGCATGGCTTTAAGACTATGAATTGGTAACTTTGTAGAAGAGCAGTATTTAGCAATGTGCTTGAATAAGCCTAAGGATAATAATTGTCTTTCTAGAAATGTATCCAAAAAAAGTGAGAGATGCAGGCAGTGATTTATATAAATAGTGTTCATTATAGCATTATTTATGTAACAAAAAAATTAGAATCAACCTGTATAACATTTGGAGAAGTTACATACATTGCTATAGCCACAGGAGGGGACACTATATTTGGAAAAACATTAATGACATATAACGTTAAATAAAAACAAACATAAGATTAAAAAAATATGTGAAGTATAATTCTAAATTTATTTAATTATATACTGATTAATGATGAATAGAGGTGATATTTACCTGATGGGTTTATCAGTTATTTTAATTTTCTTTATATTTTCTGTATTTTCCAGATTTTTAATTACCTTTTTTTTTTTTAAGATGGAGTCTCGCTCCCGTCACGCAGGCTGGAGTGCAGTGGCATGATCTCAGCTCACTGCAACCTCCACCTCCCGGGTTCAAGTGATTCTCCTTCCTCAGCCTCCCAAGTAGCTGGGATTACAGGTGTGCCCCACCATGCCTGGCTAATTTTTGTATTTTTAGTAGAGATAGGGTTTCACCATGTTGGCCAGGCTGGTCTCTCACTCCTGACCTTAGGTGATCCACCCGCCTTGGCCTCCCAAAGTGCTAAGATTACAGGCGTGAGCCACCGCGCCCAGCTTTTTTTTTTTTTTTTTTTAAAAGAGTCTTCGTTTGTCACCCAGGCTGGAGTGCAATGGTGTAATCTTAGCTCACTGCAACCTCCACCTCCTAGCTCCACCTTCAAGAGCTTCTCGTGCCTCAGCCTCCTAGAGTAGCTGGGATTACAGGTGTGAGCCACCATACCCAGCTGATTTTTGTATTTTTAGTAGAGATGGGGTTTTGTCATGTTGGCCAGGCTGGTCTCGAACTCCTGACCTCAGGTGATCCACCTGCCTCAGCCTCCCTCGGCTTACAGGTGTGAGCCACGGTGCCTGGCTAATAAAGTTATATATTTTTTATAATAAGGTAAAAATAATTAAAGGCAATAAATAGTTATCTGCCACTCCCCCAATCAGACATTTGTTCTGTATTTTTATATTTTTCATTGTATTTTTATTGATTCATTTGTTTGCCAAGTATTTGTACCAGACACTGTTCCAAGTGTTGGCCCTGTAACAGTGAATAAGAAAGATAAACCCTACTGTTGAGGAGGTTAAATTCTATTAGATATTAAACATCTTAATAACTATGATTTATATAGAATTTATTTATTCTGTATGTGAGTGAGGTCATTGATGTTGAGGTGCCATTTAAGCTGAATCTTTTTAAATTTTTTTTTATTTTTTTGAGATGGAGTTTTGCTCTTGTTGCCCAGGCTGGAGTGCAATGGCGTGATCTCAGCTCACTGCAATCTCCGCCTCCCGGCCTCAAGTGTGCGATTCTCCTGCCTCAGCCTCCTGAGTAGCTGGGATTACAGGCATGTGCCACCATGCCCGGCTAATTTTTTAAGATATTTTTAGTAGAGATGGGGTTTCACCATGTTGGTCAGGCTGGTCTCGATCTCCTGACCTCAGGTGATCTGCCTGCCTCGGCTTCCCAGAGTGCTGGGATTACAGGTGTGAGCCACCGCGCCTTGCCAAGCTGCATCTTAAGTAATAAATACATGGTACTTTTAAGCATTCACTATTGCCATACACTGGGCTAAATACTTTATATACATTTTCATTTACTCCTCATGATTAAAAACTTCACCCAAGGATACATACCTAGTAAGTGGGAAAACAAGGATACATAACCAGACTGGTCTGTTTCCGGAGTCTTTATTTTGTTCACTTTATTTTGTTCACATGTACAGGTGCTCAAAAGTATTTATTGAATAACTAAAGATTTCATGAATAGTCTTACAGTTGATTTTTCTGCTCCATATATCTTAGAAAAAGTGGTATTACTGATAATCTTGAGTTTGATACTGTTACAGCAGTGCACTGTTACTTTTAAGCCTCCTTTTATCTGCTGAATTGAATTGTTTAAAGTTAACTAATGATTTTGAGTTACACATTTTGCATTATTCATGGCATTTACCCTCTGAATTTAAGGGAAATTGACTACTGTGATATATGTCTGTCTGGCTCACTGGTCATCTGATCAAGAAATTTAATCACATCTTCCTCACACTCATGTCCTGACATAGTTGAGCTCTGTCTAGATTTCACTAATATGAACTCCTAAAGAGTTTGTCTTTGCATATCCATCTGCTTAGCATGGCACAAATTAAACCGTATATAAGTATTTATTGCATGAACGAATGAGTTTTCTAATTTGAAGGATTAGAGGACTAAGTAATATAGGCCAGAAGTTGAGAGAAAAATGATTATAAACTGGGAATAAGGTTGAGATGAATTGGCTGGTATGTCTTAAATTTTAATGTATAAGAGACAGGCCAAGACCTTAAATTATGATCTGGGTCCAGGCTTCAAAGATTCTTACCCAGAAATATATTTGGGGTATGGTCCTGCATTCTGTGTTATTAATAAGTCTAGGGAGTTCTCAGGTAGGTAGTTTATGGACTTGTGGGAAACATTATCTTTGGTCCAATTTCTACACATTGCATTATTATTATTATTTTATTCTTAATTTTTTTAGAGACAAGGTCTCACCCTGTCACCCAGGCTGGAGTGCAGTGGCACGATCATAGCTCACTGTAGGCTTGAACTCCTGAGCTCAAGTGGTCCTCCCTCCTCGGCCTCCTGAGTAGCTGGGACTATATGACTACAGGAGTGTGCCACCGAGCCTGGATAATTTTCTTGTTTTTTTTGTAGAGGCAGAGTCTCGCCATGTTGCCCAGGCTGATCTTGGAATCCTGACTTTAAGCAATCCCGCTGCCTCAGCCTCTCAAAATGTTGGGATCACAGGCACCACCCACCTGGCCTGCATTAATTTTATAAAAACTGAATTTTTGCTACATGTTTTGAGGCGTAGAGAATGCCAGAGGGTACCCTGTCAGCAGCTGATTAACATTTGTTAGGAATTACTTCTTGTGTTACCTTCCTAGGGCCCATATTTCTTTCTCCTGTATACCTCTAATTGCATTGCTTTAGAGATTAAGGAAGAGCACACACAGGAAACTAGTTTAGCTGCGGTAGAACAGTTGCTTATTAGTTCACAGACTTCTTAAGCTGAGAAAATGTTAAGTTACTTATAATCTGTAAGTGACTGAATTGATATTAGGATTCGTGGTTTTTGGTTTCTAGTCTGACATTTTAGCCTTCTGATCACATTTCTTTCCTTTGAGTTTACTAATAGCCATATCCTAGACCATTTTAATAGCGAACTAACCACATTAAATCCACAACTGTATGCTATGTAAATTCTAGATTCAGAGTTTTAAAAAAATTATTTTCTTGTCTTTTTATGTAAAAAGTTTTCTTTCTTTTATATGTACATAAATATATATGAAATACATATATTTCTTATATATGTATATATAAATACATATATACTTTTTTTTTTTTGAGATGGAGTCTCACTCTGTTGCCCAGCCTGGAGTGCAGTGGCGGGATCTCAGCTCACTGCAACCTCTGCCTCCCAGGTTCAACTGATTCTCCTGCCTCAGATTCCCAGTAGCTGGGATTACAGGCACCTGTCACAATGCCTGGCTAATTTTTGTATTTTTAGTAGAGATGGGGTTTTACCATGTTAGCCAGGCCGGTCTCGAACTCCTGACCTCAAGTGATCTGCACACCTCGGCCTCCCAAAGTGCTGGGATTACAGGCGTGAGCCACTGTGCCCAGCTGAGATATATTTTTTAATAGAGTTTTTGAGAGTAGTTTTAGTTTCACGGGAAAATTGCACAAAAGACATCAAGATTTCCCACATACTTCCTGCCCCCACACAAGCATAGCTTCCCCATTATCAGTATCCTTCACTGGAGTGGTACCTTTGTTATAGTTGATGAACCTCCATTTGACATCATTATCACTCTGAGTACATAGTTTACATTAGGTTCACTCTTGGTGTTGTACACTCTGTGGATTTGGACAAATGTATAATGACGTGTGTCCACCATCATAGTATCATACCTTAACTACCTTAAATCTCTTAGATATTTTTGTTTTGTAAATACAGCCTAGATTATTTCTGTGTCACCCACATTTCTAGTGTACTTACTGACTGTTGCCTTTACTAAATTTGCAGATGGATTGAGTGATGAGAACAATGATGATCGAGTACTAAAATGCTGTCTCCAGCACCAGGAATTATTCCCTTGTTCTTTTGTTATTCTGTGCACGTGAGTTTCATAGTCATTTGACTTTTTATTTTTAAAAAATAAACCAAATAATTTAAAAAAATCATATGGTATCCAGCATACCAAGGATCAAAAACATACATAATTTTCCAAATCTGCCAGTAAGCATACCCACTTGTATCTGACAGTCTTATAATGTGTGAGCACTAGAGGAATGAGATCTCAACTAGATGAAGTTTCATTTCAGTTTAATTTTTATACGATTCAGAAAACTTGAAAAAGCAGGGGAAAAGGCAACTTAATATCCCTCCAAAATTGTTTAAAAATCAGAATCTGACAGGATGAGACAAGAAATTTATTTACTTACATATTGGTGAGGTGGAGATAAGGTAGTTTATGTTGGAGTTGTGTGCTGGGTGCCTATTACAGAGTTAGACTGCCTGGCTTGGAGTCCTGATCTATCATTTATCAGCATTGTGACCCTGGACAAGTTGCTTAACTTAGTTTCCTCATGTCAAATAAACAGGAATAATAATATCACCTGCCTCATGAGATTATTGTATTTAATCTGTTAATATATGTAAATGACTTAGAATAGTGCCTAATATATAGTAAGATCTCAGTAAGTTTTCTCCCTCCTTCTCCCTTCCCCCTGCTTCTTCCCTCCCTACTAATATTTCCATAACTTAGTTCAAAGATAAAACTAAGATAATGCTAAACAAAATTTTATTCATCATGTATGAGAAAAGGTTCTGAAGGGACAGAAGAGCAATTTTAATTTGCAGTTTTTTTTTAATCAGTCTACATCATGCTTTGAAACTTGCAGTTTTAATCTGTATTTTATTCACTGCAAAATGGAGTTTTTATAGTTTCATGATCATGCTCAAATTCTTTCTGTGAAATGGAGCTACTATAGAAATCGTTAGCCCTAACATGTTTCTTGGAAACATTCTAGTCAGTGTTATTATTTTAGCTATCTTCAAAGATAATGTGATTCCTTTTGCTATTAAAGGAAATATTGGAGCTTTCTATCTATGAGTTTTAAATTATATTTTGATCTAGGACATATTACTTTGGAGTTTGTTGAAGGCTGAAATAGAATTAATAATATATAAATCATTTTGAATTTGAGATAAATTCGAGAAGTAATTCTTTGTTATGTAATTATTTTTTTAGTTCAGCTTAGAATGAAAATTAAATTGACAAAACTTTATCAATTCTCCATTATTTGTACATTCACTGCTTTTTTTGGGATTAACAGATATACTATTTTTTAGCGACTGAAAATTTATAGCCAAACCTTACTTTTAATTCTGACATAGTCGTGTTCCAAGTGGTGAGCCTGTTTTTCTCTCTCTCTTTTTTTGGTTGGTTTGTATGCATTTTCTTTAAATAGTGATAATCCTGTGTATTGTATAAGTCATACCTACTATTGTGAGGACATATTTATATTACTTAAAATGGATGATGATAATGTCAATTGATAGTGATAGTAATCAGAAAAACTTTTATAACACTTATATACTATGCATCATTCTAAGTGCTTACATTTACAATCATATGTCTGCACCAGCAATACAATTAATATCTCCAATCCATATTGCTTTTCTAAACTCCAGGCTAATATATTCAACTATTTATTTGATATCTCTTGGATGTTTCATAGACATCTGAAACCTATCATCTCCATAAATGAACTCTTGAGTTTTTCTTCTCAACTCTTCTACACCTGAATAAAAAGGGTCACCTCCTACCCATTTGCTAAAGCCAGAAACCAGGGAGTAAATTTTGATACCTGCCTTTTCTTCATGATCTATATACAGTGAATTAGCCAGTCCTGTGTGGTCTTCTTTAATTTTATTTTTTAGAAACAGGGTCTGGCTATGTTGCCCAGGCTGGTCTCAAACTCCTGGGCTCAAGTGATCCTCCTTCCTCAGCCCCTGAGTAGCTGAGGAAATGCACAAATCTAAACTATACAATGTTGACAAATGGGTGCACTGGTGTAGCTCACATCCTGTTAATATAGAGAACACGTCTGTAACGCCTCTCTTTTTTTTTTTTTTTTGAGACAGAGTCTCACTCTGTCACCCAGGCTGGAGTGCAGTGGCGCCATCTCGGCTAACTGCAGTCTCTGCCTCTTGGGTTCAAGCGATTCTCCTGTCTCAGCCTCCCAAGAAGCTGAGATTACAGGTGAGTGCCACCACGCCTGACTAATTTTTGTATTTTTAGTAGAGATGGGGTTTCGCCATATCGGTCAGGCTGGTCTCAAACTCCTGACCTCAGATGATCCGGCCACCTCGGTCTCCCAAAGTGCTGGAATTACAAGTATGAGCCACCGCGCCTGGCCCAGAAAGTACTCTCTTGCCTTTTTGTGCTCTTTCTTTCTTGTTTCTTAAGGTGGAAACTTAGATCACTTATTTGGTACCGCTATAACTGTCCTCTAAGCACTTCTGCAGTTGTATCCCACAAATTTTAATATGTTGTGTTTTCATTTTCGTTCTATTCAATATACTTTATAATTTCCCTTGTGACTCTTTCTCTGACCCATAGGTTATTTAGATGTTTGTTGCCTAATTCTAAGTATTTGTAAAATTTTCAGATACTTGTTTTGTTTTTTTTACTGAATTGTAGTTTAATTTCTTTGTGAATTGAGAACATAATTTACATGATTTCTGTTCTTTTAAATTTGTTAAAGTTTGTTTTGTGGCTAAGAATATGGTCTGTTTTAGTGAATGTTTTCTGTGTATTTGAACAGAATGTGTATTCTGCCCTTATGGGTGGAGTATTCTATAAATTTCAGTTAGGTCAGGTTGGTTGATAGTATTCTTCAGGTCTTCTATAACCTTACTGGCCTACTTTTTCTTTTCTTTTTTTTTTTTTTCCTGAGATGGAGTCTCACTTGGTCGCCCAGGCTGGAGTGAAGTGGTGCAATCTTGGCTCACTGCAGCCTCTGCCTCCCGGATTCAAGCAATTCTCCTGCCTTAGCCTCCCGAGTAGCTGGGACTACAGTTGCAGGCTGCCATGCCTGGATAATTTTTGTATTTTTAGTAGAGACAGGGTTTCACCATGTTGGCCAGGATGATCTTGATCTCCTGACCTCGTGATCCTCCCGCCTTGGCCTCCCAAAGTGCTGGGATTACAGGCATGAGCCACCTTGCCAAGGCTGGTTGCCTACTTTTTCTGTGATCACTGTGAAAGGAGTATTGAAGTCTCCAACTGTAATTGTGGATTTGTCTATTTCTCCTTTCAGTTCTATTTGTTTTGCTTCGTGTATTGTGAAAGCCACTAAAGCTATGGCTTTCTGTTGTGGTAAAGGCATTGATGAATTGGAGAATTCCCTCAGGCAAAAAGATAGAAACTTGTAGTGAGATGCATATACATCTAAGATTGTTTATGCTTGTCTTCTTGGAGAATTGCTTCTTTTATAATTATATAATGTCCTTTTTAGTTCTGACATCATTCCTGGTTCTAAAGTCTTCTTTGTCTAGTATGAATGCAACTATTTCAGCTTTCTTTTGCTTGGTATTTATGTGGTGTATCTTTTTGTATCCTTTTACTTTTAGCCCCTCTACGCCTGTATATTTAAAGTAAGTTTCTTGTAGACATCATATAGTTGGTTCTTTTTTGACCAATCTGACAATTTCTGTCTTTTAACTGTTAAGTTTAGACCATACACATTTAATTTGTTGGATTAAAATCTACCATTTTGCAAATAATTTTCTATTTGTTTTGTTCCATCTGTGCTTTTCTTCCTTTTTCTCTTTTGGATTAATTGTGCATTTTTAATGATACCATTTTGTCCCCATTATTTACTTATTTATACTTTTTTGAAAAAAACTTCTTATGGTTGTTTTAGTGTTTACAATATACATCTTTACTTATTAAAGTCTACCTTCAAATATTATACTGCTTCACAGGTACCATAAGGATATTGCTGTTGTATATATTGTCCCATAGCTCTTGGATACTTTAAAAAAAAAAAAGTCTTTTATTATCTTTTTGTTTCAGTTTGGGTACTTTCTTTTGACTTCCCTTCAAGTTTGTTGATTCTTTCCTTGCCTTTATCAAATCTATTGACAAGCCTGTTCAAGGCATTCTGCATTTTTGTTACTGTGTTTTTTATTGCTAGCATTTCCATTTTATTCTTATGGTTTTCATCTCTGTGAAACTGCTTGATTTTCCTTTCACCTTTTCCATTAGAACCTTTAACATATTAATAAAAATTACTTTAAATTTGCTGTCAGATAGCTTCAGTATCTGTGTTGTATTCAAGTCTACTTCTGTTGATTACTTTGACTCTTGGCAGTATGTTGTTTTTCTCTGGGCATACTTTATATGCAGATTTTGGGGCTCACTTGCTCTGTGGTTTCTTTTCTTCAGTTTCTCCTTTAACTTTCTTTTTATTATTATTATTATACTTTCAGTTCTGGGATACATATGCAGAACGTGCAGGTTTGTTACATAGGTATACACGTGCCATGGTGATTTGCTGCACCCATCAACCTGTCATCTGCATTAAGTATTTCTCCTAATGCTATCCTTCCCCTATCCCTCAACCACCCGACAGGCCCCGGTATGTGGTGTTCCCCTCCCTGTGTCCATGTGTTCTCATTGTTCAACTCCCACTTAAGAGTGAGGACATGCAGTGTGTGGTTTTCTGTTCCTGTGTTAGTTTGCTGGGGATGATGGCTTCCAGTGTCATCCATGTCCCTGCAAAGGACATGAACTCATCTTTTTTTATGGCTGCATAGTATTCCATGGTGTATATGTGCCACATTTTCTTAATCCAGTCTATCACTGATGGACATTTGGGTTGGTTCCAAGTCTTTGCTATTGTGAATAGTGCCGCAATAAACATATGTGTGCATGTGTCTTTATAGTAGCATGACTTATAATCCTTTGGGTATGTACCCAGTAATGGGATTGCTGGGTCAAATGGTATTTCTGGTTCTAGATGCATGAGGAATCGCCACACTGTCTTCCACAGTGGTGAACTAATTTACACTCCCACCAACAGTGTGAAAGTGTTCCTATTTCTCCACATTCTCTCCAGCATCTGTTGTTTCTTGACTTTTTAATGATTGCCATTCTAACTGGCATGAGATGGTATCTCATTGTGGTTTTGATTTGCATTTCTCTAATGACCAGTAATGATGAGCCTTTTTCCATATGTTTGTTGACACATAAATGTCTTCTTTTAAGAAGTGTCTGTTCATATCATTTGCCCACTTTTTGATGGAGTTGTTTTTTTCTTGTAAATTTGTTTAAGGTCTTTGTCGATTCTGGATATTAGCCCTTTGTCAAATGATAGGTTGCAAAAAATTTCTCACATTCTGTAGGTTGCTTGTTAACCCTGATGATAGTTTCTTTTGCTGTGCAGAAGCTCTTTAGTTTAATTAGATCCCATTTGTCAGTTTTGGCTTTTGTTGCCATTGCTTTTGGTGTTTTAGTCATGAAGTCTTTGCCCATGCCTATGTCCTGAATGGTATTGCCTAGGTTTTCTTCTAGGGTTTTTATGGTTTTAGGTCTTACGTTTAAGTTTTTAATCCATCTTGAGTTAATTTTTGTGTAAGGTGTAAGGAAGGGTTCCAGTTTCAGTCTTCTGCATATGGCTAGCCAGTTTTCCCAACACCATTTATTATATAGGGAATCCTTTCCCCATTGCTTGTTTTTGTCAGGTTTGTCAAAGATCACATGGTTGTAGATGTTATTTCTGAGGCCTCTGTTCTGTTCCATTGGTCTATATCTCTGTTTTGGTACCAGTACCATACTGTTTTTGTTACTGTGGCCTTGTAGTAGAGTTTGAAGTCAGGTAATGTGATGCCTCCAGCTTTGTTCTCTTTGCTTAGGATTGTCTTGGCTATACGGGCTCTTTCTTCTTTCCATATGAAATTTAAAGTAGTTTTTCTAATTCTGTGAAGAAAGCCAATGGTAGCTTGATCAGGATAGCATTGAATCAATAAATTACTTTGGGCATTGTGGCCATTTTCACAATACTGATTCTTCCTATCCATGGGCATGGAATGTTTTTCCATTTGTTTGTGTCCTCTCTTATTTCCTTGAGCAGTGGTTTGTAGTTCTTCTTAAAGAGGTCCTTCGCATCCCTTGTAAGTTGTATTCCTAGATATTTTATTGTCTTTGTAGCAATTGTGAATGGGAGTTCACTCATGATTTGGTTTGCTGTTTGTCATTTATTGGTGTATAGGAATGCTTGTGATTTTTGCACATTGATTTTGTATCCTGAGACTTTAGAAAATATTTATATATTTAGAAAATATGCAATCATGTCATCTGCAAATAGAGACAATTTGACTTCTTCTCTTCGTATTTGAGTACCCTTTATTTCTTTCTGTTTTCTGATTGCCCTGGCCAGAACTTCCCGTACTATGTTGAATAGGAGTGGAGAGAGAGGGCATCCTTGTTTTGTGCCGGTTTTCAAAGGCAAAGCTTCCAGCTTTTGCCCATTCAGTGTGGTATTGGCTGTGGGTTTGTCATAAATAGCTCTTAATATTTTGAGATACATTCCATCTCAAACTCGTTCCACCGAGTTTATTGAGAGTTTTTAGCATGAAGGGGTGTTGAATTTTACTGAAGGCCTTTTCTCCATCTATTGAGATAATCATGTGGTTTTTGTCATTGGTTCTGTTTATGTGATGGATTACATTGATTGATTTGCATATGTTGAAGCAGCCTTGCATCCCAGGGATGAAGCTGACTTGATCATGGTGGATAAGCTTTTTGATGTGCTGCTGGATTCGGTTTGTTAGTATTTTATTGAGGATTTTTGCATTGATATTCATCAGGGATATTTGTCTGAAATTTTCTTTTTTGTTGCATCTCTGCCAGGTTTTGGTATCAGGATGATGCTGGCCTCATGCGTTAGGGAGGAGTCCCTCTTTTTCTATTGTTTGTAATAGTTTCAGAAGGAATGGTGCCAGCTTCTCTTTGTTCCTCTAGTAGAATTTGGCTGTGAATCCGTCTGGTCCTGGACTTTTTTGGTTGGTAGGCTATTAATTGCTGCCTCAATTTCAGAACTTGTTGTTGGTCTATTCAGGGATTCAGCTTCTTCCTGATTTAGACTTGGTAGGGTGTATGTGTCCAGGAATTTCTCCATTTTTTCTAGATTTTCTAGTTTATTTGCATAAAGGTGTTTATAGTATTCTCTGATGGTAGTTTGTATTTCTGTGGGATGGGTGGTGATATCCCCTTTATCATTTTTTTATTGTCTCTCTTTTCTTCTTTATTAGTCTGGCTAGCAGTCTGTTTTGTTGATCTTTCAAAAAACCAGCTCCTGGATTCATTGAGTTTTTGAAGGGTTTTTTGTGTCTCTATCTCCTTCAGTTCTGCTGTGATCTTAGTTATTTCTTTTCTTCTGCTAGCTTTTGAATTTGTTTGCTCTTGTTTCTCTACGTCTTTTAATTGTGATGTTAGGGTGTCAATTTTAGATCTTTCCTGCTTTCTCTTGTGTGCTTTTAGTGCTATAAATTTCCCTCTAAACACTGCTTTAGCTGTGTCCCAGAGATTCTGTAACATTGTGTCTTTGTTCTGACTGGTTTCAAAGAGCTTATTTATTTCTGCCTTCATTTCGTTATTTACTCGGTAGTCATTCAGGAGCAGGTTGTTCAGTTTCCATGACGTTGTGTGGTTTTGAGTGAGTTTCTTAATCCTGAGTTCTAATTTGATTACACTGTGGTCTGAGAGACTTGTTTATTATGATTTACATTCTTTTGCATTTGCTGAGGAGTGTTTTACTTCAAATTATGTGGTCAGTTTTAGAATAAGTGCAATGTGCTGAGAAGAATGTATATTCTGTTGATTTGGGGTGGAGAGTTCTGTCTCTTAGGTCCACCTGGTCCAGAGCTGAGTTCAAGTCCTGGATATCCTTGTTACTTTTCTGTCTTGTTGATCTGTCTAATATTGACAGTGGGGTGTTAAAGTCTCCCACTATTATTGTGTTGGGAGTCTAAGTCTCTTTGTAGGTCTCTAAGAACTTGCTTTATGAATCTGCTGCTCCTGTATTGGGTGCATATATATTTAGGAAATTTAGCTCTTCTTGTTGCATTGATTCTTTACCGTTAAGTAGTGCCTTTCTTTGTCTCTTTTGATCTCTGTTTAAAGTCTGTTTTATCAGAGACTAGGATTGCAACC
Organism: Homo sapiens; assembly: GCF_000001405.40. Taxonomy (NCBI): domain Eukaryota; kingdom Metazoa; phylum Chordata; class Mammalia; order Primates; family Hominidae; genus Homo; species Homo sapiens. The sequence goes on from NC_000001.11 coordinate 185,198,749, forward strand.
CCTGTTTTTTTTTGTTTTTTTTTTTTGCTTTCCATTTGCTTTGTAAATATTCCTCCATCCCTTTATTTTGAGCCTATGTGTGTCTTTTCACATGAGATGGGGCTCCTGAATACAGCACACTGATGGGTCTTAACTCTTTATCCAATTTGCTAGTCTGTGTCTTTTAATTGGGGCATTTAGCTCGTTTACATTTTTTTTTTTTTTTTTTGAGACGAGTCTCGCTCTGTCATCCAGCCTGGAGTACAGTGGTGAGATCTCAGCTCACTGCAGCCTCCACATCCTGGGTTCATGCGATTCTCCTGCCTCAGCCTCCTGAGTAGCTGGGATTACAGGCACACACCACCATGCCTGGCTAATTTTTGTATTTTTAGTAGAGACGGTATTTCACCATCTTGGTCAGGCTGGTCTGGAACTCCTGGCCTCGTGATCCACCCACCTTGGCCTCCCAAAGTGCTGGGATTACAGGCATGAGCCACCACGCCTGGCCTAGCCCATTTACATTTAAGGTTAATATTGTTATGTGTGAATTTGATTCTGTCATTATGATGCTAGCTGGTTATTTTGCCCATTAGTTGATGCAGTTTCTTCATAGTGTCGATGGTCTTTACAATTTGGTATGTTTTTGCAGTGGCTGGTACTGGTTGTTCCTTTCCATATTTAGTGCTTCCTTCAGGACCCCTTGTAAGGGAGGCCTGGTGGTGACAGAATCTCACAGCATTTGCTTGTCTGTAAAGGATTTTATTTCTCCTTCCCTTATGAAGCTTAGTTTGGCTGTATATGAAAGTCTGGTTTGAAAATTCTTTAAGATTGTTGAATATTGGCCCCCACTCTCTTCTGGCTTGTAGGGTTTCTGCTGAGAGATCTGCTGTTAGTCTGCTGGGCTTCCCTTTGTGGGTAACCCGACTTTTCTCTCCGACTGCCCTTAACATTTTTTCCTCCATTTCAACCTTGGTGAATGTGACAATTATGTGTCTTGGGGTTGCTCTTCTTGAGGAGTATCTTTGTGGTGTTCTCTGTATTTTCTGAATTTGAATGTTGGCCTGTCCTGCTAGGTTGGGGAAGTTCTCCTGGATAATATCCTGAAGAGTGTTTTCCAACTTGGTTCCATTCTCCCTGTCATTTTCAAGTACACCAATCAAATGTAGGTTTGGTCTTTTCACATAGTTCCATATTTCCTGGAGGCTTTGTTTGTTCCTTTTTATTCTTTTTTCTCTAATCTTGTCTTAAGGCTTCATTTCATTAAGTTGATCTTCAGTTTGTGATATCCTTTCTTCCGCTTGATCGGTTTGGCTGTTAATACTTGTGTATGCTTTACGAAGTTCTCGTGCTGTTTTTTTCAGCTCCATTAGGTCATTTATCTTTTTCTCCGAATTGGTTATTATAGTTAGCAATTCCTCTAACCTGTTTTTTCAAGGTTCTTAGCTTCCGTGCATTGAGTTAGAACATGCTCCTTTAGCTCAGAGGAGTTTGCTATTACTCACCTTCTGAAGCCTACTTCTGTCAGTTCATCAACTCATTCTGTGTCTAGTTTTTTTCTCTTGTTGGTGAGGAGTTGTGATCCTTTGGAGGAGAAAAGGCATTGTGGTTTTGGAATTTTCAGCCTTTTTGAGCTGGTTTTTCCTCATCTTCATGGATTTATCTACCTTTGTTCTTTGATGTTGGTGACCTTCAGATAGGGTTTCTGTGTGGACGCCATTTTTGTTGATGTTGATGCTACTCCTTTCTGTTTGTTGGTTTTCCTTCTAACAGTCAGACCCCTCTGCTGCAGGTCTGCTGGAGTTTGCTGGAGTTCCACTCCAGACCTTGTTTGCCTGGGTATCACCAGCAGAGGCTGCAGAACAGCAAAGATTGCTGCCTGTTCCTTCCTCTGGAAGCTTTGTCCCAGAGGGGCACCCGCCAGATGCCAGCCGGAGCTCTTCTGTATGAGGTGTCTGTCAACCCCTGTTGGGAGGTGTCTCTTAGTTAGGGGGCACGAGGTTCAAGGACCCACTTGAGGAGGCAGTCTGTCTCTTAGCAGAGCTCGAGCGCTGTGCTGGGAGATCCACTGCTCTCTTCAGAGCCGGCAGGCAGGAACGTTTAAGTCTGCTGAAACTGTGCCCACAGCCGCAGCTTCCCCCAGGTGCTCTGTCCCAGGGAGATAGGAGTTTTATCTACAAGCTCCTGAGTGGGGCTGCTACCTTTCTTTCAGAGGTGCCCTGCCCAGAGAGGAGGAATCTAGAGAGGTAATTTGGCTACAGTGGCTTTGGGGCGCTGCGGTGGGCTTTGCCGAGTCTAAACTTCCTGGGGGCTTTGTTTACACTGTGAGGGTAAAACTGCCTACTCAAGCTTCAGTAATGGCGGATGCCCCTCCCCCCACCAAATTCCAGCATCCTAGGTTGACTTCAGACTGCTGTGCTGGCAGCAAGAATTTCAAGCCAGTGGATCTTAGCTTGCTAGGCTTCGTGAGGCTGAGATCCACGGAGCTAGACCACTTGGCTCTGTGGCTTCAGTGCCCACTTCCAGGGGAGTGAATGGTTCTGTCTCGCTGGTGTTCAGGCGCCACTGGGATATGAAAAAAACCTCCTGCAGCTAGCTCAGTGTCTGCCTAAATGGCCGCCCAGTTTTGTGCTTGAAACCCAGGGCCCTAGTGATGTAGGCACCCGAGGGAATCTCCTGGTCTGCGGGTTGTGAAGACCATGGGAAAAGTATAGTGTCTGGGCCGGAGTGCACCGTTCCTCAGGGCACAGTCCCTCACAGCTTCCCTTGGCTAGGGGAGGGAGTTCCCTGACCTCTTGCACTTCCTGGGTGGGTGGATGCCCCACTCTGCTTCAGCTTGCCCTCTGAGGGCTGCACCCTTTGTCTAACCAGTCCCAATGAGATGAGTCGGGTACCTCAGTTGGAAATGCAGAAATCACCTGCTTTCTGCATTGATCTAGCTGGGAGCTGCAGACTGGAGCTGTTCCTATTCTGCCATCTTGCCAGCTGCCAACCTAGAGCACTCTCTCCCTTAACTTTCCAGCTGCCCTGGTCAACCTTGAACATGGTTCTTTGACATTTCAAGCCACTAATACTTGTCACACTTGATGAATTGGGAAATGCCCTCAGGTAAAAAGAGACTTGTAGTTCTCGCTATGCATTTTCTGTGTCTTCAGGGTAGACTCCCACTCCAGCTTCTGCCTACATTCTGTTGCTTTCTAGTGCCTTCAAATAGTTAATATATTTTTTTTTTGGTTTAGATTTTATAATTCTCATTCGTAGTAGGGTTAGTGTGACCAAACTACTATGCCATTAACAGAAGCTGGAAGCCTACTGGCCTCCAGAACAATTTAATAAACACAGATACGATCATGTCATTTTCCCACTGAAGCCCTTAAGTTTCCTGTTTTTTAATGCCCTTGTCGTTCTCTATAACCTCATAAACTGGTCTCATGCACTATGTTCTAATCATATTGGCTTCTTTCAGCAAACAGCAAGTTTGTGCTATTTGTCTTATGCTTAATCTGAGTAAATTTGTACTTGTCTGCCTACTGTGAATTATTTCTCATACATAGCTCTCTGTTTATTTCTCTTTGGATAATCACATTCCTGTATTCAAATCCAGCTCCCACTTACTGGGTGTAACTTTGGACAAGTTACTTAACTTTACACCTCAATTCCCCATCTGTGAAATGGGGGTAAAGTTAATACTACTCCTACCTCAGAAGTTTGTTGTGAGGATTAAATAGATTTATATATATATATATAAAGCACTTTAGAATGGTGCCTAGTACCCAAAGCTCATATTTTTTTAAAAAAGTTGTTATTCTTTCTTAAGGTATAGGCTGAGAATCACCTGCCTCTGACTAGATCTCATGTGTTTTGATTTGCCATGTGGTTTACCTTATAAAAAATATTTTTTCCTCCTAATCCCAACCTCCCAACCTTAGGGATGATAGAAACTTAAGAAACAAAGGCCTAATAAGTGGTGTGAAGTCACTCAGTAAAGAAGAATTGAGTGCAGAGTTATTACACTTATCTCTGAACACAGATGTGTGTCATCAGCCTTGTATTCCTAAGCAACAGTTGAAAGCAGGTAGTATTTTTACTATAAATAATTAGAGATATATCTTATTTTATACACTAAGATTATTTATAACATTAGAATCGATAGTAAATTTTTATTTTGTACATTTAAAATAACATCGTTTGGAATACTTGCTGGCATGTAAGTCATTGAATAAATGGAAGTTATGATGGTAATCCAAAAGAAAACATAATTAACATTATTACCTTCTATATGTACTTTTACAAATTAATTTGATGTTTTTGTCTGCACGCTTACATACATTTTTACATTATAATCACTGTGTACATGCTAATTTGTACCTTGCAGAGTGTACCTGTATTTTTCACCTTCATTTTCTTCAAGTGAAACAGAGTATTCCTTTTAAATTAATAGCAGTTATAGGAGATATTTAGTTGACATAGAGATAATTTTTTAGTTTCTTTTTTAAGTTGGCTTTCTATTTATAACCTATTAATATGATAAAAACTCAGCTAGCAATAGAGAAACTTGTTGGAATCTAGTAATAGTTTTCTTTTTAAAAATTTTAAACTAATAATCAAGAAGTAACAGGCCGGGTGCACTGGCTTACGCCTGTAATCCCAGCACTTTGGGAGGCCGAGGCGGGTGGATCACCTGAGGAGTTCGAGACCAGCCTGGCCAACATGGGGAACCCCTGTCTGTACTAAAAATACGAAAAAATTCGCCGGGCGTGGTGGCGGGCGCCTGTAATCCCAGCTACTCGGGAGGCTGAGGCAGGAGAATTGCTTGAACCCAAGAGGTGGAGGTTGCAGTGAGCCGAGATTGTGCCATCGTACTCCAGCCTGGGCAACAAGAGCAAAACTCCGTCTCAGAAAAAAAAAAAAAAAGTAAGGACAATACTATTATTTCATTTTTTTTCACCAGAATAATCTGTTCTGTAGCTTGATATTTGAAGAAATATTTTATTAAACCTGACATTATTTATAAGTACATCCCACCTTTCCCCTCTTTGGGGAAAATGATTATTGAAGTCTCTAATATATGTGCATTTTATATATAATTGTGAAAATAGTCATATATACATATATACTACTTATTTACCCTTTTTGGAAATAACGTTTTTGTCATAATATTCAAAATGGCCTTTGAAGGAATAACAGGATATTCTAGTTTACAGTTTTTCAAGGGTAGTGTGCCTTTAGCTTGTCCACTTTGTAGAGATAAGCCACTTAATATTTTTAATTTTGCCATAAGAAAATTACAGTTGTTTTCAAGTATCTAAAAAGTAATGTTAATGAAGTGATATCACTTAAAATAATAAAAGCTCCTTTTAAAGGAGGAGGGCATGAAGATAGTTAAGCTGGAAATTTATTGATGTGGGCTGAGTTTAGAAAAATATTCCGTTTTTGCCAGCTACTCGGGGTGCTGAGGCAGGAGAATCTCTTGAACTCAGGAGGCAGAGGTTTCAGTGAGCCAAGATCGCGCCACTGCATCCAGCCTGGGCAACAGAGCGAGACTCCGTCTCAAAAGAAAAAAAAAAAGAAAAATATTCCATTTTTGGAAAAAAACCCATTTTGATCCATAGTTCTTGGTTTTTTGTTGTGAATAAATCCAAGGCATTCTTGTAACTCTCTTTGGAAAATAATAAAATTAAATTGTAGTTGAAATATCGCATACATTTCTTACATTTTTATTTGAGTAAAAATATTATTTAATTGCCTGTTAAAAAGATAAAACATTTGTTAAAGTAATATATTTATGTTGCATCTAAAGCAACTATAATAGAGATACATGTTTCTAAATTGTTTTGAAAATAAAATATTTGTTTGTTTTATATATAATTAAAATATATACATAAAATGTTTACTGTTTATGGCAATATACTAATTATATGTATAATAATTACTGTTAGCATTCTAAATAAAGTCTGTAACTATTTGTTTTAAAGAAACAACACCCTTGAAAGAGAGCTATAAGGAGGAATCTACAAATTCTGGACTGTCCATTCTGCTTGAGAGCATTGTATCTGATCTTGAAAAATCTCTTGGAACAGGTTTATCTTCAATATTAGAAACAGAAATGAAAATTGCTTTTGGAAACCTTTGGATGGAGGTGATTAGTTGAACTCTATTAGTTGAAAATTTCTTTTTTATTGCTGAAGATTTGTTATCTTAAGAAATATTACTTGTATAAAATGCATACGCTTCATTGAATAATCTGTATCATGTTACATTTTTCTTCAAGTTTTTGAAATAGTTTTTTGACAGTTAAATGATGGACATTTCTTAATGGTTAGGAATATATGTTATTCTTTTTTTTGAGCAAACAGATATTTATTTTGCATCTGCTGTGTGTCAGATGCACTGTCCCATGGTGCTTAAATTGAATGAAAAAAAACTTGTCTATTTAATTTGAGTCAAAATGTCTAATATAAGGAATCTCTCTAGCAATATGTATTCAGAAAAAGAAGTATGTATTTTTGCTTGTGCCATGTAAATGTAAGAATCAGAGTATAAGTTGATTGTATTAGTAAGATATTTTGAAATTTCTTTGGATTCACACCTTTTTGACAATCAGTAAAACTCTAATAATAATGGTTTCAAAAGTTCAGTGTTTTTTGTTTTGTTTTGTTTTGAGACGGTGTCTCGCTCTTGTTGTCCAGGCTTGAGTGCAATGGCATGATCTTGGCTCACTGCAACCTCCGCCTCCCAGATTCAAGTGATTCTCCTGCCTCAGCCCCCCAAGCAGCTGGGATTACAGGCATGTGACATCACGCCCAGCTAATTTTTGTATTTTTATTAGAGACGAGGTTTCACCATGTTGGTCAGGATGGTCTTGAACTCCTGACCTCAAGTGATCCTTCTGTCTCAGCCTCCCATAGTGCTGGGATTACAGGCGTGAGCATTTATAGCTAGGAGAAACATGATTTTGCATCAATCATAGCTTGTATCTATTCCAGCTGTTCTGTGAGATTCTAATATTTGCCAGAACGGTGCATTTGCTACTTGATTATATTGACAAAGTTGAACCAAAATGATGACGAATCATCAGAAGATACTAGGAGTGTTGATATCTCATAGTAGAGATAAGGAAAGTAATTGTATATATGTGAGTGATTCAGAAAAGGAAGTGCTGACATCTTATAGAATTAAATGATCAATGTTTTTAATAGGCATGTCTTTGCAAGAGTGTAACAAGTGACAGTTGTCACTGACATCTTTTTTCTTCTCTTTTTTTTTGAGATGGAGTTTGGCTGGAGTGCAGTCGCGTGATCTCGGCTCACTGCAACCTCCTCCTTCCGGTTTCAAGCTATTCTCCTGTCTCAACCTCCCAAGTAGCTGGGAATACAGGTGTCTGCCACCAGGCCCAGCTAATTTTTGCATTTTTAGTAGCTATGGGGTTTCACCATGTTGGCCAGGCTGGTCTCGAACTCCTGACCTTGTGATACGCCCACGTCGGCCTCCCAAAGAGATAGGATTACAGGCATGAGCCACCGAACATCTTTTTTCTATACTGATTTTCACCCAGTTACATGAAATAATTAGATTAATTTTCTTATAGCGATGACTGCGTTGACAAGTAGATTGAAGGACCTTAGCTGATAAAACTATGTTTCCTCTGATTAGATGTATGTTTTTCTTTTTTGCACAGTTTCTGAAACTATTAAGATTAATACTAACATGAGTTTTACAAAAGCAATTTGCAATGGAATTAGCATTTTAATGTTATGATTGACTTTACATCTTTTAATTTAAAAAGAATCCAACTAATTATATTTTGCTCAAAATATATGTAGGAATTCCTAAATAGGTACTTTTTAATAATTGGAATAATAAATCTAGAGATGTTAATTTTTTTCTACATACTCTTTAGATCCTGTACCTGAAACCACCATGGACTCTACTACATTTACTACAGTGCTTTAAAAAACATTGGTTGGCTGTATTTGGATTAGTTATGGAAAAGAACTTGCTTTTAACTATTGAGAGCCTATACAAAAATCTCCGTAAAGGTATGAATCTTTTATTTTTCTCTTTAGCAGTGTTGTATTAAGTCAGACTAGCAGATATATTTCCTGGGATGTGAAGATAAATTAATGAAGAATTTGTTAATTAGTTCTTAATCATTTATACTTCTAATTTATAAAGGTATTTGTGGAAACTGGATGAACAGATGCAGCTCATAGAGCTATGTATTTGTGGAAACTGGATGAATAGATGCAGCTCATAGAGCTTGTGACTGTAAATGGTATTGTTGATATTTCAAAATATTGTGAATATATAATTTTTGATGATGTCTACTTTGAAAACTTTTAAAACCATGTTTTACATTCTGTTCAGATACACCAATAGAATTAATTAGACTTTTTTCGTTTCTTACAGTGTTTAACACAAACTTTGAGCACATTTCATGTACTAATTTTCAGAATAGTGTGTCAAGGTTTCTATTTAAACTATATAGATAAGGAACAGGAAACCTTTGGCTTTGGTGTATAGTGAATTTTAGAACTGGAAGAGACCACAGTGAACAACTTAGTTGTTTTTTAAACTATATTGAACAGAACTTTTGGCTTCTTGAAGTGCCTCTGCTGCCACAGATGGATGATGGAAAGATTGAAGGGGGAGCCCAGTAGGTGGTGCCTTTGGCCCTCAACCCCAACTTTAGCCAGAGCAGCTTTTAAAAATTTCTTTATGGAGATTCTATATAGGACTTGGAAAAAAGTTTATCTGCTGTGAGGAAAAAAATGTGAGAAAAACTGATCTAATGTTATTAAAGCCTATATTTTATGATCAAGTAAACTAGTCTTGAAACAGTAAGTGACTTGTTCAAATAACTAGATTTGTCTTGTTATGCCTTTAAAAGGCAAAGACTGGGCATGGTGGCTCATGCCTGTAATCTCAGCACTTTGGGAGGCCAAGGTGGGTGAATTGCTTGACCCCAGGAGTTCAAGGCCAGCCTGGGCAACATGGTAAAACTCCCTTTCTAAAAAAAATACAAAAGTTAGTCAGGTGTGTGGTGCATGCCTGTAGACCCAGCTACTTGGGAGGCTGAGGTGGGAGGATCATCTGAGCCTGAGAGGTAGAGGTTGCAGTGAGCCAAGATGGTGCCACTGCACTCCGGCCTGGGCAACAGAATGAGACCCTGTCTCAAAAAAACATATATATAATATAAATAAGCAAAGTGTGATTATTATTAAAGGTTCAGTTGGTACTTTGCTTTTTTCAAACTCCTCACATGAAGTGATGTGTTTATTATTTCATATATTAATTATATCCAGCGTACTTCTGAAGCATAACTCTGATGGCTTCTAACAACCTGAGTACAAGAGGGCCGTTAAATAATTAAATTATTAAAGGCACCAAGGCCAGATAATGAAGAATAGGAGATGATTAATCATGAATCATATGCAAATCATTATTGCAGCACTTGAGCCCAGATTCTAACCTTAAAATCTTCATAGAAGCTAGGAAAAAAAGGAAAAAAATTGCATATTCTATGATAGGTGTACCTTATTCTCTGTCTTTTCCTTGAAGTGTAAACTCTTTGAAAATGAGTTGTTCTCAGAGGAGTAAAGGGTAGAATAGTGATTACCAGAGGATGGGGAAGGTGCAGTGGTAGGGGATGATAAGAGATTGAGCAATATAAAAAGCTACAGTTAGATAGGAGGAATAAGTTCTGGTGTTCTGCTGCATTGTAGGATGACTAGAATTAACAGTTACGTATTGTGTATTTCAAAATAGCTGTAAGAGAATATTCCTATCACAAAGAAATGATAAATGCTTAAGGTCATAGATATGCTAATTACCCTGATTTAATTGTTACACAATTTATACATATGTCAAAACATCACATTGTACTCCATAAATATGTACAATTATTATGTGTCAACCATAAATAAAGTAAGTCGATAAATAAATATTTCCCCTAGGGGATTTAAAGCACCTAGTCATTTCCTTATGTCTCATCCATGTTAGATGTTCGATGAATATCTTTTTTTTTTTTTTGATCTCCTAACATGATGCATTTACTCAGGAGTAAGGAAAAAGGATTCTAATCTAGGATGCATAGCTGTGGCAAGCCACAAGTGCACCTGAAGAGGAGAGAGTAAGGGAAAGCTTTTATTGGCAAAAAGAAGTTCATACAAGCTGCTTAAAAACAGAGTTTATTGGTGCCTGAGGCTCAAAGTCAGAGTTGGCATTAGTTCATTGGTGGAGACACTGTTACTGGGCAAAAGTTTTTTCAAGAACGTCTTATCTGAACTGCTGTGGTCCTAAAGAATGTCTAGTGATAAACCCGGTTTAGAAATATGTGCATACATGCAAGACGTGGATCATGAAAAGCATGAGATGCATGAAGGACATGGAGGAATTTCTTGTGGGATTTTTTTAAGAAAATCCTTGAGACTGTTGTTATCTCAGAAATGCAAGCATGAGCTCCCCTCCTTCGTGCTATCCTGGCTCCAGTTTCTTATTTATTTATTTATTTATTATTATACGTTAAGCTCTTGGGTACATGGTGCAGAACGTCCAGGTCTGTTACATAGGTATACACGTTCCATGGGGGTTTGCTGCACCCATCAACCCATCATCTACATTAGGTATTTCTCCTAATGCTATTCTGTAGTCCCCCACCCCCTGACAGGCCCCAGTGTGTGATGTTCCCCTCCCTGTGTCCATGTGTTCTCATTGTTCAGCTCCCACATATGAGTGAGAACATGTGGTGTTTGGTTTTCTGTTCTTGTGTTAGTTTGCTGAGAATGATGGTTTCCACTTTCATCCATGTCCCTGCAAAGGAGATGAATTCATCCTTTTTTATGGCTGCATAGTATTCCATGGTGTATATGTGCCACATTTTCTTTATCCACTCTATCATTGAAGGGCATTTGGGTTGGTTCCAAGTCTTTGCTATTGTGAACAGTGCCGCAGTAAACATACATGTGCATATGTCTTTATGGTAGAATGATTTATAATCCTTTGGGTATATACCCAGTAATGGGATTGCTGGGTCAAATGATATTTCTAGTTCTAGATCCTTGAGGAATCACCACACTGTCTTCCACAATGGTTGAACTAATTAACACTCCCACCAACAGTGTAAAAGCATTCCTATTTCTCCACATCCTCTCCAGCATCTGTTGTTTCTTGACTTTTTAATGATCGCCATTCTAACTGGTATGAGATGGTATCTCATTGTGCTTTTGATTTGCATTTCTCTAATGACCATTGATGATGAGCTTTCTTTCATATGTTTGTTGGCTGCATAAATGTCTTCTTTTGAGAAGTGTCTGTTCATATCCCTCGCCCACTTTTTGATGGGGTTGTTTTTTTCTTGTAAATCTATTTAAGTTCTTTGTTGATTCTGTATATTAGCTGTTTGTCAGATCGATAGATTGCAAAAATTTTCTCCCATTCTGTAGGTTGCCTGTTCACTCTGATGATAGTTTCTTTTGTTGTGCAGAAGCACTTTAGTTTAATTAGATCCCATTTGTCAATTTTGGCTTTTGCTGCCATTACTTTTGGTGTTTTAGTCATGAAGTCTTTGCTCATGCCTATGCCCTGAATGGTATTGCCTAGGTTTTCTTCTAGGGTTTTTATGGTTTTAGGTGTTATGTTTACATCTTTAATTCATCTTGAGTTAATTTTTGTATAAGGTGTAAGGAAGGGATCCGGTTTCAGCTTTCTGCATATGGCTATCCAGTTTTCCTAACACCATTTACTTGGACAAAATTCAACAGCCCTTCAAGCTAAAAACTCTCAAGAAACTAGGTATTGATGGAACGTATCTCAAAATAAATAAATAGCTCTTAAGCTGTGTATGACAAACCCACAGCCAATATCATACTGAATGGGCAAAAGATGGAAGCATTCCCTTTGAAAACCAGCACAGGACAAGGATGCCCTCTCTCACCACTCCTATTGAACATAGTATTGGAAGTTCTGGCCCGGGCACTCAGACAAGAGAAATAAATACAGTGTATTCAGTTAGGAAAAGGGGAAGTCAAATTGTCTCTGTTGCAGATGACGTGATCGATATTTGGAAAACCCCATCATCTCATCCCAAAATCTCCTTAAGCTGATAAGCAACTTCAGCAAAGTCTCAGGATACAAAATCAATGTGCAAAAATCACAAGCATTCCAATAAACCAAGAACAGACAAACAGAGAGCCAAATCATGCGTGAACTGCCATTCACAATTGCTACAAAGACAATAAAATACCTAGGAATACAACTTAAAAGGGATGTGAAGGTCCTCGTCAAGAACTACAAACCGCTGCTCAAGGAAGTAAGAGAGGACACAAACAAATGGAAAAACATTCCATGCTCATGGATAGGAAGAATCAATATAGTGAAAATGGCCATACTGCCCAAAGTAATTTATAGATTCAGTGCTATCCTCATCAAGCTACCATTGACTTTCTTCACAGAATTGGAAAAAAATACTTTAAATTTCGTATGGAACCAAAAAAGAGCCCACATAGCCAAGACAATCCTAAGCAAAATGAACAAAACTGGAAGCATCACACTGCCTGACTTCAAACTATACTACAAGGCTACAGTAACAAAAACAGCATGGTACTGATACTAAAACAGATATATAGACCAGTGGAACTGAACAGAGGCCTCAGAAATAACACCACACATCTACAACCATCCAAATATCTATTTTTATAAGTTACCAATTTTTTAAGGAACGGCACTTTCCTGTCATTGCCTTCAGTTGTAGAAGTTGTTTATTAGGGATATGATTATATGAAGGACATGGAGCAACATATTGGACATCTCTCCAAAGCGGTTTTATAAACAACAGGTGCTGGAGAGGATGTGGAGAAATAGGAACACTTTTACACTGTTGGTGGGACTGTAAACTAGTTCAACCATTGTGGAAGTCAGTGTGACGATTCCTCAGGGTTCTAGAACTAGAAATACCATTTGACTCAGCCATCCCATTACTGGGTATATAACCAAAGGACTATAAATCATGCTGCTATAAAGACACATGCACACATATGTTTATTGTGGCACTATTCACAATAGCAAAGACTTGGAACCAACCCAAATGTCCAACAATGATAGACTGGATTAAGAAAATGTGGCACATATACACCATGGAATACTATGCAGCCATAAAAAATGATGAGTTCATGTCCTTTGTAGGGACATGGATGAAACTGGAAACCATCATTCTCAGCAAACTATCGCAAGGACAAAAAACCAAACACTACATGTTCTCACTCATAGGTGGGAATTGAACAATGAGAACACGTGGACACAGGAAGGGGAACATCACACTCCAGGGACTGTTGTGGGGTGGGGGGAGTGGGGAGGGACAGCATTAGGAGATATACCTAATGTTAAATGATGAGTTAGTGGGTGCAGCACACCAACATGGCACATATATACATATGTAACAAACCTGCACATTGTGCACATGTACCCTAAAACTGAAAGTGTAATAATAATAAAATAAAAAAAATAAAGCATGTAGAATCTCTTTTCATATCTTTTACCTGGGTCATAATTTAGTTGATCTTTTAAAAGAGAAAGTCCGTAAACTATGTGTGATCTCAAAGTTAGTGTAAAAAATGAGGTGTCTAGTTGCCATCTTCCATCTGTTTTTCCTGGCAGGGGGGTCTGCTCTTAGACGCAGCTGAGAGGTGGTAGGTGGCAGCTCTAACTGCCATTAAGGAGAGAAGTGAAGATGTGATGACTGTATCTTCTGCTGAAAAATCAGTTTTGTGATCATTATAGTTTATTGGTCTTTGATCTCGAAGAATCTGATGCCTAACGTTTAATGAGTTATGAAGAATATGTCATGGGATTATAAAAGTACCTCTTGCCAGGAGTTCATTGCCAGCGTGGCCAACATGGTGAAACCCTGTCTTTACTAAAAATCCAAAAAAAATAGCTGGGCGTGGTGGTGGGTGCCTATAATCCCAGCTACTCGGGAGGCTGAGGGAGGAGAATCACTTGAACCCGGGAGGTGGAGGTTGCAGTGAGCCGAGATTGCGCCATTGCACTCCAGCCTGGGCAACAAGAGTGAAACTCTGTCTCAAAAAAAAAAAAAAACTTCTTGCTGTAAGATAATTTTGAATGAGAAAAATCACAGTTTATGTTCTTGTGTACTATCTTTTAATAATACCTTCAGCTGTTGAATTATATATTTGTTTAACTTGAGAATACCACGCATGTATCCTTAGATTAGTTCATAGAAAATTGTGTGGAAAATGACTAGTAACTTTTATGACTTTGTTACCCATATTAGCTTTAAATAATTATTGGCCTTATATAAGCATTAGACTATTTCATTCATGTAGATTTCTTTTTTTGTTGTGTCTGTATACTGGATTTATTATTGTTATTACCCTTTTCCTCATAATCTTAGGAACTTTTGTAAGACAGAAATAAAATGATTAATTCATATATGTAAGCCTCATTAAACATATGTTACATTGGAAAAGCACCCTTAAAAGAAGTTGTGTCCAATTATATCTTCCTCAGGGGATTTACGTAGTTCATCACATCTACAGTCTGTCCTGTGTGTAGCATCTCTCATTACCCACAGGAATTTAAACTAGTCATTGGCTTTAAAAAGAAATGAAAGTTTTCCTGTAAGGAAATACATTGGCTTGCTTTATTATTATTTTTTATATTTTTGGATAAAGGAGAAGCCAGAGGCTTGGCTACAACCATTACATTAGATTAGAGTTTCTGAATATTGTGGAATTAATTATTAAGATATAGTTTTTATTTCACTTGACCCTTCAGGATTTCACAAGCAAGTTCTTGTGTAAGTGATACAGAGAAACTCCTTATTGTTTTTTAAACTCATAGTGCCATTGAACAGCCATGCTGATATTTCAGAATACAATAGAGTCTCTGAAACTGTGAACATTAAAACAAAAAGTAAACAACAGTATAGCATGGTTATTTTGAAAACTGTTAGGTAGCATTCTGCTTTAATAATGGAAATAATTTTTTCTGTTCTGAGTTTTATGATATTACTTAATTTTATTGTTTATAACTTTTGAAATTTTTGAAATTATTGTCACCAGCTTTCCCAACTAGTTTGAGAAGTTAATGTAATTAGTTTTAGTTCCTTGAGATAAAATTGTTATACCTTTAAATTATTGTTTGTAGATTTTCTCACTTTTAATTTACAGGAAAAAAATTCTGCAGGCTTCTTTTGCTTCTCACTGTTGCCCAAACTTTTTTTCTCTCCTGAAGTTGTGTTGTACATATAGAGATAACTCATAGTTTTCAATAAACATAGTATTGAGTTTCATGCAATGGAGTTGAAGATAAATCACTATGTAGATAGCTGAGGTGATGACGAGAGGTACCATATATAACTGACATGCTTACCAGTGTAGTCTCACTCTTCTGATCTCTCCACAGTACTCTTATGTGAAATCACCTCAGCATTGAAATCTGTGGTTTGACTTGTTTCTTTGGTGATTTTCTCTTTTTTCTGGGGAGTGTAATATTCTTTAACTTTACTTTTACTTTGAAGTTGACCGTGCTGACAGAACTCCTGAAATCTGAATTCAGAATACCAGAATCAACTCAAAGGACTTTATCTATAACTAAATCTATTTAATTATTGCTTTTTGTACCAGAGGGATAACTTAGGAGTGGCATATAGGTATAAATGTATACTCTTTTTAAATTTCAAAATTAATATTAGTGTTCCAAAGACATTTTTATGATGTATACTCATTCTTCCATATTTTTCTGTCTTAATTTTCTGTTACCAGCTAATAAGGCAGTGGATTTTACAACAGTCAAATTCTTGCTTCAGGATTCTAGAAGTTTGTTACATGCTTTCAGTACAAGGTCAAATTATGATGGTATTCTTCCACAGACCTTTGCTCAAGTAAACAACCTCCTTCAGACATTTGCAGAGGTAAGATGCCTTTGGAATGCCAGTTAGAGTAGCTAATTATACATGTTCTGAAAATGTGTTTAGCAGACAACAGTAGGTAAAGGATAATTTAATTCTAACTTATTCTAACATACTAAAGGCGTTAAGTAAATGTTAAGTGAATTGAATACAGAGTAAGCAACTCTAACAAGTTATAAAACCCATACCTCCTTTTATGGAAGCAGTGTCACAGCAGTTGTTCTTATTTTATATTATTTTCACTTATGGATGGAAGAAAGCTATGCATGCTATTTGACTGTTCATTTACAGTGCCCTAGGCCAGTGGATCTCACATACATCAAAAATACCTAGGAAATTGTTTTAAACATACAGATGTCAACACTGTCTGAAACCCTATTGAATCTATTTTTTGACAGTGTTACTTGGTAATGTTGTTGTCCTTGTTTTACTTTTTATTTTGAAATAATTTCAAACTTATAAAATGGTTACAAGAGCAGTACAAAGAATTCCCATATATATTATTTACCCTGATTCTCCAAATGTTAATATTTTGTCACATTTGCTTTATTGTTTTCTTTCTCTACCTACCCACCTGTCTGTCTGTCCATCTATCTACCTATCTATATTTTTTTCTGAGCTATTTGATAGTATGTTGCAGATAGGATGCCCTTTTTCCCCCAGGTGCTCTTTTTCCCCAAGATATTTCCATATGTATTTTCTAAAAATAGGGATATCCTATGTAACTACAATATAATTAATCATGAAATTAACATTGATACAATAGTTATCTGTGAACCTTATCCAAACTTTGCCAATTTGTGAAGTTTTTAACAAGTTTCATGTGATTCTTATGCAGCCATCTTAGCTGATGCCTTTTTATCTCTTTTAAACTTAACTCTCTAATTTTTGTACCCAGTAATACAGACTTATTTTTTTGACACAGGGTTTTACTCTGTCACCCTGGCACGATCAGGGCTCACTGCAACCTCCACCTACTGGGCTTAAGTGATTCTTCCACGTCAGCCCCCCGAATAGCTGGGTCTACAGGCATGGCACCACCACACCTGGCTAATTGTTCATATTTTTAGTAGAGGCAGAGTTATGCCCTAATACCTAGGCTAGTCTTGACTCCTGGACTCAAGCAATCCTCCTGCCTCAGCCTCCCAAAGTGTTGGGAATACAGGTGTGAGGTACTGTGCCTGGCCTCTAATTTCAAGTCTAGAAAAATCTGAGAGTTTTATGTAGCATAAACAGCTCAAAAAACCTCAGTTATCACTATTACTAAAAGAGATATTAATGGAACTTTTATCCAGTATAGATATTATGTTCTCTTTTTTCTCTGAGGAACTGAATTGTCCAGGTTTTTCTCATTGATTTTTCATAGTCAGATAGGTCCCCTGCCTATGAAGTAATCAAAGGATTAGATGATACTAACATTAATCATAGTTGATGAGGAAAGCACTTCCTTGCTAAGAGAATACTTACTTCATGGAGTAAAGGAAGCAGCTTTTTAAATAAACTGAGTGGAAATATGTGATCATTCTTGAGGAAAGAATTTATTTAAGGGGTGATATGATCTTTTGGTTTGAGATGACCAAAACATTGGTAGTTTTATTTTTTTAATGGCAAGCGTGATTTTTAGAACTATTAGTAGGAAAAAATGGGCCTAGGGATTTAGAGGGTTATAGCATGAGTATTGTACCTTGATTGTGTTGGAAAAGATGTGTTCTCCTTTCCCGTCACAAAATTGAGTCCTAAATCATATCCTTAGTGAATAAAATGTGGTGAACAGATGGAAAGTGCAAGATACTTAAAGTCTTAACAGTCTTTTAATTAAGATTATTGAGAATAAAACAAAATTTAGGATTCATTGAAATAAAAACAATAATGTGTAGTTTTTAATCCTCTTCATCGATAAAAACCTACAGATGGGAGGTACCATGAAAATATGATGTTAAAATTTTGTATTGTTTGTCAGATAATGATATGCCTACTACGTATATGTTGCCCATTGCATACTTAAAAGTATTGACTTGACTGGGCATGGTGGTTCATGCCTGTAATCCCAGCACTTTGGGAGGCTGAGTTGGGTGGATCACCTAAGGGCAGCAGTTCAGGACCAGCCTGGCCAACATGGCAAAACCCTGTCTCTACTAAAAATACAAAAATTAGCCAGGCATGGTGGCACACACCTGTAGTCCCAGCTACTTGGGAGGATGAGGCAGGAGAATTACCTGAACCCAGGAGGCAGAGGTTGCAGTGAGCTGAGATCGTGCCACTGCACTCCAGCCTGGGAGACAGAGCAAGACTCCATTTCAAAAAAAAAAAAAAGAAAAGAAAAGAAAAAAACCAGTGACTTGTTAATAAATTATTTATTTCTGGTTCTTAAGTTTCATTTGCTACGTTAGCAAGAGATTCATGAAGGCGAGTAGCAAAGAATCTAGCATCCTAATAGTGCTTTCCCCTCAACACTTGGCTTTAGTGTGATTACTTGAAACCATCCACGCTGTTTCCAGGATTAGAACTCTGAAGTGTTGCACCTTTATTTTTGTGTTAGAAACAATTCATTGAGTAAACGAAGAACTTTATGATTTAGTATAGTCCTTTAAAACAGGGGTCCACAACCCCTGGGCCATGACTGGTATTGGCATAGCAGGAGGTGAGCAGCGAGCAAGCAAGCAAAACTTAATCTGTATTTACAGTTGCTCCCCATCACTCACATTACTGTCTGAGCCCCACCTTTTGTCAGATCAGCAGTGGGATTAGATTCTTATAGGAGCATGAACCCTATTGTGAACTGTGCATACAAGGGATCTGGGTTGCATGTTCCTTATGAGAATCTAATGCCTGATGATCTGTCACTGTCTCCCATCATCCCAGATGGGACTGTAAGGTCAGGGCTCCCACTGATTCTACATTATGGTGAGTTGTATATTCCTTCCCTCCCTCCCTCTTTCCCTCCCTCCCTTCCTCCCTTCCTCTCTAGAGTTCTCTGTTGTTGCCCAGGCTGGAGTACAATGGCACGATCCCAGCTTATTGCAACCTCCACCTCCCAGGTTCAAGTGATTCTCCTGCCTCAGCCTCCCAAGTAGCTGGGATTACAGGCACGTCCTACCACACCTGGCTAATTTTTGTATTTTTAGTAGAGACAGGGTTTCACCATGTTGGCCAGGCTGGTCTGGAACTCCTGCCCTCAGGTGATCCACCCACCTTGGCCTCCCAAAGTTCTGGGATTACAGACATGAGCCACTGCACCCAGCCAATTATTTCATTATATATTACAATGTAATTATAATAGAAATAAAGTGCACAATAAATGGACTGTGTTTGAATCATCCTGAAACCATCCTCCCGCTTACCCGTCCATGGAAAAATTATCTTCCACAAAACTAGTCCCAGTTGCCAAAAAGGTTGGGGACTGATGCTTTAAAATATACTTTTAACAGGAGTTGTTTTATAGAATGTATTAGATTTGATATATGTCTTATATATTTGGTCATGTCTCAGTAACTTGAGCAACAAATAGATTACCTCCAAAGATATGGTATCTCCTAGTAACTGTAAAAACTACCTAATCTTAATTTATTAAGTGTAGAAAATCAGGAAGAGAGGAATATTCATTATTTGATTGCTTTGAGAAACTAAAATGGAGATAAACTAACTTTATCATTTTCCAGATTTTTTTTTGGGAGACAGGGTCTCGCTTTGTAGCCCAGACCTGAGTGCAGAGTTGTGATCATAGCTCATAGCTCTCTGTGACCTTGACCTCGTGTCAAATGATCCTCCAGCCTCAGCCTCCTGAATAGCTGGAACCACAGGCATGTGCCACAATGCTGAGCTAATTTTTAAATTTTTTTGTACAGACTAGGTCTCACTTTGTTGCCCAGGTTGGTCTTGAACTCCTGGCCTCAAGCAATCCTCCCGCCACAGCCTCCTAAAGTGCTAGGATTACACGCATGAACCGTCATGCCCTGCCTTTTCCAGATTTTCATGTAAGAGGGGAGAAATAGGAAAAGGATACGTACACTTTCGTTTTATGGGCCTTCTAACCACTAAAAAAAATAGGACTTGCTTTTTGCTAAGATGATAGAGTAATTAAAATCAATCTTGTTAATAAGCTTCAGACTTACATGCCTCAGGATCCTGAGTTGTGGTATTTTTAACCTCTAGTTAATTAAACTCTCTGGACCTTAATTCTCTCTTTTGTAAAATGAGTGTAATAATAATGCTGGCCTTAGAATTGTCACGTGAATTAACAAGTTAATATTTGTGGAGACCTTAATGTCTAGCATGTAGTAAGTGCTATGTAGTATTTGATAAAGAAATCCACTTGCGTAGTATATACACTACTATTTAAGAGCTAAAGAAAAGAGGCATTAGGTAAATGCTGGGCTGTATTTTAAATATATTTGGTGATAAAAAATTATCTCAGGATAAAATGTCTTTTCATTTATGTCTATTCATTAAATTCAGAATTTAAGGTAAACAGACAAAAATGGGAAGAATCATCTTTTTAACTTTTCTTCTTGCCCCAGAAGATAAAGAAGGGTAACATTTACTTTTACAGATGGAGAGAGCTCATAACTTCATTCTAGTCAGATTGCTGAAGGTCAAATCCTGTTCATGCCTTTTATCATCTGTGTGACCTTGGATGAGTTAATTAACCTTTCTATGCCTCAGTTTTGTTGATTATAAGATATGGACCATCATAGTATCTGTTTCATAGGGTAGTTGTTAGGATTAAATGAGCTAATAAATAGAAAATTCTGAGAAAGTACATAACAAATGCTCAATAAATATTAACTGTTACTACTGATAGTATTGGAAATTTTATTTAAAAAAATTTTAATATGTATGAAATTAGCAATCCATGAAGCTAATCCTTTGAAATAATCATTTTATCACAGGGAACTTAAGCCTAGAGAAATGGAGTGATTTTATTTAAGTTTACAAAGCATATTTATAGTAGAGCCAAGACCAAAAAACTAAGTTTTTAAACTTATAGTTAAAATTTTGTACATTCTGTTAGGTACTTTTCCTTTTTTCCTCTGCATGATATATATATTTTTAAAAACTGGAATCAGTAGTTTATCTCTTTTACTGTGCTTTAAACTATGCTTAGATCTTTTCCATTCTTAAATACCGTACTTTTCACTGGCCATTCTGTTTACTGCACTGGCCTTCCATCAACTACCAAACTTCTTAAAAGAGCAATTTATGGCCAGGCATGGTGGCTTATGCCTGTAATCCCAGCACTTTGGAAGGCCAAGGTGGGCAGATTGGTTGTGCCACAACCAGTCTGGGCAACCAACCAGCCTGGGCAACATGGCGAAACTCTGTCTCTACAACAAATAAAAAAAATTAGCTGGGCCTGATGGCTTGCACCGCTGGTCCCAGCTACTGGGGAGGGTTGAGGATCACCTGAGTCCTAGAGGCAGAGGTTGCAGTGAGCCGAGATCACACCACTGCACTCCAGCCTGGGTGGCAGAATGAGACCCTGTCTCAAAAAAAAAAAAAAAAAAAAAAAAAAGAGCAATTTCTAACCATTGTTTTCATTTTTGCACTCTTTTTTTTTTGTTTTATTTTCTTGTCTCTTTTTCTTTTCTTTCTTTCTTTTTTTTTTTGCCAACTGCACAAGGCTAGAGCACTCACTTACCTGTTAATCCTTTACAAGTAGAATTTTATCTCCACACTCCACTGAAAGAAACTGTAGGTTGTCATTTGCTTTCTGATTATCAAAATTACCCTTTTCTCTTTCTTATTCTTCTTCTCAGTCCTTCTTCAGCACTTGGTGGTGTCTATCCTTTCTTTCCTGAAACCTGACTCCCTTGGCTTCTATTGTTATTGCATACTGATTCTTCCCCTCTTATTTTTGCTAGTTCCTACTTTTCCCCCTTCAGTTTGTCTATTTCATCTCCTAAGACTTGTCTCCATGAGAATGATTCTTAACTGTATATTTAAGCTGCAGATCTACATATCCAATTACTTGCTAACTATCTTTACCTGGATAACTTTTTATACCTCAAACTCAACATATACCTAAAAAACAAACATATTCTGTTCATCCAAAGAGGATTCTTATTTGCAAGCAGCCTCTCTTCTTAGCTTTACAACAAGAGGCCATAAAATTTGGAAACATAGACAAATACACACTACAGTTTATTGCTACTACACTATAATATGTGATATGTTCAGTGAATTGTCCCTCATTAGCAACGCATAAGTTAATGTGATCTTTAAAATTGCAGTGATTGTGGAACATCAAATAGTATTTCCATCAATTCCTGTATATGTATGTGAGACGTATTGCTTCCGAGTATTTGTTTGACTTTTACTGAGTAAAACTGTATACATTCCTCTGGGGAAGTAATCAAGAAGGTTCAGTCTACTTAGTGTGCATGTGTGCGTGCACACAGACACACACACACACACACACACACACACACACACTCTTCTAGATTTATGACCACCCTAAGTTCCTATTTATTTGTATCATTCTTCTAACACATCTAGGTTAAAGAATGTCTTGGGGTCTCCCTCACTCCCTGGATCTAGTCTTTGGCCAAGTCTTTATATTTCTTGCATGCATTTTATTTTTCTTTTCATTCTGCTGCCTTTTTATAGCTAATCCATGTTCTCAGGACTCTCCTCTTGGATTATTTCAGTAACTTTCTAACCAGTTTTCTTGCCTCCGCTTTCTTCTGTTTTAGTTTATCTTAGAGTGCACTTCTGAGTATATCACTGCCTAAGTTAGAAACCTTCAGTGGTTCACCATTACCCATAACCTGAGGTTTAAATTATATCTTGATTTTTTTTTTAAACAACACTTTGCAGCCCTTTACATTTTCTTAAAACTGGATTGTAAGGTGCTTCAAGGCTTGATTGTACCTCTATACTTTGTATTCTAGGGGTCCTCTATCTCTTTCAGTACTGCATATGTAGAAGTATTCAAGCAGTATTCTTAAATTGACATTAGCATGTTAGCGAAACAAATCATTATAAGTAGATTGGAAATATTGTTTGATTTAAATGGAAAAGGAAAATATCTTTTCTAGCTCTGATGCTTTTCTGGGAATATTATGTACATAATAAAAGAAAAAGAATTGCCACCACTTCTCAGAAAGCTAGAACATTTGTAAGCACAGTTGCCACTCTCTTTTTCTCCTCTGCAAATGAAGAACTAGCTGCATTTTATGTAATTCTTATTTCCCCAGGTCAAGACAAAACTTAAGCCAAATTCTTCAGAAAACACAGTGACTAAAAAGCAGGAAGGTACTTCATTGAAGAATTCTCATAATCAAGAAATCACTGTTTTCTCGAGTTCTCATCTTCCCCAACCCAGCAGGCATCAAGAAATCTGGTCTATCCTAGAGAGTGTTTGGATTACAATATATCAGAACAGGTACTAAATTTGGGGGAATTTTTTTTTAGTTATTTTTTAAATTGACATTATAATTGTACATATTTACAGGGTACAATTTGATGTGCAATTTGACGTTTCAATAGATATATGTGATATATAATCAAATCAGGCTAGTGAGCCTGATGAATACCTCATGCATTTTAAGTGTTAAGTGAAAAAAAAAAGCTTTTTTCACTTAACATGATATTCTCCAGGTTTATCCACGTTGTCACAAGTGACAGAATAACGTTCTTTTTTATGGATGAAAAGTATTCCATTGTGTATATGTACCACATTTCCTTTATGCATTCATCCATTATTGGACACTTAGGTTGATTTCATATCTTGGCTATTGTAATGCATTTATCATGTATTTTTTCATGAGGTATTCATCAGCTCATGCATTTATCATGATCTTCTTTGTGATAAGAACATTTAGGCCGGGCGTGGTGGCTTACACCCATAGTCCCAGCACTTCGGGAGGCAGAGGTGAGTGGATCACTTGAGGTCAGTAGTTTGAAACCAGCCTGGCCAACATGGTGAAACCCCATCTCTACTGAAAAAAGAAAAGTACAAAAATAAGCCGGGCGTGATGGCGTGTACCTGTCATCCCAGCTGCTCAGGAGGCTGAGGCAGGAGAATTGCTTGAATCTGGAAGGTGGAGGTTGCGGTGAACTGACTGTGCCACTGCACTCCAGCCTGGGTGACAAAGCAAGACGCCATCTCAAAAAAAAAAAAAAAAAAAAAAAAATCAAAAGCCTCTCTTCTAGCTATTTTGTAATGTGCAATACTTTACTTTGAGCCATAGTCACCCTACTATGCAATAGAACACCAGAACTTATTCCACCTATCTAATTGTAACTTTGTACATGTTGACCAACCTCTCCTCATTCTCCCATCTCCGTTCTCTAGTGACCACTGTTCTACTCTGCCTCTGTGAGATAAACTATTGTATATAGTGCTACAGCAGACACAGGAGTGCAGGCATCTCTTTGACATACTCATTTCATGTCCTTTGGATGTATACCCAGTAATGGGATTGCTGGATCATACGGTAGTTCGGTTTTTAATTTTTTGAGGAACCTCTGTACTATTTTACATAATGGCACCACTAATTTACAAATCTCACTAACAGTGTATAAAGTGTTCCCTTTTCTGCACATCATTGCCAACACTTGTTTTTTTGTTTGTTGGTTTTTTTGAGGCAGGGTCTCGCTCTGTCACCCAGGTGGTAGTGCAGTGGTATAATCATGGCTCACTGCAGTGACCTACTGGGCTCAAACGATCCTCTCACCTCATTTTTTTGATTTTTTAATTTCTTATAGAGATGATATCTCACTATGTTGCCCAGGTTGGTCTCAAACTCCTGCAAACTCCTGGGCTTAAGCAGTCCTCTTGCCTTGGTTTCCCAAAGGATTACAGGTGTGAGCCACCGCACCTGGCCAACACTTTTCTTCTTTCTGATAATAGCCACTCTAACTGGAGTGAGGTGGTGTCTCAGTGTGATTTTGATTTGCATTTCCCTGATGATTAGTGATGTCAAGCATTTTTTATATACCTGGTGGCCATTCAAATGTCTTCCTTTGAAAAATTTATATTAAGGTCTTTTGCCCATTTTTTAAACTTTAAGTTCAGGGGTACATGTGCAAGTTTATTTTATTTGTAAACTTGTATCATGGGAGTTTGTTGTACAGATTATTTCTTCACCCAGGCATTAGGCCTAGTACCCATTAATTGTTTTTCCTGATCCTCTCCCTCCTCTCACCTTCCACCCTCCAATAGGCCCCAGTGTTCATTGCTCCCCTCCATGTGTCCATGTGTTCTCATCATTTAGCTCCCACTTATAAGTGAGCACAAGCGGTATTTGGTTTTTTGTTCCTGCATTAGTTTGCTAAGGATAATGCCCTGTATACACCATGAAGTATTAAGCAGCCATAAGAAAGAATGAGATCATGTCCTTTGCAGGGACATGGATGGAGCTGGAGGCCATTTATCCTTTTGCACATTTTTAATTGGGTTATCTTGTTTTCTTGCTGTTGAATTAAGTTTCTTACATATTCTGGATATTAATACCTTGTGAGATGTATAGTTTGCATATATTTTCTCCCATTTTCTTGGTTGTCTTTTCACTCTGTTGTTTCCTTCACTGTGTAAAAGCTTTTTCCCAATGTGTGTTCTTGGTACCCATGTCCAAAATCAGATGGCTTTGGGTATGTTAATTTACTTCTGGGCTCTCTATTCTGTTCCGTTGGTTTATGTGTCTGTCTTATGCCAGCCAGTACCATGCTGTTTTGGTTACTATAGCTTTGTGGTATATTTTGTTGTTTGTTTTTTTCTTGGTTAATTTTTGGTTGTTTGTGGTATATTTTGAAATCAGGTAGTGTGATGCCTCCAGCTTTGTTCTTTTTGCTCAGGGATTGCTTTGGCTATTCAAATTTGGCATGTGAAATTTATGATTTTTTTTTGTTTCTATGAAGAATGACACTGGAATTTTGGTAGAGATTGCATTAAATCTGTAGATCACTTTGGAAAGTATGACCATTTTGATGATATTAATTCTTCCAATACATGAACATGAGATATCTTTCCATTTATTGTATCCCCTTCTATTTCTTTTATCCATGTTTTAGAGTTTTCAGCGTAAGATCTTTCACCTCCTTGATTAGGTTTACTTTTTTGGTAGCTATTATAAATTGAATTGTTTTCTTGTTTTCTTTTTCAGATAGTTCACTATTAGCATATAGAAATGCTATTGACTTTTGTATGTTGATTAGTATCCTGCAACTTTATTGAATTCATTTATTATCTCTAAGACATTTTCGGTGGAGTCTTAAGAGTTTTCCATATATACGATCATGTTGTCTGTGAACAGGGATAATTTGACTTCCTTCTTTCCAATTTGGATGCCCTTCCTTTCCTTTTCTTGCCTAATTGCTATAAGACTTCCAGTACAATATTGAATACAAGTGGTAAAAGTAGGTGTTCTTGTTCCTTCAGTATGATGTTAACTATGGGTTTGTCATATATGGCCTTTATTGCATTGAGGTATGCTCCTTCTGTATCTAATTTTTTGGGAGTTTTTAATCATGAAGGGATGTTGAATTTTGTCAAATGGTTTTTCTGCATCTATTGAAATGATCCTATCATTTTTGTCTTTGATTCTGTTAATGTGGTTTATCACATTTATTGATTTGTGTATTTTCAACCATTCTTGCATCCCTGAGATGGATCCCACTTGATCATAGTGAACTTTTAAATGTGTGGTTGGATTCAGTTTGCTAGTATCTTGTTGAGAATTTTCGTACCTGTTTATCGAGGATATTGGTCTGTAGTTTCATTTTCTTGCCGTGTCCTTGTCTAGTTTTGAAATTGGTAATGTTGGCCTTGTATAATGAGTTTGCAAGTATTCCTGCTTCTTCAATTTTCTAGAATAGTTTGAGGAAAATTGGTATTAATTTTTCTTTAAATATTTGTTAGAATTCAGCAATGAAGCCATCAGGTTCCAGAATTTTCACTGATGGAAAATTTTATTTAAATATTTAGATACCCAAATATTTAACATTGTGTTACAACTGCCTGCAGTATTCAGTACAGTAATATCCTGTACAGATTTGTAACTAAGGAGCAATAGGCTATACCATACAGCCTAGATGTCTAGTAAGTCATACCATCTAGGTTTATGTAAATACACTCTAAGATGTTTGCATAACAATGCAATTGCCCAGCAGTGCATTTCTTAGAATGTATTCTTATTGTCTTAAGTGACACGACTGTATTACTGTTATTCATTGTAAGATTTTGTTAAAAGAAGATAAATACTTTTGTTTAAAAGGAAGAAATACTTCTATTTAGTGTGCATAAACATAAACTATCTACTGGCTTTATAACCTGTCATGCTAAAGAAATAACAATAAATGGCATGAGGACTAACAATAATATTTACAAATTTATATTTTCATATAAAGCAAAGGTTTTTTTTTGTTTCAGTCTTAACATAGTTTTAAGGTTTTGGCTAATCAGACATTCTGGTTAGCAGAAAGTTACCATATATCCCTGACAGGGATAACCACTTTCAAAATAAAATAGATTAAAACTATATCTAAGATATTTTAGCTGTCCTTTCTTAGAGTTCACCTATAATGTACATGCATTTGTGTTGGATGCTAGGGAGTTTTGCGTAGTTTCTGGATAATATACTCTATGTAATAGCATTTCAGCAAGACAAAAATGCTTATATTGCCTTATTAATACATATTTATTTAGGCCTACTTTACTGTTTCTCAAGCCTGGTTATGTACCAGACACATTATAGAAGTTTTTCGACATAATCGCTCATGGGCCTTTCATGTAAAGATGCTTATTTGGAAGTCTGGTAGGACCTATGCACAAATAGTTATATAAAACTATACCAGAGCGAGGCTGGGCATGGTGGGTCATGCCTGTAATCCCAGCACTTTGGGAGACTGAAGTGGGAGGATCACTTGAGGCCAAATGTTTGAGACTAGCCTGGGCAACACAACAAGACCCTCTCTTTAAAAATCAGTTGCAGGTTTGTAGCTCATCAGGTCAGGTTTTTGGTATCTTTTCTACTTACAAGGAATTTAGTTAAGTGTTAGATACTACTGATTCAAATTAAAACAAACAAAAACAAACAAACAAAAGCTTCCCTGCTATTTCTCATTTAAGCTTCTGAGACTTTTTTTTTTTTTTTTGCTGTCCATAAGTTTATTGTCTTTATCTGAAAAATCCTTATAGAAAATTGTTTGGTTTAGCTCTCAGCAGCCCGCTCCTGAGCTCTGAGGAAGCTTGCCTTCTTTTGAGCTACCCGATCTTTCTTCTGAGCAATGGACATTTTGGGACAGTTCCACCTCTTCTTTTTAACTTCTTTCTGCGGCGTCTTTTCATAGACTGGATTCTTTTGTATAGCAGCATGAGCTTTCTTACACATCTCCTCCATCATGTCTGGAGTTATGCTGTTCTTTATGTATTGAGAGAACTGTTTCTTGTAAGCATCTTTATCTTCTTCCATTAAATAGCACATGTAATCTGCAACATTCTGGCCCATGATGTGCTTCCAGTGTACTTCTGCATTAAATTCCTTGCTTTCAGAATCATAACCAGAGAATTGTTTGGTACTATGAGGGATAGACAAGCATCCATCCACAGCTCCCTTCAGGGTGCTAAAAACTTTATTGCCAGTGGTAATTCTGGCAAGACCTGCATCCAAATAGCAGGTAAAGGCACCTGGCTGACCATCGGTGCTCTCCACATTGTATTCATTGCCAGTCTCTTCCACTTGGCTTTCATAGATCTTGTCCATGCCAAACCTATTGAGAAGCCTGCGGGCCAGCAGCAGGCCAGTACAATATGCCGCAGCATAATTTTTCAGGCCAGCCTTCATACCATTATTTTGGCAGTTTGTGTACATATGCTGTGCAGACTATCATATCCCTCTCTATACGAGCAGAAGCAGTCTGACAAATGATATCTCTGTTTGTTACATGAACTGTCATCCTGTATTTGAGTGTGTTGTATTTATTTTTATCCTATTATCACCAAGCGTTTCCAAGTATAGTAATCATTTTTACCTTCTCGTCGTCTTCTACATTTCACTTGGTATCTCTTAAAGTAGGCCTTATTCTTAACAACTTTAACAAACCCCATCCTGCAGAACAGAGACCTGCGTCTGCAGCTTGACAGAGACCTGCAGGCCCAGCAGCTCTAGCGGGGGAGAAAGGCGAGACATTTTTAAAAATGTGTATCCTGAGGCCAGGCATGATGGCTCATGTCTGTAATCCCAGCACTTTGGGAGGCAGAGAGAGGTAGGAGGATTGCTTCAGTCGAAGAGTTTGAGACCAGCCTGGGCAACATGGTGAGACTTTGTCTCTACAAAAAAAATTAAAAATTAGCTGGTCATAGTGGCATGCACCTGTGGTCCCAGCTACTCAGGAGGCTGAAGTGGGACAATCACTTGAGCCCGGGAGGTAGAAGCTGCAGTGAGCTGTAATTATGCCATTGCACTCCAGCCTGGGTGACAGAGTGAGACCCTATCTCAAAAAGAAAGGGTATCAAAAAAGTCTGGGAACCTGTGGTAAACATCTTTAAACAGTATGTCACATTAAAAAAAAATGTGTATATATATATATATATATACATATATATATACTCAGTATGTTTTTCTTCAGCCTTAAGATACATTTTCTGCTAGATGCAGTGGTTCATGCCCATAATCCGAGCACTTTGGGAGGCTGAGGCAAGAGGATTGTTTGAACTCAGGAGTTTGAGACCAGCCTGGGCAATATAGTGAGACCTCATCTTTACTAGAAATCAAAAAAGTTAGCCTTGTGTGGTAGCCCTCACCTGTAGTGCCAGCTACTCGGGAGGCTGAGGTGAGAGAATTGCTTGAGATCAGGAGATCAAGGCTGCAGTGAGCTGTGATTGTACCACCGTACTCCAGCCTGGGCAACTGAGCAAGACACTGTCTCAAAAAAAGATACATTTTCAAGTGAAGGACCTCTAAATTTTAGCCATGGATCCAATAGTTAATACATTGCACAGTGTCTGTAAAAGTCTAGAATCAAGGGAAAATGTTGTATTTATTGTATTTTTTTCATACTTTCAGGCACTTGGTAGTATGTCATTTGATCATGACGCCTTAAGAGGAAAGAAGAAATGGAGGAATAGTAACACGGTTTTAGGGAGGAGTGGTAATTACAGTGTTAGAGAGTGTTCAAGAAAACCTTCAGTTAAAAAATGGCATTTGTACTGTCTTGAAGGAGGTGAGGATGGGAGCATATAGTTATTTACAGGAAAAGCGTTTCAGATAGAAGAATAGAAATTACAAAGAGCTTGAAAGAACATGTCTATATACATTGGGTGAACTGAAAGAAGGCCAGTGTGGCTGGAGCAAGGGGGCAGAGTAGGAGGAGATGAAGTAGGGAGGTACAGTGTGCTAATTGTGTAGGGCCTATAAGCCATTGTAAGAATTTAGGGCTTTTACTCTTAGCAAAAGCTACAGCACAATTTTAAGCAAAGAAATGACAAGATCAGGCCTGCGTTTTAAAAAAGATTGCTTTGCCTTGTTGAGAGCAGGCTGTGAAGTGATGAGGGTGAGGCAGGAAGAGGGCGAGATACCGGTTTAGGTGTGTACTGTGATAATCCAGGTGGAAAATGATGATGATTTGGGTCAGGGCAGTTGTGGGAGAGATGATAAGAATTGGTCAAATGCTGGATATATTTTAAAGGTTAAAAACAACAAGATTTGCCGATACAGCTCAAGAGACAGGAGCAAAAATAGTAGTACCCACAGCAAAAGATGATTGTACCTGGCAATCCTATGACTGGTATGGTTATTTTCATCCTCATCTCACGCTCATTTCTCCCACATTTTGTCATTTAGAATAAACCCTGGAGGAAGAACTTTTAGTGTCCTCATCCTTTTACCTGAATTGTATAAATCTATATAAAAATTATAATGGAAGTTTTTGGAATGATGGTATCTAGTATATAGTACTTTGATTTACTGATGGCTTTCCTGGAAGATGTTGTTTCCTGTTTTCTCTCTCGGTCTCCTCCTGCCTCCCTAGCCACTCTCTCACAACCACACCTCCACACACACAATTTGCTTGTATATCCAGAAAAAGATGAAGAAAGAACCAGGTATGTTAGTAATGCTTATCTCTGGTTGGTAGACTGTGGGTATTACATATTCTCTTTTTACATTCTCTTTTTAGGCTTTAAATTAAGAAAATTTTTTTTAAATGTAAATATTTTGAAATAAAATAAATTTGGTTTTATCTAAAAAATAGCAAATGCACACACACAAATACCCTGAATAGGCAAATCCATAGAGACAGAAAGCAGAGTGGTGGTTGCAGGGGTTTGGCGGGGCAAGAGGAGAATCCTGGGGAGTAACCGCTCAATGGATTCAGTTTCCTTTTTGGGTAATGAAATGTTCTTTAACTAGATAGTGGTGATGGTTACACAGCATTGTGAATGTACTAAATGCCACTGAATTATATGCTTCAGAATGTTCAAAGTGGTGAATTTTATGTTAAGTGAGTTTTACGACAGTTATAAAAGGAATACTTTGGAAAGTATAAAGTAGGGGAGGAAATTCCTTTGAGTGCTGCTGCCTAAAGTCTACCGTAGTCAACATTGTGAATTTATTAAGCATACTCATTCTTGTTTTTTAGGAATGTAATTAGTTTCCTACAGCTGCTGTAGCAAAGTATCACAAACTGGCTGGCCCAAAACAACAGAAATGTATTTGCTCACAGACCTGGAGGCCAAACATTTGAAATCCAAGTGTCTGCAGGCTTGGTTCTTCTGGAGTTTCTGAGGGAGGATCTGTTTCATGTCTTTCTCTTTTCTTCTGGTAGTTGCCAGCAGTCCCTGCCTTGTAGATGTATCACTCCCATCTCTGCCTTTTTCTTCACATGGAGTAGGGCCCATTCTAATCCAGCATGACCTCATTTTAACTTAACTAATTACATCTCAAAGACCCTGTTTCAAATAAGGTAACATTCTGAGGTTCTGGGTGAATATATGAATTATGGGGGGACACTAGTCAAACCAAGCACAACATGTTTTGGATTTTTATATGGTTGTTCTTATGTTATAAAGTAAATTTTCTCTACTTTTATTTTTCTATTTCATAGGTGGCATAAGCATCATTTTAATAGTTTGGTGTTTTGTGTGTGTGTGTGTGTGTGTGTTTGTTTTGTTTTGAGACAGGGTCTCATTTTGTTGCCCAGGCTGGAATGCAGTGGCACGATGACAGCTCACTGAAGCCTCGGCCTCCTGGGTTCAAGCGATCCTCCCACCTTAGCCTCCCAAGTAGCTGGGACTACAGGCAGTGCCACCACGCCTCTCTAATTTTTAAATTTTTTTTCTAGAGACAAGGTTGAACGATGTTGCCTAGGCAGGTCTCAAACTTCTGGCCTCAAGTGATCCTCCCTCCTCGGCCTTTCAAAGTGTTGAGATGACATGGGTGAGCCGTCTCGCCCAGCCTAGTTTGGTATTTTATCAAGTGGCCAACTTACTGATGACTTAACACTGCTTATATTGTTATACATTTAAGGTGTTACTAATTGTTGCCTAATTGTGAATAACTATTATTAATTTACGATAAATTTCTACAAGTGAAATTACTAGGATTAACTTCTAGTTTCAACAGGAATAATCTGATCTCTAATTTTTTTCTTCATCGTTCTCATCCTGAGTACTGACTTGAATGCAGATGGATAGCATTACTTCTCCTCTATCTCTTGTTGTCTCTTAGAATGAAACAATATTCACACAACTTTCATAGTATTACTTTAGATTAGACCTGTATAGTGTCTGAACTAGATCCTTTACATGAATCTTATCCCAGACTTTCGTATTTTACTATCTTTTATTTCTAATTTAAATAGATCAGCATTCTGAGAGATTAGTGATAATAAATACTACTTTACTTTATACATTTGCAGCTGAAATACTTGAATTACATTAAATATGTATGTATACCTATGAGTATCTTTTTTTTCTCTATTTTAGCACGGATGTATTTCAAAGATTGGGCTCAAATTCAGCTCTGACTACTTCAAATATAGCATCATTTGAAGAAGCATTTATATGTCTTCAAAAGTTAATGGCAGCTGTGAGGGATATTCTTGAAGGAATTCAAAGGTAAACACTATATTAATTTTAAAGTGTTATTTACTTATTACTTTTCTCTTTCTCCTAGGCTTACCAACTTTTTCAGAGTTGCTAGGAGTCACATAGAATAGACCGTGGCACTTTATAGCATGAAATCAAGTGCTTTCTTTTGTGGCACTAAAGGAGGATACTTCTAACCTTTGCAGTTTTATCGTTATGTACCAAGATTGTTTGACCTGAATTAGATATATAGGTTGATAACACAAAAATACTGTTCTTTGTAAATTAAAACAGAAACAAAACTGAGTTGATTTTGCTATGTTCAAGTTTGAAAAACTTGAATTTTCAAAAAATTTTTTTTTCATTTCTCTTGAATGGTTTTTGCAAACTATTGTTAATATACAAGGCATTTTTGCCTTGTTAATCTAGAAGGCATTTTTGCCTCTTTTTGAATCGCAGTTGGCCTAAATAATTCTTATAATAAAAAGTTATCTAAACTTCTGCCACCCTTAAGTTATTAATGAATTTAAAGTATGGCAGATCCTAACACAAGTTAAATGTTACCTCTAAATGCAAATAGTCCCTTTATAATTTAAAGCCTTATTAAAATAAGTGTGGCTCCATAAGGGTGAACTATTGAGTTCTGATTTTAGCTGTGTAAAAACTTCTGTTCACTCTAGATTGCATAAAAGCCATACTTGACAGTATATTTTCTACAGAAAGTAATAACTCAGCAGATGTTCATTGAACACCTGCTATACTTGGTATCGTACTAGGCACTGGGGACCAAAGAGAAATAAGATATGACCTCTGAATCCAAACAGCTGTGGAAATAATTCAATCATATTAAAACAGATCTTGCAATCAAAAGGTATTAGTATTTTAATAGAGATATATATATGCAGTGGCGGGAGGAAGGGTTGGCAAAAGATGAGGCTGGATCGAGGTTGGAGGAGTGTGTCTCAGGCCATGCAAAGCAGTTTCCATTTTATCTGATAGGCCAGTATTTCAGATATTCAGAGCTGTTAATTATGTGCCAGAAGTGTTTCTGGTTCAAAAAACTGGAAATATTGCATACTATACCACCTTCTGGGGAAATCACTTGTATTATTAGCATATTAATGGCTTTATAAACCTCTGCTGTAAGGAAATTTTTTTAATTTTAGGAACTTTAAAACATATTGATGCCTGGATCCTCCACCCTAGAGATTCATATGTAATTAGTCTGGGGTGTGCCTGGCAATGAAGATTTAAAAAATTTCCCCAGGTAATTCATATGTGTCAGCAAGGTTGAGAACCTCTAGCCAATATGCTTATCTAGTGGTTCTCAAAGTGTAATCACAAGACCAGCATCATCACCACATCTAACTTGTTAAAAGTGCAGATTTTCAGGCCCTCTCAGATTTATTCAATCAGAAACTGTGGGTATGAGGCCTATAGGTCTGTGTCCTCTAGGTGATTCTGTTCATGCTGAAGGCTGAGCATCACTGGCCCAAGTGATTCTCAGCCCTAGTGGCAGACTATAATCACCTGGGAGTTTAAAAAAATAGGAATGATCTTTTCAAAAAACCAGCTCCTGGATTCATTGAGTTTTTGAAGGGCTTTTCGTGTCTCTGTCTCCTTCATTTCTGCTCTGATCTTACTTATTTCTTTTCTTCTGCTAGCTTTTGAATTTGTTTGCTCTTGCTTCTCTACTTCTTTTAATTGTGATGTTAGAGTGTCAATTTTAGATCTTTCCTGCTTTCTCTTGTGGGCATTTAGTGCTATAAATTTCCCTCTACACACTGCTTTAAATGTGTCCCAGAGATTCTGGTATGTTGTGTCTTTGTTCTCATTGGTTTCAAAAAGAATATCTTTATTTCTGCCTTCATTTCATTATGTACCCAGTAGTCATTCAGGAGCAGGTTGTTCACTTTCCATGTAGTTGAGCGGTTTTGAGTGAGTTTCTTAATCCTGAGTTCTAATTTGATTGCACTGTGGTCTGAGAGACTGTTTGTTATGATTTACATTCTTTTGCATTTGCTGAAGAGTGTTTTACTTCGAATTATGTGGTCAATTTTATTTATTTATTTATTTATTTTTTGAGACGGAGTCTTGCTCTGTCGCCCAGGCTGGAGTGCAGTAGCGCAATCTCAGCTCACTGCAAGCTCCGCCTCCTGGGTTCATGCCATTCTCCTGCCTCAGCCTCCCAAGTAGCTGGGACTACAGGCACCCGCCACCATGCCCAGCTAATTTTTTTGTATTTTTAGTAGAGACCGGGTTTCACCATGTTAGCAAGGATGGTCTCGATCTCCTGACCTCATGATCCACCCCCCTCAGCCTCCCAAAGTGCTGGGATTACAGGCGTGAGCCTCTGCGCCCGGCCTAATTTTAAAATAAGGGCAGTGTGGTGCTGAGAAGAATGTATATTCTGTTGATTTGGGGCGGAGAGTTCTGTAGATGTCTGTTAGGTCTGCCTGGTCCAGAGCTGAGTTCAAGTCCTGGATATCTTTGTTAATTTTCTGTCTCATTGATCTGTCTAATATTGACAGTGGGGTGTTAAAGTCTACCACTATTATTGTGCAGGAGTCTAAGTCTCTTTGTAGGTCTCTAAGAACTTGCTTTATGAATCTGGGTACTCCTGTATTGGGTACAGATGTATTTAGGATAGTTAGCTCTTCTTGTTGCATTAATTCCTTTAGCATTATGTAATGCCTTTGTCTCTTTTGATCTTTGTTTGTTTAAAGTGTGTTTTATCAGAGACTAGGATTGCAACCCCTGCTTTTTTTTCTTTCTATTTGCTTCGTAAATATTCCTCCATCCCTTTATTTTGAGCCTGTGTGTGTCTTTGCACATGAGATGGGTCTCCTGAATACTGCACACCAATGGATCTTGATTCTTTATCCAATTAGCCAGTCTGTGCCTTTTAATTGGGTCATTTAGCCCATTTACATTTAAGGTTAATATTGTTATGTGTGAATTTAATCCTGCCATTATGATGTTAGCTGGTTTTCTTTGCCCGTTAGTTGGTGCAGTTTCTTCATAGTGTCGATGGTCTTTACGTACAATTTGGTATGTTTTTGCAGTGGCTGGTACCGGTTGTTCCTTTCCATGTTTAGTGCTTCCTTCAGGAGCTCTTGTATGGCAGGCCACTAGCTAGACTAATAAAGAAGAAAAGAGAGAAGAATCAAATAGATGCAATAAAAAATGATAAAGGGGATATCACCACCAATCCCACAGAAATACAAACTACCATCAGAGACTACTTATAAACACCTCTATGCAAATAAATTAGAAAATCTAGAAGAATTGGATAAATTTCTGGACACATACACCCTCCCAAGACCAAACCAGGAAGAAGTCGAATCCCTGAATAGACCAGTAACAAGTTCTGAAATTGAGGCAGCAATTAATAGCCTACCAACCAAAAGAAAAGTCCAGGACTAGACAGATTCACAGCTGAATTCTACCAGAGGTACAAAGAGGAGCTGGTATCATTTCTTCTGAAACTATTCCAAACAATAGAAAAAGAGGGAATCCTCCCTAATGCATTTTATGAGGCCAGCATCATCCTGATACCAAAACCTGGCAGAGACACAACAAAAAAGAAAATTTCAGGCAAATATCCCTGATGAACATCAATGCGAAAATCCTAATAAAATTATGGCACACCAAATCCAGCAGCACATCAAAAAGCTTATCCACCATGATCAAGTCAGCTTCATCCCTGAGATGCAAGGCTGGTTCAACATACGCAATTCAATAAATGTAATCCAGCATATAAACAGAGCCAAAGACAAAAACCACATGATTATCTCAATAGATGCAGAAAAGGCCTTTGACAAAATTCAGCAGCCCTTCATGCTAAAAACTCTCAGTAAACTCGGTATTGATACAATGTATCTCAAAATAATAAGAGCTATTTACGACAAACCCATAGCCAGTATCATACTGAATGGGCAAAAACTGAAAGCATTCCTGGCAGAAGACAAGGATGCCCTCTCTCACCACTCCAATTCAGCATAGTATTGGAAGTTCTGGCCAGGGCAATCAGGCAAGAGAAAGAAATAAAGGGTATTCAAATAGGAAGAGAAGAGGTCAAATTGTCTCCGTTTGCAGATGACATGATTGTATATTTAGAAAACCCCATCGTCTCAGCCCAAAATCTCCTTAAGCTGATAAGCAACTTCAGCAAAGTCTCAGGATACAAAATCAATGTGCAAAAATCACAAGCATTCCTTTACAATAATAACAAACAGCCAAATCAAGAGTGAACTCCCATTCACAATTGCTACAAAGACAATAAAATACCTAGGAATACAACTTTTACAAGGGATTTGAACGACCTCTTCAATGAGAACTACAAACCACTGCTCAAAGAAATAAGAGAAGACACAAACAAATAGAAAAACATTTCATGCTCATGAGTAGGAAGAATCAATATCATCAAAATGGCTATACTGCCCAAAGTAATTTATAGATTCACTGCTATTCCGATCAAGCTACCATTGACTTTCTTCACAGAATTGGAAAAAACTACTTTAAATTTCATATGGAACCAAAAAAGAGCCCACATAGCCAAGACAATCCTAAGCAAAAAATAAAAAATCCTAAGCAATCCTAACAAAACTGGAGGCATCACGCTACCTGACTTCAAACCATACTAGAAGGCTACAGTAACAAAAACAGCATGGTACTGGTACCAAAACAGAGACATAGACCAATGGAACAGAACAGAGGCCTCAGAAGTAATGCCACACATCTACAACCATTTGATCTTTGACAAACCTGACAAAAACAAGCAATGGGGAAAGGATTCCCTATTTAATAAATGGTGTTGGGAAAACTGGCTAGCCATATGCAGAAAGCTGAAACTGGATTCCTTCCTTACACCTTACACAAAAATTAACTCAAGAGGGATTAAAGACTTAAACATAAGACCTAAAACCATAAAAACTTTAGAAGAAAACCTAGGCAATACCATTCAGGACATAGGCATGGGCAAAGACTTCATGATTAAAACACCCAAAGCAATGGCAACAAAAGCCAAAATAGACCAATGGGTTCTGATTAAAGAGCTTCTGCACAGCAAAAGAAACTATCATCAGAGTGAACAGGCAACCTACAGAATGGGAGAAAATTTTTGCAATCTATCCATCTGACAAAGGGCTAATATCCAGAATATACAAAGAACTTAAATAGATTTACAAGAAAAAAACAACCCCATCAAAAAGTGGGCAAATGATATGAACAGACACTTCTCAAAAGAAGACATTTATGCAGCCAACAAACATGAAAAAAGCTCATCATCACTAGTCATTAGAGAAATGCAAATCAAAAGCACAATGAGATACTATCTCACACCTGTTAGAATGGCGATCATAAAAAGTGAAGAAACAACAGATGCTGGAGAGGATGTGGAGAAATAGGAATGCTTTTTCACTGTTGGTGGCAATTATTTCCACCATCATGGAAGACAGTGTGATGATTCCTCAAGGATCTAGATCTAGAAATACCATTTGACCCAGCAATCCCGTTCCTGGGTATATATCCAAAGGACTATATGTCATTCCACTATAAAAACACATGCACACATATGTTTATTGCAGCGGTGTTCACAATAGCAAAGACTTGAAACCAACCCAAATGCCTATCAATGATAGACTGGATAAAGAAAGTGTGGCACATATACACCATGGAATACTATACAGCCATAAAAAAGGATGAGTTCATGTCCTTTGCAGGGAGATGGATGACTCTGGAAACCATCATTCTCAGCAAACTAACACAAGAACAGAAAACCAAACACTGCATGTTCTCACTCATAAGTGGGAATTTAACAGTGAGAATACATGGACACAGGGAGGGGAACATCACACACTGGGGCCTGTCAGGGTGGGGTCTAGGGGAGGGATAGCATTAGGAGAAATACCTAATGTAGATGATGGGTTAATGGGTGCAGGAAACCACAATGGAACGTGTATACCTATGTAACAAACCTGCCCATTCTGCACATGTACCCCAGAACTTAAAGTATAATAAAATAATAATAATACTAAAGTAACAGTGGTTGGGCCCTACCTTAATCCTATTAAATCTGAATCTGAGAATGGGACCTGGTCAGACATTTCTACAGACTCCCCAACTGATGTGGGTGGAACCAGGGTTAAGAAGATTTAGCATGTATTGCTTACATAAGCAGTATCTAAAAGAAATAATTACTTGAATTTTAAGGCTAATACAATTTGTTACTCTTTCATCTTAAGGACACCTAGCACTAGGGATAAGAAAAGATTGGTAGCTCTGCTACCTTTTAGCATGTGACCTGGGGTGATTTTTTTTTTTTTTAAACAGAGTATTACTGTGTTTCCCAGGCTGGAGTACAGTGGAGCAATCACGGCTCACTGTAGCATCGAATTCCTGAACTCAGGCAGTCTTCCCACCTCAGTCTCCTGAGTAGCTGGGACTACAGGTACATGCCACCACAGTCAGCTAATTTTTGTATTTTTTGTAGAGATGGGGTTTGCCATATTGCTCAGGCTGGTCTTGAACTCCTGGGCTCAAGTGATCCTCCTTTCTTGGCCTCCCAAAATTCTGGGATTACAGGCATGAGCCACCTTGCCTGGCTTGGGGAAAATTTTTAAAGCTATCTTGAGCCTCAGTGTTCATAAAACAGCCATAATAATACCTTCCCAGAGCATTTCATGGGGTTACTATTGTGCTTTGAGAGCAAGGTGTTGGTATTACTAACCATCAGCAATTCTTAACTTGTTTGTTGGGGAATTTGTTACAAATGTAAAGTTTAAGGTTTTATCCCAGACTAACTTAAATAAAAATATCTGTAGGTATTTGTGTAGAGCAAGGAAGTTGTATTTTTAAGCTTTCCAGGGGATTTGTATGCAGGTGGTGAGAGATCACATTTAATAAAACTAATGCAATTTTTTGTAATGTTACATTAGAGAATGCTTTTCTCTTGAGCTACCAGTAGGGAGCATTGTGAATAAACTGGTTTGCTTAACTCACCATTCACTTATCAACAGGAAACTACAAAATTGTGAATTTTTTTTTTTAAACCGGGCAGATAATAGGCATTTAAATTAAAATTTAATAAAAGTTAATAATTATTTTTTCAAGTGTACATGTAGTGCTTAAAATCTTTCAAGAAACAAAATCATGTTAAATCAAAAGAAGCTCAGTTTAAAAATTTTTTTGCTAAATATTGTTTTAAAATTTTACAATTTAATTTAAATTTAAAATTAAATATTGAAATTGCATGCAATTTGTAGTGACTGCAAATTAGCATTTTTGATGCTTGCTAAAATGACCTAGTTTCATTTGGTTTTGAGATGCATGCTCAGTGATTATATGTTAGCTCTATTCCCTTTTATCTTAAAAATAGTAGATCATATATAGTGTTATATTGGGGCTCGATAATCAGGTGATCTTTAGCTTGGCCTTTCAGTTAAAGAAGTGAATGAAAACATATTTGATAGACTAACAGCTTTGGGTTCTAGTTCTAGATTTATCCCCTTGTAGCTGACTTTGGGCATGTCATTTACCCTCTAAGTCACAGTTTCTTTCCTTGTTAAATGAGAATCCTGGTACCTTCTTTAGAAGAGTGTATGAAATGATGTATGTGAAAATACTTTCTAACTATGTTTACATGCGCTAATCTTGCTTTTTCCTTAAAGTTGATATGTGAAGTTTGAAATGTTTAAAATGTGTATTTCAGTTTTAAGAAAACTCTAAACATGATTGTGGTTAAGATTGAAAAATTAGTGGAGCAGTTGTCGGTATGGTTATATATTTGGCAGCAAAATACCTAATTTTGCAAAGTTAGAAAAGGGATGAGGATCTTGCAAATTCCTATATTTTCTGAACACTTTCTTTTTAGGTAGGAGAAGAACTTCAATTAGCTTATTTGCTATTCATTTAGAAATTGCTTCTCTCCTCATCTTTTCTTTTATATGTATACAGGATTAATTTGAGCACTTTTGTTAATAGTTTTCTCATCTAACCACTAGATAGCCAAGGACAATGTTGATAATTTTTTTTTCAGATAGACAAAAGTGTTTTAAGATTTGTTTTTGGTCAGTACTACATAGTCTTAATTTATACTTTTGTAAACTTATGTCTAGATTGATCAAGTAACTCTTAAGACCACAGAAACCTTTTGCTTAGTATATAAAGATGATAAAGTTTCATTTGGAACAAAATTAATTGGAGAGTTGAATTGCAAATTTCTAAAAATAGGGAAAGTTCTACTTTCTATATTGATCAAAAACATTGTCTACATGTATTTTTGCTTAAACTGTCATCTTTGCAGAGTTAACTAAACAGGTCATGTAATCCAACTCTGAGGCACACTGTAAATGCGTGCAGCTTCAACTTGAAAGCTAATATTCAAAGCAACAA
The DNA here is from genome assembly GCF_000001405.40 of Homo sapiens. Taxonomy (NCBI): domain Eukaryota; kingdom Metazoa; phylum Chordata; class Mammalia; order Primates; family Hominidae; genus Homo; species Homo sapiens. The sequence goes on from NC_000001.11 coordinate 185,240,073, forward strand.
TACAAGTGTTGTAGATATGTTTCTGTTTCTGTGAAATAGATGATGAGCTAGCTGCCTGATTTAGAAGCTAAGAAGGAGGGTGAAGGTGAGAAACTTTAACTTGCTTAGGTTTTATGTTTGTATTTCACCTTTATAAAATAAGGTAGAAATTATGTTTTAAAAAACAAAAAAAGGTAATATTTTAAATCCAAAAATATACTAGCTCATGCCCAAATATGTTTGGTTTAACATGTAAAACTTTGCATATGTGAGTTTCATGAACTGAAGTAGCTTTATTTGAAATGTTTGAGATAATGAGTGTTTTCTTGGTTTATTATTTTGACTCATATTTGGGGTGGGAAAGAGGCAGAGGGAATTTCTATTCCTTATAAATAGGTGCATTTTGAGGACATGCTTTTATATTAAAAGATATCTCAAGTGTATATAGCTTAGTTTTTTTTCTAGCTGTCATTTTGTTTGGTCATATTTAAATTTAGCAATAAATGACTGCTAACCGTTGTGTTTGGACATAATCATATGCTGCATGGGCATTTGTACTTGATCATAGAACAGGATTTTGGAAAATAAAACCTCAGTTTCAATTTAGGAAAGGAAGATGATTAATTTTTATTGAGTTGTTTAATCTTCTAAGTTTTAATAACCTCTGTCACATTCTTGTGGCTTTAGTTTGGAATACTTTAGACAGCTATTTTTCTAAAATAATTGCAGTCATGAAGTTTGGGGTTTTTTGGGTGTGATTTGCATATATTTTGTTTTCTTATTAAACCTCTAAAAATTAATTTTCCTTTTAATCTCCTACCCCATTTTAACGTAAGAACAGACCATATATGGTATATTTATGCATTATTTCTGGGAAAAGAAACCTTAAAATCACAGTAGCTTTTCAGATCCACTAATATGCTTCAAAGATACTGATTTTTGCTTTTGAGATAAAATTTTATTAACTTCGCCTCTTTGACTTACTGTATATATTGATAGTTGACCTCTTAAGATTTTGGAAAAGGTTATTTAGAATAGGTCATCCTTTACTTTACACAAAGATAACACACTTTAGGCTACTTCTTTAAACTAGTTGTTGAAACTAAAGATTCTGTCACAGGCATGCTAATGTGTAGAAAATAAAGACCTTAAAAACTTCATCCTTTGAAGTTTAGAAGTGACTTTTTAGACTCTGAACTCATTGCAGTGTGCAAAATATTCAGCCATTGTTATCTAGAGTGGAGGGGTTTATTCATGTTTGTGTCTGACCTACTTTCTTTGAGGCTTGGCCTTTTCACCCTTAGATAATTAGGCTTCACCTCCCACTCTTCAGTTAGGGTTTCACAGCTCCTCAGATATCACTTAGTTACCTTCTCAGACTTTCAACACCTTGTCCTTTCATCACCAAGTATATCAGTTGCTTTGTTGAGTAAGAAAAAATAATACAATTTATTGTTTAAAAATGAAAAGACTTAGTTGCTTCATCCTTCATGCCACCATTTTGTAAAAAATAATTTTATTTTTTATAATTTATTTTATAATCAGTTCCTTAATACTTTGAATGCCTCCAGGGCAGAAACTGTCTTACTTTTCTGTATCTGGAGCCTTGCACAGGTAATGACACATAGTAGATGGTCAGTAAGTGATTATTTAATGAGTGTTTTATAGTCTTTGTGATAGAAGGCAACTTTTTTTAAGGCTGAATGCTAATTATACTACATTATGACATTAGATGAATAGTTAATGTAGAGGTTTTAAAAGAGGTATAGAAGAGAGATGAGCAAGCTATGAAAGGTTAAAGAATAAGAAAATCAGGAGGAAGGAGAAAGACTGGAAGAGAGAGAGATTAAGGAGATTAAAAAGGCATTTATGTCTGGAGCAGATGATGGAGCCTCCAGTAATTCACCCAAATGTCTCTTCGGGTTACATTGTTATCCTTGATTACTTTATCAACTATAGATTATTACTTATGGATTACTCTCTAGATCAACTATGTAAAATAGGGCTAGTAGAAGGAAAGATAGGATCTAATGGAAGAGTTAGACTCAGGGAATATAAGCAGGCAGTTCTTGTTATATTATAGACACATATAAGGTCATATGTGTAAAATATAGACAGTTATTAAGAGCTTTTATGGTATCTATATTGCAGTTTGACAAGCACAGTTAATGTGTATATCAAATTTTAAATGTAATATGTAATAAAATTTTTATTAAAGTAGCTGATAAAATACGTGGCATTCACGTATCAGTCGGACTGAATTTTTCAGTAACCAGCTGATTTTTTTAAACCTGGGTCTGTATGTTACTGAAGATAATACATCACTATGACTTAATTTTTAGAATAACTGGATTTCATTTTACATATCTAAAACTCTTATCTGTGTTTCCCAGCATTTGTCATTCAAGAATTGGAAATAAAGACCTTATATTTACCTTTTAAGGTAACCTCCGCTGATACTTATATCAGCGGAGAAATGCCGCAGTTATTCCCATCGCCCCTAGAGTGGACTTAGGTGTTAGTGTTCCCTTGGCCAGTATAATTCAGTTTTGGATGACAGAGTTAAATGTATCCCATCATAAATTATCAAATCACATCCAAATTAAGCAATTAAATATAATATGAAGATTACTTCTTGAAGACAACAAATATTTTAACTTGTTTATGGAGTTTTTATTTATAATCTGTTCTTTTATTTAAAATTTACTTCTTGTTTTATACCTGACTAATTCTACCTAATGATTTATTGTTCTGATATTTAATTAAAATTCCTTGCTATTAAGTCTCGTTTTAAGAAATGCTAAAACCACCAGATGGAATAAATGACCTAATAAGTCAGTGATGTTAAACACCAGTAAAAGAAATGAAATTAGGGAGAAATCAATAGAAGGGTCTGAATAAGGGCTATCATAATAATTTTAACTTAAATAACAAGTATGTATAGTAAGTATATGGGATAAAGCCAGATGATCAGTTCTAATTCATTCTTACAAAGCAGTTATATAAAAGGCGTAAAGGTAGAGTATACCCTATACTCTAGGATACATTCTAACTAGTTGGGTTTTTGTTTGTTTTGAAACAGGGTTTCACTCGGATGCCCAGGCTGGAGTGCAGTGCTGTGATCTCAGCTCACTGCAACTTCCACCTCCTGGGCTCAGGTGATCCTCTCACCTCAGCCTCTGGAGTACTTGGGACTACAGGCATGTGCCACCACACACAGCCTATTTTTTGTACTTTTTGTAGGGACAGGGTTTCTTCATGTTGCCCAGGCTGGTCTTGATCTCCTGGACTCAAGCAATGCATCTTCTTCAGCTTCCCAAATTGCTGGGATTACAGGTGTGAGCCACCACATCTGGCCTAGGATTAATTTTATCTATTTTGAGAAATATATTCTTGTGCCTCTAAATAACTTTTAGCACCTCAGTAGGCCAACCAGCTGCCAGTAGTGAGAAGTGATACAATGTCCTCAAGGGTGTTTTCCAATAGTAAGAAAAGTTTGATTTTAACTCAGGACAGTGTTTTCCACATAGATGGTACTCAGTAAATACTTAACCGTATATCAGAAACCTCTGGAATTATTAAACATTTTGATGCGCCAATCCCTGTTAACAAGGCATGTTAAACCTTTTTAGAATCAACATATACACTTTCTCTTAACAATAAGGTAACTGGAACTATTAAGTTTAAATTGTCTGATTTTTTTGCTAATATTAAGCTACTTTATTACTATTTAAATATATGTAGTTAATGTATTATTTTTGACAGCATGTAGCTATATATTTTCTCCAGCCAAATTGTTGAAATAAGACAAATAAGTAAAATAATCAAAATTATGTTTATTATTAAAGATAGTGACTTTACGCAGATTTTATTTAAACCTTATTGATAAAAATGTCAGCAGTTTTGTATGCTATTGGAGTGTAAAATAGTATAGAATGTATCGATCAGCCTTCTTTCATGGACTTTCATCCATTTACCCATGCTGCCTATATTCTAGAGAAAGGGAAATACACTCATACATCTCTCTCTCTTTTTTAATATATATAATTCTTTTTCTTAAAAAAAAAATAGGGATAGGGTCTCACTGTGTTGGCCAGGCTGGTCTTGAACCCCTATTCTCAAGCTGTCCTCTCGCCTCAGCCTCCTAAAGTGCTGGGATTACAGATGTGAGCTACCACACCCAGCTAGTCATACATATCTTAATGATGGGGATACATGTTCTTGTGTGAGCATTATAGAGTGTATTTACACAAATCTAGATGGAATAGCCCACTACACACCTAGGCTGTATGGTAAATGGCCTGTTGCTGCTGGATTACAAACCTGTATGGCATGCTACTGTACATACTACAGGGAGTTGTAACACAATGGTAATTATTTGTGTACCTAAACATACGTAAACATAGAAAAGGCATGCTTAAAAATACGGTATAAAAGATAAAAAAAAGGTATACTTGTATAGAACACTTACCACAATGTAGCTTGCAGGAGTGGAAGTGCTCTGGGTGAGTCAGTGGGTGGGTGGTGAGTCAGTGGGTGAGTGGTGAGTGAATGTGAAGGCCCTGGATATGACACTACTATAGACTATAAGCACTGTACACTTAGGCTCCACTCAATTAAAAAATGTTTTCTTTCTTCAATAACAAATTAACCTTAGGTTGTTATAACTTTTTAATTTTATGAACTTTTGATTTTTTAATACTTTTTGACTCTTTTCCAGTAACACTTAGCTTAGAACACAAACAATGGCCAGGCATGGTGGCCGACACCTGTAATCCCGGCACTTTGGGAGGCCAAGGCAGGGGGTTTGCTTGAAGCCCGGAGTTCGAGAGTAGTCTAGGCAACATAGTGAGACACCGTCTCTGCAAAAAAATAAAATTAGCTGGGCATGGTGTTGTGTGTCTGTAGTCTCAGCTACTTGGGAGGCTGAGGCAGGAGGATTGCTTGAGCCCCCCACGAGTTCAAGGTTAAAGTGAGCTATGATTGCATAACTGCATTCCAGCTTGGGCAACAGAGTGAGACCCCATCTCTAAGAACGATTTTTTATATTTAAAAATAAAATAAAAAAGGACCACCCCTTTCAGATCTATGCTTTCTAGAAAACACACACATTGTACAACTGTATAAAAATATTTTCTTTCTTGATATCCTTACTCTGTAGCTTTTTTCTTTTTATAACAATTTTTATTTATTTTTTACTTTTTAAGCTTTTTTGTTAAAAACTAATACACGAAACATACACATTACCCTAGGCCTACACAGGGTCAGGATCATCAGTGTCACTGTCTTCCACCGCCATGTCTTGTCCCACTGGAAGGTCCTCAGAGATAGTAACACACATGGAGCTGTCTCCTATGATAACAGTGCCTTCTTCTGAAATACCTCTCAAAGAACCTACCTGAGGCTCTTTTTAGTTAACTTTTTTAATAAGTAGAAGGAATATACCCTAAAATAATAATAAAAAGTATAGTAGAGTAAATATAGTAAATACAGAAAAGAACCAGTAACATAGTTGTTTATTATCATTGTTAAGTATAATGTGCTGTACTTAATTGTATGTGCTATACTTTTAGAGGACTGGCACTGCAGTAGGTTTATTTATGCCAGCATCACCACAACCACATGAGTAATGAGTTGTGCTAGTAGGAAGTTACTAAGTGATAGGAATTTTTCGGCTCTAGTATAATTTTTTTCCACTCTTGCTGATAATCTTACATTATAATCTTTTTTTTTTTGAGACAGAGTCTCACTCTGTTGCCCAGGCTGGAGCACAGTGGTGTGATCTCGGCTCACTGCAACCTCTGCCTCCCAGGTTGAAGTGATTCTCCCACCTCAGCCTCCCAAGTAGCTGGGATTACAGGCACCCACCATCATGCCTGGCTAATTTTTGTATTTTTGTATAGAGGGGGTTTTACCATGTTAGCCAGGCTGGTCTTGAATTCCTGACCTCAGGTGATCTGCCCACCTCGGCCTCCCAAAGTGCTGAGATTACAGGTGTGAGCCACCGCACCCAGTCTTACATTATAATCTTATGGGACCACCATCATATATGTGGTCCATTGTTGACCAAAATGTCATTGTGCAGTGCATAACTGTACTTAGACCTTTTAGGGAATTACTACATACTGGCTCTGAGTTAATGCTAATCTCTACAGGCCTAAAATGCCAGTATAGTTGGAGAAATGGCCAGAGGGACAGATCTATCCTGATTAGTATCACATCCTTTAAATTTTTATTTTTTCTTTTCTTGGAGTCTCACTCTGTTGCTCAGTCTGCAGTGCAGTGGCATCATCATGGCTCACTGCGACCTCCACTTCCTGGCTCAGGTGATTCTCCCACCTCAGCCTCCCGAGTAGCTGGGACTACAGGCATACCCTACCACGCCCAGCTAACTTTTGTGTTTTTTGTAGAGACCAGGTCTTGCCATGTTGATCAGGCTGGTCTCGAACTCCTGGGCTCAAGCTATCCACCCTCCTCAGTCTTTCAAAGTGTTAGGATTAGAGGCATGAGCCACAGCACCTGGCCATATCCTTTAATTTGTATATCTTAATTATGTTCATATTTTGGAGAGCTTTTTTTTTTTTTTTTTTTTTAATAGAGGGGGGTCTCACTTTGTCATCCAGGCTACGGTGCAGTTGTATGATCATAGCTCACTGCAGCCTGGAACTCATGGTTTCAGGTGATTCTCCTGCCTCGGCCTCCTGAGTAGGAAGGACTACAGGCGCACTCCACCATGCATGGCTAATATTTTAAATTTTTGGTAGATAAGATCTCACTATGTCCTCCAGGCTGGTCTTGAACTCCTGGGCTCAAGTGATCTTCCCACCTCAGCTTCTTCAAGTGTTAGCATTACAGGTGTGAGCCACCATGCCTGACCAGGGGCTAATTTTTTAAAGATCTTCTAAGATCATTTTTCTTTACATTCTATTGTGACTGGTAAAAACTCAAACTAGAAATAGTGGCATCAGCTCTTTTCTTGTTGATTGCGTGTGATTGCCTTATTATTATTACCTTCAGTCCTTAGGTTTCTTGTTGGAATCCCTTAAACTGTTACCCATTTGATGAAGGTTAATTCAATAAGTAATATAATCTGTAAATCATCTAACCAGACATATGTAAAATGCAGTGCCTTGAAGAACATTGAAAGCCAATAAATAAGGTACACACCTCTCCTTTCCTCCCTAATGTGGAACTCCCACCTTATCCCCTGGATACTTCAACATGTGTGACCTGGGGCTCTCTGACATACGGACTAAAGTAAAGGCACAATTTCAGAAGGGATAAAAGAAAGGGGAAGATACAATGTTAGGAAAGTGGAGTCAGCAGTTGGAAATACTGGAGGTTAAATAGTGGGATGTGTAACTGGACAAATGGACTGTTGATGCTTTAGGCTTTCTCTAGACTTATATCTGCTCTTTCATTTTTTGCATTGAAAGTTGTTTAGAAAAAAAGTTGTTTAGCTATTTAATTTCTCAGTGAGATTCATATTTATGTATCATAAAGATGAAGCTACCTCAATTATAAGGGAAATTTTGTTGTACTGAAACTTGATACATGGAAATTTTCAGTTTGGCTCTGTAGAGGTCTGTCTGGATTCTCAGGGTGATGTAGGGGAAAGCATAAAGAAGGCTGAGTGCATTGTTCTCCAGACCTGCACTTTGCTTCAGTATGTATGGCTCTCCTTTGTCTGTTTTAGAAATATATGAGATTTCTGGGTAAGCTTTCATTTAGGTTTCAACAAGCTCTGCTACAAAATAAAAATAGAATATTTCAGTCATGGAACTAAATTTTATGTAATTTGCTTCTAGAAGTGTTTTTTTTTCCTTCCTAAAAAGCAGACTATTTGTTTATTTGCTATTACAGTATGAGTTGGTGACAGTGCTTTCTTTTGGGCCTCTTCTTCCTTTTCCTAAATTAATAGTTATTTCAGGCTTTTTTGCATTTTGAAACTCTGCATTCATGGTGCTTTGTTAGGATTCCCTCTGCAATATAGGATCACAGTACATGATTACTATGGTTATTTTCAAAAAGTCAACAGTTCCTTCAGATTGCTTGGAAGCAGTTGTGAACAATTAAGAGAAGTGGATATGACCCTGTAATGTATTTCCCGTATAGAAAGAAGCAGAGGGTATCTGTAGTTCAGTGTGTTTCCACCAATTAAACTGTAATTGTACTCTTTCCTTACATGTTTAATCTTAGGGACTAATATGCAAACAACAATGTTCTCACACAAAACAAATTAAACTCAACTTACTTTCAATACAATTAACCAATAACAATTTTTTTTCATAAATACATGGATTTTCAGAGAAGTTGCAGGATACGATTTTATGATCCAGGCCAACATATTTTTCGTATCATGCATTTTCAACTTTATATTGAAAGTCATTCTGAATAGAAGTCCATGTTCAGAAATTTAGTATGTTAATTATTCAACTTAGAAACTTCTGTGCTGGAATGATTCACCTGGTGAGGAATGATTGTTTACACACCCTATTTATTCCTTATGAATTTCTACACTCCCCCTCTGGTCTGTGTCTTTCATTGGTTCTGGGGTGATGGTTCCTGCTGTCACTGTCATATCTGTCTACCATCAATGGAGATACTAATCTCTCTCCTCTCTTCATGCTGAGATATGGAAAATATCCTTCATTTAACTACATGCAGTAGAACTTTCACTAAAAGGAACCTTCACTAAAAAGCTAATGAAGATACGACTAAGCCAAAAAAAAAAAAAAAAAAGACAAAAGCAGTTCAGCAGTTTTTTATGCTAAACCAATCAAAAGATTAGCTGAAAATAAATTCCATACCATATGGTTTATCTAGCTGATGGTTGATTTCCCTTACCTTTACTCTCATGTTCTGGTATCTATTGCTGTATAACAAATCACCCCAAAACTTATTGGCTTAAAACAGTAACAACCAATTATTTGTTTTTTGTAATGTTTTGGGAGTTGACTAGACTCATCTTGGAAATTCTCACTTGAGATTTCTTGTGTAGCTGCATTCAGATAGTGTCTGGATCTCCAGACACTATCTCCAGACACTTAGAGGCTGGATCTCCAGCCTCTAAGGCTGGCTGATGCTGCCTCTCAAGTGAAACGCCAATATGTGGCATCTTCATGTAGCCTGAGCTTTGTCGCAGGCTGCAGGCTGGTTTCCAAGAGTGTCCCACCATATGAGGTGGAAGCTATGTTGCCTGTTATGGCATTGCCTCAGAAATCATATAGTGTCATTTCCCCTACAGTCACAGACCTGCCTAGGTTGAGGGGCCTGCCTGTTGATAGGAATGCCAGTGTTACCCTGTAAGAAGAACATGTGGGATGAGAGATCTCGTGTGGCCATCTTGGAAAATACAGTCTGCCTTCTGGTCACAGCAGTTTACATCCCTCCAACTGACAAGACCTGTACATCCCCAAGTCTTATCCCTTTATAGGATTAGGTTAAAGTCCAGAATCTCATTATTTGAATCAGGTCCAGGTGTGATTGAGGCAAGGCTCCCTGGGTATGGCTCCTTCAGCAGAGCTCCTTGAGTACCTACCGTTCCTCTAGATGGGAAGTGCTGTGAACTAAAGAGACAAACTGATCCCCCACCACCCACCCCATACTTTGTAAATACTCTCAACATTCGTGTTCCAAAAGGGGAACACAGGAAGTCACTAGCAGTTCTAAAATCCAGCCATGCACATGTTGCTAGTACTTGATAAGGGCTCAGCCTGACTGCCTGGGAATTATTCACCACTGTTGTTGACTCTGCTCTCTGGGCTCTTGGTTTTGGCTTCTGATTTACTTTTCCATAAGAAAAGGAAGCTGCAATTGAGGAGCCTCCTCAAGCTGTGTCCTTCCTGTAAAAGGTAGGGATTCTAAAGACCTTTTTCTTTTTGTATTACTTCTCTCTTTTATTCCAAGTGGTAGTACTTTTACCAGAACAATCCTGTAAAGCTGTTTGTTTTCTATGAATCTTTATTGGGATTCACTGTGTTAGACAAAAGTCACAACCACAGATCTCTTTGAGATAAACCACCCTCTCACCTTGGGCTCCCTTTGAACCTGTATGGACAATGCTCTTATGATTTTATTTTATTTATTTTTAAAGACTGGTGTCTCACTCTGTCATCCAGGCTGGGTTGCGGTGATGTGATCATAGCTCACTGCAGCCTCGAACTCTTAGGCTGAAGTGATCTTCTCGCCTCAGCCTCCCTCGTAGCTGTCACCATAAGAATGTGAGAGGCAACCATTCTTAAGACCCTTAAAGGGCCTTTTGTGTATCTGAATGATTCTAAGAGGCACTTTAGCTCTTTCTGAGTCTCAACAAAAGGTTTTACAGTAATGCTATTGTCTTCATCTTTAGACCATGTTTTCCTGCCATTCCTGTTAATGGTAAATATTGAATAGTTCTTACACTGCTAAGTGAAGAAAATTTTGGAACATTTCTTACATGTATCTCCAGATGCAGCCTACCACTCCTCTTCCTCTCTCTATACTCCACTTTCCCTCTGTGAGCTCATCCCAACTCCTTTGTGCCCATTACTTGGTTCAGTTGTGAATTTTCAGCTTAGACTCCAAATGTCTAAAACTAAACTCATAATTTATTTAATTTAATTTTAATTTAATTTAATTTTATTTTTTGAGATGGAGTCTTGCTGTGTCGCCCATGCTGGAGTGCAGTGGTGCAATCTTGGCTCACTGCAACCTCCACCTCCCGGGTTCAAGTGATTGTTCTTTCTCAGCCTCCCAAGTAGCTGGGACTACAGGCATGCACCACCATGCCCAGCTAACTTTTGTATTTTTAGTAGAAACAGGGTTTCGCCATGTTGGCCAGGCAGGTCTCAAACTCCTGACCTCAGGTTATCTGGCCTCCTCGGCCTCCCAAAGTGCTGGGATTACAGGTATGAGCCACTGCACCCGGCCTGGAAATATTTTTCTTTGTTTGACATGGTTGATACACTTATATAGGCTATCTCTAGTAAATCTAAATTCTTGAAACTGAAAAACCATTCTTTTATGGCTTTAGAAGTCAGTGATTTAATGATGCTCTTCCTAATGGTGGTGTGCATGGAAAAGTTTTTATTAAAGAGCATATGTGGTTTGAATTTGCAAGATGCAAATATCACAGACTCCAAGAAAACCTAAAAAAATAAATAAATTAATAAACCCACAACATCCTGAACTGGTGCCACCTAACTTCTTTCTGTTTTTTCCTTTTACTTTTTATAAAGCTACATCAATTCTAAATGTGTCCATTAGATCAAATTTGTTCAGGCTGGTCTGAGTGCAGTGGTGTTTACAACTAACTGATCACAGACAGTTACAGATTCTTTTGTTCCTTCTCCACTCCCACTGCTTCACTTTAGCCTAAAGAAAAAAATTGATTTTATGTTGTCCATATTATTATATACTTGCTGAGTTTTGTCTTTGATCAGTTTTATGATTTATGTTAAAAATTTCCTACTGTAATTGTGGGATTTTCAATTTCTTATTGTAATGCTGCCAATTTTTCTTTGCATATTTTGAGGTTATCTCTTTCTGATGAATTGATCCTCTTTACTGCTAGTGAGACTTTCTGCCTAAAAGTTTGTTTTGTCATATATTAATACTGCTAGACCAGCTTTTTGTTGTTATTAGTATTTTTTCTTTGCTTTTTCATCAACCATTTGGAGTCATTATTTTCTTTAGCTAGATTTTATCTATCCAATCAGACAATTTGTTTTTTGCTTGATAAGTAAAACAATTTATATATATATATATTTTTTTTATTATACTTTAAATTTTAGGGTACATGTGCACATTGTGCAGGTTAGTTACATATGTATACATGTGCCATGCTGGTGCGCTGCACCCACTAACTCGTCATCTAGCATTAGGTATATCTCCCAATGCTATCCCTCCCCCCTCCACCCACCCCACAACAGTCCCCAGAGTGTGATATTCCCCTTCCTGTGTCCATGTGATCTCATTGTTCAATTCCCACCTATGAGTGAGAATATGCGGTGTTTGGTTTTTTGTTCTTGCGATAGTTTACTGAGAATGATGATTTCCAATTTCATCCGGACATGAACTCATCATTTTTTATGGCTGCATAGTATTCCATGGTGTATATGTGCCACATTTTCTTAATCCAGTCTATCATTGGTGGACATTTGGGTTGGTTCCAAGTCTTTGCTATTGTGAATAATGCTGCAATAAACATACGTGTGCATGTGTCTTTATAGCAGCATGATTTATAGTCCTTTGGGTATATACCCAGTAATGGGATGGCTGGGTCAAATGGTATTTCCAGTTCTAGATCCCTGAGGAATTGCCACACTGACTTCCACAATGGTTGAACTAGTTTATAGTCCCACCAACAGTGTAAAAGTGTTCCTATTTCTCCACATCCTCTCCAGCACCTGTTGTTTCCTGACCTTTTAATGATTGCCATTCTAACTGGTGTGAGATGGTATCCCATTGTGGTTTTGATTTGCATTTCTCTGATGGCCAGTGATAATGAGCATTTTTTCATGTGTTTTTTGGCTGCATAAATGTCTTCTTTTGAGAAGTGTCTGTTCATGTCCTTCGCCCACTTTTTGATGGGGTTGTTTGTTTTTTTCTTGTAAATTTGCTTGAGTTCATTGTAGATTCTGGATATTAGCCCTTTGTCAGATGAGTAGGTTATGAAAATTTTCTCCCATTTTGTAGGTTGCCTGTTCACTCTGTTGGTAGTTTCTTTTGCTGTACAGAAGCTCTTGAGTTTAATTAGATCCCATTTGTCAATTTTGGCTTTTGTTGCCATTGCTTTTGGTGTTTTAGACATGAAGTCCTTGCCCATGCCTATGTCCTGAATGGTAATGCCTAGGTTTTCTTCTAGGGTTTTTATGGTTTTAGGTCTAACGTTTAAGTCTTTAATCCATCTTGAATTGATTTTTGTATAAGGTGTAAGGAAGGGATCCAGTTTCAGCTTTCTACATATGGCTAGCCAGTTTTCCCAGCACCATTTATTAAATAGGGAATCCTTTCCCCATTGCTTGTTTTTCTCAGGTTTGTCAAAGATCAGATAGTTGTAGATATGCGGCGTTATTTCTGAGGGCTCTGTTCTGTTCCATTGATCTATATCTCTGTTTTGGTACCAGTACCATGCTGTTTTGGTTACTGTAGCCTTGTAGTATAGTTTGAAGTCAGGTAGCGTGATACCTCCAGCTTTGTTCTTTTGGCTTAGGATTGACTTGGCAATGCAGGCTCTTTTTTGGTTCCATATGAACTTTAAAGTAGTTTTTTCCAATTCTGTGAAGAAAGGCATTGGTAGCTTGATGGGGATGGCATTGAATCTGTAAATTACCTTGGGCAGTATGGCCATTTTCACAATATTGATTCTTCCTATCCATGAGCATGGAATGTTCTTCCATTTGTTTGTATCCTCTTTTATTTCCTTGAGCAGTGGTTTGTAGTTCTCCTTGAAGAGGTCCTTCACATCCCTTGTAAGTTGGATTCCTAGGTATTTTATTCTCTTTGAAGCAATTGTGAATGGGAGTTCACTCATGATTTGGCTCTCTGTTTGTTGTTGGTGTATAAGAATGCTTGTGATTTTTGTACATTGATTTTGTATCCTGAGACTTTGCTGAAGTTGCTTATCCGCTTAAGGAGATTTTCGGCTGAGACGATGGGGTTTTCTAGATATACAATCATGTCATCTGCAAACAGGGACAATTTGACTTCTCTTTTCCTAATTGAATACCTTTTATTTCCTTCTCCTGCCTAATTGCCCTGGCCAGAACTTCCAACACCATGTTGAATAGGAGTGGTGAGAGAGGGCATCCCTGTCTTGTGCCAATTTTCAAAGGGAATGCTTCCAGTTTTTGTCCATTCAGTATGATATTGGCTGTGGGTTTGTCATAGATAGCTCTTATTATTTTGAAATATGTCCCATCAATACCTAATTTATTGAGAGTTTTTAGCATGAAGGGTTGTTGAATTTTGTCAAAGGCTTTTTCTGCATCTATTGAGATAATCATGTGGTTTTTGTCTTTGGCTCTGTTTATATGCTGGATTACATTTATTGATTTGCGTATATTGAACCAGCCTTGCATCCCAGGGATGAAGCCCACTTGATCATGGTGGATAAGCTTTTTGATGTGCTGCTGGATTCGTTTTGCCAGTATTTTATTGAGGATTTTTGCATCAATGTTCATCAAGGATATTGGTCTAAAATTCTCTTTTTTTGTTGTGTCTCTGCCTGGCTTTGGTATCAGAATGATGCTGGCCTCATAAAAAGAGTTAGGGAGGATTCCCTCTTTTTCTATTGATTGGAATAGTTTCAGAAGGAATGGTACCAGTTCCTCCTTGTACCTCTGGTAGAATTCGGCTGTGAATCCATCTGGTCCTGGACTCCTTTTGGTTGGTAAGCTACTGATTATTGCCACAATTTCAGATCCTGTTATTGGTCTATTCAGAGATTCAACTTCTTCCTGGTTTAGTCTTGGGAGAGTGTATGTGTCGAGGAATTTATCCATTTCTTCTAGATTTTCTAGTTTATTTGCGTAGAGGTGTTTGTAGTATTCTCTGATGGTAGTTTGTATTTCTGTGGGATTGGTGGTGATATCCCCTTTATCATTTTTTATTGTGTCTATTTGATTCTTCTTTCTTTTTTTCTTTATTAGTCTTGCTAGCAGTCTATCAATTTTGTTGATCCTTTCAAAAAACCAGCTCCTGGATTCATTAATTTTTTGAAGGGTTTTTTGTGTCTCTATTTCCTTCAGTTCTGCTCTGATTTTAGTTATTTCTTGCCTTCTGCTAGCTTTTGAATGTGTTTGCTCTTGCTTTTCTAGTTCTTTTAATTGTGATGTTAGGGTGTCAGTTTTGGATCTTTCCTGCTTTCTCTTGTGGGCATTTAATGCTATAAAATTCCCTCTACACACTGCGTTGAATGCGTCCCAGAGATTCTGGTATGTTGTGTCTTTGTTCTCGTTGGTTTCAAAGAACATCTTTATTTCTGCCTTCATTTCGTTATGTACCCAGTAGTCATTCAGGAGCAGGTTGTTCAGTTTCCATGTAGTTGAGGGGTTTTGAGTGAGTTTCTTAATCCTGAGTTCTAGTTTGATTGCACTGTGGTCTGAGAGACAGTTTGTTATAATTTCTGTTCTTTTACATCTGTTGAGGAGAGCTTTACTTCCAAGTATGTGGTCAGTTTTGGAATAGGTGTGGTGTGGTGCTGAAAAAAATGTATATTCTGTTGATTTGGGGTGGAGAGTTCTGTAGATGTCTATTAGGTCCACTTGGTGCAGAGCTGAGTTCAATTCCTGGGTATCCTTGTTGACTTTCTGTCACGTTGATCTGTCTAATGTTGACAGTGGGGTGTTAAAATCTCCCATTATTAATGTGTGGGAGTCTAAGTCTCTTTGTAGGTCACTCAGGACTTGCTTTATGAATCTTGGTGCTCCTGTATTGGGTGCATATATATTTAGGATAGTTAGCTCTTCTTGTTGAATTGATCCCTTTACCATTATGTAATGGCCTTCTTTGTCTCTTTTGATCTTTGTTGGTTTAAAGTCTGTTTTATCAGAGACTAGGATTGCAACCCCTGCCTTTTTTTGTTTTCCATTTGCTTGGTAGATCTTCCTCCATCCTTTTATTTTGAGCCTATGTGTGTCTCTGCACGTGAGATGGGTTTCCTGAATACAGCACACTGATGGGTCTTGACTCTTTATCCAATTTGCCAGTCTGTGTCTTTTAATTGGAGCATTTAGTCCATTTACGTTTAAAGTTAATATTGTTATGTGTGAATTTGACCCTGTCATTATGATGTTAGCTGGTGATTTTGCTCATTAGTTGATGCAGTTTCTTCCTAGTCTTGATGGTCTTTACATTTTGGCATGATTTTGCAGCGGCTGGTACCGGTTGTTCGTTTCCATGTTTAGCGCTTCCTTCAGGAGCTCTTTTAGGGCAGGCCTGGTGATGACAAAATCTCTCAGCATTTGCTTGTCTGTAAAGTATTTTATTTCTCCTTCGCTTATGAAGCTTAGTTTGGCTGGATATGAAATTCTGGGTTGAAAATTCTTTTCTTTAAGAATGTTGAATATTGGCCCCCACTCTCTTCTGGCTTGTAGGGTTTCTGCCGAGAGATCCGCTGTTAGTCTGATGGGCTTCCCTTTGTGGGTAACCCGACCTTTCTCTCTGGCTGCCCTTAACATTTTTTCCTTCATTTCAAGTTTGGTGAATCTGACAATTATGTGTCTTGGAGTTGCTCTTCTCGAGGAGTATCTTTGTGGCATTCTCTGTATTTCCTGAATCTGAATGTTGGCCTGCCTTGCTAGATTGGGGAAGTTCTCCTGGATAATATCCTGCAGAGTGTTTTCCAACTTGGTTCCATTCTCCCCATCACTTTCAGGTACACCAATCAGACGTAGATTTGGTCTTTTCACATAGTCCCATATTTCCTGGAGGCTTTGCTCATTTCTTTTTATTCTTTTTTCTCTAAACTTGCCTTCTCGCTTCATTTCATTCATTTCATCTTCCATTGCTGATACCCTTTCTTCCAGTTGATCGCATTGGCTCCTGAGGCTTCTGCATTCTTCACGTAGTTCTCGAGCCTTGGTTTTCAGCTCCATCAGCTCCTTTAAGCACTTCTCTGTATTGGTTATTCTAGTTATACATTCTTTTAAATTTTTTTCAAAGTTTTCAACTTCTTTGCCTTTGGTTTGAATGTCCTCCCGTAGCTCAGAGTAATTTGATCGTCTGAAGCGTTCTTTTCTCAGCTCGTCAAAGTCATTCTCCATCCAGCTTTGTTCCATTGCTGGTGAGGAACTGCGTTCCTTTGGAAGAGGAGAGGTGCTCTGCTTTTTAGAGTTTCCAGTTTTTCTGTTCTGTTTTTTCCCCATCTTTGTGGTTTTATTTACTTTTGGTCTTTGATGATGGTGATGTACAGATGGGTTTTTGATGTGGCTGTCCTTTCTGCTTGTTAGTTTTCCTTCTAACAGACAGGACCCTCAGCTTCAGGTGTGTTGGAATACCCTGCCGTGTGAGGTGTCAGTGTGCCCCTGCTGGGGGGTGCCTCCCAGTTAGGCTGCTCGGGGGTCAGGTGTCAGGGACCCACTTGAGGAGGCAGTCTGCCCGTTCTCATATCTCCAGCTGTGTGCTGGGAGAACCACTGCTCTCTTCAAAGCTGTCAGACAGGGACATTTAAGTCTGCAGAGGTTACTGCTGTCTTTTTGTTTGTCTGTGCCCTGCCCCCAGAGGTGGAGCCTACAGAGGCAGGCAGGCCTCCTTGAGCTGTGGTGGGCTCCACCCAGTTCGAGCTTCCTGGCTGCTTTGTTTACCTAAGCAAGCCTGGGCAATGGAGGGCGCCCCTCCCCCAGCCTCGCTGCCGCCTTGCAGTTTGATCTCAGACTGCTGTGCTAGCAATCAGCGAGACTCCGTGGGCGTAGGACCCTCCGAGCCAGGTGCGGGATATAATCTCGTGGTGCGCCGTTTTTTAAGCCGGTCGGAAAAGCGCAGTATTCGGGTGGGAGTGACCCGATTTTCCAGGCGCGTCTGTCACCCCTTTCTTTGACTCGGAAAGGGAACTCCCTGACCCCTTGCGCTTCCCAAGTGAGGCAATGCCTCGCCCTGCTTCGGCTCGCACATGGTGCGCGCACCCACTGACCTGTGCCCACTGTCTGGCACTCCCTAGTGAGATGAACCTGGTATCTCAGATGGAAATGCAGAAATCACCGCCTTCTGCGTCGCTCACGCTGGTAGCTGTAGACCAGAGCTGTTCCTATTCGGCCATCTTGGCTCCTGTCCAATTTATATATTTTTTATTGTGATTATTGGTATATTGTATTTGGACTAATTTCTATCATTTAAAAAATCTTTCCTCTTGTTTTTGTTTTATTATTTTATTTTTTTTTAAGTCCAGTCAAGTGAAGCAGTGGGAGTGGAGAAAGAACAAAGAAATCTGTTGTAACTGGTTGTGGTCAATTAGTTGTAAATGCCACTACACTTGGATCAGCCTGTCTTTCCTCTTTATCATACTTTTTCTTTGTTCTTTTTGCCTTTTATTGGATTGGGCAAGACATACTGTTGTTAGTTTTTCTAATTCTCCTTTTTATCTCTCTACTAGTTCGGAGGTTGTACCTTTTATTTCTATTTCATTATTATTGTTATTCTTAACGTAATAAATGTGTACTTGATTTATAAAGTCTGAAGTGTCAGTATTATTCAGATCCTGAATATAGCAAGGATCTTAGAACACTTTGAGTTCTGATCTCCATCCTCTCATCTTTCCTCTCCTTATTTTCTAACATTATATAATGTTCCATGTTGTTTTAAATCACCACTCCAAATTATTTGTTACTATATAACACAGTTTTTGTTGTGTTTAGCTTTATCATGCTTATTTATCATGCTTTATTAGTTTTTTAAAAATTTCCATTGCTTCCTTCATTTTACTCATTTTCTGGGATTCAGCTTTCTATTTAATGAAGCAAAATTTTAGTAGTTCTTTCAGTGAAGATCTTTTAATGGTAAATATACTGACGTGTTTTTATTTTGCTTTCATTCTTGATTGATAATTTTGCTGGCTATGGATTCTAGATTGACTATTATTTTCCCTAAGTAGTTTGAAAATATAATTTTATTATCTTCTGTCCTCTTGGAAATGGGAAGTCTGCTGTCAACATGTTGCTTTTTTTGCTAGCTAATGCCTTTTTTTTCTCCTGAATGCTTTCAAGATTTTTCTCTGTATGTTTTGTGTTTACAATTCTATCATAATATATCTGGGTATGGATTTTGTTTTGCTTATCTCTCTTGAGATGTGGTATGCTTTTTTCAGTCTGAAGACATATCTTCAGTTCTGGAAATTCTCACTCCTCACCTCTCCAAATAGTGCCTCTCTACCATTCTCCTTAGTTCTCTTATATGGAATTCCTATTCCTGGCTCTCGTCATTCTATCAGCCATATCTCTTGACTGTTATTTTATTTTTTCCATCTCTTTTATTCTTTGATGTTGCCTTCTGAATAATTTCCTCAGACTTATTTTCTGATTCACTAAATCTCTTCCCAATTAAAATTTTTTGATCACTTAAAATGTACATAATACCTTTATGTTACTTTAAAATAAAAGGTGAAAGTTTTTCTTTTCACCCTTTTTACCTCAACTCCCTGTTCTCCTCCTCAAAGTCAGCCAATATTAATCAATTTCGTGTGCTGCCTTTCTCTTGTTTATGTTAACTGTTTTAAAGACAGACTGGCCTGGAAGCTCTTTAATGGAAAGAACTATTTTGCTTTTTGATATATTGCCATCTCTCATAGGAGTTAACATACAATCAGCAATCAATAGGTGCAGGAATAAATAGAGAGGAAGAAACTACGTGGTCATTTGAATCTTCATACCATAATTGCATAGTCATAGGTACAGAGTTTAGTCCCCAGATTTGCAAGTTTAGGAATTTTATTTTACCAGTTTACTGAGAACTTAGATTCACAATAATCAGATTTGAACAAAATGAGGCTGATACATCAGAATGCCCACTTACTTTTATGTTGAGATCAGTAACTGTCAACTGAATCAAAATATTTATAAATTGAGTGACTCCTAGAGGGAAATTTACACTGCAAACTAGATTACTATCAAAGTTTTCTTGCTGACTCCTGGGGACATTGACCTTAAGCTAAAGTACTCTCTTTTCTACTCTAAAGCTTTATTTGCCAAATAGGGCAGACTTTTCCCTCTATAGGGAAATTCTTGTTCTTGAATCCCTTTATCTGTTTAGACCACTTACTTCTTGTCAATTATGTCAGCATAATAAAGTTATCTAAAAATACTGAAACACAATTGGACAGATTTCAAGATTATTTATAGTACTTACATTACATTCATATTTCCCTAAAGAGAGATACCCTGATGACCTTGATTAGAACTGGATGGTCACTAAGGTTCTATCAGCAGTACGTTTGCAAACCATCTCTTAGGGTGGGTATTAATCTAATCTGTTATATAGCAAGAGTCATGGGTGAGTACTTTAGAAATGCCTTGGAACTCACAAAGCATACTTGTTATTTTTAAGCTTAGGATGGGAAAGGAAAACAATGGTTATTTATTTTAGAGGATGAGTGCACATGATGGCTTAGGTGGTACCAAATAGATAAGGGAAATCATCCTTAAGCCCAAGGGGCAACTGTGATGCCAGAAATTTGAGGTAAAAACCAGGAAGGAGTCTAGAAAACACTGGAAAGGATTGGAGAACAAAGGATAAGGGTAGGTACAGGATGAGAGAACCCAAGACATTTATCTTTAAATGGTGCTAGAGTACTCATGCTTTTCTTTTACTGGTCAATGGCTGTGCAGTGTAGATAAATTAGTCCAGTTTAATACTACAGAACTGTAAATGAGGATTGAAGAGGAGGAGCAGAAGGAAATGTTCATAAGACTAGCATCACAAATGTCAAGGAAGGAATAAGTTCCAAAAGAAAATGAATCTTTAACATCATCATGCTACTACTGAGAGGCCAAATAAGATATGGTTTAAAAGTGTCCATTAGATTGAAAAGCACAGAAGTCATTGGTGAATTTGGCGGTGGCAGTTTCATGAGAATGTTGGGGCAAATGTTAGATAGTAGGCTAAGGAGTGACTTGGAGGTAAGGAAGTAAAAATAGTAAAAGAATGTAATTGTAGCTAGAGGAGATCACAAGGTCAAGTGAAAGGGTTGTGTTTATGAATATGTGTATTAGACTTCCTTGGAAAAACAAAGAGTCAAGTCAGTAGTATAAATGTTTCTTAGATTATACATGAAAAGATAAAACCATTCATAATAATATAAATACCAGAGCAAAAGTGATTCTGTAATAATCACATGACACATGACAAATAATGACACATGAAATTTTTCTTGACTCTTTCCCCACAGTAATTCTACAAAGTCTTTGGTTCCTCAAAAACCTCCTTATTTTTTTGATCACGGTTTTCCTTCCTTAAAATAATGTTAATATTTAAAATTTTTAATTGTGGGAAAATGCATATAACTTACAGTTTATCTTCTTAACCATTTTTAAGTATACGGTTTAGTGGCATTGAGAACATTCCTGCTCTTGTGCTGCTGTCACCACTATCTATCCACAGAATTCTTTTCATCTCGTAAAACTGAAACTCTGTACCCATTATATTAACTCCCCAGTTTTCCATCCCCTTCAGCCCTTGACAACCACCTGAATTTGACTACTTTAGGTACCTAATATGAGTAAAATCATACACTATTTGTCCTTTTGTGACTGGCTTATTACACTTAGTGTAATGTTTTAAATATTCATCTATGTTGTGGCATGTGTCAGAATTTCCTTCCTTTTTAAAGCATAATATATTCCATTATATGTGTATACCACATTTTTCCCCATTCATGCATCAGTGGACCCTTAGTTTGCTTCCACCCCTTGGCTATTGTGAATAATGCTGCTATGAACATGGATGAACAAATACCTATTTGAGTCTTTGCTTTTAATTTTTTAGGTGTATAGCCAGAAGTACACTGGACCGTATGGTAATCCTATTTTTAATATTGTCAGGAACTACCATACTGTTTTTCATCACAGCTGGCTGTACATTTTAATTCCCAACAAGAGTGCACAAGGGTTCCAATTTCTCCACATCCTCACCAATGCCTGTGATTTTCTGCTTTTTTTTTTTTTTTAAATAGTAGTCATCCTAATGGATTTTGGGGTAGTATGTTGTGATTTGGTTTGTCCTGTTTTTATTAAAAGTCTAATATACAAAACTGTGCACTTTCAAAGTTGATCAATTAAATGTGTATAATAAAAGGATTTTTCTTATGCTTCAAAGTTTTTTTCCTCAAGGTTCTTATAAATAGAGCATTTCTTTAATGTTGTTGATCTATTGTCAAAAGTCTCTGCATCTAGTGAGGTATGCTTGTAATGAGGCAGTAATAGGCTTGTGTCTCAGCCTTGATTGGGTATATTGAGATCTTAATGGCAGTATGAGTAAATGGTGGGAGGATACGATCTTTTGTTTCTTTTACTCTCAGCTCTTCAGTTGCTCCTTCCTTGTTAACGAGAGTGATCCTATTTGTCATATTACAGTGGAAAAATAGTAGATACCTGATAGTGAGGTAAGATTAATCAGTTGGAGAAGAACATTCATAAAGTATTTGGAGAATCATTAGGTATTGTGTAGATTTAGCTGGCAGTATCTGGTTTCATAGAGGGCACAGGATTCATTGAGGACCTGTTTGAACCTCACAGGAGCCTCACTAAGTAGAAAAATGAACCCGTTTGTCATACTTGTTTCTGGCTCCCTTTAGTACATTGTTAACCCTGATCATAGAACTGGCCTCCAGCAGTACCAGCATCCCAAGTACTAAGATTATCATCCAAGGAAGCATAATGCTAGAAAGCAAAGCAAAGAAAGTATTTAACAACTAACTACTCAGTGAATTCCACATCATTCCCATATTCTGGGGAATGTTCCATCTTGCTTCTAATCATGAGGTACATGGCTCCCCAAAGCTGGGCCACCAGTATCTGTGGATGGCAGCTGAATGTTAGTTAGCTAGAGCCACCATAACAAAATACCACAGACTGAGTGGCTTAAACAACAGATGTTTTATTTTCTTATAGTTCTAGAAACTGAAGTCCAGGATCAAGGTGCTGGCAGGGTTGGTTTCCTCTGAGGCCTCCCTCCTTAGCTTGTGCTTGTGTGCTTGGCTGACTCTTCATGTGATTGTTCTGTGCACATGTATCCTTGGTGTCACTTTGTCCAAATTTCTTCTTTCTTTTTTTTTTTTTTTTTGAGAGAGGGTCTCACTCCCTGTGCCCAGGCTGGAGTGCAGTGGCATGATCTTGGCTCACTGCAGCCTCAACCTCCCCAAGCTCAGGTGATTCTCCTACCTCAGCCTCCTGAGTAGCTGGGAATACAGGCGTGTGCCGTCATCCTGGGTGATTTTTGTATTTTTTGTAGAGACGGGGTTTCACCATGTTGCCCAGGCTGGTCTGGAACTCCTGGGCTCAAGTGATTCACCCGCCTCAGCCTTCTGAAGTGCTGGCATTACAGGCATGAGCCATGGTGCCAGCCCCAAATTTTCTCTTCTTATTAGGACACTATTCAGATTGTATTAGGGCTCATGCCAATGGCTTCATTTACTCTAAATTACCTCTTTAAAGCCCTTATCTCCTAATATATCCACATTCTGCAGTACTGGAGGTTAGGGCTTCAACATACACATTTTTGGAGAACACAATTCACCCCATAACAACAGCCAATACCCAGTAACAAAAAAAAAAGTGCTGGATTTGAGGAAACTCAGAGTGTTGTGATGAACTCTTGGGGTGCACTGTGGTTGGTGTTTTTCAGAATTTCCTGAATAATGAAGTTAGGATCCCATGGTCCCCCGGCCTAACTTTACCAGCTCATCTCAGATCACTTTGCCAAAAATGTCTCTTTAGTCATGAATGAGGATCCATCCATTGCTTGGCTAGTATATCACAGAAGAGGCTTGAAAACACCTTATCTACACGGACTCACTAGCTAAGATAAGAATATGCTGTTTTGTAGACAGAGTTTTAAAATTTTTTGAAGGTGGTTTCAACTGAACACTAAACCTAATTAACGAGATGGATTTTTGATAACACAAGCTGTCTTTTCATCAGTCAGAGATTTTCAGATATTTCCAGTCCACTTCTCATGACTTTTCTAACAATAAATTGTGGCATTGATTTCAGCTCCCATAGATTGACCCAAAGTCACATAAAGATGAAACTGGGACTAGAATTTTACATCTTTTACCCTGGCAGAAGATTGTATTAGGGCCCATGCCAATGGCTTCATTTACTCTAAATTACCTCTGTAAAGCCCTTATCTCCAAATATATCCATATCCTGGGGTACTGGAGATAAGGGCTTCAACATATTGATATTGGAGGAACACACTTCAGTCCATAACAACAGCCACTATCACAACTAAGCAAATTTCAGTAATATGGCTGCAGCTGATTATCAGAATATCACCTTTTACTTCTGAGTGTGCTCCTGGATTCTGGTAATGTGAAACGGTCTCTCCTCATTTAGTTGGTAGCCAGTGGGTAGGGCATAGTCCCTGTGTTCCCTCCTGTCCAGAAAATATTTTACAGACTGGGTTCTCTACTAATAACAATCATGGTTTTGTTCACATTTGGCGCCTCTTTTTTTTTTTAACCTTATTTACAATAATCAATAGGGATGAAAAGTGTAGTTAAGTATATAGTAGACATCTTTTGCTTTTCATTTTTCTTGATTTCTCCTATTGATGTTTATTGTCAATATCAGGACTAAGGAGAGAAGACCATTACCGTTCATATGGATGACATAAAAGTTCACTGCTGGAGATGCCTTATGAGAAGAGAACAAGTCCCCAAACAGCTTGAATTGAATGTTCATTTGGTTCCTAGTTGACAAGCTATGTGATAATTTGTGGTGTTTTCAAAGATAAGAAATAGAATAATAATAGTAGTAGCTAATATTTTATTGGGCCAAGAATTTTTCCAAGTATGTTACCTATGTTAACTCATTTAATCATCTTAATATGCCTGTGACATAAGTACTATTGTTGTCCCTGTTTTACAAATGAGAAACTAAACATAGAGAGGTAAAATAAGTTATCTGATATCACTTAGCTGGAAAGCGGTAAACCTCTTATTTGAACTCTGGCTGGCTGACTCCAGAGAGACTGTGATCACAACCATTATATTATTATGTTTCAATGCTAATGAAGAAAATACAGGAGAGGAGTAGGCTGGTGACCCAAGATAAAAGACAGGATTAGTTGAAAATTTTATGGTGTAGATTGTGTTTTAATCCTTCTGCAAAATTAACAGAAAGCTGTAGTATTTATTAGTATATTCTAATTGTATGTATGTTTATGTCTAACAAACATGTAAGACATATAATCTATTCTTTTAACAATCAAAATGATATTTTCCTACTCTAGAATTGCTTTAAGTTAAATCTGAAACATAGTCATTAAAATTACCTATAAACTCTTCCTATTCCCACCACCAACTTAAAAAATAAAAGATTTCTAGTATTCTGAATAGATCAAATTTTAATTCTGAACTTTGTCCAAACTTTTATCAAAAGTTTTTATGTTTAATAGTTATATGTAATTAGTATAGTTAACCTATATGTATTTATTATAGTGAGCTTGCAAATTTTTATCTCTGAAGGGAAAATAGGAACATAAAATTTTAGCAATTAATTTTGCTTAAATTGTTTAATTGTTCTTTCACCATTTTAACTATATATGGCATTTTTTTCAAAATCTAGGACTGATGGCTAGCTCTCATTTGCATAGCTGATTTTCCAAATTAACTATAGAAAACGTATAATTTTAGTTTTACTTGTAATAAATAATCCCCCCCAAACGTGCTCTAAGATCCAAGACTTTTTTTCCTTAGTGTTTCCTCATTGTGGATTTGATACATTTTCACCGAGTTTATCAATAACATAACTTAAATTCATCATCAGCAAAATCCAATTTGATAATATCGTTCAGACATGTCACTGTATTAAAATGAGAAGCACAGAGCTTTGAGCCTCCAGAGTGGTCTGAAGTTGAATTCTGCTTCCATCCATTCACCAGCTTTGTTACCTAGATAGGTTAATTAGCCTTTTTTGTGTTTGTTTCCTAATATGGAGTTAAAACAGTTGCTTTATTAAGCTATAGAGATCAAAGGAGATAGCATTTATTCAGTCCCTTGTATTTAGTGGATGCTCGATAAATGATTTTGTTATCCTCAATAACAATGTAAGTGGTTCATAATATTTAAACCTTGACTCATTTATTAGCTATAGAGAATATAAAAGTGAATTTTTAATATAATATTATAAACATTTCCACTTCTTGCAATTCCTTTTAAAACTTTTTTTCACACTCTCTACAACTGTTTTAAATATTATATTAATATAAAACATTGTCTTGCCAGAAGGGACCACAATTTATTCAGTTCTGTGGGTTGTAAGTCATTATTTATAAATATCCAAGAACATATTTAAGTGTTTTGAATTTCTAGAATTTAAATTTTATTTTTTTTTTCTGAGATGGAGTCTCGCTCAGTTGCCCAGGCTGGAGTGCAGTGGCGCCATCTTGGCTCACTGCAAGCTCCGCCTGCCGGGTTCACGCCATTCTCCTGCCTCAGCCTCCTGAATAGCTGGGACTACAGGCGCCCGCCACCACGCCCAGCTAATTTTTTTGTATTTTTAGTAGACACGGGGTTTCACCGTGTTAGCCAGGATGGTCTCGATCTCCTGACCTCGTGATCTGCCCGCCTTGGCCTCCCAAAGTGCTGGGATTACAGGCGTGAGCCACCGTGCCCAGCCTTAGAATTAAATATTAAACTGGAATATTTTAGATTTCTTTCCTTGTTCCTGAATCTGCAACTTTATTTTTCCTAAATAGGAGATAAGTTTTATTTGAATTTTTAAAATTCAAATTGAAAATTTAGTCCATTTTAATTCATCATTTAAAAATTTCATCAGATTATTCTGTTTTGTCTCTAAAAACTTGAGTGGCGGTTTATCACAACCAGTTACAGATTTCTTTGTTCCTTCTCCACTCCCACTGCTTCCTTTGACTGGCATTTGGGGGAAAATTTTTTTTTAAACCTTGAGTGGCATGGTCTTTTTTTTTTTTTCTTAAAGAGATATATTGATTTGTATTTACTATTGAGCTATATAGAAATGAAATTTGTTTAATTCAGATTAATATTAATGCTAATTGTTCATGGATAAATAGAATACTGAGAGTGCCTATGTGACTGAGTCAGGGCCGCTAGTGAGTGTCAGTTCTGTTAACCAACTTGCTTTGTGGCTCTGATAAAGATAAAACAACTACATTAGTGTTTGAACGTACATGAAATAATTTGCCAGAAGCATTTGATAAAAGACAGCTTTTTTTTTGCTTACATATAAAAGCAATAGTTTAACTGTTTTAAATGGACTATTTCATTTGATTTTGTAAAATAATTTAAAGGCAAGAAGATGGTAGTGGTTGTCCTTTTATTGGTGGGAAAAATATGAGTTCCAGAATCAAACCCAAAGAGATTTGGATACCTACCACCACTCACTGTGTAATCTTAGGCAAGTATCTTAAAACATTGGACTTTGGTTTCTACATCTGAAAAGTGGTTATTATATAACAGCTAATATTTATTGAGCATGTACCGTGTGCCCTATGTTGTGCTAAACACTGTAGATGCATTACTTAATTCGAACGGTAACTTTATGAGGTTAACGCTGCTTTATCCCCATTTCACAGGTAAGGAGCTGAGATACAGAGAAGTAGGCAACTTGATCAAGGTCGCAAAACCGAATTTAGGGTGTTAAAGCTGGGCTACGTAATTAAATTCAGGGAGATAGTGTATGTAAAGCAGGGTCAGACTTAAGTGTTCAGTAAGTCATTATGTGTTGTTATTGATGCTGTCATAAAGGAAACCAGAGCACATCCAGCTGTGAGCTGCAGATTACATCCTGCTTCAACATCTGTTCCCCAAAACTCATTCCAGAATTTAAGAGTGAAATTTTAAGATTATAAACCACTTGAGGATAATGGACCATGTCTTATTTTTTTAAATATTTCATAGCTTCATATGCATTTGAACAAATATGCATTTAATATATACTTACTGTAATTGTTATGAATTTCTTTTTAAAGGACAAATATGAATATATTTATAAATTTTAAAAATGGCCATTGTCTAAAAGATATTTTTCCCAAGGGCTAATTTCTTGATTCCATCATTCTTTTAAAGAGTTGCCATTGAAGGGTGATTTTAGGACTTTCATTCAAAAAGCCTTTTGTCTTCATACTGTACAAGAAAAAAAGAATGAGAAAACTTTAGAGAAGGCTGACCTCTCAAGAATTTTGTGTGGGGAATTACTAAGGCATTTTCTCTATTTTATTTTCTGTATATTTTCAACAAGCTGTATTTCTAGTGAGTAAAAGTTTGCAATTTTTTTGTGCCAGGCCACATTCCATTCTCATATTCAGAGTTCATAGGATGTAATGAAGTCTAAATTCAACCCCAAGTTGACTGCATTTTAATAAAGTTGTCCAGTCCATTCTGGGCTCAGTTTACCTCCAACCATCTTTCAAAATAACAAATTTTATCATATATCCTATAACATATATTGTTGTTTTAAAAAGTAACATATATAGTTTTTATCTGATTATAAAAGTAATATAGCTGTGAATGAAGATGAGATCCCAATAAACCTTTCTTCATTAGAATACAATTCTGTGATATTTTGTGAAATAACTAAATATTTACATTTAGAACAAATTACTTCTTTCTTAGAAACTTAAAATTCCTGTGTTTCTTAATTTGTTTACAAGTAGCCATTGAAAAGTTGGAAGAGATGGCCAGACGGACAAGAATGATATATTTTTCTTCCTTTATTATCTCCCTGTGCCTGGTCAGGATTTGTTTCTTTCATGCCCTCTTTAGAACTGTGAGGCTTTGAGCTACTCTGGATCGTTCACCATTGTATCCAGGGGCCCAGGTCTCAAATAGTTGTTGAATGAGAGAATAAAGGGTCACTTGCTCTGATCTGGGCATCTTTAGTACATATTTTACATTTTTATTTACTCATCAAATACACTGTGAGGGTTGGACATTCACTAGAGTTTGTCTCATCCTCTGGAGTCTAATATAGTATGTTAAACTTACTAGCCTCATAATATAGAACATCTTGTTTTATCTGATTTTCTCGCCCTCTTTTATGGACAGTTCAGATTATTTCTAAAGCCGTAAAAAAGAATAGGTATAAAATATTCCACATGGCTGATAGTTTGTTTTCTTTCTTTTTCTCTTTTTTTTTTTTTTTTTGAGACGGAGTGTCGCTCTTTTGCCCAGGCTTGAGTGCAGTGGCGCGATCTCGCCTCACTGCAAGCTCCGCCTCCCGGGTTCACGCCATTCTCCTGCCTCAGCCTCCCGAGTAGCTGGGACTACAGGCGCCCGCCACTACGCCCGGCTAATTTTTTGTATTTTTAGTAGAGACGGGGTTTCACCGTGTTAGCCAGGATGGTCTCGATCTCCTGACCTCGTGATTTGCCCGCCTCAGCCTCCCAAAGTGCTGGGATAACAGGCGTGAGCCACCGCGCCTGGCCTGATAGTTTGTTTTCACTTGGTTACCAAGTTAGAACACACTAGTTTGTTTCCCTTGCCTTTCTAAAGGATTGGTTTAACTTATCTAGATAGCTTTGTCTTCATGTTTTAAGCAAATTATGTATGGATCCTTCTCCATATGTATTATCCAAGCAAATTATGTATGGGTCCTTCTCCATATGTAGTATTCCTCAGGGCTTTTTTGGAGGGTTAAGAGGTTTTTGTTTTTTTTTTTTTTTGTATTTTAAAATTACTTGTTGGGAGAAAAACTTTTTCTATGAAATAGTATTCTTATGGAGGTTGTTATATATTCTTAAAGATGTTCTGTATGTGTGCCCCCTCCAAGGGACCTTTAAAAATTTGACTATGTCCCGAAAAACTATTTATGAAAGCTCTCCCGCAAGTGTAATAAAGGCCAAATAGTCTAAGGATGTAATTAAGATTATTGAGAACAGTTAATTATCAAGTCTGACAGAATCAAGTAGTGGCAAGGATGTGAAGACCCAGAGACAGTGTTGTAATTAAAAGCCATTAGGAATCTAAAAGTTAACCGAAGTGGCTTGATTTCTCATTAGTTAATATCAATATTTACTTATTTTATAGCTTGAAACTACAGATGATTTCCAACTTATAATGGTTTGTTTTAGGATTTTTCAATTCTATGATGGTGCAAAGCATTTAGCACAATCCTTGACTTACCATGGGGTTAGGGTTATCTTCTGATAAACTCATCATAAATTAAAAATATTACAAGTCAAAATGCACATCTACTTAGGATGTTTTCAATTTACGATGGGTTTATCGGGGTGTATCCCCATTATAAGTCAAAGAGCATCTTTATTAGATGATGATGATGATGATAGTTGTTACTGTCACTGTTATAATTGACATATACTGTATAGTACTTGCTGTATTTCATATGCTGTTGTAATGACTTTTCTTATAGTAATTAATTTAATTCTTGCAGTAGCCCTACGAAGTAGGGACAGTTATCCTAACTTAACAGATAAGAAGATAAATCACATAAAAGTTAAGTAACTCACCAAGGTCACACAGCTAGACAAAACTCACACAGTTGAGGCAGACAGTACTCAGAGGCACTACACTGTACCAAAATGACAGGCTGGTTTACTTTCCTTTTTTTTTTTTTTTTCCAAAAGAAAAACAGTATTCATGCTGAAAGTATGGAAAAAATATTTAGTATAAGAAAATGAGAATTAATACTTTACTACTAGAAGTAAAAATATGTTCTTCCCTTCATTATTTTTATGGCCGGGTGCTGTGGCTCACACCCATAATCCCAGAACTTTGGGAGCCTGAAGTGGGAGGATCCCTTGAGTCCAGACGTTTGAGACGGGCCTGGGCAACATGGGGAGACCTCTTCTCTACCAAAATAATTTTTTAAAATATTAGCCCGACTTGGTGGCGCTTGCCTTGTAGACCCAGCTACTTGGGAGTCTGAGGTGGAAGGATTGCTTGAGCCCAGGAGGTTGAAGCTGCATTGAGCCATGATCACACCACTGCACTACAGCCTGGGCGACAGAGTGAGACCTGGTCTCAAAAAAATAAATTTAAAAAGTTGTTTTATTTCTGTGTTTGTCATTTGTTATTTTTTTGTCAATCAGTGTTATTTTCACAATTTATGTAATCTATTGATTTTTCATAGAGCTGTAGGCTGATAGTTCAAGCAATGTTATTTGAATTTAGTCAAAATCTTTTATTAGGATATCTTTTAAGTGGCTAATAGTTTCATCAGTTGTCTGTTTGGACTGGTTGAACATTTCTGTGGGAAATACTCAAGCTTTGTCTGGAGCTTAAAAGATATGAAGTATAAATGCACTTCACATTTCTGTCTACTTTTTGAGAAATCTGTATTATTGTATCTTAAAATGTGAACTATAACTTCACGTGTAAGAATGCTTATAGTTGTTGATTAATTGATGTTATAAGCATGAATTTAAATAAGCAAAAACATTTTAATAAGTTGACCTCCGTTGAATTAAGTTTCTGGTTTTATAATTTTTAATTGATTTTTAAAAATATTATAAACCTGTAAGCTTATTAAACAATAAGTTACCTCTTGTGGTATGGGTATGTTTTGGGAGAAAGTTCAAGGTATTGGTTTTTTCTGAAATCATTTATTCCCCCCCTTTGTTTTTATTTTATTTTTTAGGATTTTGGCCCCAAACAGTAATTATCAAGATGTTGAGACCCTCTATAACTTCCTAATCAAGTATGAGGTATGGGAAATATTTTAAAATATTTATCACATTTCTACTTTAAACAAATTTTAATGTAAATAAACAGAGTAGGAGTTCTCAAACATAGTGGAATGCTATTTAATTGATATTTGCTTTAAATTATTGAATGCCATAAAAGTTTGTCAGTGACATATTCTTTTTTTCTCACTTTTAAAAAATGGTATATTTAAGGTATATAGCATGGTGTTTTGATATGTTATACATAGTGAAATGGTTTCTGTAGGTAAGTAAATTAACATATCAGCTATCTCACAGTTAACCCTTTTTGTGTATGTGACAAGAGCAACTAAAATGTACTCTTTTAGCAAAAATTTTGAATATAATACAGTCTTATTAACTATAGACTTCATATTGTATGATCTCTAGGCTTGTTCATCCTATGTATCTGCAGCTTCCTATCCTGTGATCTACAACTGTCCATTTCATCCCCTCCTCCCTGCCAGTGACATATTCAATTTTTTCTTTGATTCCCTAAGTAAAAATATGAGAGTCCTAAAATAACACGCTTTCCTCAGTGCGAAATTGTTTCTCATCAGGGGTGCTGTTGGCATATTGGACAGGTCATTTCTTCATTGTGTGGAACACTGCAGGATGTTTAACATCCCTATACATCAGGTACTAAATGCCTGTAGCGATACCAGTTGTTGTGACAACCAAAAGTATTCCATCTCCCCATCCAACTTACATACCCAGAATACCTCACAAAGGAAGAACTCCTGGTTGAGAAATAGTTATTACTGGAAAGGAGAGCTATAATTTAGTTTCCTCTATAGTGGCAGCATAAACCCTGGAGGTAGAACTATAATGAGGCTTCAGTGTATTTTGTAAATTAACCTGCATGCTCTCCTCATCATTACTGAACCGAAGCGGGTATTCTGTTGTCAATTTCTGTGTGCTTAATGCTCTTTGTTTATGTTTCCTGTAATAGTATTACTTTCAATTTTGTGTGTATATGTGTTTAATTTTTAAAACATTCTAAATGAAGGAATGTGGCATATATTCAGGTCTCAAATTTCTTATGAAGTCAAACTCCTTTAAATATATTTCTTCACTTTTATTCCTGGTTAGCTCTTTGTTTAACTTTCTGTATGCCACATCTTCCATTAAGAACCCAGTGATTAAGAACACAGACTCTGAAGTCAAACTACCCGTGCTTAAATGTTGGTTCTTCTACTTATTAACTGTGTGATCTAGGAAGAGTTATTTAATTCTCCTTATCTCAATTTCTTCATCTGTGAAATGAGAGTAACAATAGTAGGTAAATTATTTGTATTCTGCAAAGATTAAATAATGTAAAATATGCAAAGTGCTCCAAACAGTACCAGGCACAGAGAACTAGTCTTGGCCAGGCTTGGTGGTTCACGCCTGTAATCCTAGCACTTCGGGAGGCTGA
Source organism: Homo sapiens (assembly GCF_000001405.40). Lineage (NCBI taxonomy): Eukaryota > Metazoa > Chordata > Mammalia > Primates > Hominidae > Homo > Homo sapiens. Next base: position 185,272,804 of record NC_000001.11, read on the forward strand.
GGTCAGTGGATCGCTTGAACCCAGGAGTTCAAGACCAGTCTGGGCAACACAGTGAGACCCCATCTCTCTAAAAAACAAACAAAATTAGCCGGCATGGTGGCATGCACCTGTGGTCCCATCTCCTTGGGAGGCTGAGGAGAGATTATTTGAGTCCGGGAGGTCAAGGCTGCAGTGAGCCATGTTCATACCACTGCACTCCAGCCTGGTTGACAGAGCAAGACCCTGTCTCAAAAAAAAAAAGGGGGAGGGGATGGTTAACTAGTTTTATTTAAGCAATGAATGGTGTTTATATGGGCTTTTTAAGAGTCAGCCTTAATTTGGCTGAGCGCCGTGGCTCACAGCTATAATCTCAGCACTTTGGAAGGCCAAGGCAGGTGGATCACTTGAGGTCAGGAGTTTGAGAACAGGCTGGCCAACATGATGAAACCCCATCTCTACTAAAAGTACAAAAATTAGCTAGGAGTGGTGGCATGGGCCTGCAATCCCAGCTACTCGTAAGGCTGAGGCAGGAGAATTGCTTGGACCTGGGAGGTGGAGGTTGCAGTGAGCCGAGATTGCACCACTGCACTACAGCCTGGGTGACAGAGTGAGACTCTGTCTCAAAAACAGTAAAAATAGGCTGGGCGCGGTGGCTCATGCCTGTAATCCCAGCACTTTGGGAGGCTGAGGCAGGCGGATCATGAGGTCAGGAGTTCCAGACCAGCCTGGCCAACATAGTGAAACCCCGTCTCTACTAAAAATACAAAAAAATTAGCCGGGTATGGTGGCGGATGTCTGTAATCCCAGCTACTCAGGAGGCTGAGGCAGGAGAATTGCTTGAACCCAGGAGGCGGAGGTTGCAGTGAGCCAAGATCACACCACTGCACTCCAGCCCAGGCGACAGTGTGAGACTCTGTCTCAAATAAATAGATAAATAAAAATAAAAGAGCCTTAATTCTTTATCACCACATTATATGATTATTAAGAGAACTTCCTCTTTTGAAATGATTCATATAATTATTTCATCTTACTTTCTGAATTTCAAATCAAAACATCAAGTCTAACAAAAATGTATTTGTAGAACTGGGCATGGTGGCTGTGATCCCAGTGACTCAGGAGGCTGGAGGTGGGAGGATCGCTTGAGGCCAGGTGTTCAAGGCTGCAGTGAGCCATGATCATAGCACTGCACTCCAGACTGGGTGACAGAGCATGACTCCAGCTCTAAAATATATATGAACAATAGGACAGTTTTAAAATCACATACCCTGGAAAATTCTGGGGCATAGTTCTTTTTAATTTAGTACTTTCTATTGCCAAGAGTATTAGAAGAAAGTACCTAACTTATTAATTATAAGAATATGTGGATCTGTTGCTTCATGATATCTTGTGATATAAAGAAACAAGAAAAAAATTTAAAAATTAAAAAATAAGAATATGTAGATCTAAGAATCATATGTTGTATATATTATATATAGATGTCAGATATATGTAATATATATTATATATAGATGTCAGATATATATATTTTATATATATATTATATATAGATGTCAGATATATATATATTTGTCACAGTCATGACCCACTAGATCCTTGAACTCCTAGGTCAAGCAATCTTCCTACCTCATCCTCCCAGGTAGCTGGGACTACAGGCATGCATCATCGTGCCTGGCTGATTCACAGATTTTTAAAATCATTTCTCTTAAAAGAATTGCTTTTCCTACATCAGTTACTACATTGGAGATATTTGTCTAATATTAAAAATGGTGGTAGGACTGTCTAAATCTTTTAAGGAGTTTGACTATTTTTATACTTCTCCTTTGCCTTTTCTTGAATTTTTTAATTAAAAAGAAGCCATTTCTAATATCTGGCTTTTACTGTAAGTAGTACAGCTAAAAGGTAATGATACCCATTTCACAATTCGTTTTATAGTCACAACTCTAATGTTTGCTGACAGTGGCATGTTTTAGCTATTTTTTTCCCCTGGAAATTAAAATTGTTCATTTAAGCATGGAGATGATATTTAGCAGTGTAATTTAAAATGTCTCAATATGGGTAAGTGAAAATGTCTTCATAGTCAAAATTAATTAATATGGTGAAACAAGATCAGGCCAGACCATCATGAGACTGTGCTTCAGTTTTTCTTTATTAGTAAAGTAACTCCTACTTTGTAAATTATCTACTATAACCTGGAATTATGTCACCTTTATACTTCCAGCTGTGTTCTTGGATAAATGTCTAAATGTATGTGGATGGTTGCTTTTACAACTAGAGATAAATGTAGATACTTAAAAAAAGATCTATTAAAAGCTTAATATAAATTATTTTATATTCATATTTAACAGGTTCAAATTCAGTTTTTCAGCTGATTTTTCTCAATAGTTGTAGAAAATGGATCATTCGCTTCATCCTCTGACCAAATGTCTGCAGTGTGTTGACATTTGGTGGCCCGTGTTCTGATACATTGATGGTCCCAGAATGTGTGGCTATAGTAACAATATCAACAGCCCTTAGGAGAAGGCAGAACATGTAAAGAAGAAAGAAGTGGACTGGTTGATAGTTTAAATGAATTTTTTATAACATTTTTAGAAGATTCTCTTAAAAATTATGGTAAATTATATACCAATTTCATATAATCATTAAATATAATATCAAATATTATATAATTAAATAATACTAAATATATAAATATATACTAATTTTAAGCAATATATCCATGTTCATTTAAATATTTGAAAACTATATATATGTGTGTACATATATATATAATTTTTCTTTTTTTAAATAGAGACGGGTCTCACTATGTTGCTCAGGCTAGTCTCAAACTCCTGGGTTCAAATAATCCTCCCACCTTGACCTTCCAAAGTGCTGGGATTACAGGCATGAGCTGTTGCACCTGGCCAAAAAAACTGTATATTTTTAAACTTACAGTGAATGAAACATTTTCTACACAAATATGGTAAACTTTCTATGAAAACATTGAAGAAAGTCATGGAATTTTTGCCAATAAGCAATACATTGAATCATATAGAAGACTTTTATGATAAGAATCTTTAAATTAGTAGTAATTAAATTAGGGGGTATCATTCTTCCCCACCAAAAAATGCATGCCAGCTAGCAACACTTAGAAATGTTTTTTAAGTAAATTGAATAGAAATTAGCCTTACTGTTTCCTTTTACTAATTCTAATTTTCTGAAAATTTAGTCAATATATTATTTGTTATCTGATCAAAATAATTTTTCTCTGCAAGTTTTCAGATTCTTCCCTGCATATAAATAGGAATATTGTCTAAATGAATAGTAAGTTTCAAGATTCCTTCACTGTGTCTTCCATATGTGTGCCATAGCTAGTTTTTATATGATGAAAGATTTTTATATTTATGGTATTATAAATTATATCTCTGATATAGATATTTATTAACTTAAACCTATTAGTTTAAACATGTAGACCTCAATAATCTGAAAAATATATTTCTTCAGAAAATGTCTGTAAATCAAACTTTTTCCTAAACCAGATAGAACTGTCTGCAGTTTATAATCTTATTTGTGTTTTTCTGTCCATTTGATCTCTACTGTGTCTAGGCCCATCTCACCTCTGCTGGTTCTACTAACAGATTAAGATATAATAGTGGGATTCATATTTTTGCATACAGTTCCATGTTAGCATTATAGTCGTTGCACTTCTTATTGTTGCTGTTTAATCCTTTTTATGCAATAACTAGAAATTTGAACTTTCCTCTCAGAATATGGGCTACTCTAATTTTGCTGTCATCACTCACTTTAATATATATTTTTAATAACTATATCTTGGTTCCTTTCAGGTAAATAAAAATGTCAAATTTACTGCCCAGGAAATTTATGATTGTGTTTCTCAGACTGAGTATAGGTAAGTCATATCTATATATAGATATAAACCATTGTAACAAGCTTTTCCATATACAGCAGCACTTGGTGGTGGTGGTGGTGGTGATGTGTTTTTTCATTGTCTTTTCACTACACTGTTTTTTTTTACCTTACTAATATTAAATATTTCCTATATACAAAAAGGTCATGTGTTGTGTGTTTATCAGCTATTAGGTTTAAAGTGGTTCTCCAATTTTTTGGCCTCAAGACTTTGTTACATTTTTTAAAATTATCGAAGATCCCAAAGAGCTTTTTTTTGTATGGGTCATTATCTAGCTATATTTGCTGTATTAAAACTTAGAACTGAGAATTTTAAAATGTTTATTTATTAATTCATTTAAAAATAACAACTACATGTTAAGATAAATAAAATATTATGAAAATGTTAAAAGTGACATTGTACATTTTTGCAAATCTTTTAATGACTGGCTTAATAGAAGGCAGTGGGATTCTTACAACTGCTTTTGCATTCAATCTGTTTTGATAAGCATGGCCGGATTGCGGGAAAAGTACTGTTCACTTTTGTGAGAGCAAGAGTACAAACGACAAATCACATCTTAGTCTTTATTTATTTATTTATTTGTTTATTTATTTGTTTTTTTTTATTTTTTCTTTGACACAGAGTTTTGCTCTTGTCGCAAATGGTGCGACAATGTGCAGTGGAGCGATCTTGGCTCATTGCAACCTCTGCCTCCCAGGTTCAAGCGATTCTCCTGCCTCACCCTCCCAAGTAGCTGGGATTATAGGCACCCACCACCATGCCCGGCTAATTTTTTGTATTTTTAGTAGAGACGGAGTTTCACCATGTTGGCCAGGCTGGTCTTGAACTCCTGACCTCAGGTGATTCACCTGCCTCAGCCTCCCAACATGCTGGGATTACAGGCTTGAGCCACCGCACCTGGCCACATCTTAGTCTTATTATGGAAATAGCTTTGACTTCTTTGACCTCGCATACCCTCTGAGAGAGTCTTAGATTCCCTGTGGTCCCCAGACCATGTTTTCAAGAACAACTGATATAAAAAATACCCATCTGCCTACCATTCAACTAACAAACTTGAATTTTACCCATTTCTAGCTGTAACCTACCTTTTATTCTCTCTCAAGGGATTGTATCTTTATAGTTCTCATCTTTTTTTTTTGTGGTTTTACTGTTATTTATAACAAAAATAAGTTGATTTATTTTGCTGATTTTTGAACTTAAATGTATCACACTATATACTTTTTTTTCCAAAATGATTTGTTTTATAGCATTCATACATAACAAAAAGGGCAAGTATTATAAATCCAATTCTTTTTTTTTAATCTTCTTTTTGTCTTTTTTTGAGGCAGGGTCTCACTATGTTGCCCAGGGTGGTCTCGAACTCCTGGACTCAAGCAGTCCTCCTGCCTTGGCTTCCCAAAGTACAGGGATTGATTACAGGCATGAGCCACCATGCCCAGCCGCAAATCCAATTCTTACATACACAGGGTATAGTTGTGAAGCCTTTGCTGTGGGCTAATGCTTGTGTACCCTCCAAACTTATACATTGAAATCTAATCCCCAATATGATAGTATCAGAAGATGGGGCCTTTGGGAATTGGATTAGTACCTTTATAAAAGAGACTGCAGAGCATTGGCTAATTCCTTCCCTTCTGCCATGTGAGAACACAGAGAAGGCACCATCTGTGAGGAAGAGGACCCTCACCAGACACCAAATCTGCTGGTGCTTTGATCTTGAACTTCCCAGCCTCCAGAACTGTGAGAAATTTATCTTGTTTGTAAGCTCCCCAATCTAAGATATTTAATTATGGCAGCCTGGACAGTCTAAGATGTCCCTCTAATTCTAGGCCCAGGCAAATTCATGAGGAGCTAAAACTGTTTAATTCCTTCACTGTTGCCTTCCAATACCCTCCACCACTACATATTCCATTTTAGCTTAACATCAGGATTGATCCATGTTGACACATGGGGCAGTAATTGGTTTTCAGTGAGTTCTGTTGTAACACGACATGTGCATTCGTAAATGTCGCCACTGCATTGTATAGTCATGCAATAAAAACCACAAGGTTTATGGGAAAAATGGGATTAGGAGCATAACACTTAACCTCATTTGGGACACATTTTTAAAAAGGTAGGAACTTAATAAAAGTATCACTAAACCACAGTTCATTTGCTATATATAACTTACCTGTGTACCTGTGTGGCTACAAAATATTATGAACAGGCCTAGCAACAAAGTTAACTAGCAAAATGCTTCTACTGTTAAAGCTCCAGACTGATAAATTTGTTTGAGGATATCAGATGTAGGATTGATAGTCATACACAAATGTTTCAACACAACTATGAAAGTTCACCAACTCATTAGATTAAAATAAGTTTTTCAAGAAAATCTGAAGCCAGTTGGCATACACAAATCTGTTACAGTTGGGGGAGAAAATGTTTTCTTGCCCTAATCTTCAGATTATCAATGAATCGGTTTTACTCATATAGATTTTTACAGATAATCCACATTTAAAATATTGTGTGAGATGTGTCAAAAATATAACATCTTCCAACCTTAGCCGTATTTTTTAGTGTAAAAAGCTTATTGTAGATACATGGAGGCCACAATTTCTTGAAGCATGATCCTAGTAGACGTCTAGAATTGTTTTGATTTTAGCTTACTTTTAGATTAGTTGGCAGAGTTTTTATTGGGGGAAGTTCAGGAGTCAGGTCAAATGTTCATAGTTAAAGTAGTTGTACTATTTTTTTTCTTTGTTTTCTTTCCATTTATTATGTCAGGGATTTAAACTATGAAGTTAATGAGTAAACCCTCTTTTATACCCAGAAGGATGATTTTAAAGAGAAATCAAATATATTTAATATGTTGCAGGCATTGAAAAATGGTAATTGCTGCTCAGCAAGCTTTCAGTTAATACTATTTAGATCTTTTGGGTTTTTTGTGAAATTATTTGCCAATATTTAGAGTACACAGTATCTTCCATATTTGTCTCTGGTGTGCTCCACAACTTAAAATTTTCAAATAAGCTGCCAAAAGAGAGAGGGTTTTTTGGTTTCACTGGTTCATACTAGATATGGGGCCAATTGTGGAAGATGAAAGGTGACACCATTTCCCTGTGACTCAGAGGTGAAAACAGAAGAATGATTTAACTTGCATATAGATGACTCCCTTTGGGAATATGAAGGACAGTTAATGTTTAAGACAATTATTTAAATTGTCTGAATTTGATAATCTTTGTTTTTGTTTTTTTTAAAGCATTAGTTGTAAACAAGGAAACTGTTGATGTGCCACACCATATTTATTGCAATAAGGAGATGTGAAATAATGAGAAGTGTATCTGTGCCCTGATATGGTTAGGTTTTGTGTCCCCACCCAAATCTCATCTTGAATTGTAATCCCTATAATCCCTACGTTTGGAGGGAGAGACCAGGTGAAGGTAATTGAATCATGAGAGCAGTTTCCCCCATGCTGTTCTCATGGTAGAGAGTTCTCATTGAAATCTGATGGTTTTATAAGATGCTCTTCCCACTTCACTCAGCACTTCTCATTCCTGCTGCCTTGCAAAGAAGGTGCCTTGCTTCCCCTTCCTCCATGATTGTAAGTTTCCTGAGGCCTCCCCAGCCATGCTTAACTGTGAGTCAGCTAAACCTCTTTCCTTTATAAATTACCCAGTTTTGGGCAGTTCTTTATAGCAGTATGAAAACGGACTAATGACAGTCGCTGACTCTGGTTCCTGAGACAGAGCTCCTAAAACCCTAGATAGGACTTCTGGGATAATCTTTTGTTCTAATCTTTGGTCTTTAACCTGGTTTCCTGACACAGAGCTCCTAAATCTCTTGGAATTTCCTAGGTGATAGGAGCATCGTTTGCTCTAATGAGGCAACTCTTGGTGGGCTCCTGGATGGGGGCTGGTCACCAGAAGGACCCAGCCATGATTAGAAGCTTAACACATTCAGCTCTACCCCCTATCCTCTCAGAAGGGGAGAGGGGCTCCAGGTTGAGTTAATAATCCATCATGCCTACAGGATGAAGCCTCCTCCATAAAAATCCCTGAACTGGCAGTAGCTGCCAAACTGGAATAGGAGAAGCTGGGCCTGGAGGAGCTGAGAGAGTTCTTGCCACTGTTGGTGTTGGCGAGTGGCAGGGAGCCAGGACTTGAGGGTTGGGGTGTGTTGTGATGCCAGAGCTGGCGGTGCAGAAGGTGGTGGTCTACCCCCTGTTGCTTCTCAGTGTGGTGGATCACTTCAGCTAATTTGGTGAGGTTGGAAACCAGAAGCATGTTGGTGTGCTATTGGGGTCATGGCAAAAGAAAATACTTGATATGTCCAAGAGTTTTCAGTCCCTTTTTATGATGATGACTAAGTCCTTTTTTATGAAGATGACAAAGATGATCTGATTTTTAGACCAAGATTATTTGGAAAACATTTATGGATTGTTTAAGAAGGTAAATAAATGCCAGAGAAAGAATATTTGGGTGGCACCACACAGGCCATAAACTTTACAAGAATGCCATTGCCATCAATGAAGTAATGAAATGATGCTGCCCTAACTCTTGTTTTGGTCATTATTGATGTGAAACCCAAGGACCTGAGCCTGCCCACAGAAGCATATATTGTGGAAGAAGTTACAGAAACATATACAGTGGAAGAAGTTCATGTTGATAGAACTACAACCACAAAAACATTTGAGCATGTGACTGTGAAACTGGAGCAGAGGAAGCTGAGGAAGTCAGAGTCAAACACTTGTTATGAGACATCAAAGACACTACCGTGGGTACTCTTTCCTAGCAGATTATTAACCAGGTCTATGCATGGCTTGAAGGGTAAAAGTAGCGACAGGCAAGCTACCCATAAACCATCAGATCATCTGCCTGCTGTAGGATGTCTTCAACCTGCTGCCAGATGTCAGCCCTGATGAGTTTGTCAAGGCCTTTCACCTGAAGACCGACCACCAAATGGAGGTGATATACTTGGCCTTGCTGATCTGTTTTTGGTTGCCCTGCACAGCCTCATCAACAACAAGATTGCTAACCAGGGTGCAGAGAAGAAAGACGGACAGGAAAAGAAGAGAACAAAAAGGATAGAAAAGGAGACAGAGAGAAAGACAAAGAAAACATAAACAGTGATGAAAGAAGAGAAAAAGGAGAAAAAGTAAAACATGTAGCTTTTAAAATTTGTAAATTAACCTAATAAACTAAATCAGTGTGCTGCTAGAAGGTTCTTGCTTGCTTTTAGTGCTTTTTGAAAAGCTGTTCTATTGACAACCCTCTGCTTCTGGCCACCCTTGCTGTGGCATTACATGGAAGCAAATGGATAGAGGGACTGATCTTGTACCTAATACTGCAGTTTCAATTGCTGTGAGTTGAGGATGTAATAGTCAGCTCTGGCTTCAGATTGTGTGAGAAAAATTAAGAGAAGTCAACATAACATTTTTGGTACTCATTCTTTACCTGTAAAACCAGGAGTTGAGTTTTTCCCCACCGTAAAAGACTCTTGGGGTCTATTTCTGGTAATTTACAAAATTGCTGAACAGAGTGCATGAATTCCACCCATTCTCTGCCTTTTAACACTTTTGAGTTCTGACCCTTTTGAACTCTGTTGAGAAAAACCACACCACATTTTGGATCTACGTGTAGTTCTGGCATTCTTAGGGCTTGGGATCCAGCTTTATATTTTGTTTACCTTCGAAGACACAATTAAATGGTTTGGTTAAAAAAAAAAAATCCCTGAACTACCAGGTTCAGAGAGCTTCCAGGTTGCTGGACCCATGTAGCTTCTTGGGGGGCGGCACACACAGAGAAGGCATGGAAGCTCCAGCCCCTTCCAACATATGCTTGGTAATATCAAGTATTTTATAAAAAATGAGTAAAACATAAATATTTCCCTGAGTTCTGTGAGCTGTCCTAGCAGACTACACCTGAGGAGGGAGTTGTTGTGGGAACCCTCCTGATTTATAAGCCAGTTGGTCAGAAGTAGAGGTGACAAACTGTTACTTGTAGTTGTTGTCTGAAGTGGGGGGCAGTCTTGTTTGATGAGCCCGCAACCTGTGGGAGTTGACTCTGACTCCAGATAGTGTCAGAATTGAATTGAATTATAGTACACCGAGTCGGTGTTCACTGGAGAATTGCGTGCTGTGTGGAGAAAACCCCACACACATCTGGGGTCAGAATTGTTGAGTGGAGTATATGAGAGTATAGTAGGAAACCCCACAACCTCCAGGTCGACCAACTACCTATAAATTGGGGGTTCCCATGACTCCCTCTTCAGGTTCAATTAATTTGCTAGAGTGGCTCATAGTACTCAGGGAAACATTTTACTTATATTTACCCATTTATTATGAAGGATAAATTAAAGGATACAAATGAACAGGTAGATGAAGAGGAGATACATAGAGTGAGGTTCAGGAAAGTCCCAAACAGGAGCCTCTGTCCCCATGGAGTTGGGTATGCCACCCTCCTGGCATATGGATACAATTAAGTAGCTCAAGAACATAAAACTGATGGGTTCTAATAAAGCAAGGAATTAAGATTTTAGATTAAAGTAGCTTTGATGAAAAGTGAATTCCATAAGACACAGAAGAACCTTGGTGCTTATATCTGCAATTCAGCTGGTGTTTTCTCTTCTCCAGTTTTTAGACTCTTTGAAGTAGCTTTTGCTCTTGCCAGTAGAGTGTCTGAGCACTGCTTACCCTGAGCAGATGAGGAGTTTGCTCCAAATCCAGGATGGTAAATTAAGGAGATTATCAAACATTACCAAACAAATATCTTGTGCAGTATCTTCTATCTTTATGAGAAATTAGGTACAGCATTTAATTCACTTTTTTTTCTGTCTTGTAAGTTCTTGATAAAGTGTTTTGACATGTTTGTTAGGCAAGTATGTAAGGTTTTTGTTTGTTTGTTTGTTTGTTCCTTTATGAGATAATAAACTAGTTTGTGACATCAGCCTCAAAGTACCTGACTGTATGAGACGGATACCAAACCAAACTGTTTTTCTTGCTCTGAAACTCATCACAACACACTTCTGACACCAGGCAATCAGATGCACCCCATCTCCGATGTATACATGTGACCTTTGTATCTCTCTTTTTTCACTTAGCATAATGTTTTTGAGGTTTATCCACATTTTAGCATATATCAATACTTCATTCCTTTTCGTGGCTGAATAAGATTCCATCACACACACACATATATACACACCACATTTTGTTTATTCATTCATCTCTTGATGGACATTTGGGTTCTTTCCACTTTTTGACTGTTATAAGTAGTATTGCTCTTTGTGTATAAATATTTGAATTCTTATAATTATTTTCCATTTTGGGGGTCATATACCTAGGAGTAGAATTCCTGGGTGAGATTCTAATTCTCAGAAGCTACACTATTTTACATTTCCACTAACAATATACAACAGTTCCAACTTCTCTTCATCTTGGACAACACTTGTTATTTTCCCTTTTTTGGTTTTGGTTAGTTATTGCCATCCTGATGAGTATGAAATTGTATCTCATTGTGATTTCAATTTGTATTTCTCTAATATTAATTAGGGAAGAGGTTGAACTTCTTTTCATGTGCTATTTGGCCATTTGTATATCTTCTGGAGAAATGTCTATTCAAGCCCTTTGCTCATTTTTAGTGGGTTGGCTTTCTTTCTGTTATTAGAATTCTTTATGAGGAATTTGGCCTCAGGCCAAAATCTTACGTGATGTTTGAGCCCACTATAGACAATTACAAGGCTTTATCTGACAAACTCAATGGCGGAAGCTGCTTTCCCCATACCTAAGGAAATGTTGACCTAAAAGGAAGAGTTGAGGCACAAAATATAATTTAAAGAGTTTACTTGAGCCAGAGTGAAGACAGCTGCCCCTGGTGTGTGTTAAAGTTGCCTTGGGGAGTGTACCCTCAGCCCTTGTTACAAGCAAATTTTTAAAGGGAGAGAGAACAAGGAGTGGGCTAATACAAAGTTATTTGACAGGAATTCTCAATAGTTGACAGATATATCATTGTTCAGTGATTGGCTATACATTTTTGAATTAGAGGGTATGAGTTAGGGTGTCCAGCATATGGCAGTTGTGGCTTCTTCTTGTCAGTTAGCCTAGAGCCCACATAGCAAGTGTCTTCAAGAGATAATTATTTAGCTCAAGGGGGAGTGATGTGACTGCTGTTTCATTCCAGTGCCTCTCTGGACCTGATAATTTAAACAGGCTTGCATTCCTCAGATAAGTGTCTTTTTTTTTTTTTTCCATGCCAGTGTATGCTGTTTTCTGGAGGTACTTACTGGCAGTGACTGAGACTCCCTGCAGCCACACTCACACACAGCTGTATTCCTAGCTCAGGTGACTCTGTTTGGAGGCCTTCTTATGAGGAGATGGGGGAGTTGGCTGAGGCACTTCCCAGGTACCTCCACTGAGGCTTCCTTTTGGAGGCTTTGACTAAGGTATTTCTGTCTTATCTGACTCAGTACTTTTCTGCTTCTAGCCCTTCCTCCTCTTCCTCCCCGTGGGCCCCTGGGTTCATGAAGATGCAGAGAGGCAGCAGCCTTCTTCAGGGCTTCTCAGCAGTGAGACAGTGTGCCCCACCCCGACAACCCAGCAGTGCATATTTATCTCACCCTTTCCTAGGGAAGTAATGAAACACTGGAGAACTAGCACCTCTCATTTTGCCCCTTGCTTATACTGTGGCAAGAAGTGAATAAAAACTTGATGGTTACTTTTAATTTGCCTTGTCCTTATTAACCACATCAACACCTGGCGGTTCAACATGTTATATATTCTGGATATTAGACCCTTATCAGATACATAATTTGCACATATTTTCTCCCACTCTGTAAGTTGTCTTCACTTTTTGGTAGTATCCTTTGGTGCACAAAAGTTTTTAATTTTGATTATTTATGTATTTTTTTCTTGCATTGCCCATGCTTTTAAGACTACCTAAGAATCCATTGCCAAACCTAAGGTTATGAAGATTTATCCCAGTGTTTTCTTCTAACATTTTTATAGTTTTAGCTCTTACAGTTAGGCCATTGATCCATTTTGAGTTAATTTTTGTATATGATGTAAGGTAAGGGGTCCAGCTTCATTCATGCATTCATCCATCCATATACATGTATGTGGATATCAGGTTTTCCTAATAGTATTATTGTTGAAGAGACCATTCTTTCTCCATTGAATGGTCTTAGCATCCTTGATGAAAATCAGTTGACCATATATGTGAGGGTTTACTTCAGAACTTTTAGTTCTGATTCATTGGATGTCTGTCTGTCTGCTCATACCAAACTATTTTGGTAATAGTTGCTTTGTAGTGAGTTTTGAAATTGACAAGTGTAAGTCCTCTAACATTTTCCTTTTTCAAGGTTTTGTTATTTGGGATGCCTTGCAATTCTATCTGAATTTTAGGATCAGCTTTTCTGTTTCTACAAAAAAGGTTGTTGGGATTTTGATAGAAATTGCATTGACAATGTAGATCAGTTTGGGGAGTATTACCATCTTACTAAATATTACAGTCCATTAACATAGGATGCTTTTTCTCTTATTTAGATATTCTTTAATTTCCTTCAGCAGTGGTTTTTGTTTTTGTTTTTGAGACAGAGTCTCACTCTGTCGCCCAGACTGGATTGCAGTGGCGCGATCTCGGCTCACTGCAACCTCTGCCTCTTGGGTTCAAGCAATTTTCCTGCCTTAGCCTCCTGAGTAGCTGGGATTACAGGTGCACGCCACCAGGCCCGGCTAATTTTTGTATGTTTTTAGTAGAGACGGGGTTTCACCATGTTGGCCAGGCTGGTCTCGAACTCCTGACCTTGTGATCTGCCCGCCTCAGCCTCCCAAAGTGCTGGGATTACAGGCATGAGCCACCGCATATGGGCAGTGTACAGGTCTTATACCTCTTTGATTAAATTGATTCCCGAGTATTTTATTATTTTTGATGCTATCATAAGTGGAATTATTTCCTTTTCTGCTTGTTCATTGCTAATGTATAGAAATACAATTGATTTTGTGTGTTGATCTTTTACATTGCAACTTTGCTGAATTAGTTTATTAGATCTAGCAGTTATTTTGTGACTTCTTTAGGATCTACAAATAGAAATTATTCTGTTTCTTTGTTTCCAGTTTGGATCTCTTTTATTTCTTATTCATGCCTAATTGCTCTGGCTAGAACTTCTAGTACAATGTTGAATAGTACAAAGTTGTACAAAGTTGTACAAAATGGTACAAAGTTGAATAGTGAAAGAAGCCTTCCTTATCGTGTTCTTGATCTGAGGAGGAAAGCATTCATTCTTTTACCGTTGATGTTAGCTATTATATACTGCTTTTATATTTGTATTTTATATATTACATTGTATTTCATTTTTCTTTTATTTGACGTACACATTGCAAATGTAGAAATTTGCAATAGAAAATTCAGAAAAATAGAAAAATTCAGAGGGTTGTAAAACACATATCCATTATAGACCTCATTCTTGGATTTTGGAAAAATTGCATCCAGCACTGGAATTAGATCATGTAAATTCACTAGTACCATGCCACTTTGACCAAATTGGTTATGCGAAAGGAATCACAAAACTGTGTGGAATTATTTTTAAATTGTATGATAAAATTTCTAGTTATTTTGACCCGAGATTTGGTCAAAGCAAATTTGATACCATTAATAGGAAAATCTAGAGAAATAGTGGCTGTTATTTTGCAGAATCTCATGAATCGCAGAACCAGAAGCAACCTCCAGTTTTGAGCTCTGTTCTCGAAAGGATCAGGAATTGGAATAATTCCTCTTGGAAAAAAAGAAATAGGGACATAAAATATTTGTACTATCAGAGGAAGAAGGGAAAGAGAGTTTTTGTTTTATTTTAGGCAGACTCAGGTCAGATAGATGGTTTTTATAGGCCCAATATAAAGGAAGAACTATCTAGCAGTGAACTGCGTCTTACAATAGTGAGTGTCCCATCACCAGGAGGGAAAAGCTGAGGTCAGATGACTCACTGGAGATGCTGCAGAAGACAAGCAGAGGTGTTAAGGTGCCCCTGCAGCCAATATTCTGTCATTCTACAGATTAACCACCAGGTAAAGGAACTTAAGAATGCCTATCACCATGATCTAATAAAAAGTATAGGCCAAGCAGACACTATGAAAAACAGCCAATACTTTTCTCAGCCAGTGATGACGGAACTTGCTACAGGAAGCAAAATCTGTAGGTGATAATCCATTGTCCAGAATACTAACTCACGTGAATTAAGAAACAAATGCCACTAGGAGGAAAAGAGAAGATAGAGCTCATTTCTTAATTACAAGGGGTGAGAGGAAGAAAAACATAAGACACAGAAATAGATTCAAAAGTCTAGTTACTGAAGGATATTTTTTTCACATGTGGAATAAATAAGGACAGGAATAGGGGCCTACCCTTTTAGTTTGTTTCGTTTTTAAGTTTGTAAGAAAACATTTATATCTCTGCTATTTTGAATCCCTTAAGAGTGTTTCAAAATCATTTTTTTGAGTAGTTGTGAAGAATTGGCAGCACCATAGCCCTATTTTTAAACTTTAAATGTAGAAAATGAGATTAGGGTTACACAAAGCCAAAAGTCAGATTTAAATTTTTTTTATTATTATTTTTAGGGAGCAGGTCACACTGTATTGCTTAGGCTGCTCTCAAACTCCTGGCCTTCATGATCCTGCTGCCTCAGCCTTCTGAGTTGCTAGGATTACAGATGTGAGCCACCCAAAAGTCAGGCTTTAATCAGTCTCAGAGAAACCACACATTGTCAAGAAGTGACATTATTCCAAATATGGTACATTTACTTTATTATTATTTACTTCGGTGTTGTCACTACTCCTTGTCCTGTCCCGAGTTCTGATTGTCCCCTCAGTTCTTCTTCCTTTGTACTCTCCATCAAGAGATCTGTCATGTGGGAGGGGCAGTGGGAGAGGTAGCTAGTGGTTCTCTCCAACACCATGAATATGGCAGAGCTATCTCAGAAGCCAAGGAAGTAATGACAGTGTAACTGTTAAAATAAAAATGACTGCCAGTTTTGAATACTTAACATGCCAGATGCTATACTAGATGTTGGGTGCTCTTTGTGAACTTACATAGACCATCTCCCAGTAGATTAAAAGAGTTATTTACGGGATTGAATTCTTTGACACTTTGAATTCTAGATGCTAGATATAATGGATTGGTGTCCTACAATTTGGGATTCCACAATTTGTAGTCTCATGTTAGCTTTTGAGAGCCTGGCTGGCTTTGCCTGAAGTAAAATTGTGAAGTAGATATGGCACATATTAAGCACTCCCTGCTTCCCCACCCTTGGTTTAAGGTTACTAACATTCCTTTGGTAACTGCTAGGTAACTTGTCTCAGCAATATTTCTAAGAATTGAAACTCTGTCAACTTCCTTACCCCTCTCAAGTATCTGTTCCTTTCAGGAGGTACATCCTCTTAATATCCTCCAGTCTGCCTCTTCTTTACTCTCAAGCCAAATAAGAGAAAAATAAAAATATAATGGACTAATACTGGGATTTGAAATACATTCTTTGATATTTGAGGTAAAATACCATCAATTATGATTAGCACAAACAAATAACATAGGAAGATAAAAGCACTTAGTTGCACAAATTCTTACATAGCCAACATGAAGACAACCTTGGTGTGATTCCTAGAATTCTGGAATTAGGGCTTCTTCCGTGGTGGACCTGCCACCAACAGGCAAAGCTGGATGCCTAACATAGCCTTTTATATAATGGGCTTGGTTGAACAATCTAGTTCTACCTTACTCTCTGAAGGACCTCTCTTAGTAGGAAATGGGCTTATGTTAAGATGTTTTAATCCAAGGGGTAAGCCACACAGTTGGAATAGAATTTTTAATATATCCAAAGGAAATGAAATCAGTATGTCAAAAAGATATCTGCACTCCAATGTTCATTGCAGCACCATTTACAATAGCCAAGATACAGAATCAACCTAAATGTCTATCAGTGAACGAATGGATAAAGAGAATGTGGGATATATACACAGTGGAATACTATTCACTCTTAAAAAAAGAAGAAAATCCTGTCATCTGGAACAACATGGATGAACCTAAAAGACATTAATAAACCAGGCACAGAAAGACAGATACCCACATGTTCTCACTGATATGTGGAATCTAAAAAAGTATGAGTAGAAAATAAAATGGTGGTTACCAGGGGCTAGGAGGATGGGGGGCTTTGAGGAGATGGTGGTGAAAGGACACAAAATTTCAGATAGGAGAAATAAGTTCAGAGATCTATTGTACAACATGGTGACTTTAGTTAATGACAATGTATTGTATTTTGAAAATCACTAAGAAAGTAGAGTTTGGCTAGATGCACTGGCTCATGCCTGCAATCCCAACACTTTTGGAGGCTAACATGGGAGAATTGCTTGAGCCCAGGAATGAGACCAGACAGGGCAACATAGTGAGACCCTGTCTCTACCAAAAAAAAAAGCAAAACAAAACAAAACAAAATTAGATGTGGTGGTGTGTACCAGTGATCCCAGCTACTTGGGAGGCTAAGGTTAGAGGATCACTTGAGCCCAGGAGGTTGAGGCTATGGTGAGCTGTGATTGCACCACTGTACTCCAGCCTGGACAACAGGAGTGAGACCCTGTCTTTTAAAAATAATAACTAAGGCTGGGCGTGGTGGCTCATGCATGTAATCCTAGCACTTTGGGAGGCCATGGTAGGAGGATCACTTGAGCCCAAGAGTTCGAGGCCAGCCTGGGCAAGATGCTGAGACTCTATCTCTAAAAAAAGTTTTTTTTTAAATAGTAATTTTAAAAATGTAGATTTTACATGTCCTCGCCACAAAAATAAGTGTGTGGAATAATGCATATGTTATTTAGCTTGATTGAGCCATTCTACAATATATACCTAGTTCAGAATATCATGTTATACATAATATATATATATTTTTTATTTGTCAATTAAAATGTAAAATAAAATGAAAAAGAATTTTTATTTCTCTGACTAGCTGTCTTGCAATGATTTAATATTTCTTTTTCTCCTAGGGAAAAGTTAACCATTGGATGCCGCCAGCTGGTTGAGATGGAATATACCATGCAGCAGTGCAATGCATCTGTTTATATGGAGGCCAAAAACAGGGGATGGTGTGAAGACATGCTCAACTATAGGATATAAGTACTGATTTGTAACTTTAAAGGAATTGCATTTGTCCTTAAGAATAACAGAGTAGTTTTCAATCTGGTCACTCTTTTGGGCCAAACCCAAGAGAATTTTAAGAAATGTTTCATAGGTATAAAAAGGTGATCGCCTATTACTGACAGTCTCATTGTAGCTCTAAAAAGCCTAATGTATCCACTGTGGAATAAACTCCATAGACTCAACTCTTCTGGAGTTCACAATGCCTCCCTACCTCTATTCTTGATAGTGAGCCAGTATCTCTAAGGAAAGGAGAGCCGTATTTTTAGTCATCCTAGGGCAGGAGCCACTGTGGCATCTGAGGAAGACCCAGGGTACAGTATTAGCATTTCTTTCAACCCTAAGTATGGGCATGTGACCAGAGACACTGCCAAACCCTAAGAAATCATTAGGGCATGATCATGCTCACCATATTTCACAAATGAAATCTTAATGTGGGCTGTTTTTTATGATCAAACTGTCATCCATGTTGACCTGATGAAAATAACACCCTCCTTCACCTCCCTCAGGGTAATGAAAGTAGAAATTTGACTGAAGCTCCTACTTCCTTATACAGCCTTTCCTTCTGTGGGCTTGTCACTTTTCAGTACATTTCTAGTGGGGAAGAGCAGGGCGACCCCTCTGCTGGGTTTCTCCTTAAATGTGAAGCAAAATAAATTTATATAATGGAATTTGGTGGCAGTGACTGATGTTTGTCTCTAGCTAAAACCAACTGTTTAGTTGACTTTTTAGTTATAGGATAAGTTGGAAGTCCTTGTTTACTGGAATATATTATGCTTTTGTTAACACATTAGATTAAATAGAATTTGGTATTCTATTATAAATGTTTATTTTTTAAAGCAATAAATAACTTATTTTTGGTAAGATTTGGCTTTTTACTTCCAAATTGTTTCTGATATGTACATAAGGTATGATTATAAAAGTGACTGTCTGCAATAAAAGAGAACTTGTTCAGGATATTCACTAGTTGGTGTAGAACCTGTTAAGCTTTGGGTTTGCCAGATTAGGGAACCACACCACCAGCCGCACAGATGGGGCTCAAAGTGCTGTCAGAGATTATGAGCTTCTGGGCAAATGGGGAAGCTTTAAGAGGGCATCTCTGCTCTCTGCCTCTTTCCTTTTCTTTCCTGAGAAGCCAAATAAATATACATTCATCTGTTGCCTGCTGACCCCCATGAAAAGAAGTTTTTTCAGACCCTTATCCTTCAACTTCTAGTTGTTATTGTTGGGTTTTTGTTTTTCCTTGTTCTGGTAACTCCTCTTTTTTTTTTTTTTATCGCTTTAATATAGGTTAATCCTTTCCTTAAAATTTCTTTTCAGTCTTATCACATATTTACCCTTATGCCTACTTCAGTCTTATATAAAAAACTTTTTCAATATTATTGAGATGTGAAGATGTCCTTTTTTAACTTTCTAGTCTTTTTTATTCAAAAACATTGTTTTAAAATTTTTGTTTTAGCTTTTATTTCTTCCATTTGAAATCATTTGAAATGTCAGGTCTTGCTTTTTTTTGTTTGTTTTTCCCTCTCCCTTCTTTGTTGCTTTTTTTTTTTTTTTATGATCGTAAACTTTATTACTTTTCTATTTGTTGTCCTAATCATGTAATGCAGGGGTTGAGAGTTCCTTTACTGTTTTGCAACTTCCTTTTTTTTTTTTTTTTTTTGAGGCAGAGTCTCACTCTGTCACCCAGGCTGGAGCGTAGTGGCTCGATCTCGGCTCACTGCAACCTCCGCCTCTTGGATTCAAGCAGTTCTCATACCTCAGCTTCCCAAGTAGCTGGGATTACAGGCATGTACCAGTATGCCTGGCTAATTTTTTTTTTGTATTTTTAGTAGACACAGGATCTCACCATGTTTGCCAAGCTGGTTTTGAACTCCTGACCTCAAGTTATCCACCTGCCTTGGCCTCCCAAAGTGCTGGGATTACAGGCATGAGCCACTACACTTGGCCTTTGAAACTTACTTTTACAAAAGATAGTTCATTTCTCTCCTGGGAAGACCAGCGAACATCCTCTGGTTTGGAGGGCCTCCAGCTCTCTCCATATTCTGAGCCAAGGAAAAGCTGGCTAAAGAATTGAAGTCTGTTGTGTCCCCACAGGGTCCTCTTGTTAAAACCTGCAGTGGTCAATTGTGACTGCACAGACTAGAACTTCACAGATGGGTTAATCCCACTTTCACATTGTGGATCTTTGACTGTCACATGAAAGACCAGGTGACACAAGACACATCTGAAGCTCTATTTCCTTGCTATTTTGAACATTATTTTAAGGGAGAACGAAAGTCCTTTCATTGTCAGTCCAGGTTTATTTAGATGGTGTCTTGGTCAGCTTTCAGAGCCTAGGTCACATTGTTCATATTCTTGACTTTTTGCTCTCTTAGCTAGCATGACAGGTTGGGATGAATTTCCCTCTTTCCTCAAAGTCTGGTGACTGCATCCAGTCTCTAAGGATGTGATGCTACCCATGGCCCTTTTCTGACTTCGAGATTGGACAGGCCAGTCACACTTCTATTTATTGGGTATATATAAAACCCACTCCAGTGAACAGAACTGAGC
The DNA here is from genome assembly GCF_000001405.40 of Homo sapiens. Classification (NCBI taxonomy): domain Eukaryota; kingdom Metazoa; phylum Chordata; class Mammalia; order Primates; family Hominidae; genus Homo; species Homo sapiens. The sequence goes on from NC_000001.11 coordinate 185,293,378, forward strand.
CCCATGAAGGCAGGAACTACACTGTGTGTAGTGTCTCATAGTTGTGGTTAGTTAATATTTTTGACAAATTGACCTGCAGGCTCACCTACTCTAAAACAAAAGACATACTTTACCTTTGCCTACCAAAGTTTGACTTGAAAGCTTTTAAGTTTGTCTGGTCTGTCAGGTGAAAAGCCACTCAGTAAAGTCAAACAGATACACCTCTTAGATCTTGGAATATGGCCCACAGAAATGGATTCTTCTGGAGCCAGAGTACCTCAAGATGTTGGCTTTCCTGAGGGTTTTAGTATTATATATACTTGTATTTTTAAAAATCCATCTCTGTATTCATGGAATTCTTTAATATCTTTGGCTGTTGTTAAAAGCAAGAATTGGCCACCCTGAGGGTTTGTAGACTAGTTTTGGCCTGTGACAGGAATCCTTTTTAATTCTAGCTTTGTTTATGAACTAGATGTAGTTTGTCTCAAATTAATTCTCGATGTTGAAAACACTGAGGACAGATTCTTGAGCAGAATTACCAGTTATAAGCCTGGAAGGTGAGGTGGTGGACACCCAAATCCGAGCTACTAGCTTGGTTCAGTCTTCTTAAAGCACAAACCATTTTCAACATCCTATTCTTTATTTCTAATGAGGTAAAATATGGACATGTTCTAGCCCTTCTTCTAAGCTTGATATTTTAAAGGTTTGGTACCACTTTGGTTAAGCTAGAAAAACAAAACTTTTTTTCCTTCGTAAGTGTAGAGTTCTGTGAGTTCTGTCAAACATGTAATCAATCAATCATCAGCAGTCAAGATATTGAAGTCACACCACCCCTAAAAATTCCCTCATGTCCCTTTGTAATTAACTCCCATTCCCAGCTCAGGAGGCCATTGATGTGTTTGCCTTCCCTGTAGTTTTTCCTATTCCTGAATGCTATATAAATGGAGACTGTTTTTTTAAGAGACAGGGTCTTGCTATGTTGCCCAAGTGCAGTGGCTGTTCAGACATTATAGCATACTACAGCCTTGAACTCCTGGGCTCAGGCAATCCTCTCACCTCAGCCTCCTGAGTAGCTGGGACTACAAGTGCATGCCACTATGCCCAGCTAATGGAGGCTTTTGAGTCTGGCTTTTTATTTAGCATGATGCTTGAGACTTATCCATATTATCAGTAGTTCATTATTTTATTCCCAAGAAGTATTGCATTGCCATGGATGTACAAATTTATTCATTCACCAGGTGGAAGGCTACTTCACTGAATTCAGTTTTTGGTGATTATGAATAAAGTTGCTATATTCACATACAGGTTTGTGTGAATATGTTCCTTCACTTGGGTAAATACCTACGAATGGGATTGCTTTGTCACAGATTATTAGAAAATGGATGGATTGTTTTTTAAACTGCCTGTGCACCTTTGCAGTTCCTCCAGCAATGTATGAGAGTTCAAGTTGCTCTGCATCGTAAGCAGAATTTGGTATATTCAGTTTCAATAGGTGTATGCCATTTTGGTTTTAATTTACATTTTCTTAATGATTTATGATAGTATTTTCCTGTGTTCTTATGGCATCAACTTCTTTTGCAAAGTGTCTTCAAATATTTTACCCATTTAAAAATCGTTTTAACAGATCTCATCTTATTACCTTGCTGGACATTTCATCTCAGTAGTTTCATTACTCCAAGTTAGGTCTTTCTGTGTGCCTTTTTTTTCTGGCTAAAATTATGTTACTTCCTTTGGTCATCCTGAGCAAGTGTGTGGCCTCTATTCAGATATATGCCTCTGTTAAAGGCATTCCACACAGATCCAGCATAATGATTGAGTTTTGCTTCTCACCTTTGTTCTCTCCACCCAGTAAGGTGTGGAGCTGTTAATAAAGTTCATTATTTTATTGGCCAAGATTATTGATGCTCATAGGTTGAAGAACCCATGACATTCACATGAGTTTGTATGTTCCTGTTTATAAACTCTACTTGTTCAAAGTGTCATTAATATTCTTGAGAAACTGGCAGTTTTATTATGAAGGATATCTGCAATTCATAGCAATTACTCCTTTTTAACCTAGAGACACTGATTTAACTTAATAAAACCTGTTTATAGGATGAAACTTGTAGCTCAGTCTTACCAAGGATTTAAGGATTCATATATGAGTGTTTTTCTTTCTCCTTTACACCTAGTTAATTAACCTTGTATCTTATGTCTCACTTGCTGACTCTTCAGACCTTTTTTTTTTGGAACAAAAAGCAGCTGCGTGTAAATTACGACAGCAACTGAATTTTCCATGAATCATATTCACTTTTCTGAAGGCAACTCTGCATGCAGTTACAGAAATGTCCTACTGGGGCTCCTCCTTTGCCTACTTCAATTTTAAGAATTCTGAGGTCAGGAGAGGTAATAGGGCACACACCTAATTTGTTAATTAAGCAAGGATTCTAATGATATATCACATACTCAAATCCTGGATTTTCCCTAAAATATGATTATTATATTGGGAATTTGAAAACATGTTGAGCAGTGGTAAAGTACATGACACACTAGAAGCCAAAAATCAGAACCCTACATTTAAAGTTCATAATAAAAGATCCACCCGAGTATAACCAATAATATTTGGTTTAGATATTTTATAGCTTTTCTACCTTTTTAGGAAATTTAGAGTGTTTTATTAAGTTGACCAGAAGTGTGGTATTATCAATATTATTTTGAAACTATTCAAAAATTCCTACTGGTTAAAAAGCTTTTTTTTTTTTTTAAATTGTGCTGAGGCTATGCCATTTTCTCCCTCTCTGAAGAAAGTATGTACCTTTTAGATACAGATTAACAGTAACAAATGGCCACTGAGCACTGCTTTTTTTCCTTTATGGAAACTTCTCATGTTCATGCAGACTAGCTACAACAGCTTCTTAAAAAAAGATACTTTTTGGCCACCAAACTACCTCTTTGGCATCCAAGGTAATGCAGGAAAACTTTGACCCAAAGTATTCCCATATATTATTTGCATTAAGCATGTCACTTATGAAATGAGAAGTGATCTCAAGGATTTTAGTGCTGAATCCTCAACTAAAATTTTATTTCCTTGTGCTGAATAGAACACATACAGATCCATATTAAAAACAGTCATCATATTAGGCAAATTCAATCTGTCAATGTAGTTTTAGTCCAGAACCAAACCAGTGATAGTTAGGAATTACAGAGTTACCAACCAAACTGATTTGCTTTCCTGGTGGTTCTTTGTGTAACAGATGAGAGAAATAAAGTGGCAGAGTACCAGTGAACATTTGGAGAAAATACCTAATTATTTTCTTCCTAACCCAAGTTAGCCACTGAATAGTCATCTCAGAATAGTCACCTCATCCCAGTTGGCCCATTAGGTTCCTGTGTGCTTCATCTTCTGTGAGAAAAAAAAACCTTATATCATTCCTTATTTCAGATGTAAGATGCCAGGTGAGTTATTTTCCACAAATTTCTTAAGCTCATTACTGGAAAAAAAAATTTCTCAAAACTTTTAGTAATGAATGAGTGTACAAGCAGCAATTGGATATTAATCCCATGGTGCAAGGATTTCCTGCAAAGTACCTTTAATGTGTTTAAATCAGCAGCAAGCATTAGGACATGCTATTTTGGCCCCATAAGTTAGGTGTGTAGCACTACACATTAGACACCAAGTCATCCCAACCAATATTTATCCATATGAACAGATAAACTGAACAAAAACATAGTTCTGATAAAACCTGCATTCACAACCTAATGTAGTTTAAAGTAAATTTTTTCACAATTGAGGGCTGCTATTTAGGACTGTTTTGTTAATAATAAAAACAGGAATTATATAGAAGATAAAACACCATTTTTTACTGCTATATAATGTCTTGCTATATAAAACATACCCTCAACAAGTCAAAATATTTAAAACCAGTGTTTCAAATACCAAAAATCACAGCTATGTTACTGTTCAGTAACTCCACTCAAATAAATGTTAGTACTGCATTCTTGAAGGAAAAAAACTGCAGCCAAGGCAAGAACTCTGAAGTTTGCACTCAGAGTTTAAAAGACAGACCCCTACTCTGCAAACTGAAGACTGCCACTCTGCTTCAATAACTCCAGCCTGCCACATTTTACTTCAATTGGTAAAGCACTCTGCTGAGAATATAAAAAGTTATAAAAAGGCAATCATAAAAGATTAAATATTGGTAGGCATGTAAGCTTCCTTTTAATAAAAACAAAAATAGTCAATGTCATCTATTTAAATAAGTATCCTTTGTTATAGAGTGTTCCAGTTATTGAAAAAGGGCCCTTAAAAAACCCAACTGTCTACATCTTTAAACCCTACCCCTTTTACCCCATAGTACACATTTGAGGGAAGAGTCATTTAATGTGCAAATTGGCAAAACAAATGTGGAGGAGAGGGGACTTCTTGAAATGATGTGCCCAATCAATTCTTGGTTTATTCTTTTCCAAAAAGTAAAATAACCAAAGTCTTAAAAGTACACAAAACAGACCTTCATCTTTGCATTCCTTTCCAAATAAACCCAAAAAGTATGTACAGCATGTTTAATAGTATGCAATATGCAAAAGCTTTGTGTTGCTGTTAGCAACATCTATACCCACCCACCCTCTTTATTCACAAGTGTACCTCTACTAACCATAATTACATCACTAAGCCTGTTAGTTTGAGAGGGTCTTAAATTTGTTAAAACTGGAAAATCTTTGTATAGGGGCTCCATTCATTTGACTCAAGGTTATAGACTTCCACCGTATTCAGAAATTCATTGCCATCGAATCCTCCCACTGCATAAATGGTGTTCCCTACAGTTGCAATCCCAGCATTGCTCCTTGGTGAAGTCATATTTCCCATCATCTTCCATTCATTTCTAGTTGGATCATACATTTCCACACAACTGATGGCATGAGAACCATCAAAGCCACCACATACAAACAGTTTTCCTAAAAGAGAAATGAGATGGGGTAAATCCAGAGATTAAAGTGTAATAAGGTAAAACTCCCCTAAATCTGTCTTTTGCTTAAAAATCAGTGGTTTTAAAAATAGAAATGCCTGTTCATTTTGTCAAAAAGAATTTATTAAATGCCTAATATGACAAATACTCTCTAAGAGCTGGGAATCAAATCAATAAAAAAACCATTCCCACGTGGAACTTAGGCAACTTAAAAGGGGGAGGGAGAGGAAGCAGTAGCAGCATCTAAATAAGTACAATTTTCACCAACTCTGTGGTAGTTACTATTATTATTTCAGAGAAGAAGAAAAGCAGGAAGAAGCTGGACAATTATCCTACAGATGCAGCTACTAAGTAGCAAACCAGAATAGTTCTGTGCACTGGACTTTATATCAGCCCAATGTACAGAATTAAGACTCAGAAGAGATTATAGGAAAGCAGAAAAATATCTTAGGGCTTTCCAACTGTATAAAATGATTTTGGGGCCAGATGCGGTGGCTCATGCCTATAATCCCAATACTATGGGAGCCTGAGGTGGGAGGACTGCATGAGCCCAGGGGTTCGAGACCAGCCTGGGCAACACAGTGAGACCATGTCTCAATTAAAAAAATAAAATGATTGTGGTACAGAAATTTCTTCTGGAAACAGAGTTATGATTATTTTCAAATAGATAAAATGTTAGCAATAAATACTCCGTAGCTTAGAAAAAATTTTATTACTGATTCTCAAATTCATTATTTTTTCATTTGACCATCACTTAACCAGCTTGCATTCTATGTATCTGTAAAGCACGCTGACAATGCTCTAGGCCAACAGGCTGTGTCTACACTTAAGCCTTCACCAGTTGAGCCATAAGCCTGCTAAGGTTCAGCCTGGTACCAAAAACAATGCTAACTTTTAAATTATGATTATATAATTAGACATTAAAAGTCAATAAAATGGAGGTGGAAAGAAAGCTATGTCTACATTTAAAAAGTTTAATACTTTGGAAACTTGTTAAAATAGTCTAAAGGTTGTATTTCCAATTAGGTATGGAGTAGACAGTTGGAAAAGACTAGGGATTTGCCTTTGTTTTGCAGATCAGATTCTTTAAATTCTGGCTGTAAAGAAGGGGAAACTCAAAATTCAAGATGATGCATTAAGGATATGTTTTATAGAAGAAAATGACTTGGAAATTCACTCAGTGCACCCATCAAAAGACTGGTGAATTAAGTTATATATCAAGTATTATAAGTCTTTGATTAGAAAATATATTTCTAAAGGACAAATCACCCTAATCTCCATTGCATCAAAAGAGATGACTGCTTCTGAATTCTTAACTGTACAACTATAGTCATTGGCCTTTTCTCTCAGAGTTTTAGAACAAAGTCTTGCCACTATCTACTCTTCACCTCTCCAAATCCCAACACTCACCATTAAGAACAGCCACTCCAGCTCCTCGCCTAGCCACATTCATGGGTGCAATTAAAGTCCAGGTATTATTTTCAGGATTGTATCGTTCTACTGTGTTCAGACAATTCCAAGATTCTGCACCTCCGATTATGTACAAATAACCACCAAGCTCACAGACTGCAGACTGGTGTCTCCCTACAAGAAAAGTCAAGTCAAGATTATTGCTACATCTCCCAGACTCTAAGTGTATACTACACATACTGTTGATTTGAAGGTCTTTAAAAAAAAAAAGGAAAAAAAATCAACTTACGAATGTTAAGAGGGGCACAGCTTGTCCACAACTTTGTTACAGGATCAAATACATCACAATTTTTCAGTCCTTTTTGACCATATGGATCAGAGCCACCAACGATGTATAACTTTCCATTCAGAGCACACACTCCTATGTAAGTATAAAATAAAGTTACATATTGATAATTTAATTATCATATTTAAATACTGGATATCTCAGGAGAAAACTATTATTACCTGCATTACAACGGTTAGTTCTCAATTCTGGAACAGGAATCCAGTCATCTATGTTTGAATCATACATCTCTCCACAACTCAGGTCATCTGAGTGGCCATTTGATCCACCTACCACATAGAGCTGGCCCTATGCCAAAAGTGAGAGATGAGAATTTCTAACATCCTGAAGTTACGAGGAAAAAGCTAAATAGGGGTTGCTCCTGCAACATAATGCGCTTACCATGAGTACAGCCATTTGAAATCGGGCTCTTGGTGTTCTCATGGGAGCAAGAAAGGACCAGTGATCTGTATGTGGATTATAGCATTCGACTGTTCGAAGACATTCCTCTCTGTTATAGCCACCTGGTAAAAAATAAAACCATAAAGATTTATGTTTAAAATATTAAACTGGACCACGGTTTCCAGTCCTGTAAGTTTAAGAAATCTGCACAATGAGAAAAAGTATTAAAACTTTTTAAGGATGCCTTAGTTGATCTTTTAACTAAGTGCTTGTAATAGCTGAAAAATCGCATTATCAGTACAAATAAACTGCTTAGTCTTGGCTTGAATATTAGAAAAATTTAGCCATGACATAATTTTTTTAAAAATTAGATACAGACATTGAACTGAAGGTTAGCCATATTCAATAGTATTGTTATTTCCCTATCTTATTGGATTGCCGTGAAAGATGGCATATTAAACCCTCTCTTTGAAAGTTTGCATGTCACAAAAATGCCCATCTACATGCTTAGCCAGTTGAATGCTTCTGTTCTTACCTGCAGCTATGAGTTTGCCATTCATCTCTGCTGTTCCCAGACCAGATCGTGCGTACTGCATAGGAGACATGGGCTTTTCGATTAGCTCATCTTGTTGCATCTCAAAGCTTAAACTCTTACTTAGTTTTGGAGTACTTGTTGGTGAGCTCTGTGGGCTGTTTCTCCCATGAAGAAAAATGACACAGAATATACCATCCAGCACAGCCAGGCACAAGTAAGTGTTATCTGTAAGCACAAGAGTTCCATGTTTAAGATGTAATTATTACTTTTGGTTTGTGTATATGATCCTGAATTGGACTCCAGTCTCCACATCCCAGACTGGAACAATCTGCTCTCGTTTTCCAAATTTAATTGCTTCTGAGTTTTTTCCTCGAGTAGTCAATTTAAGAGGTATTAAATTGGCAACACTCCTTCTTAAAAATAGGTAAGCTGAAAACAATCTGGCAAGTGTCATATACTTACTTGAAGTCTTTTCTGAAGCAACGATTTTCCACTCATGCTTAGGGCTTTGTACTGTAGCATTTGGAGAAGAGAGACATCCAGTTGAACTGCTACTTATCTGCTTATGGCCATTCTCACGTGGTGGCTTTTTCTGCAAAATCAAAAGGTAGCTACAGAAACCTAGCCAAAGACCACATCTGATGTACCTTTGTTCCTGAGCTATTCCACAACACTGAGTATCCTTCACCTATATATGACATTTATAGGACACTAACTTTAACTCAAGCCAACACTTTCCAAATGACACAAATTACTGGCATACTTCCATCTCCACTCAATGATGAGACAACTACGCCTACACAATTAGCCTAGGTAAGAAAAAGCTCAGTTTTAACAATTTGAAAAACATGTTGCAAATCAAGACCTCAGCAGAAGAAAAAACCAATCTATAATTATTTTTATATTAAGTATAGAATCTTTTAAAAGAATGCTATAAATTTAAAATAGTGTGAATTAACAGAGAATACATTTAACCCACTATTTTCATGAAATTGTCAAACCTAACTAAATCATATGTACAGGTATCCTTCATACAATGCCAGCAAAACGTAAGCAGATATAGATTCATCCAGTTTCTCTGAAAGTACTTGACAGGAAAAAAGTGGCAATTACAAGAAACACTTAAAGAATATTTCTTTAGGATTACCTTATAGGTATTATAGAGTGGTTTTCTAGACAAAATTACATCAAAACACAAGAAAATAGTAATCAGAAATGAAACATTACTAAAAACAACCAAATATTCACAAAAGTAGAATATACAGGAATACTAAAGAGGGAGAAATGAACAAAGCTGCCAATTTCCAAATGATTGTAAGAGAACTACTTTACACATGTGTTCTCATGTATGAGTTTTCCTTGATGGCTTCCTTCCAATTACTTTAGCCTTTGCCACTTCCAAAGGATATGATCATATGGAATTGGAAGAGTAAAGACTACTCTGAGAGGAACTGCCAAATGAACAGGTAGCAACTTCAGCACCTGGCCTAGTTTGCTCATCCCACTTGTGCTGGTCCAGATGGCCAGAACACATGGATAGGTAAAATTTCTAATGGAAATTTCTGTTGCTAGTGGAAGCAAAAAGCCATATAACAAGTAATTGAGAAAAAGATTTTGCTAGCTACTTGAAGCTATTAAGAAAAAGCTATATCAAAAGTTAGGCCTGAGTGTGGTTACAACATACGTAGGCTATTTTGAGAAAAGGCAGGGAATGTATCATTATCAATGGTTATGATTAAATTCCACTTAGATGTTTACTATGTACCTAGGTATTACTAGGTACTTTATTTACATCATCTCTTTTAGTCCAGTGAGGGTGATATTATCTACCCATTTTATAGATAAAAATATTGAAACTCAAGAAGATATGCATTGCCCAAGGCAATACAACTAAAATAAAGATTAGGAATTATGAAGATAAACCCCATCCTTTTTATACTATGACAAGTTATGTCATACTATAAAACAGATTTACACTATGACAGGCTGTTTTCCACTGTTACTAAAGTTGTGAATGCATCTTTCATATCACTTTTATACTATGAATATTAAGAATAAAAAATAAGGTTAGACTTATCTAACCTTATCTATTATTATGAATTACAAGGTACATAAAACCTCATCCCAACCTATGGGAAGAAGGGATCCAAATATCACAAATGGATGATGCTTACATTGAGGCTGTACTGAAGTAAAAAAACTGTTCTAATGTACAAACTATAATTAAGAGAAAATGACTGTGAAAGAGAAAGGCCCAAAAGCAATGCCTAATAACAAGCCTAATATAGAAATGCTGATTAAATCCTTTATATGTAAAGAATATATCCCTAAACCTTATTTTACATGACCTCCCAGAGAACTTGACAGTGTTTAGTCCTCCTTCAAACTTTCTTCTCCTACCTTAGGTAGCTTTTACAACATGATTAGATTCTTATTGTCCTCTGACTTTTCTAATGGCTTCTTCTCAACCTCCTTTTTCTATTCCTGAAGTCTAACATGTGTCCCTCGCATCCTCTTCATGATCTCTATTCATGGCATCACATTCTAATGAGTCACACATGTCAGAATCCCACTTATTCTCAAATTCTTTCTTTTCCCTAATCTTGCTAAGCAATCACTAAGGCCTGCTAAGTCAACCTTTGTAAATATAAATGTCTATTTATATATAGACATAAATAAAAAATCTATCCTTTCTCCTTCATGCCCCTAGATTAATCCCTCATCATTTTTTTAAAACCTGAACTACTGCTGGCAATAGTCTATAAACTGGGCTCAAACTTTTATTGATTTTCTGTGTCTGGTTATAAAAATAGGAAGGGTCCAAGGCAACAATTTTAGAAAATAAAACCAGAAATCAGTTGGGATATTCCAGCCCAAAGACTGCCACCTAATAGACTGTTCCCCAGTTTTTCACCATTACTAAAGTGAATGCAAAACTTTCGTATCACTGTATTCTTACCTAAGGCTTCCCACTGCCTATAGGATAAAGTATAAGCCCCATTCAGGGAGCATTTACCTACTTTCCCAGTCTTATGACCTGCAATTCCAAGAGTATCATCCTCACAGATACTCTTTGCTAACACCTCTCCCTTTATCTGCTATGCAGACTCCTCTAAATCCTAACACTGCTCAAAAGTTACCTCTTGTGTGAAATATCCCTGGCTTCTCTCCTGTCTCACTGTGTCCTCTCCTTTAGGCCTTTCGTAGCTACCTCTTATAAGCCTGTATTGTTTTGCCCACTCTTAGAAGGTCCTACAAGCAGAAACTGTCTCTTACACATTTTTGTGTTGCCATACCGAACATTATGGCCTGCCACTTATTGGGCACTCAACCTCTGCATGTTGAAAATGTACTTTTAAAATGTTAACTCAAAATGTTTAGAGTTAAGGGGGAAAATATCCTCAATATATTCAAAATGCACAAACATAGGTTCTCAACTAATTCAAATTCCAAAACTTTTAGAAATATTCACTCACTGTTGCCACAGGACACCTGAGAGAGCTAACACCTGATAATTTGTAACCATATAGGCTACTACTAAGTCTACCACTTACCCTCTGATTTTTAAAGAAAAGCATTCCTTAGTCTGGGCTGAGTCGACTGCTTTATAGCTTGTCCCTCAAAAACATAATTTGAGCTAAAGGCCAAATAAAAATATATACTATATGACCATTTATATAAATTTTTTCAAGCATAGCCAAACTAATTTAATGTGTCAGAAGGTAGGATAATGGTTTCCTTTGGGAGCACTATACGGAAACGGTTGGGAAGAGGCAAGAGAAAGGCTGCCGGGATGCTAGAAACCTCTTCTTGACTTGGGTAGTGTTTACACTGGTAGGTTCACTATGTGGTAATTATGACTTGTGTACTTTTCTGTATTTGTCCATAAACTTAAAAAATTTATACTTGAGAAGTTTGTTCTCTAGTAATTGTTGATAATGTGTCTGAATAATTATGTGTTTACTCATAGGGGAAAAATGAAATTGGATTTTATAAAAGGCAAAGTAACTCAATCAGCACAGTGGAACTCTACTATATTTTAATTCATCTTGGTTAAAGAAACATCTAGATCAGGTTTTAACATATGATCCACCACTTTTAGACTTATTACATTGTATAGTCCATCTTAACTATACCATTTCTAATTTCCAGTAAGACAGCTCAGTAGTTAAGGTAACATCCAAAAATTTCTTTCATAGCCATCAACAATTTAAGTCCCCCTGCCCCTTTTTAAAAAAAACTATCAGTCATGCCTGACACAAACAACTGCTTTTCATAATCTTCCCAAATAATTTCTATATTGTTCCATCTTATTGGCCTTTACTGTTTGTAATTCCTGCTTTATGAGAAAAAAATTTCAATAGGGTTTCCTAATTTGTTAATATCTTTTCATGTGGCAAAAATACTAACTCTAAGATATGCTTGTTTTCTCCCAAAAATGTTTCTGTCCAGTTATACCAATGAAATTGGTCCACTTTCCTTTATTAAAGGAAAATTTAAGTATGCTATCAAATTCTCTAGTCAAATTTTAACCTGAGGTTACCTCAGACTGTGCAATGTGTACCTGCACAAACTGAATGTGGTCATCATCACTGCCAAACACCTCAGCCTGTCCATCTAGTAGGTTCCCATCAAGCAGCTTGTGATCAGCTGAGTAGTACAAGGTTTGAACCTGCAAAACAGCAACAGAACACCCATGTGGCTACGGTCACCATGGCTACTCCACTAGTATGCAGATTACACAAACGCCTCAAGGTAACCTCCAGTGTGCTTCTTGAGCTTCTTGACATATTACTCTGGCAGGATCCGGAGGTAAAGAAAAATACATGTCATGGTGGTAAAAATTAAAAAACAAAAACAAAAAACCAAAATCAAATACAAAATCTTCCAATACTGGCTGAAGAGTCGTTGGCTTGATTGGCTTGAAAGAAATCTTCATTTTTTTCATAGCTTCTATCATATAACAGTAAGAAAAAAAGCACTAGTACAATATATACTCTTAAAGAATATACATATTTACAATAAAATACTGAATATAGTTTACACCTTTGCAGATAAGTGGTCTGGTTTGCATAAACATATTTCCTTCCTGTAAGCAATGTCAAGAAAAACAAAGAAAAAACAAATGCAAAAATTCAAGCAAGCTGTAGAGTCATCTCCATTGAGACAGATGCAAATACATGGCAAATGCATCTGACTTTCAAGTGGGAATCATAGAATTTAAAGATAATCTGTTAGCCCTTTTAGACCATAATGATGACAGTGTTTCTGCAGGCCTAACAGATTTGGTAAGCCCTCATAAAGGAACTCCGAAAGGTTTAAGTGGAGAGAGAAACTCAAGGTTACTCCACTGCTCCACCTGCGTGTTTTCAATTCCCACCATTTCTCCATCAATTTTATCTTGTGTATTTTTTTTAAAAGTAGCCCAAGTTAAGTGAGTGACTATATGTATGAACAACACCATTGAAAAACACACAGCTTTAAAGACAAGAATCCTGTAAAGGAGTAAACACCATTAAATCATCATCGTTCTCTGCCCACAGCGGATTTTTCTTAGGAGAACTGGGGCAGGACTGCTGCTTCTTTACGTGTCAATACACTTGAGGTTTCTTCTTGTTTCTTCAGTCTTGGGTATCCTAGTTTTGTTAATAAACCTATGGGGAGATAAATCAATGGGGAGGAACAACCATTAGAAGCTTTTACCTACTTGTCAAATTTAAAGCAAAAACCTGTGAAGAAAAATTAAGAATCTACAGAAAATTTCAGTACCACTTCCCATTTCTAAAGCAAATTACATGCTACTTTAAAGAAAGTTAACAGCACATAATAAGCAAAGAAATAAAAAAAGAAAAGCAGAAGACCAAACTGAACAGTTCATTCAGCTCACCTGGACACCCCCCCTGTTTCTCAGCTTAGGGGTACCTATAGCAAAATTTAAATTCTTTAGGGTCATGGTTATAAAATAAAAGTGAAAGGGAATCCTTCATGTTATAGCAAAATAATTTTTAAAAATGGTTGAATCCCATTTACTTTAAAACTAACCTCTTCCATCAGCTCTTCCAGACTGTCTCCATTCTCCCAGATGCTACGCTGCACCCAGTTGATTACCTTTGTATATAATTTGCCATTGCTGGGCAAGCAAACATTATCTTCAAGCATTACCTCCAACTAGAATTGGGAAAAACAATGACATGGATCAGTGTTGGGCTCCTAGTTCTCAGCTTAATTCCCAATTTCATAATAAAGTTGTCACAGATGCACAATTCATTCCATACATTTACTCTAATTTGTAAGGAACCAGGAATTTGTAAGGAACCAGGAATTTGTAAGGAATTTGATTACTGAATCAAAAACAAAGTAAACAAACTGGTAGGGAGAAACCCATTACGCTGCTAAGAATAACAATATAATTTCAATGTATTATTTCATAATCATTACTCACTTGCTTGAAACACAGACCAAGATTCCACGCCTGGAACTAGATAGTATATATCTGTTTATAGACTTTACTCCTTACCTTTAGCCTTGGAAGCTTAAGAAACTCCTCCTCTTCAGAAATTTGTAACAAATGCTCCTGAATATAAGCATCAACCTTATTCAACAAACGGGAGTCTCCCATACAACTTGCAAAATTTCGGTAAGAGATGCAGCTGGTAACATCCATTCTAGACAGTAAATAATCACCACAAACCTTGGAAAAGAAATATATGAGTGCCAACACTTACATATCTTTTATTCAACAAATATTTAATGTTCAGTGTGGTAAAGACTATGTGAAGATACAAAGAATCAAAAATCACTGTCTTAATACAACAAATGTTAATAGTGGTAATAACACGTATACAAATGATAAACATCTAATTATGCCATACAGATATGTAAGTTTTAGTTTAAGGAGAGGTACAACAAATTGAAATGCTATGTAAGTTCACATAAGTATTTTCAAGTAGAATAATTTGGTAAGGCTTCATGAAACGCAGTATCTGAACTGGGCTCTACAGGAGAGATGATGTTGATGTTGAATGCAGACAGAAGTAGAGAAGATGCTGCAAACAATTTAATTTGGTTGGAGAAAAGATAACTAGGAAATAGTTTTGGAAAGACAGCAACTATATAAGGGAAAATCTAGAAACTAAATGCAGGGATATGTACTGTAAATTAAGGAAGGATTTTTGAACAAAGGAGTGGTATTAGAAGAAGGGCTAGCAAATCAAACTTTTTCTTAAAGGGCCAGATAGTAAAAGCATTTTAGGCTTGTAGGCCATTCTGTTTGTCACAACTGCTCAATTCCGTCACTGTAGCTGGAAAGCAGTGTAGACCATATGTAAATGAACACACATGGCTGTGTTTGAATAAAACTTTATAAAAATAGGCAGCTGGCCAGTAGGCCTTAAGTTTACTGACCCCCATGCATTAGGGGATTAAATGCCTGTTTTCCAAAAGTACTTTTTACTGGCATTAAATTCTAGAAGGAATACTTTTAGAGAGCACAGGAAGTTTAGGAGAACACAGAATTGAGGATATAAGTTATGTGATTAACTCTTAAGAAAAATATTAATTTTAATTCATGCTATCAAAGGCTGACATAGCCACCCTACCAGAGAAGATTGCTGAAAGGGTCAGACTTCAGCCCAAATTATCTGAGAAGAAGTGTGATCTTGCTACATTATTATAGCCAAACAGTTAAAATAACATATTGACTACTCTGAGGGAAAAAAGGGACATGTTCAAGTCCTTGAAACTAACAAGATGTTTTATGACAAATTCAGCATTGCAATCACACAAAATAAGACTCCATAAATGATTTTATTTACTTCTGATACTCTACCTGCTTTACTCGATCCATCTTCAGCTTTTTTGCTGCAGAATAAACATCTTTTACCAATTCCTTATCTGCTTTCAACCTATTTAAAAAAAAAGTTACTTATGATACCAAAGCCTTAAAACACACTTAATTTAAATATATGTAGCAAGACTTGGAATTTTCTGAAGATATTCCCTAATTATATGGTTTACTTCAAATGTACTTACTGAGCAGTGTAGGCATAATTCAACAAGACTTCAACAGCTTCTGGATTGAGATCATCAAATTTAACGTGAGAAATTCCATGAGGATCACTATCACTATTAAAGATTTCAAATAAATAGGGACTGCAGCAAGCTAGCACTGCTCTGTGTGCTAACATTTCATGGCCACAGACCTGAAATTATGAAGAATTATAATTATAAGTATTGTGGATTATGTGCTTCTCTAGCTAATTACTATATCAGATTCCTTTATCTTACATTTCTCAGTATTCTTTTAAAAAATCATTTCATTAAATGCCTATGAAAAAGAAATAAGCAAATCTAAGAACTTATGGCTTTTAGTAATAAAAAATTCTATAAATTTTGAATTAAGTTTTAAATACCTGAAGTCGAACATCACAGAACTGGCCACTTTTCCTCAGGGCATTTAATTTGGCAACAGAAGACTCAATAAAATTTTCATCCTCAAACATCAAATATCCATTGGGAATCATTTTTCCTTATAAATTTGGCTAGATGATGAAAAGAAAGCTGAGTTATTTTACTTGCAACTGATGGTTTTAAAAATATAATGCTAAAGAGTAATACAGTCTCTTTATTCTCAAATTCCATCCTATAAACAACACATAAAAATTTCATCACACAAAAACTTAGCTGAAACAACACCTGTGTTGAATGTCCAAGTCTTTGTTCCCTAATACTTTGGTCATAAGACTTTTAAAGGATTCAAACAGTAGCAGCTATCTCGACAATTTTGGCCAGGTTCCCATGCCCATTAAGCAAATTCATTCTGAAGGGAAGGGAAGGGAAGGAAACGAAACTCCATCCTGCCCAAACCCATATAATAAGTAATCTAAAAGCCTGAAAGGGTGAAATAGCCAGTACATATAGGTTTCCTTGGATTTGGGCTCCTGTCATTCCTTTACCCACAAATGAGAAAAACTGTTACTTATCCTAATCCTAGCCTTTTTCAGTTGTCTTAAAGGGCCCCCAATTTGCTTCTAGTCTTCAAAATTATATATAATCAAGATTTATATGCAGAAAATTGCCTAATGTCTTCCTCCCTTGCCTAGTACACAAACTTAAAAAGTCTGATTAGTCTTGTCACTGTATCTACGAAATTATTTTTATAAATGTTTTGAAACATATACAGTGATTTAAAAAGATGAACTTATATTCTGTTCCTTTCTTTCATATATTCTAAATCACTTATCTCATCAGATTATATAAATATAAATGGGAACTTACAACTTTTTTGCATTTTACCATTACTTATAAACAACTGACTAATGACTACACAAAATGCATAATTAAAAAACAGTGATAGGCTGGGCGCTATGGCTCACACCTGTAATCCCAGCACTTTGGGAGGCCGAGACAGGTGGATCATTTGAGGTCAGGAGTTCAAGACCAGCCTGGCCAACATGGTGAAACCCTATCTCTACTAAAAATACAAAATTTAGCCAGGCATGGTGGCGGGCGCCTGTAATCCCAGCTACTTGTGGGGGCTGAGGCAGGAGAATTGCTTGGGAGGCAAAGGTTGCAGTCAGCTGAGATTGTGCCACTGTACTCCAGCCTGGGCAACAGAGAGACTCCATCTTAAAAAAATAAAATAAAATAAAGAACAGTAATAGGGAGGCCAAGGCAAGAAGATTGCTTGAGCCCAGGAGTTTGAGACCAGTCTGGGAAACATAGTGAAATCCTGTCTCTACAAAAAATGTAAAAATTAGGCAGTCATGGTGGTGGCGCACACCTGTAGTCCCAGTTACTAGGAAGGCTGAGGCAGGAGAAGCACTTGAGCCCAGGAGTTCCAGGCTGCAGTGAGCTATGATCCCACCACTGCACTCCAGCCTGGACAACAGAGATCTTATCTCTTTAAGGAAAAAAAAAAAGGCAGTAAGAAATTTTAATTTGAAGTTACTGATTTATTTAAAGTCAAAATATAGAAAAGAAAAATATGATGTTTTTTATACTCAAATGATTACTGACTTCTCTGCCTTTAAAAAAAGAGTATGAAAGGTTTACTGTACTCGACATCCGTCTTCAGAAAAACAATGTGTCTTAATACTGGACTAGGCAGAGAACATTCACTTACCTACTCTGTTGGTGGCAAATGTATTTCTGGGAACTCTTAAGTAATCCAAGGACAAAGGAGTGTTAAAAGGTGCACTTCGTCAGGGTATGAAGACAGGTGGTTGAAATGAAGGCAGGTGTGTCTTAAGCTCTAATGGTGATTCCAAAACTATCAGGCTTGAAAATGATGTAATCAAGTCCTTAAAAGCTATAGACACGAATTTCTTCTGTGATAATGATGCATCATAATCTATAACAATGATAAATTTAAGTTAGATATTCAGAATAATCAAAGACTGTCATTGATCTAGGTAGAGCAGATCATGTAAAACAAGTCCTGATCTTCAAGAGATTTGACATAAATGGCAAAAATATTCCCATTACATAAAAAAAGAACACAAATGCAATTCCACATAAACATTTTTCATTTAACTTGCAACAACCCAAGTGATTAAAAAAAAAAAAAAAAGTCCTTTCCCAAAGGGCAGGGGCTAATGACCTATGTTTATGAGAGGTATAAAAGCACAAGACTACAAAACAAATGTCAATACTGTTTAATTCTAATATTCTTTATTATTAATTTCCAACTAATATGCAAACATGAGATCTGTTTTGAGCCAGCAAGCAACCTTAGGCATTATTCCCAAGCATATATACTATGTTACTGTTCCTCAAAATGAACTCTGCACTTCCCAGGCTCTGTTAACTTTGTTCAAGTTCTTCTCTCTACCTGGAAGGCCCTTAACCCAACCTCTGCCAGAGGAAATCTTACAGCCATAGAGCCTCTGCCAAATGCTCCCAGTTGGGAAGCAGTTTCTCCTCATCCTCCACATTTAGAACCCTATCTGAGGGGTATTTATGATCTTCCAGCTGGTCTGTTTCATGCTGTATTTATATTCATGCTGTATTTATATATACTTGTTTATCTTCCTTGACTCATGGGCAAACCTTCTGTCTTGTTCATCTTTTGTATCCATCCCATCTCCTCTCTACCAGGACTAGCCTAAAAACTTGAACATAAAGATGAGTAATTTGTTGGAATAAACTAAACAGAAGGGAAAATACTGATGCCTGTGCTTTGTATAATCATTTTTCTCATACACAGTAATAAACTACCAATGGAATCATTCTGGTTCAAACCTAATCTTCAAGGTAATCAGTCCTCCTACCTATTCTCCCTCCCTCATTTTCACATCATCAATTACTAGTGTCAAATTCTGATGGTACTTATTTTGTAATCACCTGAACTGCTATTACACCACTATTAACTCTGGAAACCAGAACTAAGGAATAACTTACCTGAAATACGTGCAAATATATTCATTTTTATGGATATCTTAAGATTATTTGCCTTATACATCAATACAACAATTCTAAATCTAACAATTACGTCAAAGTGAATAATCACTTACCACAGGACTCCACTGCAGGCTGGTCCAGTTCGAATTCAACAAACCTACTATGTTTAGTTCAACATGTGTCCTAACAGGTCTCTCTGTAACAGGTTTCATTTCAAGGAAACCCAATAATGCCAATTCGGGTTGGGATTGTTGTGAATGCTTACCCTTGCATCAAAACTATATCACAGCATTAGGTAATATTGATTTCCTCTGCTCTACCTTTTATCTAGGTTAGTTAATTTGGCTTTTCTCTAAGAAACTAGTTCTAACAAATGTTTTCCAAATATACATAATTCTTTCTACACAGAGAGAACACACTATCCTAAAGAAACCTTCAAACATTTTCAGCCAAGACCTGGCTCAAACTAAGAAAATTTTCATATATATATGATTTATACTGGCATGGTCAATTCACAGGCATAGTTGGCAACTCCTAACTTCAGTTTCATAAGCTGCTCTTAAAATAAGAGGAAGGAGTCCCCATGCAAATTGTTATATTAAAATGCATCCTCTGAAAAGCCAAAAACATTATAATATGAAGGTACTATTTTAAACTTTGACCAGTTTTACTCACTTTTTACTTGTAAACTTGATCTAACAAAAAATAAAAATGGTATCCACTTACTATATTTGACAAATTGAATGATCTACCTAAAATTTATTTTGGAAAAAAATGGTTAAAATTACTGCAGCCCTTGGAGAAAACACTGGAGAATTTTTGGGGCAATTTGCATCAGACAAATTTGTACAATATTATTATGAGTTTTGCAGTAAAATGAATCCTGTATTTAGTGCTTGATTTTTATTTAGTTTTTACTCTAATTCCATGACAGTACCTGATTTTTAGTACATCAAGGTCATAATATGAACCTCATCTCTTTAATATCTACTGATCAGAGTACAAAGCTACTTGATTTTAAAAGCCAGCCCAAATCTAGATGACATTTAAGTTAATGCAAACTTACTTTATTCAATTATTGTCCTCATACACTATATACCTACTTCCCGCCCACCTCAAGTTTGGAGGGGATCAGATCAATTCCTGTCTGTAAAACCATGTTTTTGAAAGTTCCTATTTACTTTCATTAAAGTGAGCTAGGGCAAATCAAGAGTTTTAAACTACTCCCCAAATTGACGGGAGATCTTATTTGGTCTATAAAACTCAAGCACGATAACTAGTGGAATTAAAAAATGGGGAAAATTGTTTTCTTTGAAAATCCAAACCAAAAGTCCAGACATCCCAGAGTCATATAAGAGTATGAAACGTAGAATTGTTTGGTGTTTAAAATACACTTTCAACTAAATCTACACCTAGGTCACTTTTCTTACACATTTAAAATTAAAACTAGGATCAAATACAATATATTCAGATAAATTCAGCATACTTCTATGGCCACTGCAAGGGATACCGAAGACTCATAAATGAGTAATTAAACTGCTTTAATAACACCCAGAAGTTCACAGCCCGGAAAGATTAGCTTAAGTGAAATACAATTCAACAGGTCTTATCAAAGAGTTGTTAAAAAGGTAGGCACAATATGGCCTCTGCTAAAATTTTTCTCTGGCCTTCAGTAAGACCAAGATAAAACAAAAGACAATCGTTTGAGGGCAGTCAGCTCCCACCAAGTAGCCATCAGCTGCATTTTTAAAGGAAAGACTTTATAATACAAAGTAAATCAACACATCTTTTTAAAACCAGAAGTTACAGCTTTCCAAAGTAACCTCTAAAACCACCATCACCATCCATGTATATGAAAACTCGCTGAACTCATTCATTCTATCCATGCTCATAGTTTTGTAATTCTTTCACTACAACACAAACATATGTAGCACCAAACATATGGAAGGCACAAACTGAAATGGAATGCTCATATCATAACACAATAGAAGTTAACTCAGTTCTCTAGCCTGGAACACTTCACAGGCCAGTCAGAAAGATAAAACAAGCTGTGAAATAGCTTAAGCAGAAAGGAAAAAAGGTATGATAGCAAATATATTCCAGAAACTGCAGCTATTTCAGTTTCAATAGATTGTAGATTTGCAGGATGCATATGGTAATAGTGGGCGAGGAAGTAAGAGAGCCTAATTCCAAGGTTTAAACAATGCTAAGCATGGAAAGTAGGTGAAGGATTTAAACAAGGAAGCATAGGGCATCCTAGCAGAAGTGTGGGGGATGGTCTAGAGGAATGAGTAAAGCATGGAAACAGGGCAGTTAAGATTCTGTACACCCATGCTCCTTTAAGGCAGTGAGGACTTAAGATATTTTATCTTAGATATGTGGCATCCTTATTAACATCAATTATCAAAATTAAGATATGTGGCATCCTTATTAAAATCAATTACCAAAAAGCATAACACAAAGTCGTTTATAGTTTGCTACATGGAGAAGGGAAGGAAGGAAAGGAAGAATTTGGTTTGAGACGTTCTAATGCTGAGGTATCTGCATGTTAATAACAAAAATATAATAGTATGATGTTAAGTATAGGTTCAGAAACATTTACAAGATATACAACTTGTAGTTTACAAGTATGTATTTTCTGTTGTTTTAACAAAAACCCAGAAATCAATCTCTTACTCACAATACTTCAATCTACACACACACTAGCACATGCACATGACATGGTGGGAAGACCCCCAACCTTTAATAATTCCTACTTGCAGGATTTGACTATACAATCGCACTGCTAAAAAGTGGATGAAATGACTTACTTAGTGTTACTTCATCTTAATATCAATTAAGATACTTCCTTAACAGGAAAACATTTATATTTAAAAACGTATTTGCAAAACTACATTTAATTACCATCTAACAAATCCTTCAAGCAAGAAAAAATCCCACCTTCCAAAAGCAAGTAGCCAAAAAGACACTAATTTAAAACTAAGACTAAAACCTGAAATGTTTTGTCTTGGGGGGAAAGTTAGAAAATCAACTACAAATTAAGACAATGGCTATAGAAATTAGTATCTATTAGTTAACCAGAGATATCATCTATTAGGAAAACACAGAGGAAAACCATTCCAGGGCTCTCTTTGGTCAGTGGCTCAAGTTCCGTTTACCTCTGGCTACCAAATTATAAGCTTGATAAGCAGCCTGCCAGCTGGCGTTAAATGATACTAGTCTCAATTCAATTCTAAAGTCCATGTTTACCTCACGTCCAGACTTAACAAATACAACTACTCTTTCAGTATCTTTAAGACAGAAGTGTCAGCAGGCTTTAGCCTAAAAGTAATCATCAGTATTTTGTTTTTCCTAAATCAATCACTGGTGCTAGAATTATTAAAAGAAAGCATGGCCTGTGGCAGTCTAGTCCATGCTGTACTTATTCATCTGTTAAGAGTGGTACTAGGCTTCCAGAGTTGTCATCTATTAGTAGACAGAAGACCACGACACACTCAACGAACAGCTTGATGCCAAGGTGTTCTAACGCTCCATCACTGCACGCTCCATCACAAAAATGCGCCCTTTTGGACATCTGATTTCTCCTTGAAATGTCAGCTGTCTCAAACCAATAGATATGTCCACTACCTATTGGGGGAAAAAGTAAATGTAGTTCTCAAGTAGTGGTTCAAGTTACCCTAGGTTCAACCCTCAGCCTGATACCTTCCTATCATCAAGAGCTTATAATCAGAGACACTTAACCAAAAGCGTGGAGGGACGGAAAAAGAGCAAATCTTGCCACTGATTTCTTTCATAAAAAAGAAAGAGCGTCCCAGGCCTTCCTCCTCGCGCAGCCAGGCCGGCGCCCACTCCGCAGGCTGCGAGGCGAGGCCCCCAGCACCCGCACACCCCCGCCCCGGATTGGCCAGCCCCGCAGTCACTCAGTACCGACACGTCAGGGCAGCCGCTCCCTCCCTCCTCCCGCCCCCTTCTCCCCGCGCTTGGCAAGAAAAGCGGGCAACGTGGAGCGGGAACAAAGGACCCCGCGGCCCACGGCGATCGGGGACTCCGTGCCACCCTACTCCAGGCCCGGGGCTGGCTGCCCGCCCACACGAGCCGAGTCTCGAGAGCTCTTCCAGAAGAGAATCCCAAACCCCAGGCAAACCCGAGGCGAGGCGTCCGTTCCTGACAGCAAGAACGGGGAGTCCCGCGCCCTCCTTCCGGCGGGTCATCCCCGCCCGCGGCGCCCTAACCCAGGCCCCCCAAAACCCTTCGAACAAAAAACTCTTGTTCCTCCCAGCCTGCCTCACCCGCGCCAGTGTAGCAAAGGGGCTCCAGCCTCCGCGCTCTCCGAGGCGACCGGCGCCCGCTCTCGGCCGCCAACGCAACTTGGCAACCATGGCAGCGCTGGAGCGCGGGCCCAGCGCGGCGCGGGCTTCACGTCCCAGAGGGCGGCGGCGGCCGCTTGGGGCTGCCTCCCCTGATGAGGACACCGCTTCCGCGCCTCCCACCCTCTTCCCATCCGCCGGCGCCATCCCTTCTTCTCGGATTCTAGCCGCGCCGTCTCCCTCATCTGTCGTTCGTAGAACCAGCGCGTATTACCTGGTTCATCTCTGAAGAGATGGAAACATTCATTTCTAGAGCTTCGATGGGAAGCAGGAGGAAGCGGGCGGGAATCGGCCCAACGGAAAGCGCCAGAAGGCGGCGGAAGACGGGAGCGGTCAAGTAGAAGGACGAGGGGCCAGTCCGTGGAGACTGAAAGGAAGGGGGAGCGCCACCGAGAACTCGCGGGAACTCGCTCGCTCGCCGATACAGCCGCGCCGAAGCAGCAGGCGGAGAAACTGCGCCCAGCAGCTCTGAGCGACCGACCTCCACGCGCGACCGGGAGACACTGCCTCCGCCGCCGCCGACCGCTCGCGCCGCACCCCCTCGCACGTCACCACGTGCGCTGCCGCCGCCGACGCCTCCCAGCCCGCTTCCGTCTCGAATCCATCTGCAAATCACAGGCGAGCTCCATAAAGATCCCACTCTAAGCCCCGCCCCACCCGCGGCCCCGCCCACATCCCGCCCCGCCTTCCTCCCTGGTCTACTGGGGTTCCTTCCTTCTCGGTGTAACTAGGTCAGCGCAAGGTGATCCTGAGGAGATAGGCGGCGCTCGGGGGGCGCCCTCGTTCCTCTTATCGCGCCTTTGTCCCTCCCTCCGTTCCTTGCCCCGCACCCTCACTTTCGCCGCCCTGTGCGTTGCCTGTCCCGGAACTGGTTCCCTCAAGCCGCCCTCACCTGTTCTGACTTCCCCTCGAGGCACAATAGCCTGAGAGATCAGACGTGGGAGATTAGATTGCTCGGCGTCAGACCTACTTCTAGGCAACCCCCCCTAGACTGGAGCTGCTCGTCGTGGACATTAGGATCTAGTTGGGCATGAGCCCTTAACTTAAGGGTCGGGGGGGAAGTGGCGGGTGCGGAGAGGAGGCGTGGAGAGTGTGAGGAAGAAGAGAGGCACTCTGAGAAGAAGTCGAACAACTAACCCCTCATTTGGCCTGGTTTGGGTGAGAAGATTGAGTCACTTGGGGAAAAAAATATTGGAGAAGTCAGAGAAGGTGTAAATCAGTGGTGCCACAAACACCAGTTTACTTCCACTTTTCACCCCCCGGGTCTGTTTTGTCTGCGTGCAGCTCTCCTCGTGTCGGAGACGCTGAGTCAGTTCTCTACTGGTCTTGCCCTCTTCCGGAAAAAGAAAACACACCTGAGAAGTGGTAGTTCCTATCCTAACCTACTGGGGCCCTTTATACCAGGTGCCAAACTTCATTATCCACCCCACCACCTTGCCCGGGAGGGAGATCTGTGAAAGCGAAACGTGATTTAAGCTGGGATCTGGCAGCAACTTCGTGGACTCTGAAGGGCACGTGGGAAAGGAGTTTTGATTGAAGGTGAGGGATTTAGTGAGGTAAAATTATATCCAAATTAGAGTTTGGTAAAGGCTTCCAGGTTAATGTCCTGTTAACGCTTATCCTGATTTGTGGAGGACACTTAAGCTGTCTAGGCCTAACCTTGTGTTTGATCACTCACCTTAATTTGTAGACATTCTAGGAGCTCTTTGTCAATGCCTCTTACCATTTTTATCATTAACTATTTATGCTTATAGAAGCAGGAAAAATAAATTGTGGGAGCCTTCATCTGCAATAGGTTTACAACTTTTTTTCTAAAATCTTGAGGCAAGGAGACTTATTCCCCCGCCCCTTTTTTTCTCACAGATTTCTTGTATGTCTCCCTCGCCCCGCCCGCACCCCGTCCCCCCGCCCCCGGACAATTAATTGTAGGAGGAAACAAGAACTAAGATGTCTATTCGAGTGATTTTTTATATCTTTCTTAAGGAGAAAAAGACTGACATTTGACACTGTGCTCTTGTTTTGTCTTGCTGATAATAACTGACAGCAATGTTTACTTTTCTTACAAATGAAACTATCAGGGTACGTACTTTTAAGCTCTTTAATACAATGGGTTTCATCCTTCCAGTGGGAGAGTATGAATTGCCCACTCTGCGTAGACACATGACTGCTGGCCTGTTGGACACATGGTCACACTTGCTATACTCTAAATAGTGTCTTTGTGACCTGAAACAGTCAACACTTTTCTTAAAGCTACAGTGTGCCCACACTCATTGTATTTTTGCTTTGTATGGAATTTCAAATTTACTTATTACCTTCTCTATGAATAATAGCATAACTTATGCATTCCATTTATGCCTTTCAGGGAACCTGATGGTTAATTTCTACCTCTTAAAGTAACACATTATGTTGTAAGATTTTGCTCTTAATATAGCAGTCCCCCTTATCCTTGGTTTCACTTTCCAAGATTTTGTCAACCATGGCCCAAAAATGTTACATCACTACTCTTGCATTTGGGGGGTATTATTACATAAAATGATAGTTATATGAACACAAGCACTGTCACACTGCAACAGTCTGACAACCCAGACAGCAACTGGCTAATGGCAATCTGGGCAGGGACAGAGCAGACTGTGCTCCTCAGAATGGTGCACAATTTAAAACTTATGAATCGTTTATTTCTGGAATTTGCTATTTATGTCACAATACTTATGTCATTCACCTCACTTCATCTCATCATGTAGGTATTTTATCATCTCACATCACAAGAAGGAGAAGGGTGAGTTCAGTACACTAAGATGCTTTGAGAGGGAGACCATACATAACTTTTATTACAGTACACTCTTAAAATTGTTTTATTTTATTATTATTATTTTTTGAGACAGAGCTTCTTGTCTCCCAACCAGGACTATAATGGCACAATCTCAGTTCACTGCAACCTCCGCCTCCAGGTTTCAAGTGATTCTTCTGCCTCAGCCTCCCGAGTAGCTGGGATTACAGGTGCCCGCCACCACGCCTGGCTAATTTTTGTATTTTTAGTAGAGGTAGGGTTTTGCTGTGTTGGCCAGGCTGGTCTCGAACTCCTGACCCCAGGTGATCTGCCCACCTCGGCCTCCCAAAGTGCTGGGATTACAGGCATGAGCCATGGCGCCCAGCCTGTTCTATTTTATTATTATTGTTGTTAATATCTTACTGTGCCTAATTTATAAGTGAAACTTTATCATAGGTATGTATGTATAGGAAAAAACATAGTGCATTTAGAGTTCAATACTAAGGTTTCAGGCATCCACTGAGTGTCTTGGAACACATCCACCAGGCATAAGGGGGTGGGGGTGACTACTATACTTAGGTAAGATTTATTTGGAGAGTGCTTAATAAAAATTATGAATTTCTTGCATACCTATTTTGTGTCAGGTCCTGAGAAAGATAATCAGGAATTGGTGTCAATCTGCCATCTTTTCTTTATTCACCCTGATCCTGCTTCAGATGTTGTCTCCATCCTTAACTGACTTGTGTTTTGTTTATTCTTGATGTATTAGTTTGCTAGGGCTGCCATAACAGACTGAATGGCTTAAACAACAGAAAGTTGTCAAGCATGATGGCTTGCACCTATAAGCCCAGCTACTGGTGGTGGGGAGAGGATCACTTGAGCCCAGGAGTTCAAGACTGCAGTGAGCTATGATCGTGCCACTGCATTCAGACAACAGAGTAAGACCTTGTTTCTAAAAAAACAAAAACAAAAACCCTCCAGAAATTTGTCTTACAGTTCGGAAGGCTAGAAGTCTGAGATCAAGGTATTGTCAGGGCCCTATTCCCTCTGAAGGCTCTAGGCCACTCTCCTAACTTCTGGTAGTTCCTTGGCTTGTCAACATAACTCCAGTTTTCACATGTTCTCCCTGTCTGGGTATCTGTTGTTCAGATTTCCCCTTTTTCTGTGGACACCAGGGTTAATTGAATTAGGGGCCCACCCTACTCCAGTATGACATCATTTTAACTAAACCTGCAACTACTGTGTTTCCAAATAAGGTCATATTTTGAGATACTGGGGGTTAGGACTTTAACATACAAATGTTGAGGGAACACAGCTCAACTCATAAAACCTTAGTTCATTTTTTAAGTGTGGTCCACTGAACACATTCTTTGGAATCACCTGTGTATTCTTCCTAGAAATGCAGGTCCTTATGTGTCCACAATTGGGGGGTTCTTGGTCTCACTGACTTCAAGAATGAAGCCATGGACCCTAGCGGTGAGTGTTACAGTTCTTAAAGGCAGCGTGTCCGGAGTTTGTTCCTTCTGACGTTCAGACTTGTTCGGAGTTTCTTCCTTCTGGTGCATTCATGGTCTCATTGGCTTCAGGAGTGAAGCTGCAGACCTTCGCGGTGAGTGTTACAGCTCTTAAAGGCAGTGTGGACCCAAAGAGTGAGCAGCAGCAAGATTTATTACAATGAGTGAAAGAACAAAACCTCCACAGGATCAAAGGGGACCCCAGCGGGTTGCCACTGCTGGCTGGGCAGCCTGCTTTTATTCTCTTGTCTGGCCCCACCCACATCCTGCTGATTGGTCCATTTTACAGAGAGCCGATTGGTCCATTTTACAAAGAGCTGATTGGTCCGTTTTGACAGGATGCTGATTGGTGCGTTTACAATCCCTGATCTAGACACAAAAGTTCTCCACGTCACCACTAGATTAGCTAGATACAGAGTGTCCACACAAAGGTTCTCCAAGTCCCCACCAGAGTAGCCAGATACAGAGTGTCCATTGGTGCATTCACAAACCCTGAGCTAGACACAGGGTACTGATTGGTGTATTTACAAACCTTGAGCTAGATACAGAGTGCCCATTGGTGTATTTACAATCCCTTGGCTAGACATAAAGGTTCTCTAAGTCCCCACCAGACTCAGGAGCCCAGCTGGCTTCACCCAGTGGATCCTGCACAGGGGCACAGGTGGAGCTGCTTGTCAGTCCCACCCCGTTCACCCGCACTCCTCAGCCCTTGGGTGGTCGATGGGACTGGGCGCCGTGGAGCAGGGGGCGGCGCTCGTGGGGGAGGCTCGGGCTGCTCAGGAGCCCACGGTTGGGCGGCGGAGGCTCAGGCATGGCGGGCTGCAGTTCCCGAGCCCTGCCCCGCGGGGATGCAGCTAAGGCCCAGCGAGAAGTCGAGCACAGCAGCTGCTGGCCCAGGTGCTAAGCCCCTCACTGCCCAGGGCCGGCAGGGATGGCGGGGCGGCTGGCTGCTCTGAGTGCGGGACACGCCGAACCCATGCCCACCCGGAACTCGCGCTGGCCCTCAAGCGCCATGGGCAGCCCTGGTTCCCACCCGCGTCTCTCCCTCCACACCTCCCCGCAAGCTGAGGGAGCTGGCTCTGGCCTTGGCCAGCCCAGAAAGAGGCTCCCACAGTGCAACCGCGGGCTGAAGGGCTCCTCAAGTGCCGCCAAAGTGGGAGCCCAGGCAGAGGAGGCACTGAGAGCGAGCGAGGGCTGTGAGGACTGCCAGCATGCTGTCACCTCTCACTTAGGCTTTACCCTAGACTAATGATTTTCAAAGGAAGAGAGTGGTTTTCCCCTGGGGAATATTTGGCAATCCCTGGAAACATGACTGGGGGAGACGTACTACAGGTATCTAGTGGACCTGGAATGCTGTTGAACATCCTACAAAGCACAGGACACTGTCCCACAGCAAAAAATGATTCCACCTGAAATGTCAGTCGTGCCAAGATTGAGAAACCCTGTCCTAAAATTGGTAAGTCTAGTCTCTAGGAAAGTGGCCTGGAAACCTACATTCTGACAAACACCATAGCATCTTGTACCTCTACTAAAGCCTGAAAACCACTGCAAACGCAAAAGCATTTTCTAGGCGTATGAACATGCTCCATTTCTCCTCGGATATTAGTTATCTCTCTTATTTATTAACCATGCTAATTATGATAAGCTGATTTTATTCAATACTGCTACTTAGCAATTCAGTTTACCAGTCATAGTCTTAATTTAAGTTGGAATCTTATTTACATTTTAAAACTTCTGTGCCACATTACATTATTTTTGATCAACTGTCTGCATTTTCTGGGTGTCATTTGCCTAATGAAAAGCTGTTGCCAATTTGTGACTTGGCAAAAAAGCAATGCTTTGCCTGCCTCCTCCAGTCTGCTAGCTTCTCCTGTACTCTAAGTGACTGACTCTTCTGTCGTATATTTCTTTCATCCCTTGCAGTCAGTGCTACTGTTCTCAATTTCTTTCTCTTCTTTCCTTTTGGCACTTGAAAATATTGTTCGGGTATATTAATGGTGTCTTAAGAGCCAAAACAAGAAAATGGTAGTGTCATAAAAGTCACAAGAAGCCTAGGGAAAAATCTTGAAACGCCCATACTTACTTCCACTAAAGTAGGTCATTGGAAATTGTGTTACAATGTATAATAAATTGAGAACTTGATGCCTCTGTAAAAAAAAAAAAAAAAAGGCTTTTAAAATTAGTATTCCCTTTCAGAGAAAATCTTCCATTTTCCAGATAAGGCTTCCATAAATACCTCATCAGAATAAGGCAAACTGTGATTATTACAAAAAAAAATAAAATTCAAGGATTTGGGCAAGGTGGTGCCTGCCTGTGTAACCCCAGCTACTAGGGATGCTGAGGCAGGAGGATCTCTTGAGCCCAGGAATTCAAGACCAGCCTGGGCAACATAGTGAGTGAGACCCCCTTTCTAAAAAATAAAAAATCCAAGGGTTATAATTCTCCAAATACATGCCTCAGAATACTTCGGTCTTGAATTATTCCTGTCGGCTATTACATTATCCAAGCAAACTTTTACTAATAACTTTTTGCTAGTTTTCTAAAGTAATTACTGTTAAAGTTTTTGAGAACAATTCTAGCCTCCTCATCCAACAACCAGGATTCCCTAATAGTTGCTCTTTCTTTCAACAGTTTCTTAGGAATTAAAACTTCTTATGTCATTCAAGCATGTATCCTGTAACACTGTATAACCTTCAAGCCTGCTCCATCTTTGGAAATGTCATATTCAGCTGTGAACTCTGATGTATAGCCTAGGCTTCAATCAAAAAACCTTATTTTTTAATCAACTTGATTGCTGAGAATGAGCAAGGCATGGAATAAGCAGCCTTTATACTAAGCTGAGTTTTTAATGTAATCACTAAATTAAATGTATAAACAAAAGTGTGGTAACATATAGCACAATCTATACAATTCAGAAAGAGATCTTTTGTTGTGATCGCATTCAAAACTGGATACCTGGTGAATGAAAGTTACCCAATATAATTCAGTTGGACTCTTCAGGAAGTAGTGCTGCAGGAAATAAAAACAAAAAGAATAATAATTCAATTGGACTAGCTAGCCAACTGTTGCCTGTGTAAACTGATCACTCAACATGAAGTCAAGAGACTACTTCAATGAAAAAAACCAGAAAGAACAGAGCTGTTGGGTTGTAAACATGAGTTCTCCTTTCTTGTATTCTTATTGTCTAAAGATGAGCAGAGTAAAGTACAAGGAGAAAATGATGTTTTGCAAGAGTTGAGTGAACTGGACTTTCTTTTTTTTTTTTTTTGAGACAGGGTCTCATTCCAGTCACCTAGGCTAGAGTGCAGTGGCACAATCACAGTTCACTGCAGCCTTGACTTCCCTGTAGCTGGGACTACAGGCGCGTGCCACCATCCCCTGCTAAGTTTTGTATTTTTTCTAGAGACAGGGTTCTGCCATGTTGCCCTTGAACTCCTGAGCTCAAGCAATCTACACACCTTGGCCTGTCAAAGTGCCTGGATTATAGGCGTGAGCCAGGGCACCCGGCCTGAATTAGACTTTCTAACTATGAAAGAAAGTCACAAAGCTGTTAGCTAGAGGTTCCTGCCCCTTGAAAATAATTCCTCCCTGCTGTACTACTCCAAAATCGGTGCCATTGGGGAACGAATTATTGAATGAAATGTTTTCTTTCTCAACCATCTCCAATATCTTACTAAAAAGAAAAATGTGAAAGGAAAACTATTGTGGCAAGATATTCTACCAACAGGCCTTATTGGGTCACTATGCCTGAGTCACCCTTGTCCCACAATAGCACTTCTCTGTTCTCAATACCTTGCTCCTGTCCTTTTAGACCCAGTTAGTACCTTTTCATTTCCAAGAAGTGGGCTGGTATAATTGAAAGAATGCTAGACTTGAGGCCTAGTCTCAAATCTTGGCTCTGTTACTCAACTACCTAAGTCAGATCTCTTGTCTTCTTGGTGATTGTTTTCTAATATTTAAAATGGGAGCAATAAAACTTATCTCACAGAAATAAAGTTGGTGCAAATGTTTACTTCTAATGGCCAAAACTGCAATTACTTTTGCACCAACCTATATATGTACTTGACATATAGTGTTATGAGTATTTGTTTACTTATTTATTTTAAGGCTTCCTCCAATTACTCCAGCATATATAGCTTTTCTTCCAAATCTACGAACCCTGACATATCATTAGTAACATTTATTTGATACTTAATCCAACGCAGGGTACTTTTATACTTACAAATTTAAGAATTAAGTGAGGCTGGGTGCAGTGGTACACGCCTGTAATCCCAGCATTTTGGGAGGCCAAGATGGGAGGATCATGAGGTCAGGAGATCGAGACCATCCTGGCTAACACGGTGAAACCCCGTCTCTACCAAAAATACAAAAATTAGCTGGGCATGGTGGCACATTCTTATAGCCCCAGCTACTTGGGAGGCTGAGGCAGGAGAATCATTTGAACCCGGGAAGCAGAGGTTGCAGTGAGCCGAGATCATGCCACTGCACTCCAGCCTGGGCTACAGAGGGGAAAAAAAAAAAAAAGAATTAAGTGATTACGATCTTTGAGTACATGGAAGCAGTCCAGACTCCTAAGTGGGCTGTGCCTCTGACCTCAGAAGTGTTGAATGAATTCATGTCCTAATCATCTGTGCCTCTTGTAGCTCTCTCTGTTAATAGGAAACTACTGTGGGAATGGAAAGGGAAACGTATTTTGCTTTGTGGTCTGTGGGGATAAAGACCATGGTTCATTTTGCATCTAGCTGTAATTTCTATCCCAGTGTTTTTGCACATAATTTTTGTCTTCTAAAAAAATAGATGAATTGAACTTTTAGAAGTGATTTTCTTTTTAATTTTTTTTTTTTTTTGAGACAGAGTCTCGCTCTTTCACCATGCTGGAGTGCAGTGGCGTGATCTCGGCTCACTGCAACCTCTGCCTCCCAGGTTCAAGCTATTCTCCTGCCTCAACCTCCCGAGTAGCTGGGACTACAGGCACCTGCCACCACGCCCAGCTAATTTTTGTATTTTTAGTAGAGACAGGGTTTCCCCATGTTGGCCAGGATGGTCTCGATCCCCTGACCTCGTGATCCACCCGCTTTGGCCTCCCAAAGTGCTGGGATTATAGGCGTCCACCACCGTGCCCAGCCTAGAAGTGATTTTCTTT
Source organism: Homo sapiens (assembly GCF_000001405.40). Taxonomy (NCBI): domain Eukaryota; kingdom Metazoa; phylum Chordata; class Mammalia; order Primates; family Hominidae; genus Homo; species Homo sapiens. The sequence continues at coordinate 185,326,163 of NC_000001.11, forward strand.
ATGTCAATTGAATAGGAAATTTCCTTTTCTGCAAAGAACTAATATTTTCTTTGCTTTTAAGAGGATCCTGTAAATTTTAAAATGCTTTCTTCAAGAACTTATAGTGTCTTAAATGATTTAAGATCTACTGAATCATACAACTTTTATTAGTTTTACTCTATCTGGAATGAATTTATGGATGTCCAATTTGCATGTTAAATATAAATGAAAGAGAAATATCTTTTAGTTTATATACATTTTTTAAAGGTACCAGATTGTCTACTGGGAAATTGGCTTCATTAATTGACCACATTGTCACTACTGTATATAGAAATTTCTAGATAATCTCTTATTGGTCTCACCAAGTTTAAAGCATGATGCCCCCTCACCCAATGGAATAGTAATGTAGACATGCCTTAGGGTCTATATCAGAAAAGCCAGTTACATATAGGTTAAGAAAATCTTCAAAGATATCAAAGAACCATGGTCATTTCTTTGCCATACTATACCACTTTATACTTAAAGTGGTATAAAGAATGAAATTCAAGTTATTGAAAGGTTAGGCAAGTCAGAATGAATTGAAAGCTTTTTAGAATATTTGTTTTACAAACAAAAGGGTATAGTGCTTCCTATGTTACTTCCAAATGAGCTGATAGGCTTAGAAAAAGTGTCTTGAATTCAAGTTACCATTTTAGACCATGAGGTGACACACCAAGGATGATCCGAGAAGTGCCATAGAACAAATCTAGCTCCCAGTGACCTTTAAGCTGCCATACATGCTCTGGACTCCCAAACTCTAGACTTCCTCTATGTGAAAAGGAAACAAACTTTGATTTGTTTAAGTCAAAAATGGAAATGGAAATAGCCAATTTAGTGATCTCTGTCACTTTTTAAAAGTATCCTTTTTGTATCCTATTCTTTCTGTTCAATTTATTTCATTTTATAATACAGTAGCTGTTTGTATTTCCTTGAGTCCACACCGTGCATTTGAAACTAGCAAATTGCAAACATAGGTTCAGTGCTAAAGACTGGTTACTCATTCTATCAAGTTTGCAGTAAGTTGTTTGTAGGTGACTCTGATTAAAAGTCAAGACCACATGCAAAGTCTACAATCTCAAATTTTGAACTTTGCAATTTAGAAGGTTAAGCCCTACCCCACCTCTCTCTTATCTGACCGTTAATCTAGTGCCACATCATTTTTACTCTCCCAAATGGCATATTGGCCTACTTGATGGGCTATAGCAAATATTTACTGAGTGTCTGTTTTGTGTAAAGCATTGTGCTGAATACCGTGAAGTTTACAGATGTGTTGTGAAGTTTTGGATTTTTTAGAAAGTAACCAGTTTATTGAATAGGGTAGAATCTGTGGGGTACAAATGGGGAGTGGGTTTATTTTTTTCTGATCTTCAAACATTCGCTGATAACTCTTTCATTCTTGCCTTTTAGATAAACCTTAAGATCCCAAAAACTTTTAGTCCTTTTGGATATTTAAGGTTTATTTTCAGATAGTAAAAGTAAAACAAATACAGTTAGGTCTAAATCAAGACTTTAATCTCACATCTAATTCAAAGTTTTCCCTGGCTTCCCTTACTTCCCAAGGCTCAGGAACCCACAGTGGGCATGGGGAGTGTGATCTTTTTCTGACTTTTACTTTACTCTTTACCACATGGTAGTAAATGGCAACTCCATTTTAATCTGTCTTCTTAATTCCTGCCACTTTCTTTGCTGCTCATTTCTTTCCAGTTCCAGTGTCTTTCTTTCCATCCCAGAATATATTAACCATTTTCCAAGAACCTTTGGATTTACTCTTCTTTCTGCTTAAAGCTTTTCCCTCCAGCTAGCGTGGCTTGCTCCCTCACTTTTAAGCCTCTGCTCAAATGTCACTTTATCAGCAAGCCCTTCCCTAACTACCCCGTCTCAGGTGGTACATGCCCACAACCATCATTTCCTTATTCTGCTTTATTTTTCTCATCTCACCATCTGATACATTATACTTCTGTTGGGAAGCTAGGTGTCTGTTTCACCTTCTGCAGGTGCCTTCCGTCTTTATGAGGGAGGTTGGGAGATAATACACTGTATTAGTCTGTTTTCATATAGCCATAAAGAACTGCCCAAGTCTGGGTAATTTATAAAGGAAAGAGGTTTCATTGACTCATGGTTCAGCATGGCTCGGGAGGCCTCAGGAAGCTTTCAATCATGGGAGAAGGTGAAGAAGAAGCAAGGCACTTTCTTCACAAGGTGGCAGGAAGGAGAAGTGTCGAGTGAATCAGGAAGAGCCCCTTACGAAACCATCAGATCTTGTGAGAACTCACTATCACAAGAACAGCATGGGGGAATCCGCCCCCATGATTCTGTTGCCCCAACCTAGTCTCTCCCTTGACATGTGGGGATTATGGGAATTACAAGTCAAGATGAGATTTGGGTGGGGACAAAAAGCCTAACCATATCTCCCTTCTCCCCTCTATGAGAAGGGGTGAAAAAAGGCCAACACATTCTTTACTCTTTTGAATTCCTGTTCTCATTGACTTTGGCATATAGAATCTGGAGGTAAGAGTTTTATAAATACTAGACTGATCTGGCTTTTTATACTAAGTGGCATGGATGTGTCAGACACTTCTCTTTAAAATATGGGGATAGTTGTCTCTTATTTTCAGCTTTGAGACTTAGGCTAAAATATAAACAAAACAAAACTTCATACAGCATGCTGTTAAATAAGAACCTTCTCACAAATAAAGCTAGCATGCTTTAATTGTCACAAAGAGAACACTTGAATTTGAGATAACCATGATGATGTGACAGATGGCTCCATGAATTCAGGATGTCTAATTTTTAAGAACTAGGATCTGAGGTATTTACACATCTGAAAAGCAATATAAAATTTGTTATGCAGTTACCATGGTGGAAATTTATTTTTTCTGGCTGTCTAGCATTCACTCCTCCTTCTGGGACTACAACCCTTTAGCCACAGTGAATGTTCATTAATGGATATGTGACCAAAATTGATCCAAGTAGAATGAATCCTTGCATATTGACTGGACAGGAATCTGGGAGATATATGCCTGGTGTTGCTGGGGCCGTCACTTGGAGAGAAGCTGCCTTTGAGTAAAGAGGAAAGGGGTTGTAAGATGAAGAGAGGCCAAGGCCAAGGTACGGTGACATTGGGCCTGGATCCAGTCATGAAGTCAATGCTTAGACTTATACTTACATACGTCAATTAACTTCCTTTTTTTTTTTTTTTTAAGCCAGGTGACTTGGCTTTTCATCACTTGTAACCCAATAGTCCTGGCTTTTGTAATGCATCCCACTTCTCAACTTAAACCGTTGCCTGTGGTGCATTGTCGTCAGAACTGCTATGTTCTTGGCATATTTTCTCAAGATGGATTTATTCCAGTGAGTGCTGATAACTGAAAGAATTTATTAATGTCCCATTCTGGGATCCTCCTGGCTACTGAGAACAATAAAAAATATAGTTAATTGTTTTGACAAATTCACCAATGTTATGTTTGGATGCATAGTTATGTTTGTGATTCTGAATTTTACTGTTCTATAGATGTGGCTAAAGAAATCTTCTTATTCCTTTTACATAGCAATCCAAAATAGCAGGTTTGGCTAGGCACAGTGGCTCACACCTGTAATACTAGCACTTTGGGAGGCTGAGGTTGGTGGATCATTTGAGGTCAGGAGTTTGAGACCAGCCTGACCAACATAGTGAAACCCCGTCTCCACTAAAAATATAAAAAAAATTAGCTGGGCATGGTGACACATGCCTGTAGTCCCAGCTACTCGGGAGGCAGAGGCAGAAGAATCACTTGAACCCGGGAGATGGAGGTTGGAGTGAGCCAAGATCACGCAACTGCACTTCAGCCCGGGCAACAGAACGAGACTCTGTCTCAAAAAAAAAGCAGGTTTGCATTATTTATTTATTTATTTATTTAGAGACAGGGCCTGGCTCTGTTACCCAGGCTGGGGTGCAGTGGCAGAATCTTGGCTCACTGCATCCTCTACCACCCGGGCTCAAACCATCTTCCACCTCAGCCTCCTGAGTAGCTGGGATCACAGGTGCACACCACCATGCCCAGCTAATTTTTGTATTTTTTTTAGAGATGGGGTTTCAGCATGTTGCCCAGGCTGGTTTCCAACTCATGAACTCAAGTGATCCACCTGCCTTGGCCTCCCAAACTGCTGGGATTACGTGCCTAAGCCACTGTGCCCAGCCTACATTATTTTTAGTAATCATTTTCACTAGTCTTTATAAAGTATGTGACTATCTTTATTAATGTTTTATGTTCTGATATATGTTATATACCTAACTATAAAGGTAATAAAAATGTTTTCTTCTACAGAACCCAAAGTCCTTCAACATTAAAAAGAATGTGTTCCTCCTAGTGCCTGAAACATAGTTCTCTAATAAAAAGAGTTCTAAAGTAATAGTCCAGTCAAAAGTGGTTTACGTCTTTGAGAATTCTTAGCAATGCTACTATTGGGAGAATTTTCTGGGAGAAGTCTGAAATTATCACTAATACTGTGACTTTATACATCCACCAAAGTTCTGACATTTTTTTTTTGACAGTTGTGCCTTTAGTCACTCTATTTCATTAAAAATATACTTGTTTTAAAGATCCTATAAATGACTATCTGCTTATGTGGGATATAGGTCACCTCTCAACGTAGTATTTTTTTTTCAAGCAGTATTTCTTATAGGAGTCTTATTGATCACTAGTAGTTACAAGAATGTCAGATGTGATGACATATACAATCCAAACCAGACAGGCTGATTAAGAATTTACATAATGTCGGCTGGGCGCAGTGGCTCATACCTGTAATCCCAGCACTTTGGGAGGCCGACGTGGGCAGATCACCTAAGGTAGGGAGTTTGAGACCCGCCTGACTAACACAGAGAAACCTTGTCTCTACTGAAAATACAAAATTAGCCGGGTGTGGTGGTGCATGCCTGTAATCCCAGCTACTCGGGTGGCTGAGGCAGGAGAATTGCTTGAACCCGGAGGCAGAGGTTGCGGTGAGCCGAGATTGCGCCATTGCACTCCAGCCTGGGCAACAAGAGCGAAACGCCATCTCAAAACAACAATAACAAAAACAACAACAAAAAACTTACATAATGTAAAAGTATAGTCCATTTCAAAAGTGAGACATGTGGACAGACACCTGCAGCGAGGAGAGTAGGTGATGGGAATCCCTTTAATGATCAGTTGAGGGTTCATGTACAGTTATGTTGCTTTTCCCTGTTCCATTAAAGAAAATAACTTTCACTAACAGATACAGGTATTCCATACATATTCAGTAGACAGAGTAAATTATGACCTGCTACATGTATAACCTAAAGTGGTATAACTGCGATCTTTCTGTGATACTCCCATGAAAATAGTAAATAGCGAACCCCATGTAGGCAGTGGGAAGCACTGGTAGCTTATTCTAGTTTGAGCCTGGAAGATGTTTAACTCTTGACATTAATATTTGTAAAGAGCATGTTTCCTTTTGCTATGTTTTCCTCACAACTGACCTGCACTTAGAGTGGGGGATTTAAAAAAAAATTTTTATTTCCATAGTTTTTTGGGGAAACAGATGATATTTGGTTACATGAGTAAGTTTTCAGTGGTGATTTGTGAGATTCTAGTGCACCCATCACCCGAGCAGTATACATCGAACCCAATTTGTAGTCTTTTATCAGAGTGGGATAATTTTGATAGTTGTTTGACCTAACAGTCATGACTGAACTACTTTTTACTAATACATTTTAGTCACATACTTAACACAAAATGTGGGTCATCTATAACTGTGCTAAGAGGTAGAAAGGAATGCATCTAAATTTTAATGATTTTAGTTTTCATTTTCTATAGTTTCTAATATTATCCTAAAGAATGAAAGAGATACAACTGCTTCTTCATTTACCAAAGCAGGCAGTAGTTTGAGCTCTTAGATTAGAGAAAATACAAAACAAGAAATTCCCCTCTTTTTCTGTAGGGCCTTTAAAGAAACTAGACCAAATTTATAAATTATTCAAAGTTCCTATACAGTAGTGGTGTTTTTCTGTGTAACTAATTGTCTAAAGAACAAACCAAATAAGAACTTTCTAACACTGCAAGAGCATTGCCTTTTGGTATATTTCTATTAGGAATTAGGAATCTTTAACAGCAGTTCACAGTCAGTCTCATTTTCTTATATGCCCCCATTTTCCCTGCTTTGTGCCAAGTCTTATGGCAAATGTATTTTGGAGGGGGTTGCTGGACTATTTATGCTTAGAGATCTTCTTAAGCAGATTTCTCTAGTTAGGTAAGAATCCTTCTGATAAAACGTGGCAGGTTCTATGAACCTAAAGAGAAGACTCATTGTCTCTCTGAATGCCTTTAAGTTACTGCTCCAATTGCAAGTGCCTATTTGGGGGGCAGGGGGCTGGGGAAAGGAGCATTAAAAGAACTTGAAGAATTATTTCACTGGCAACATCAAATGCAAAGTATTTTATTTTTGAACTTCTAAAATTTGAAAACAAGATAGCCTAGGATAAATAATATAGTTTTCTAAAATTGAATTTGCTCATTCAGAGCTCAGTTTTTCTGCTTTAAATGCAAATGCAACTTTCTAAACTCCTAGGTGGGAACACTGCTGTTTTGATGATCTGTGATTAGATGAACTGATCAATCTCAATTGGTAACATCCCCTTGTTATCCTTCCCCCCCTCCCCCCGACTCTGGGAATGATTTAAACATTCTGGAATAGATGCATTTTGTGTGTGTGTGTTTCTAGTCTTATAATGACAGCTTCACTCCAAATGTCTCCCTAGAGGTATATACTATCACATACAGGAATTCGTCTTCATCCTTCTCACTTTCATACACTTCATAAATCAGCATGGAAATACTCACCAAGCTGTCTCTGCTCACCACTAGGAAGAGGGCTTGATTACTATCGAGCTTTAAGGGCCTTCTAATTATCTTGACGAGTTTACTCATGTTGACCTGATCAGGTACAAAATTACTTGGTTTTTCCAGGACAGGAAGCTGCTTTTCACGCCTGTGTCATTCTTTTGTCACTGGGATTTTGGTAGGATGCTGCTGTCAGATAAGTGGGACCCCCACTCTTTGTTCGAAGGAGTGACACTGCTTGAAGGTCTTCTCCAATCTCATGCCACGCAAGGCTGGACAAGGGCTATGGCCAAGCAGAGGGTCCTGTTTAATTCCTTAAGCAAATATTGATTACATGCTTATCATACACCAGGTACTGTGGTAAGGTTTTGTCCTATGGGGTCGAAGTTAGATATTGAAATATATGTCTATAATCACTGTGATATGCTGAGGGAAGAAAGATTCCAAATGCTATTGGAGCCTGGAAGAAGGGCAGGTGAGCCAGTGATCAGGGAAGATTCCAGAGAAGGTGGGATTTGACCTGAGACTGAAAGATGGGTATGAGTTTACCTGGTGGATAGGGGAAGGCATTTTAGAAAGCATGTGCAAAATAGAAACAGTATATTTGAGGACTCCTAAATAGAGTATGATGGACAGGGGGTAAGAAGAAAGCAGGTTGGATGCCAAAGAAAGAGAGGTGAAGCTGGCACAGTAGTGCATGCCTGTAATCCCAGCTACTCAGGAGGCTGAGACAGGAAAATTGCTTGAGCCCAGGAGTTCCAGATCAGCCTGGGAGACATAGCAAGACCCTGTCTCTTAAAAAAAAAAAAAAAAAAAAAAAAAGAAAGAAAGAAGAAGATGAACAGGGAAGGAAAAGGGTGCCTTGCTTGCAACTGTTATTCCTTAGAATTTGGATTGTCTTTTTATTATTATTAGTTTTATTTTTTAGAATCAGGCAACAACCCATTCTATGAAATAGAAAGGGCAGTCCCAGCATTTGGATTGTCTTAAAGGCAATGAGAAACTCATTAATCTAGGGAGGAATATTCTCATATTTGCTTCTTTTTTTTTTTTTAAGCCTTTGTGGATGGTTTTCTTAAAGAGAAGGCTGTTGACTTCTCCATATCCACAAGGGAGAGAGTAAGAGGGAAAAGATAACATGCAGGGAATGAATTGTTGCAAGAGAGAGTTCGATTAGACAAAGTAAGAACTTGACCCTGTGGGGATTAGACAGAGGTCATGAAGGGAATTGGTAGCCTTTTCAGACCTGAGGATGTTTTATAAAGGGTGGTCATCGTCTTTCACATTGTAAGTTTCGTTTCTGGTTGAGGCAAGAGGTTGGATATATTCAGACTTCCTACAGCGTGTTCTTTAGAAGAGTCATTCCATCTGTTAACAGATAACAGAAAACAAAGTTTCAGTGCTCCCCAGAAGTTTGGCTTAGGCACAACTGAATAGGCCTATCTATTTACTGCAGTATTTTTTAAAACAACATTTAATATGATAATGCAAACTATGAATATTTCAGTGAAACATTGGATTCAGGGTCCCCAAACTTGATTACAGGATCCCTTTTATATAGGGAACTTGTGGTCTTCTGTTCTAAGGAGCACTCTTGGTAAAATACTGAACCAGATACATTTGATTCTGTTACAAACTCTAAGAATCTTCCTTAGGTTCTGAAATCCTAAAAAAAATAAGATTTGGACTTATTTTTCCATAATGCTTATTCATCATGGAATTATGCTCATTCATTCAATATCTGCCTATCTGGGGCATAGATAAGCTCTCAAGTCTGTTGATATTTAATAATAACTATGCAGTGACTATTTCTCAGAGTTCTGAAGGGTGGATAAGTCAGATAAAATATGAACAGATATGATGTCCACCTTAAACTCAAATCAAACTAAAATCCTAAGGGCCAACTTAGTAGAAATTTTGGGAAATAGCAGGTCTACTCACTCCAAAGAATGAAAGGAAAAGAGGGAATAGATAAACCGTCCCTTATCTCCACACCTGAAGATATTTCTTGGTACATGTCAAAACTCAGGAGGTTAGAATTCTAACGTGTATTCAAAGAGAGGTGGAACTTTGGAGTCATCTAAAGAATGTTGCCATTGGGAATGTAACATTTAAGTGCCAGGAATAAGATTTGGGATCCTCAACAAACTCTAAGGCCAGTGCAGTGGCACATGCCTGTAATCCCAATTATTTGGGATGCTGAGGCAGGAGGATTGCTTGAGCCCAGGAGTTCAAGGTAAAATAGTGAGCCCTCATCTTCAAAAAAAAAAAAAAAAAAAAAACCCCAAATACAAAAAACTCTCAAGAACTAGATTTTTTAGTGATTAAATCTAATCCTGGGGTTGAAAATAGATTTTTTCTTTCTTTTCTTCTGTGCATATGCTTACCCAAGCAAATAGATTTTAATTGAGATATTTAGATGTCAATTCTAATTAGTTGTCAGTGTTGCCTGGAGTATTAGGACGAGAAGAGTTGAGACTGAACCTCAACTGAATCCATGAAACAAATGTGGCAATTGATGAGCAATATCTGCCTTATCTGGGGGAAATGTGTGAAGCTCCCCATCCTTGTAGTTTCCATCCCCTTTCTAAGTTATACTTGGAAGTATGTTAAGTTGTAAAGGGTGCTGTGAGCTGGATTGGATCAGAAACAAAAATTTGAGAAATAGAATGATTCACAAGATTTTGTCAAATTGTGCAGAATGTATGTAACCCTATAGGTCTAGAAGAAACTGGTGTACAAGGGAGCCAAGTAACGTTGATTTAGATTAGAAGTGTGAACTTTGCAGAAATGTGGTACAACCCGGGACCCCATAGAAAGGAGTCCTTGACAAAGAAGTCTACAAATATCTTTTAGCACATGAAGTGTACGTCTTCAAATTTTGTATAGTGTCTGTATGAGAATTTCTGCTGGAGATTGTATAGTTGGTCTTTCTTATTCATGTTAATAACATGAATTAACAAATTCATGTTAATTAATCTGTACTTTGCCAAGCAGTACTGAAAATTCTTGATGAAGTTCTCAATATAAATAATTTTCTTTCCTTTTACAAATGGGGCCTCTGTTACCCATAGGGATCTCCCAGAGTCCCTACAACAGGTGACACTATCAAGAGGAGGTATACTAGACTGGGAATGAAGGAAGAAAACCAGTACTTGTTGTGTCGTTGTTGATCACACAGCATCCAGACAAATCCCTGCCACCATCTCCTAGTAGGGCTTGTCCTATTGATGGGTGAGCTGCTGCCCAAGTGGAGTGGTGCACCTGGTGATTCAGGAAGAGTTACAACTTCACACGCAGCTTGTTGTCCACATCCAATTCTGTGTCTTAGCCAAATGACATAAAAATCAACTTGAGAAAAATACAAAGTAATGTCCTTCTGGGAGTTTATTTGCAGTAGTGTCTGGTTTGTGGCTAAAATTCTGGACTTGAAATTAGGAGAGCTGAGTAGAAACAGAAATGGAAATGTCTGTGTTCCTTTCTCATTTTGACCAGGCACTGCCTCAGAACTTTTGACAGTTCAACTTTGTTGGGCCTCAGTTTCCTCATATTTGATTGGGAAGAGAGGGAGGCTGGAGGTGGAGACAATGAAGAAAGGGATTGACTATTCAATGACTTCTAGACATTTTATCTAAAGTGTTACCTGCATTTCCCCAGGCCATGCCCAATGAGCTATCAAGAACAGCAATGAGATGCTAATCCTACAGATTGGATGAAATAGAGGGAGCTAGAACCACATGCATCCTGCTCCCCACAACTTCTCCCAACTAATGCAGAAGGTTCCCAAGGTTTGTCAGACAGCGATTTGAATTTCTGTGGTCTCTCTGGCTACCTTGTGGTATTTCTGGTGCCCTGTGGCTCTTGGCATAGGCACTATAATGATGCTAGTCCTTCACCCCTCATTTGTCTGTCTGAAAACTGTGCTGGTTTGAGATGTTTCCCACAGATATCTGGGTGATGTGGCTCCATGTTTTTTACCAGCACTATTTGTAAGCCATTTTTCCCCTGACAGGGACACAGCTTCCTGAAGATTGGGCTGGGAACAATCTAACTCCATTCAAAATCACCTTTTCCTTAAGAAGACCTGTGCTTGTCATTAAATCGTGTGTATAAGCTGGTGTAGACCTTTCAGTTAAGTTCCTTAGACCAATAGTCTTCAAAGTTTTTGCTCTCAAAAGCTTTAAAAGACTTGTAAAACTTAGTATCTCTTTGCAGATTTTCAAGTCAACATGAACATATTGTGTAAAGGATCTATTTTATGTTGTCAACAGACAAAATTACAACAAACAGTTTAAATAGCTCAGTTGGCTGTATTGTAGTTCTAGAATTGGGCAACACTTCATTCCATAAAATATAATAAGTGTTCTGATGAGCTGAGCAGAAGGAGTTAGCTTTGTAGGCAGAGGACGGCTGAAGAAAGCAGAAACGAAGAGAGCAAAGAGGATATTAGTCATTCCACAGCTACTTTTCTGTAAGGCAGGACAGGGAAGCAGAATAATAGAAAAAAATGTGGCTCCCATCTATAATCCCAGCTACCCAGGAGGTTGAGGTGGGAGGATCACTTGAAGCCAAGAGTTCTAGGCTACAGCAAGCTACGATCATGCCACTGCACTCCAGCCTGCGTGACAGAGCAAGAACCCCTGTTAAAAAAAAAAGAAAAAAGAAAAAAGAAAAAAAGAGACAGAGAACTGATTAGTTAACATCAGGCTACTTCTTTTGTGTGTGTGTGTGTTTTTTCAAATTTACTAAGTAATGAAACAAAAGATCCAACAGTTCTTACATAGCCTTTATTTAAAAAAAGAAAAAAAGATAAATTGTCTTGAAACTACTCCTAAGTATTTTGAAAAACATTTCCTTTTAAAAGTAGCTGGCCAAGAATCCAGAAAACCTTTTCATTTTAGAGAATCTTCCTCTCTCTTGCTTTTCTGTTCTCTTACCTGATGTCAGTCATTTTGTTTTTCCTGGGCAGTCAGAAATCAGTTTTTACTTTGGAACTAAGACACTCATTTTTGGCTTTAAAAATTGTTAATTATATTGTTCGGTTTTGGGTACTATCTTTGGGTAAGTTGACAATTTCTAGGTTTTTTGTTAATTAAAAATTTTTAGTTTTACTACCTCTGTATCTACTTGCGTAAAAAAGGATAGTATCTAATTATATTTTAACTTACCACTTTTTAAAACTTTTAACTGTTTATATGTGTAAGGATTTAAGTAGAAGTTTTTCGTACTGATTGAAGATTTAAACTGGCTTGTTTGGAAAATCAGCTGTTACCTCTTTCTCCTGATTTCTCAGAAGGTCAAATAAATACTTAGTTTGAGTTTGGTAGAAGTGAACTTTAGTATGAGTGATCCCATTCTGATTTTTTATCTGGTCTGTTGAGGCCTGGTGCAGAAACTTAGTCCAAAACAATGGCCTCTTGTGATTTTTATTTAACAGTATTATCTTCGTGCTTTAAATACCTTTTCCTTAAAATCACAGAGTTTCAGATTTGTCTCAGGTCAGAAATTGTTCATAGAGCAAATTATCTGCATCAAATTACACTGGCTGTTTCTGTCAGGAAAAAGTTGACTTTATTTATTTATTTTTACTGAAAATAAATGTGATTACATGCATGTCTGTGCAACCTCACTTCTGAATGTAAGAGACACAATGTTGGGGAGGGTGGGAGAGAAAATCAGGGTAAAGGCATGGAGCCTTGCTTTGGCTTTCTTCACCTTGCCCTACCTCTCCCGAAATCTCCATTCCCTGGTCCCTCTGCTTGGTGGCCCAGAGGTGTTTACCCCTGGAGCAAGCACACAGGAAGCTTAGGTCCCAGTGGGGCTTTGCCTTCCCTTTCTTTTACAAAATGGTTGCAGGGCCTTTGGTTGCGAGAGAGGATGTGGGAAAGGGAACCACAGGCCGCTGCAGACTTCTCTTCTGTAGAGCAGTGTTATGAGAGGACACGTGGGAGCTGGGGATTTGAACATTGCTTCTGTTTAAGCTATCCATGCCTGTGAACCCTTGGAAGGTCTTTATATCCCCAGAGTTATGAGTACCCCAGTTTGAAGACCACTTCTTTAGACCCCTCCACTTACTCCAGTTGAGTCTGGGATGTGCCCACGCAGATCTGATTGCAGCTCTTAGATTAGGCCTTCATGTTTGTTGAATATTTACAATGTACCAAGTGGCTTACCTTTATAAGTTTGTCTTCCTGAAGACCTTGTTACAGATAACTCAGGTAGCAGAAGACTCAGGAGCCAGACTGGGATACTCCTAATCCCTAAATTAACTTTTGTTCCTGCCACAAAAACTTTCTTAGTTGCATAAGACATGGTCAGCTGAGCTCGTGGATTGAAAGGAGGATCTGAAAGGAAACCTCAGCGTTTGTAGACCATTTCCTGCTTGTGGTTTCCAACTTAATGAGAGAAACAGTGCCTTTTTACAGCCATATCTGTAATAGTGCCTTTTTAGGGCTGTATCTGTGCTACTGAGTCTCCCCTTGACGAAAACTTAGTCAGGCTTCTGTGACCTTGGGCAAGTCCCCCAAGTGTCCAATTTTAGCAAGAATCCTGCTGAATCAGTTTAGCCAGAATCTCCCACCTTAATATCTGATCATCCTCAAAATCTGATCAACATTCTCATCCTCCACCATCCACTACGTAACATCAGATCACCCTGACCTGCCTTCAGCAAGAATCCCATTATGTTTGTTTAACTAGAGAATCCCCTTACCCTTGATGCTTTCTCTTGGCAATTTTCCATCCACCTACTCCTGCACTGTGCTCCCTGTCTATAAATTCCCCCTTTTTCTTGTTGTACTTGGAGTTGAACCTGATCTCGTTCCCCTGATAACAAAAACCTCATTGTAATAGCGCCCGCCATCCTGCCCCGCTTGAATAGTCTTCCTTACCATCTTTAATAAGTGTCATGAATTTTTTTTTCTTTAACACTCTTGTAGGGCTTTAGATAACCTTGGAGGCAATTTCATTTACTTAGATCTGCATATTATTTTGATGTGGTAATTTATAAAACACAGACTTGGTATCTTTGTGTTGCTGTAAAGCAATACCTAAGGCAGGGTAACGTATAAAGAGGTTTATGTGGCTCACGGTGCTGCAGACAATACAAGAAGCATGGCGGCAACATTTGCTTCTGATTAGGGCCTCAAGAAACTTCCACTCATGGTGCAAGGTGAAGGGGAGCCACCATGTAGAGATAACATGGTGAGGAGGAAGCAAGAAAGAGGGAGAAGGTGTCGGGTCCTTTTCTAACAATTAGCTCTCAGGGGAACTCTTGCTGGAATTCTTGTAGTAACTGATAGAATAACTCACTACTGTGAGGATGACACCAAGCCATTTGTGAGGGATACATCTCCATGATCCAAATACCTCCCATTAGGCCCCACTCTGACGGGGGGGATCAATTTCAGTATGAGGTTTCGAGGGTCAAACATTCAAACGATAGCACTTGGTAATTCATAAAACAATTTTCTAGTTTTTTAAATTTACTAAGTAATGGAACAAAAGAGCCAGCAGTTCTTTCATAGCCTTTATTTTAAAAATTGTCTTAAAATTACTCCTAAGGATTTTGAAAATCATTTCCCTTTAAAAATAGCTGGCCAAGAATCCAGAAAAACTTTTCATTTTAGAGACTCTCCCCCCGTCTTGCTTTTCTGTTCTCTTACTTGATGTCAGTCATTTTATTTGTTTTTCCTGGGCAGTCAGAAATCAGTTTTTACTTTGAAATTAAGACATTCATTCTTTTGTCTTTAAAAAAACGTTAATTATATTGTTTGGTTTTGGGTAGTATCTTAGGTTAACTTGAAAATTTCTAGGTTTTTTTGTTAATTAAAAAGTATTAATTTTACTGCCTCTATCCACTTGCATAAAAAAGGATAGTATCTAATTACATTTTAGCTTCCCACTTTTTAAAACTTTTAACTGTTATTTTATTTTACTTTTAAAGGTAGAGTCTGTGTTGTGCGGGCTAAAGTGCAGTGGCTATTCACGGTGTGATCATAGTGCTCTATAGGTTCAAATTCCTAGGCTCAATTGATCCTCCTGCCTCAGCCTCCTGAGAAGGTGGGACTACAGACACATACTGCCATGCCTATATTTATTTTTTAACCACTTTTTAAAAATTGAAATATAACTCACATAGGATTAAACCTTTTAAAATGTACAATTTGGTGGTTTTAGTATACTGACTTTCTTTTAAGATAGCATTGTCAAAGACAAAATTTCAACAAATTTAAATGATTGAACTGGCTTTTATTGCAATTCTTGAATCAGGTGTTATCTAATCTAAAAATAGATGCTAAGCTGGGCAAGGCAGAAAAATCTGTTTTTATAAAGGTAGTTTGATCAGGAACAAGGAAACAGCATAATAAAACTCAGACTCATAGGTTAACACCAGATTACTTCAGGTTACTTTCTTTGTAAGAGTTAAAAACAGGGAATTTCCTTATGCTGGCTAAAACTGGCCTGTTTGGGAATTTGGCTATTCTCTCTCTCTCTCTCCTGATTTCTCTGAAGGTCAGATAAGCAACTTAGTTTTGATTTGGTGGCATGGAACTTTAGCATGAGTGACTCCATTTTGGTTTGGTCTGTTGGGGCCTAGTGCAGGAACTTAGCTCAAAACAATGGTCTTCCATGAATTTTGTTTAACAGCACCTAGGACTAGTGTTTAAAAGTATGGATTTCTGCAGTAAAGTTCTTTACATATTGTAGGGGCAGAAAGAAAGCTTCCTCTTCACCCACTGAAAGTTTGCTGAAAATGAACTGACAAAAGTCAGAATAGGAGAAAAAGGCATACAAAATTCATTTGACGTGCATAGACATGGAAGCCAAACACACAGTATGAGACTCAAAGAGGGGCCAGATGGTTGAGGCTTAAATACTCTCTTCATAGGGGAGTGATGTATGAACCCAGGAGGCAGACATTATTTTGTAAATGATTCTCTCTGGAAGCTAGATGGGACAAGTTATGGGAAAGTGAGGGAAGAACTGCACAGGAACAAAGTTTGTCTTATGCAGGTAAAGTCCCCCAGGTAATTGCTAGGAACTGCCTCAGAAGAATAGATTAAAAGTCTGTCTGGGCATGGTGACAACTCCCACTGTTTTCTTTTCTCTTTGGTGGTTGAGGTTGATTTTTCCTGGTTATTTAATGAGATTCCTAGGGAGGAGGTCTTAAGACAATTTTTGGAAAGCTGTTGGAAAGAAGCTTTCTTAGATAAGAAAATTCCTCTGGGAGTACCTCCTGGTGCTTTGGGCGGGAAGATCAGAAAGATTCAGAGGTGGGAATGTCTGACAGAGACCTCGGTTCTGAGGCTACTTCTGAGGCTTATTTCTGAGGCCTTTCCATTTTCAAAGCACTCAGCATGTCCAAGCACTATGTTTTGGGGAATCATTTTCTGTGCCCCAACAGAATGGCCTTTTCTATTCTTGAAGCACAGGTCCCATCACAGTGCCTACGGTCCTATCGTAGGTATTACTTTCCTTCAGGAAAATGTTTAAACCAC
Source organism: Homo sapiens (assembly GCF_000001405.40). Classification (NCBI taxonomy): domain Eukaryota; kingdom Metazoa; phylum Chordata; class Mammalia; order Primates; family Hominidae; genus Homo; species Homo sapiens. Next base: position 185,342,520 of record NC_000001.11, read on the forward strand.
ACACATTCTCAATACGTAGACCCATGATTTTAGTTATTTGGTTTTTTTAAAAAAAAAAAGCCATGGAAAAGCAAAATAAAAATAAATGCCACATATCAAAACTTGGCTCTCGGTAGGTATTTACTGAATGAATGAAAGAATTGAAATGGCCACTTTTGGTTACTGAGTTGCTCTTGACAGCTTAAAGATGAAAAGCTTGAATACTTTCAGCATCCCCTTGAACATGCTGACTGGCTACCTTGGACTCTTCACCTCGCCTCCTTTGTGAAGAGAAAACAGAGCCCAGATTAGCATTACTGCCCTTACTGAAATTGCATTTGAATGTGAGTGTTGAAGATGTCATGTGATTAAATGACAGATGTCACTCATGTTTTTTTAGTCATGTTTCTATTCCACATCTATTTACAAGTTTTTAAAAATTCTTTTGCCATTGTAGACATTTCTGTTCATGGAACTTAGGCCTGCAAAAACCAAGATACTGTCATTGTGGGACGTGCCAATCCACTTTGAGAATGTGTACATGTGTATGCAATTGTTTGCTCTTTTTTTTTTTTTTTTCCCAGGAGCCCTCTGGAGACGGAGCCCAGGGACAGTGAGGTCTTTAGTGTTTGCTGATAGATCAAGGCCATGGAATTCCATTTATAGTGTGTATTATAAGAAACTTCAGGGCAGTAGGAGCACAGCTGCCCTGAAAGAAGAAAATATTATGTATTTTGAAATAGTTTTGATATGTAGCATTTATTTTTATTTTGTTTTTCCATGGCTTTTTTTTTTAACCAAATAACTAAAATCATGGGTTTACATATTGAGAATGTGTGTGGTTTAAACATTTTCCTGAAGGAAAGTTATATCTACAATAGGACCATTCAGTTTTTGTTTTTATGTCAAGTTCAACACTGTAAACAAGTTCTATTGAAGTGAAAAACACAAACGGATCTTTCTTCCCACAGTTAAGTCCCTTTAGGACAGCCCAACCAGCTCTCAATTCCCTCTCTAGGGTGACGTGTTCTGTGAGAATCTGCAATAGCAGACGGCAGTGCCCATCATGCATCTGAGCCCCGTAGCTGGAGCCAGCCACACACTCCAAGACACCAGGTATACATCCCGACCCTGACAGAGAAGTAGTCAGTAGGATGGCATTGTGCTTATAATTAATTTAAAAGTTAATCATTTAAATTTACATTTGAGAATCTGCATTTATACTAAGCAAGCAGGCCAGGCACAGAGGCTTACACCTGTAATCTAGGAAATTTGAGAGGCTGAGGCGGGAGAATCGCTTGAGGCCATGAGTTTGTGATCAGCCCAGGTAGTATAGTAAGGCCGTGTCACTACCAAAAAAAAAAAAAAGGCCAGGTGTGGTGGCATGTGCCTATAGTGCTAGTAAATCAGAAAGCTGAGGCAGGAGAATGACTTGAGCCCAGGAGCTCACGGATGCAGTGAGCTGTGATCCCCTACTGCACTCCAGCCTTGGTGACAGAGCAAGACCCAGTCTCTTAAAAAATGTCAAGCAAAGAATTCCTATGAAACACTAGTTTTAGTGTTTTCTTCCCTCTTGCCTGGATTGTGGTCATTCTGTCTTAACTGGTGTGTCTGCCTCTGTTCTCAGGGGACTTGAACTCTAAGATTGCCAGATAAAATACAGGATGCTCTATTAAATATGAATTCGGATATACCACCAATTTTTTTAAGTATAAATTTCTCCCAAAGTATTACATGGGATGGCTACAACATTATATGAAATAAATTGTCACGAAATCCTTAAAAAATTTGTTTCACAATTAATGCTGACCACTTCCAAATCTCAGTATCCAGCCTCATCATGTGTTTTAAACTGAAAATCTCCATTGTGAAGTCTTGCAGGCAACATGTTGAAAATTTAACTCATAATTTGCCCCGCCTGTCTTCTCACTTTCAGTGATGTTGCCTCCATCCATCCAGTTCTTGAAACTGCCCTTGACCATTCCCTTTGCCCCACATCCATTAGGTGGGCCCTTTTGCTTCTCTCCCTAGTTAGTCTCAGCAGCCAGCAATACCTTTACTAAAGTTACAGCACAGTCTCTACTGCTTTCCTCTTCTGTAGGTCCTTCCTTCTAACCGAAGTGACTTCAAACTTCAGACATATGTGCATATACAGAATCAAGTTCCCTGCAAACTATACTTACCCTCACAACTTGCAGGATATTCTGATGTTGTCTAATGTTTCTTTTAAAAAAAAAAAAAGCTAGTTGGTAACCTCTTGCATTGATGAGGGATGGCCTGCAATTTAAAAACACTGCCTATTCCATTTTATAAAAAACAACCAGGATAGTGTCTATAAACCCTGGGCAGACCATGTCGCTCTCTTGCTTAAAACCTTCAATAATTTCATACTCATTACTCTTAGCAGATGAAGTATGAGATGCTTATCATGACTTTAAAAGCCTCCCACTTGCTCTGTTCTCCCTTCCATTAGGTAGTCCTCTTAGCCAGAGGGTGCTTCTCCCTTTACCTTAGAATTGATCTCCCACAGAGAACAAGTTCTTCAGGTCTCAATGGCATTTCTTCAGGGAGGCCTTCACAGACCTCTTAGTGGAGGGAAATCGCTTTACTGGATGTTCTTCCACAGTGCTTTCATGGCAAAAAGAAAGTTCTAAAGTATTAGTGAACTGCTCAACTGCTCAAAATCCTCCCAAGGCTCTCCATTTCATTCAGACTAAAATCCAGTCTTGACGGTGGCCTACATGGTCCTACATGAGCTACTCCCATTTCTTTGACCTTGTCTTCTACTAATTTTTCTCTTTATTTACTCTTCTGCAGCCACCCTGTCCTCCTTGTTATTCCTCAAAGGTGGCAGCACTCTCCCCTACCTCAGGACCTTGGCACCTGTTAATTCTCTGACTGGAGCCCCCGCCCCCCCAATATCCATGGCAGTCTCTCATTTATGTCACTTTCCTAAAATGTCTTCTTGTCAATGAGGCCTTCTCTGATCCCCCTATTTAAAATAGCATCCCCCAGTCTGGCACTCCCCATTTTCTGCTCTGCTTTGTATTTATTTATTTTACTTATTTTTTTATTTTGCTTATTATCTATCTCTCTCTATTAGGATGTAGAATTTGTGATTTTTCTCTACCTTATCAATAGCCAAATCCCTAGCACCTAGAATAGTGCTTGGTTTGTAGAAGGCATTCAATAAATGTATTTGTTGTGTAAATGAATGAGTAACTACATGAATCTTGTTAGTTTTCTTATGAGAGAAAATGCCTGTTCTGTTTACAATGTATCTACCTTAGTGCCTGGCACATAAGAAGGTCTCAAAAAATAATTTTTTGATTTAAATTCATTTAAATTGCAAGTGGTAACAATGGAGAGGGAAGAGTGTGTATAACCTTAAAAATACTTCTGTTTATATTCCTAGTGTTTGTAACCCTGATGTTACCACTGTGTACACAATCCTTCTTAAAAGAGAAACCTATTAGTATGATGCATTCACTTGTTTACTGGAATTAATGTTAGGCTTTTAGTGTTTGCAAACACTAAAAAACTGAAGGTGGGGGGTTATCACGTGGGAGTGTCATGGAAAAAATAATTCACCCGTTTCAAAGTGGTGGCGCCTGCATAGTTCCTGTTTTGCTGTAACCATAATCAAATGGAACATAGGTTTATAGTTCCTTATTGAAAACCTTTGGGACCAGCTGTGTTCAGAATTCAGATTTCTTTTCTTCAGGTTTTAGAAGGCAGTGCATGAACTCCAATTTGTTACACACTCAGCAGACTTTAGGGTAGGGCCCTGTACTCAAACATGCCAACACTTCTGCAGCGAAAGTGTGAACAGCTACCCTAGGTGGGTAAAGGCAACAAATTGCCCACATCAGTTGCATTCAGGTTTTTCCACAACAGTGAGTTTTAGAGACAAAAGCATGGAAAACTCTCAGTTTTCAGAACTTCTGAGTTGTTTTTCTGGCTGGGAGTGTTACTGCTGAGTGGCAGTTCTTAGGGCTGCATGACCCAGAGGACTGCTGGCTTTAGGAAAGTTCCTGTTCCAGTTCTCAGTTCCAGTCCCAGTGATAGGACAGATGACACATGATTCTGATTGAATGACAACTCTGTGCCACAAAACCAATTATTTCATCTATAATAATTCAAACAAATAGATGCAAGAAGAAAAAATGTCCTTTTCTAGTCAATATCTCAGACCTATAACTAGAATTTGTTCACATCATTCATTATGCAGGAACCAATGATTCTATTTGATTTGCTTACAGAGCTTGAAATTCTTAAAGCAGGGGCTCTCAAAGTTTAGTGTTTAGGCTCTAAAGCATGGGTTGACAAACTTTTTCTGTCAAGGGCCAGAAAGAAAATGTTTTAGGCTTTGTGGGCTACATATTATTGGTATATATGTGTCTTCTCAATACCTCTTCCACTGGACCACCTCCCCTCCCTGCCCAGAGGAGATTGTCTGATGGTGGAATTGTCAACATGCTCAGATAGAAACGTCAAAGGAAAATCATGTTGACATTTGCATTTATAAAGTGTTTTGTAGGAGTTACCCTTGATCACTAAGCACTCTTCTCATCCCAACAGACAATAACAATCATTTCTTGCTAGTGAGAAAATAGTTTCTCAATGAAAAGGAGATGGTTCCTGATGAAGATGGCCAGTGAGGGGCTGGGTGATGTTATAACTTCCTCTGTGGCTTCTAGATTGTTACCATTTAGATTTCCTTTGTTAGATCCATAGTAGGTAACTAAGCACAATTCTGTGTTTTTTTTCCACTTATTAAAAGTTAACTGCCAGCCTAGGATATTTGCATTAAAAGGTACTTTTTAAAATAGAAAATATTTCTGTTAAAACAACTAAATAAAGTTTACTTAGAGCAAAAGCTAACATTGTGCCATTCACTATGCTAAGCACTTTATATCCATTTTTCTATTTACCCCCCACCACAACTCTGTGAAACAGGTGCTTTTAGGAAACCAAGACTTAGATTGAATAACTGGTCTGAGGTCACCTAGCTGGTGTCAAAGCTGAGCTTTCAACTCAGGTCTTGCAGAGTCAGCCCTCAGACTCTTGAATATTATAGAATATAGCCTCATAAATATATATATTATATATATATATATATGTTTTTACATGCGAAGAGGAAGGGCTTATTGGTCATGTCAGGTTTTATGTAGATGATCCTACCATGAGAAGCATTAAAAAATTGTTTTGCCTTGAGTGTAATCGATGTCATTTTTTGTCTCAGAATGATGGCATGAATCTTTTCTTTTTGGGGATGTTGGCTCTTTGCTTTTTAGCAAAATCTTCCAACAGATTGTTGTTGATTTCTTTAAACTGTATTTTAAAAAAGTTAGCTTGAATTTTGTCACTAGAGAAAGATATTATTTCCAAGGGAAAGTTAAAACTCCCATGACATTTTTTCATTCTAACTCATTAAGACTGTTTTAAATAAGATTTGAATCATCCCTAATATACATACAAAATTATGAAGAAATAAAAAACAATAAAGTTAGCATCTACATTATAATTTATGATTAAAGGCTTTGCATTTCTTGTTCCTTAGGTTTTCTATATCTAAAGTAGAGAAATGACACCAGTACTAATTATTTAAGTTCATTGAAGTCTTCAGGAGTCTATATTTTACCATGAGTGCATGGGTTAAAGACAATCTTTCTCATTATATCAGTGAAGGCTGTTTATTACTGGAAGAGTAATAAACATCTCTTTGGAGACCTACTCCTAAGAGAGGAGGTGAGAGATTGAATTTTAAAGATTGTACAGTGATAAATAATGCTGTTGGAGAAAGTGATGAAAGAAAAAGAAAAGACATCTGTGCCCCTTTTGCCTTTTGCACCAGATATAGGGAAAGAATTCCAGGTATCAAAACCAACAGAAAGTACTTTCAATTTTTGTTGTTGTTGTTTTTTTTTTAGATAGTATCTTGCTCTCTGTCACCCAGGCTGGAGTACAGTGACACAATCACCGCTCACTGCAGCCTTGACCTCCTAGTTTCAAACAATTCTTCCACCTCAGCCTCCTGAGTAGCTGGGAGTACAGGCATGTGCCACCATGCCCAGCTAATTAAAAAAGATTTATTTTAGAGATGGGGGCCTCACTGTGTTGCTGAGGCTGGTCTTGAATTCCTGGGCTGAAACCATTCTCCAACCTTGGCCTCCCAAAGAGTTGGGTTTACTGGTGTGAGTGAGCCGCTGTGTCCAGCAGAAAGCACTTTGTTATAGGATATTGGGGATGATCTTTTTTAGAATAATATTCTTTTCAATAAAGGTGATTTATTCAAGTTAACTTTTTTTAACATTATACTTCTAACACATATTTTCTATAATACATTCACAGCTCCGAAAAAACTCATTGTCCGATTTCACATCTCAGTTTATGGTTGTAAAAATATGGTACTTATATATTTTATGTGATATGTTAAGCAATTTTACTTGTGAAGCTGGGAGCTAAAATGTAACTTTGGTAACTTTATTACTTCTGTTTCAAAAAAGTCAGAGCTACTTAATGTTTTATATTTGGTGTCATCTTAATTTGTAGAGCACATTCTACATATATTTCCTTTTAGACTATTTCCTATTTGTTTTTAATCAAAGACCTAGTTAAACTGTGAATAATAACTCAAGATAAAAGGCCTGGGTAAATGTTTGATGAGACTGCTCTAGGAAGGGGGATGGGTAGGAGCTGTATATCTACCTTGTCTGACCAATGCCAGGCAGATTTCTACCTAGTGGTAGCCTTTTTCCAATTTCTCTCTTTCTCTCTCCTCACTCTTTTGTTTCCTCTCTCTCCTCTTCCCTTTTCCCTCCCCATTTCTCTCCTTCAAGCATAAATTTTTTTTTTTTTTGAGACAAGGTGTCACTCTGTCGCCCAGGTTGGAGTGCAGTGGCGTGATATTGGCTCACTGCCCAGGTTCAAGCTATTATCCTGCCTCAGCCTCCCAAGTAGCTGGGATTACAGGTGCATACCACCATGCCCAGCTAATTTTTGTATCTTTAGTAGAGATGGGGTTTTGCCATGTTGACCAGGCTGGTGTGTCTGCCTAGTCAAGTGATCTGCCCATCTCAGCCTCTCAAAGTGCTAGGATTACAGGTGGGAGCTACAAGCATAGAAGAAAAAATCATCATTCAAACTATGTAAAAGCATAGCCAATGAAAATAAACATCTCATTCCCCAGGCACTCCTTCTAACCAAGTGTTCTTTTGCAGAGGCAGCGATTTTAAGTTCTGCCAATTTCTCATTCATGATTTATCACCTCGGGGCAATATCTCCTGACTCCTTGCTGTAAAGAATGGGAAGCATTCTCATAGAACCCTGTACCTAAATTACTGTCTTTTACCTTCTCATATTTGTCAGGTCTAGCTTATTCACTTTGTCTACTGGTTGTCTCTTATGACTTTGCATAATACAGATGGCCTCTATTTTCTAACTGATTTTTAGATATAGCTATTGACTCCTTGCTATGAAAACTGAGTACATTAGCACACGTATCCATTGTTTCACTCTCTTCTAATTTTTTTTAAGTTATGTTTTTATTTGTATGTTGCCATGACTTATAACATTCACATTTATAACATGCTTCATTGTCTTTTGGCATCTCTGTCAGTTACTACTTGCCCTCAGGATAAAGTCCACATTTTCTACATAGTAAATAAAATCCCAGCTACCCAGCCCCATCCTGTCTCCCCGGCCTAATATGCAGTACAAAGAGTTCTCGCTGACATCATATATATGTCTTCCTGGGACTTTGCACATGTTTTTAACTCTCTAGCAAATTTGTTTTCATGCTTCAAGGCCTAGATCTCATTTTCCTATGTGGTCAATCCATCCCCACATGTTCCCACTACCCTCTTTCTACCTCCATTAGGAGGCTTTACATTAAGCTGCAATTTCATGTTTATATATCTGCTGCTGCTTCTCCAGTGTGAGTATAGGAGTGTGCATTTCATTTCTGTGTCTCCAGTGTCCAAGGAAGTGTCCTCACACAGAATGAATGACTGAATGAACACAAAAATATTCTAACAAAGAGATTAACCAGCGTATTTGGCGTTTTACATCTTTCCTAAATTGATTTTAATCAGCAAAATTTTCAGTGGTCTTTTTCCAGTCTGGTTTATATTTTTCTTTACTTGAATACCTTATCTACCTCCGTGGGGGAATAATTTAAGGAGAAAATAATTTCTGCCTGTATTGCTGTTAAACACTCATCTTTTCTACATTGATCCCAAAAGTGAGAAAGAAGAAGAGAAACTTATATACCAGGACATGGCTTTTTATTAATTTGTATCACTTCAGAAATTTAAATAACAATATAAAGGGAGGGTAAAGTTCCTTTAAAGGATATTTGTTATCAAGTACTCTAAATGAAAACAATGTTTATTTAGAAATATGGAAATTTTTTATGAATTTATACAGGAATCTATGTCACTCAAAACATTTCACCTCCAAATACCCACTGGACATCTCTTCTCTCCTGTCAGTTACCCTGTCTCCTTTTCTTTCAATCTTCTTCCAAACTTAAAAAATATCTACATTTTATCCAACATTCTCGTGTGTGTAGCTAGACCACAGGTGTGCAAATCCTTGTCAGCCTAGACTGTAAGCAAAGTAAAACACTTTCTGAACAAATGATTGGCTCTCATTAAGATGGTATCTCACTCTAGCTGCTAAGAATAATAATGTTTGTCTTTTATTCTTTTTTGTATATTAAGTACATTTTGAAAAGAAATCACTAAATATACCTTTAAGAAGGAAATCAATTCCCAGAAATGGTATTTATTCAAAGAGATTCCTTAGAAACTTCTGTAGCTGCATGATCTATTTTGAGTAAGCATAGCATGTGGCCACAGGTTCCATTGATTTGGCACAATTTTAGTTCTCTGTTGACTGAATCAATCCACATGTTGATCTTCATCACTCCCATTTCCGTTATGCTCTTAATTCCTGCTGGTGTAAAACTGATTAAAGCCAGTGGTGAAAAGCTGCTAATGAATTGAGCACCCAGAGATAACTACAATTCTGTATGTCCTGGGGCAGTATAATTTTTTAAGAAAGTATTTAGGCAATATGGGAACCACCTTGTAAAAGGCAGAACAGTGAAGTGGTGAAGACCTGGAGGCTCACTGCTTGACTTCAGATACTGGCTCTGCTGCTTCTTAGATTCATGACTGTGAGCAAGTTATATAATCTCTCTGAGCCTTTGTCCTCATCTGCCAAATGGGGAATATTAATGCAAGTTAATATGTATATTGAGCTTAGAACAGTGCCTAGTACTTTGTAAACACCCAATCATTACTAGCAATTATTATTTTCTTTGTAAAGAATACATAGATATGAAAGTGAATGGTCATTTGCCTGTGGTAGTCACTATTAACCACCCAGACTATATCTTTCCAGAGCATTAAATATGTATGTAGTTTTAACAGAGTGAGCAGCAGTGCAACAGGAATGTTAATGCTACTTTAAGAATGACTTGGTTCAACCAAACCTAACTGTACAATTTACAAACAGTTTTTCAAAAGAGATTTGCTTTAAAATCCTGATTTCCGTGTTACTTCATAGTTTTTCAGTAGTGAGGAACATACTGGAAGAAAATACAAAATGATATAGTTACCCAAGGATTCATACATCAAATGTATCCAGAATTCACAAACTATCATCAAGAATTCAATATTCATGACAAGAATTCTGGGCAAATAGCCAAACTATGAGGCATGTGCCCTCTTTAACTTCATATATGTGTATATTATATATTTTTAAATTGACCTTCTATGTATTCTATTTCTGGTTGTTGAGGGAAAAGCTGTTGCTTAGCAACCAGTTGTTTCCGCTTGGCTGATGTGTAAAATGGAAAACTGTGCAAATCAGAGGCAAATAATTTTGTGCATTAGGAGTGCTAAGTTACTTGTTTTAACTATTAAATTGTTTCCCAATTTGGTTTAGGGTTCCTAGTGTGGAAAAGATAAAATCCGAAGCTGTATCATGATATTTACTAATTATTTTAAAGAATACAGATTAATTAAGAATATGTAAATTAGTATATAAAAAAAGAATAATTCAGGGACTTAAAAAAGTTACTTAAGTGTTAAAGTACAAGTTAAAAGTTTCAGACAGGCCAGACATGGTAGCTAATGCCTGTAATCCCAGCACTTTGGGAGGCCAAGGCAGGTGGATCACCTGGGGTCAGGAGTTCAAGACCAGCCTGGCCAACATGGTGAAGCCCTATCTCTACTAAAAATATAAAATTAACTGGGCATGGTGGCACATGCCTGTAGTCCTGGCTACTTGGGAGGGTGAGGCAGGAGAATTGCTTGAACCCACAAGGTGGAGGTTGCAGTGAGCCAAGATCACGCCACTACACTCCAGTCTGGGCCACAGAGCAAGACTTTGTCTCCAAAAAAAAAAAAAGTTTCAGGCAGAAAATATTTTTATCTTAAAGGGGAAAAAACTAAAATACACATAACAAATTCTTGAATTGTATCCAACAAAACATAGACATACACCCTATAAAACTTTTTAACATAATTTTATATATATTCATTTATTTAGGTTTTTAACAAAGAGAACTTGCTAGAGAATGAGAAGTTGTATAATGATGAGAGTCTCTTGGCTGTTGCTAACAAAAACTGACTAACTGAAGCTAAAGAATATTTATAGGCATGAAAGATTTGGTGCCGGTGGTGGTGTGCTTGGAATTGATGGGATATTGCAGAGCCAGGTTTGGAAACAGGCTAGAACCTTGGGCACTCAAAAATACTGCTTGAGGCCAGAGCCACAGCTGTTTCCTTGTGTCTCTCTCAAGTTTCAAAAGGCCAGGGGAGAGCATTGCCTGGCTGATTCCTCACTGCCTGCTCCTTGGCCGAGGTGAGTCAGGGGCCAGGGAGGATATGGTCCCTTCCATTTCCACGGAGACATGCATCTGTATTTACAGGACAGAACACTGCATAGGGGGTTTCCTTTCTCCAAAAGGAATTCCGGGTGCTATTAGAAAGAAAGAAATGGATGCTAGAGATGTATAGCTGGAGAGATAGATATACAGTATGGAGATATTATGTACAGTTGACCCTTGAGCATTGTAAGGGTTAGGGATGCCGATGCCCCTGCAGTCAAAAATTCTCCTATAAGTTTTGACTCCCCAAAAACTTGACTACTGCTAGCCTACCGTGGGCCTTACCAATAACAAAAACAGTTGCTTAACACATTTTGTATGTTATATTATATGCTGTCATCTTACAATAAAGTAAGCTAGAGAAAAGGTTATTAAGAAAATCATAAGGAAGATAAATATGTTTATGGTACCATTCTGTGTTTATTAAGTTTATGTCATCAGTTTCCAAGATGAATCCTCTGTCTGAAATGGCAGACACTGCAGCTGCAGATCTCAAGTTACGGTACACATCAAGCAATTCAACTTCTTGTCATGTCACGACTTTCTGTTTTTTTTTTTTTTTTTGAGACGGAGTCTTGCTCTGTCGCCCATGCTGGAGTGCAGTCATGTGATCTTGGCTCATGGCAAGCTGCACTTCCCGGCTTCATGGCGTTCTCCTGCCTCAGCCTCCTGAGTAGCTGGGACTACAGGTGCCTGCCACCACACCCGGCTAATTTTTTTTGAATCTTCAGTAGAGACGGGGTTTCACCGTGTTAGCCAGGATGGTCTTGATCTCCTGACCTCATGATCTGCCCGCCTCGGCCTCCCAAAGTGCTGGGATTACAGGCGTGAGCCTCCGCGCCCGGCCATGTCATGACTTTCTCTGATTCTTGGGAGCACTTCCAGCATCATTGGTGGCATTTGTATGGGTCCCTTGGTGTTATTCAAGTTTGAGGTATTTCCCTAAGCATGGTGAAAAATAGGCAAGAACTGTGAGAGATACTTTTTACTTCAGTTCTACTGGAAAGAAAAATGGCTCACGTGGAGATAATTAGCATCACACAGTGTTTTAAGCAGATACTCACAACACTTGAACTCATCGCAACAGCAACAGGAGGTGGCCACAAAATTATTACAGCAGTATAGTATTTGCTGCAGTTAATTTTGTGTAGTTATAATTGAATACTGCATTTCTATGTTTGTTTACATTTCTCTCAACTGCAAATGAGACCATGAATGGTCTGTGTGCATAAGTTTTGATAAATTTTAACTTTTTATAATAGATTTGTATATATTTTGTGATGGTAGATAATCAAATAGACTAGTATCTACGTACATTTTATGCATGTATGACCTATCTAATTTTTTTCTTAATTTTTTGATATTTCTAGGCTGCACATTTTGTCTGCAAGTTTTTTCAAATTGTCGCAAATCTCCAAAAAATGTTCCAATATATTTATTGAAAAATATCTGTTGGCTGGGCACAGTGGCTCACGCCTATAATCACAGCACTTTGGGAGGCCGAGGTGAGCAGACACTTGAGTCCAGGAGTTTGAAACCAGCCTGGGCAACATAGTGAAACCCTGTCTCTACAAAAATAAAACAAAACACGAATTAGCCAGCTATGGTGGCACATACCTGTAGTCCCAGTTATTCAGGAGGCTGAGGTGGGAGGATCACTTCAGCCTGGGAGGCTGAGGCTGCAGTGAGCTGTGATCATGCCACTGCTTTCCAGCCTGGGCGACAGGGTGAGACCCTGTCTCAAAAAAAAAAAAAAAAATCTGTGTATAAGTGGACCCATGCTGTTCAAACCTGTATTGTTCAGTGGCCAACTGTATATAAAAATCTCCATTTTGGTAAATCTGTAGTGCCTACAAATCAACTCATTTGTGGCCTAATTGCTTTTTTTCTTCTCATGTTCCTCACCTCTAACATGTATATAAAAATCATCAACTTCATGTATTTACTAAATACTATAAAAATTATCATTTAGTCAGTGGTATCTAGATCTTTTTAGCCTATGAGGTAATATGTAAGTATGGTTAGAATTTATAAAGCAGTGATGTTTGCATGTTTTCATATGCAATTTGAGTTGATTTTTATGATTTGAAGCTTTATCTTTATAAGATCCCTGAATATCAAAGACATTGGGGAAATCTATAGAATCACCAAGAATTATATCAAAAAGAGACCAAAGCCATGGAGTCTAACTTTTCACTCACCACAGAGCAAGCCAAAAAGTCAGTGAACCAAATCATTCCTTTTATATACTGTAAGTGGATTTTAGTTTCAAAGGAAAAAACTCATTAAATAGTGAAAGAATTTGTACCTATTTCTTATTAAAATATTTTGGCTTTCACTTACTTGGCTGTCAACGATAGTCCTTGTCATTTAACCTAAAAAAATCTTTGTTGCAATTTGAATCTGCCACATGGAATATTCTGGTAGTGGCCGGTGAAAATAAATGACCAAACACCCCAAATCTTCTGTGTTAGGATACCAGGTCAGCTCCTGAAACAAAGGCCAACATAACAGTGTCAGACAAGATGGAAATTTCTTTCTTTCTCACAAAATAGTCAAGCTTAAATAGACTAGAGCTGATATGGCCATTTCATAGTGCAAGGGATCAGGCTCTTTCCATCTGGGTGCTCTGCCATTCTCAACATGAAGTTTCCATCTTGTGGTCTAATGTAGCTGCTCCTGCAACTGCCACCATCTGCATTCCAACCAGCGGGAAGAGGAGAAGGGCCAAGGGGAGGGCTCATATCCTTGCAGCTTGCATAACATGTGCCAAGTCACATGGCCACCCCTAGTTGTAACCAAAATGGAAAGTATAGCTCTTAGCTGTTGTAGACTGGTAGAGTGGAAGTTTTCTGGCATACCATTCCATTACAAACTTACTACTATCTTATCGTGCTAAACCAGAAAATGTCTACTTATTAAAACACAGCAATAGCAACCCAAATGTCAATCCAAAGAAACAAACCCTAAATCAAATTAACTAACATTAGAAAATAGTGAGAAAATTCTTGTATTGTGTATTCTGTACATATAAACTAAACTGTTGTCTTTCAGACTATCAAGGTAATACATAATATACTAAGGAAGTAATCAGGGCCAGGCGCAGTGGCTCACATCTATAATCCCAGCACTCTGGGAGGCTGAGGTGGGAGGATTACTTGAGCCCAGGAGTTCAAGACCAGCCTGGGCAGCATAGGGAGACCCTGTCTCTACAAGAAAATAAGACAATTAGCCAGGCATGGTGGCATGTGCCTGTAGTCCCAGCTACTCAGGAGGCTGAGATAAAAGGGTCACTTGAGCCCAAGAGGTCAAGGTTGCAATGAGCCGTGATTGCACCACTGCACTCCAGCCTTGGTGACAGAACAAGGCCCCGTCAAAAAAAAAGAAAAAATTAATTGACCTGCTGGCACCTCAGAGTTATCCTCTGAAAGTGGATGATTAAGGGCATCTTTAGGTGTAGTTCTGCCATTTTCAGACTCTATGTTTCACTGTCATGTTGCTGAAATTCTAGACAAGTGTTTCAAAGGGTCCTCAGAAAAACATAGGGTCTTTTATCAAAAGCTTTACAAATGTACACTCCCTTTGACCCCAAAATACTATAAAAACACTACTTTTAGGAGTTTGTCCTAAGGAAAACATTGGGGATGAAGGAAATGATTCATAAAGATATTTATTGCAAAGTAGTTTGTTGCAATGAAAGATTAAAAATAATCTATATATCCTGTAAAAGGAAACTGTACATAAGTTATATCAACACAATAGAATGTCTCACTGCCATTAAAAATGATAGGTAGGCCAGATGTGGTGGTTCACGCCTGTAATCCCACCACTTTGGGAGGCTGAGGTGAGTGGATCACTTGTGATTAGGAGTTCGAGACAAGCCTGGGCAATATGGCAAAACCCCATCTCTACAGAAAGATACAAAAATTAGCCTGGCATGGTGGTGTGCACCTGTAGTTGCAGCTACTTGTGGGGCAGAGGCAGGAGGATTGCTTGAGCCTAGGAGATTGAGGCTGCAGTGAGCCATGATCGCACCACTGCACTCCAGCCTGGGTGACAAAGTGAGACCCTGTCTCAAAAACAAAAAACAAAAAACAAAAACAGGTACAGAAATATTCGCTATTGACATGGAAAGATGCTCAAAATACATCATTAAGTGAAATATATATATTTGAAAATCATATGATAGTATGATTCAAAGTTTATAAATTAACGCTGTGAATATTCTTTTATTTTGTTTATAATTGACGCATAATAATTGTACATGTTTATGGGGTACAATGTGATGTTTCAATACATGTATATATTGTATAATGATTAAATCAGTATTAGTTAGCATGTAGCATGTCCATCACCTCAAACCTTTATCATTTCTTTGTGGTGAAAACTTTCAAGATCTTCTTTTCCAGCTATCTTGAAATGTACAATACACTGTTTTTTTTTTTTGTTTTTGGTTTTGTTTTTTTTTTTTGAGACGGAGTCTTGCTCAGTTGCTCAGGCTGGAGTGCAGTGGCCTGATCTTGGCTCACTGCAAGCTCTGCCTCCCGGGTTCACGCCATTCTCCTGCCTCAGCCTCCCGAGTAGCTGGGACTACAGGCGCCCGCCACCACGCCCGGCTAATTTTTTTTTTTTTTTTGTATTTTTAGTAGAGACGGGGTTTCACCGTGTTAGCCAGGATGGTCTTGATCTCCTGACCTGGTGATCCACCCGCCTCAGCCTCTCAAAGTGCTGGGATTACAGGCGTGAGCTACTGTGCCCAGCCGTACAATACACTGTTATTAGCTATGGCCACTCTACTATGTAATAGAAGATAGAACTTATTCTGCCTAACTCTAACTTTGTACCCCTTGGATGACCCCTCCTGATCTTCCCCGTCCTTCTCCCACCAAGAGAGACAAGACCATCAAGTAGACCAGCACACTCCAAACAGATCTTTGGAAAGAAGGCATTGAGAGTGGACAGAGGGAGGATGCAGACCCTGGGGCTGAAAGGAGAGAAAGTTGGAAATCCTGCACAGGGTTGCCAAGCACTGGAACTCAATCCTGACCACAAGTGGCTCTTAGGGAAGCAGTAAGTTGAATAGGCATGGAGCAGCCCACTCTCACCATGGACCTCCAGGATCCTAGCTGTGGGAGACCCCACGACCCCGATGGATGGATATTTGAGTTGTCAGGGAGAACTGCCCAGAGAATTGGCAGAGACAGAGCTCTAGCTTGCACAAAGCCCAGAGGGTTTGGTGTGAGAACGTCTGCTCTGGAACATAGCCTTGGAGTACTCATCCCCCAAGGCTTGCCATACTCCTCTAGGTGTCTATAAACTTTGTTAGCTGCCAGATTTGGAGAGAGCAGGGCAGTCATGCCTGTGGGATAGGGTCAGTATGATCTGAACACCTTCCTGTCTGCTGGCCTCTCCTAGGGTCCAGGCCTGGACACATCCACTTGCAGCAGGCCTCAGCTGCCCTGCTGGAATGCTTGGCAGCAGCCATGTTCCCATTGGAGCACTTTTGCAGACACACCCTAGCTGGCAGACACCTGCCTGCAGCCTCCCCCAGCTGCCCTACCAGTGCGCAGTCCCATTGAGACCACCACCATCCTGGCAGTGTGCATGTGTGTGGACTGCTGCCACCTCACCACTGTGCCCATGCCCATACCCTCCCTCTGTCATACCATCCTGCTGCTGCTTACTCCCCCATGGCCTCTGCACTGCAGCACACTCTTCTGGACTCCCCCACCCCCTGCTGCCCCATCAGAGGCTTTTGCTGGCAGTCCTTGTGGGCCTATTGTTGCCAGTGGACTGGAACACTTTGGCCCTTCCAGCACAGCAGTGCTTAATCTCAAGAAGCCAGAGAACAAAGCCACGGGCCGAGTCTCAGCCCCACAGGGTTAGAACATGCAGCCCAGGAGTGTTGAGCTGACCCCTGGGCCCCTAAAAGTATCCAGAAAGGAAGCCAATTGAGTAAACCCAACTTATACCAAAGTCAAACCCTCAAGGGCATCAAAAAATATAAAAGCAAAAAGCCACATTCAAGGACAGCAACTTCAAAGATTAAAAGAACATCAGCCCACACAGATGAGAAAGAACCAGCACAAGAGTTCTGGCAACTGTAACAGTCAGAGTGTCTTCTTACCTCCAAATGACCACACTAACTACCCAGATATGGTTCTTAACAAGATTGAAATGGCTGAAATGACAGACATAGAATTCAGAATCTGCATGGCAAGGAAGCTCAACAAGATACAGGAGAAAGTTGAAACCCAATCCAAGGAAACCAGTAAAATGATCCAACAGTTGAAAGATGAAACCATTTAAAAACTAAAAAATTTTTTTTAACTTTTGACTTTTTGTGGGTACATAGTAGCTATATATAATTCTGGAGTACATGAGATATTTTGATACAGGCATGCAATGCATAATAACCACATCATGGAAAATTGGGTATCTATCCGCTCAAGCATTTATCCTTTCTGTTACAAACAATCCAGTTATACTCTTAGTTATTTTTAAAATGTACAATTAAATTATTATTGACTATAGTCCCCCTGTTGTGCTATCAAATACTAGGTCTTATTCATACTGTGTATTTTTTTGTACCCATTAACCATCCCTACCTCCTCCCAGCCCCGCACTACCTCTCCCAGCCTCTGGTAACCATCCTTGTATCTTCTCTCTTCAGAAGTTCAATCATTTTGATTTTTAGATCCTATAAATGAGAATGTGTGATGTTTTTCTTTCTGTGCCTGACTTATTTCATTAGCATAATGATCTCCAGTTCCAACCATGTTGTTGCAAATGACAGAATCTCATTCTTTTTATGACTGAATAGTACTCCATTGTGTATAAGTACCACATTTTCTTTATCCATTCATCTGTTGATGAACACCTAGGCTGCTTCCAAATCTAGCCACTTTAAGAAAGAACCAAACTGGGCTGGGCATGGTGGCTCACGCCTGTAATCCCAGCAATTTGGGAGGCTGAGGTGGGTGGAGCACCTGAGGTCAGGAGTTTGAGACCAGCCTGGCCAACATGGTAAAATCTCACCTCTGTTAAAAATACAAAAAATTAGCCAGACATGGTGGCCGGTGCCTATAATCCCAGCTGCTTGGGAGGCTGAGGCAGGAGAATTGCTTGAGCCTGGGAGTCAGAGGTTGCAGTGAGCTGAGATCATGCCATTTCACTCCAGCCTGGGCAACAAGAGCAAAACTCCGTCTAAAAAAAAAGAAAGAACCAAACTGAAGTTCTGGAAATGAAAAATTTACTACAGGAGTTTCATAATGCAATTGGAAGCATTAATAACAGACTAGACCAAGCTGAGGAAAGAATCTCAGAGTTTAAAGACCACTCTCTCAAATCAGTGCAGACAGACAAAAATAAAGAAAAAATAATTTAAAAAAATGAACAAAACCTCTGAGAAATATGGGATTATGTAAAGAGGCCAAACCTATGACTCATTGGCATTCCTGAAAGGGATGGAGAGCAAGTAAGCAACTTGGAAAACATATTTGAGGATATTGTCCATGAAAATTTCCCCAATCTTGCTACAGAGGTTGACTTGCAAATTCAGGAAGTTCAGAGAACCCCTGTAAGATACTATACAAGATGACCATCTCCGAGATACATAGTCATCACATACTGCAAGTTCAGTATGAAATAAAAAAATCTTAAAGGCAGCCAGAGAGAAGGGGCAGGTCATATACAAAGAGAACCCCATCAGATTAACAGTGGATCTTTCAGCAGAAACCTTACAAGCCAGAAGAGATTAGGGGCCTACATAGAGCATCACTAAAGCACAGAAATTCCAACCAAGAATTTCATAGCCAGCCAAACTAAGCTTAATAAGCAAAGGAGAAATGAAATCCTTTTTAGACAAACAAATGCTAAGGGAATTCATTACCATGAGACCTGCCTTACAAGAGTTTGTTAAGGGAGTGCTAAACATGGAAAGGAAAGACTGATACCTACCACACATAAACACACTTAGGTACACAGCCCACTGACACTATAAAACAGCTATGCAATCAAGTCTACATAACAACCAGCTAACAACAAGATGATAGGATCAAATTCTTACATATCAATATTGACCTTGATTGTAAATGGACTAAACACCCAACTTAAAAGGCACAGAGTGGCAACTTGGATAAAGAAGGAAGATCTGACCGTATGCTGTCTTCAAGAGACCCATCTCATATCTGATGACTCCTATAGGCTCAAAATAAAAGGATGGAGAAAGATCTATCAAGTAAATGAAAAACAAAAAAGAGCAGGGTTGCTGTTCTTATTTCAGACAAGCAGACTTAACCAACAATGATTAAAAAGGACAAAGAAGGGCATTACATACTGATAAAGGGTTTAATTCAACAAGAAGACTTAACTATCCTAAATATATATGCACTCAACATTGGAGCACCCAGATTCATAAAAACAAGTTCTTAGAGACCTCTGAAGAAACTTAGATAGCCACACAATAACAGTGGGAGACTTCAACACCCCACTGACAGTGTTAGATCATTGAGGTAGAAAACTAACAAAGATATTCAGGAGCAAAACTTGACACTTGACCAACAGACCTAACAGACATCTACAGAACACTCCACCCAACAATAAGAATATACATTCTTCTCATCAGCACATACTTTAAGATGGACAATATGCTCGGCCATAAAGCAATTCCAAACAAATTTTAAAAAACCAAAATCATATCAACCACACTCTTGGGCTACAGAGCAATAAAAATAGAAATCAATACAAAGATCTCTCAAAAACCATAAATTACATGGAAATTAAACAACGTGGTCCTGAATGATTTTGAATAAAGAATGAAATTAAGACAGATATCAAAAAATTCTTTGAAACTAATGAAAACAAAGATACAGCATTACTAGAATCTTCATTTACTCAGAGATTCTAATGTAATGTTAAGAGGAAAGTTTATAGTGCTAAATTCCTATATCAAGATGTTAAAAAGATCCTCAAATTAACAAACTAACATCACACTTAGAGAGACTAGAAGAGCAAGAGCAAACCAGTCCCAAAACTAGTAGAAGAAAAGGAATAACCAAAATCAGAGCTGAACTGATTGAAATTGAGACATGAACTTGGTTTTTTGAAACAATAAACAAGATTGATAGAATACTAGCTAGATTAATAAAGAAAAAAGAGAGAAGATCCAAATAAACACAATCAGAAATAATAAAGGTGACATTACCACTGACCCCACAGAAATACAAAAAACTCTCAGAGTCTATTATGAACACCTCTGTGCACACAAACTAGGAAACCTACAAGAAATGGATAAATTCCTGGAACATAAAACCTCCCAAGATTGAACCGGGAAGAAATTGAAATCCCGAACAGACAAATAATGAGTTCTGAAACTGAGTCAGTAATTAAAAACTTAACCAACCAGAACAAGCTCTGGACCAGAAGGATTTACAGCCAAATTCTACCAGATGTACAAAGAAGAGCTAGTACCAATCCTACTGAAACTACTCCAAAAAATTGAGGAGGAAGGATTCCTCCGTAACTTATTCTATGAGGCCAACATCATTCTGGCACTGAAGCCTGGCAGAGACACAATGAAAAAAGGAAACTTCAGGCCAAAATACCTTATAAATATAGATGCAAAAATCTTCAACAAAATACTAGCAAACCAAATCTAGCAGCACATCAAAAAGCTAATCCACTATGATCATGTAGGCTTTATCCCTGGGATGCAAGGTTGGTTCAACATATGCAAATCACTTTTATGTAATAAAAGTAATTCATCTCATAAACAAAACTAAAAACAAGAACCACATGATAATCTCAATAGATACAGAAAACACTTTTTTTAAAAATAAAATTCAACATACATTCATGTTAAAAACCCTCAACAAACTAGATATTGAAGGAACAATCCTCAAAATAATAAGAGCCATCTATGACAAACCCACAACCAACATCATGCTGAACAGGCAAAAGCTAGAAGTATTTCCTTTGAGAACTGAAACAAGACAAAGAATGCTGACTCTCACCACTCCTATTCAACATAGTACTGGAAGTCCTAGCCAAAGCAGTCAGGCAAGAGAAAAAAATAAACAGCACCCAAATAGGAAGAGAGGAAGCCAAACTATCTCCTTCCACAGATGATATGATTCTATACCTAGAAAACCCCCATAGTTTCTGCCCAAAGGCTCCTAGAACTAATAAACAACTTCAGTAACATTTCAGGATAGAAAATTAATGTACAGAAATCAGTAGCATTTCTTTATGCCAATAATGTCAAGCTAAGAGCCAAATCAAGAATGCAGTCCCATTCACAATAGCCACAGAAAAAAGAAAATACCTAGGAATGCAGCTAACCAGGCAGATGAAATATCTCTACAATTAGAATCACAAAACACTCCTGAAAGAAATAAGAGATAACACAAATGGAAAAACATTGCATGCTCATGGACAGGAAGAATCAATATTGTTAAAAAGGCCACAGTGCCAGAAGCAATGTACAGACTCAATACTATTCCTTTCAAACTACCAACATCATTTTTCATAGAATTAGAAAAAACTTCAGAAATTCACATGGAACAAAAAATGAGCCCAAATAGCCAAAGCAATCCTAAGCAAAAAGAACAAAGCCAGAGAACAAAACCAAAACAGCATGGTAGTTGTACAAAAACAGACACATAAACCTATAGAACAGGTTAGAGAACCCAGAAACCAAGCTGCACAGCTACGACCATCTGATCTTCAACAAGCTGACAATAACAAGCAACAGGGAAAGGACTCCCTATTCAATAAATCGTGTTGGGATAACTGGCTGGTCATATGCAGAAGATTGAATCTGGACCTATTCCTTTCACTATATGCAAAAATCAACTCCAAATGGATTAAAGACTTAAATATAAGACCTAAAACTAAAAACGCTAGAAGAAAACCTAGGAAATATCATTCTGGACCTAGACCTTGGCAAAGATTTCATGATAAAGACTCTAAAAGCAATTGCAACAAAAATAAAAATTGACAAGTAGGACCTAATTAATGACCTTTTGCACAGCAAAAGAAACTATCAATACAGTAAACAGACAACCTACAGCATGGGAGAAAATATTCTCAAACTTTACATGTAACAAAGGTCAAATATCCAGAATTTGTAAGGAACTTAAGCAAATCAGCAGGTAAAAAAACAAACAATCCCATTTCAAAAATAGGAAAAGGACATAAACAGACACTTCTCAAAAGAAGACACACATGCAGCCAACGAACATGAAAAAATGCTCAACATCACTAATCATTGGAGAAAATGCAAATCAAAACCACAATGAAATACCATCTCATACCGGTGAAAGCTATTATTAAACCAGAATGGCTATTATTAAAAAGTAAAAAAACAAAAAGCATGTTGATGAGGTTGCAGGAATGTAAATTAGTTTAGCCACTGCGGAAAGCAGTTTGGAGATTTCTCAAAGAACTTAAAACAGAACTACCATTTGACCCAGCAATTCCATTACTGGGTATATATCCAAAAGAAAACACATTGTTCTACCAAAAAACAAAAACAAACAAACAAACAAACAAAAACATCTAGCAATTGAAAAAATACTTTGGGAAAATTGCGATTTTTCTGGTCAAACTTCTTTGGTATGTGCCTTTCTGATCTTCTAAATGTATTTATCTACCTACCATTCTTGGTTCTTTATTACCACTCTTTTAAGAGGAATCATTTCTTTTGTTATCTTTACATTGCATAATTAAAACCGATTGACTTATCTGGGCTTTACCTGTTTAAGCTATCAAAAGTAATAATATTTGCCTTCCTTACCAAGATTCCTGGGGATATTTCCCCTGAAAAAAAAAAAAAGTGTTGGATTCTTCTGTTTTTATTTTTCTGTTGTCATAGCTTTGTAACAATTAATTATGTGTAAGTTTCCATTATACCTAATATAATCACAAACAGTGCATTATCTATATACACAGAGGGTTAGAAGCTCTCTATTGTGGTGTTTAGCCTCACGCTAATCCAGACAATCTAAAAGGATAACAAGGATAATGAGTTCCTCTACGCTTCACATCGATTATTAGATAGAACTTTTGACTGAAAGTGGCAGAATCTAACTTGAACTAGAGTATGCAAAATGGCAAACATATTAGCCCATAAAATGAAACTGCTGGAGATGTGATGGTGTAAGGACTCACATCTCCCTTCTTCTCATTCTTCTCTTTATATGTTAATCTCATTATCTGAAGACTGTTTTCCCCAAAAGGCCAACTTATTCCCAGCTGCTTCCATGAGAGGAAAGGGCTCATTTTCTCTAGAAGCCAAGGTAAAAAATCTAGGAAAGGGGCTCACCTCTGTAGGAGAGAGAGGGAGGAATATGGGTTATATGTGGGTTATTGTGATTAACAGCCATCATCAAAACCACATTGCTGGAATGAGGTGGGAGGAGTTCCCCCAAAGTCGTGTGCTACAGGGTCACCAAAAAGACAACCATGACATCTCTGTGCCTTTTAACTGCAAGGAAGTTGGAGAAGATATGAAGTGCTAAACAACAGACAAAATTCTTTTGCCAATTTTACAAACATTTATCACTGCCACGCAAGAAACGAACATAAACAAGGAATAATCTTTATCCTAAAGAATTTTATAATCCATGGAGGGATTAGAAAGTGCACAGGCAATTATGATTCAAGAGAGACTATACTAATTATCACAAAAAGCTTACAAAGGGCTCTAGGGAGTTCAGTGCCAAGGGAGAGACCTTATTAATTTGAATGGAAAAGGCTAGGCAGATGATTTGGGCTTTGGGACACTGGGATTTTGATGGGCAGAGCTGGCACTTTGAACAGTGATGAAAGGATACTCTATCTAGCTGAAACTACATGAGGAAGTCTTCTACTTGGGAGAGGTGTGCAGAGGGCATTTGGGGAGCTGCAAAGAATCTAGCTGCAAACCGAAGGTGGGGATTAAAGTTATATTATGGAGGATCTTGAATGTCAGGCTAAGGAATGTGTACTAATTATCCTGTGGTTTCTCTCACAGAAACCAATGGCTGCATTAAATGAGTCTATAGAAGATTTTTCATCTCTGGACATGTCTAATTGCAGAGCTCTAATTGGAGGAACGTGTGGCAGTATCTGAAAGGAGAAAATAGGTGCTTGCTGCTTTGTTTCTGTCAAAACCTCTGATGTTAGAATATGTACAAAAAATGGGCACAAAAAGTTGGCTACATATAGCTTAAAGTGGGAAAAATAAGCAAGAAGATAATTCTTACAGGTTCGCCAAGTGTGGCCTCATGACCAGCAGCATTTGTCACCTGGAAGTTTGTTAATAATTCAAAATCTTGAGCCCCACCCCAGACTTACTGAGTCAGAGGCTCTGGGAGTGGAGCCCAGCAACCAGTGTTTTAACAAGCCCTTCAGACAATGTTTTTTTTTTTTTTTTGAGACGAAGTCTTGCTCTGTCGCCCAGGCTGGAGCGCAGTGGCACAATCTCGGCTCACTGCAAGTTCCGCCTCCCGAGTTCACGCCATTCTCCTGCCTCAGCCTCCCGAGTAGCTGGGACTACAGGCGCCCGCCACCATGGCCGGCTAATTTTTTTTATTTTTAATAGAGACGGGGTTTCACTGTGTTAGCCAGGATGGTCTCCCCTCGTGATCCGCCCACCTCGGCCTCCCAAAGTGCTGGGATTACAGGCGTGAGCCACCGCGCCAGGCCCAGAGAAGGTTAATGAATGCTAAAGTTTGCGAACCACCGTTTGATAGGCTGAAAATGGCACCTCAAAAGACAGTGCATCTGAATCCCTGGAACTTATAAAATATTATCTTATTTGGCAATAGGGTCTTTGCAGATCTGATTAAAGATCTTAAGACAAGAAATTATCCTAGATTACCTGGATGAATCCTAAATACCGGCACAAGGACCCTTTTAAGAGAGAGACAGAGGGAGATTACACACATGGAAGAGGAGGAGGCACTGTGATCACAGAGGCAGAGCCTGGAGTGACGCAGTAACAACCAAGGGATGAGGGCAGCCACCGGAAACTGGAAAAGGAAATGAATGGATTCTCCCCTACAGCATGTGGAAGGAACACAGGCGGCTTTGCTGACCTCTTGATTTCAGCCCAGTGAAACTGACTTCAAATTTCCGAATCATAGTTCTGAATTAGAACTGTGAGAAAGTGAATTTCCGTTGTTTTAAGCTATCAAGTTTGTGGCAATTTGTTACAGAAGCCACAGGAAAGGAATACACTCCTCATAAAGAATGAGGAGATATATGCTAAACTACTTAAAAATTTGTTAGAGTCTTATAAGAAAATATACTTGTTATTATTTTCTAAATATCTAAAATTAGTGATCCTTTTGTAAAATTTGCCACTTCTTAAACATTTTTCCCAACACAGCTTGCCATCAAATGTTAAAGTGTAATAATTTTCATAATATTGGCATCAAACATGGCCTTTATATATCTTAATTTTCATATGATAGCACATCCCACAGGAAAGAAAATAAATTCTCTTGACAGGAGGGAAAAAAAAACAGGACATATTTTGCTTATAGGTGAGATTTGCATAGGTTAGAAAGCTGTCATAAAGCTTTTTTATGGTTAAGGAAATGTTTTGTGGGAAATAATATTGGCATTTATTTATAGGAAAATGTTTCACAATAAATATTAGAAGATAGTCTATGTATAATCTATGCTACTTGATAAAATAGTCGAGCTTTTAAAAAGAGATCTGGAACACCTGGAACTTGTAATAATTTGTCTTCTGCACAATGCTTCTCAGATCATTGTTATATATATATAGATAGCTCTATATATGAATATATAAAAGAATATGTATATAAATATGTACCCATTTAATTCTTACAACTGCATACTATATGAGATGAGCAGGTCAAGTATTTTTATTTTTCTTATATTACAGATTAAAAAGTGATGCTCAAAGAAGTTAAATAACCGGCCCAAATTCACAAAAAAATGTAGATACTAGATTTTGTATTAGAAACTACCTAAATCTCCTGACAATGCTATTTCCAGGGTTTCAGGTTTCTTCAGCTGACCTCAACTGGGCAAATTAATATTTGTGGTTAATTACACTCTGGTTTAGAGACACTGTGATCTGTTTCAACCAATTCAATAGGCATTGCTGAGCATCTATTGTGTGTCTGAAACTGTGCTAGTTCATCTAGGGGAACACAGAGAAAGTGCCAGACATATTACTGGTAGGGAGGAAATGCCTATGTAAATGAAACAAATAAGAAGGAGAAAGAATAAAACCAAATGCCTCAATCTGGGAGATTTCATGCAGAAAAACCTTGAAGAATGGATGTGATTCAGGAGGTGAAAGTTAGAAAAGCATTGCAGGAGGCAAAAGAGTGTGTTGGGGAGTGGCGGGAGTGAAACAGCATGAACAAAAGCGTAGAGATTGAAATAACAGGTGGCACCCAGAGAAAGTGAAGTGACAGCCTGAGGTGCCAGGAGCACCATGTATATGTTGGTGAGTAGGGGGAGCTGGCTTCTCAGGGCCCACCTGGCCTCAGACAGTCTCACAGCAACCAAGAATCTTTAGTATTTCCAGTGAATACACACCCTAGGAAAGTAAGGGAAAAGTAGTACTCACATGTAAAAATTAAAATGCATTTTAAAAACCTCACCTTTTGCCCAGCCCTACCATTCTTGTCCTATGGGTCCACCCTCTGGAAGCTTGTACCTCTGCTCCTGTGTTTTCTGATGGTAATAAACAGGTACAGGTGTATGTGTTTGTAAATGTATTTGAACCATGAGCCATACATTTCCTGTTTGCAAAAGAGGTGTCTTTCTTTATGAAAATGTTTTAAGAGTTCAAGGTGAGGACACAGTCTGCAAGGAGATGGGAAATCAAAATTACGTTTACATAAAGTGACATGAATTAGGGAGAGAGGCTTAACTGGAGATAGAGGGAAGGGGAGGAAGCAGGAAGTGAAGAAGTGGGCAGAGCAGGAGGCCAGAGCCTGAGGAGAAAGGACAACTGGTCAGAAACTTCTGGGGCCAGAGTGGTAGAAAGGCTTTACAGAACAATGATATTTTAAATTATTTTTGGTGTTTCCATGTAAAACTTCTCCATTGCTCTGAATCTTCCATAAAAGTTAGTTACACCCAGAACCTGGAATGGGTGGTATTTTGGGGAAGTACCTAAAGTGAGGTGCAGATGTGTAGGACTCAGGGCCATGTCCAGCATGGACAACAGAGTAGCAATATTTATGCAAAGGCAACATGACCCACAGACCAGATGAAGTTCTCCCTTGATGACAAAGAGAAACCCAGGCACATTGTCTTCTTTCCCCAGAGTTGCTGGAGAAAATGGGAAGCTTGTTGAGTTTTCCATTTCATATAGGTTAGGGTTTCAACCAATTTCATTTGATCCATATAGGCCATGGTGATCCCTGCATAGATCTGGGCTACCGCAGCTCATGGTCATCACTGGCAACCATGCTTTGGTCTCTGCTTCACTGTGCTAGTCTGCCACCATGGAAAGGCCTTTCTGTTTGCTGAAAGTCACCAGGCAAGTGAGCCAGCTCCTGGAGGAGGAGGTAGAGCTAGATCGGCCAAATGTAGTCTCCAGAGAGTGACTCAAATTTGGCTTCTCTTGGCTCCAGAGTCTATTTTCTGTTTACTAAGGAATTAATCATGGTTTCCAAATTGGTCTGCCAGGACACCAGCAAGGCTGGTTAAAGCAGAGGTGCCGGGTTTGGGATTTTTCCATGCCCTGGTTGGTGATTTTCAGCAGGAAAATGAAGGGATGTGCTTCCTCCTTTATAGCTGCCCGAAAAATTATTGAAAGTCCCATAACTTATCTGATTCTGGTCACTTGTGTCAGCATAAACGCACCAGGTTTATAGCAACTGAGGTGAGATGCCTCACTTCTTTAGCATCTGAAGTGAGATGTGTCAATTCTTTTTCTTTTTTTTGTCAGCATAAAGTGAGGTGTGGATGTGAAGAACTCAGGGCCATGTCCAGCATGGGCAACAGCAATAGTAGCACTTATGCAATGGAAAGATGATCCACAGCCCAGATGAAATTAAAGCCTTTGGTGAAAAAGATAAATCCAAGTACATTGTCCTCCTTCCCCCCAACTGCTGGTTTGAGTAACACAATTTGGTGGCTATTTGAATTAATTTAATAATTGTTTAATAAATAACCAACATGTGCTAGGCTACAGAATCCCATGTTTGATTTAGCATCTAGGGAAGTCAGTCAGGGTTTGGAGATACTGTGAACATATCTTTCTTTACTTTTTCTTTTTTCGAGACAGGGTCTTGTTCTGTCACCTAGGCTGGAGTGGCATGATCATGGCTCACTGCAACTTCTGCCTCCCTGGCTCCCAGCCTCAAGTGATCCTCCCACTCCAGTCCCCTGAAGCAACTGGGACCACAGGTGAGTGCCACCATGCCTGGCTAATTTTTCTTTTCTTTCTTTCTTTCTTTCTTTCTTTTTTTTTGACATGGAGTCTTGCTCTGTTGCCAGGGTGGAGTGCAGTGGCACTATCTCGGCTCACTGCAACCTCTGCCTCCTGGGCTCAAGTGATTCTCCTGCCTCAGCCTCCCAAGTAGCTGGGACTATAGGCGTGCACCACCACGCCCAGCTAATTTTTGTATTTTTAGTAGAGATGGGGTTTCACCATGTTGGCCAGGATGGTCTCAGTTTCTTGACCTCATGATCCACCTGCCTTGGCCTTCCAGAGTGCAATTTTTGTATTCTTTGTAGAGATGGGGTTTCACTATGTTGCCCAGGCTGGTCTCAAACTCCTAGGCCCAAGGGATATGTCTGTCTTGGCCTCCCAAAGCGCTGGGATTACAGACATGAGCCACCATGCCTAGGCATATCTTTCATTCTTATAAAAGGGGCTTGAGCCTGTCTTTTTGCTAGATTCATGATAATCCTATTAGGATATGTCTTTTCAGTGTATTCATACATGAGCAATGAATCAACACAATGTCTTCTTGAGCCTGGTCTAATATCATGGGAGAAGACTTTTTAAAAGTTGAAGCATGGCTAACATGGTGAAACCCTGTCTCTACTAAAAAATACAACAAAAATTAGCCGGGCGTGGTGGTGGGCACCTGTAGTCCCAGCTACTTGGGAGGCTGAGGCAGGAGAATGGCGTGAACCCAGGAGGCGGAGCTTGTAGTGAGCTGAGATGGCACCACTGCACTCCAGCCTGGGTGATGGAGCGAGACTCCATCTCAAAAAAAAAAAAAAAGAAAGAAAAAAAAGTTGAAGCAATAATTGATTTTGCTCTCATTTGTTGGATTGTTTAACGTAAGAGGTAGCTTGATTATTTTGCACTGTAACTACTTCCACAGATGTCCACACTGATCATATTTTCCCAAGGATAATTAAGAGGCTCTTGAAAATATAATAAATAATTTTTAAATGGAGAGCATGTTTTTCAATTAGCTGGAATTACTTTAAGTAATTTGTGATTTAAGTAATTTGTGATCACTATACTTTAGAATTTAATATATAGGGTGTTTAGCTTTATGGTAATAAAAACAATCTCTAGCTGGAGAAATCTGCATTAATCTCACAAAAACACTTATATTGTGAAGTAGATTCATGGAAAGAAACATGTGACAGGTCTGTCATTTCTGTTTTTAGCTTTATCAGTCTTTCAAAATAGTAAAAACAATTAGAATAATGAAACAGATTATCATATTATAACATATTGCTATTTGAGTCCTGATTAATTTTGACACCTTCAACTGTTTGTTCTATACAAATCTGCATACACAGCACTTAGGGACTAGCATTACTATGGTCTGGGTTGTGATTAGAACAGAAATAGATAGACAGACAACAATGAAACACTCTTAACTTAGTTCCCAAATCCCACTGATGCCTGAAATCCCACTGTTAATGCATGCCTCCATAGTGTTAGGCGTAGTCCTCCTCAGTAGTGTTTTGGGCATGTCCTTCAGAGAGTGAGGATGTTACCTTAAGGAACACCAACAATCAAGAAGTATGGCATACTCAATGAGCATGTTTTCAACTCTTCTGCTACTTTTTCCTTTGTGCCACTAATCTGACGCATACAATTATTGAGAAAGGATGAAGCTAGTCAAAGTCCCTGCAGTATTTCCCACTGATGAGATATAGAAAAAAGCAACAATGGCAAATATTAGGAAAATGATTCTCAGACCCTCTATTGTATCTGGCTTATTCTAGGAGAGACCAAGAGCACAGAGCAAGTGAGCGCAAAATTGACCCAGAACTTAAATTTCTCTATCTGGGATTGAGAGTTGAAGAGTTCAGATGCCAACTACTTTGTGGTCTTTCTGAATCATGACCTTTTGTGATGACCAAGTAAAGTGAAGGTAGAATAATGTCAAAGTGAGAAGGTTCTAGGATGCATTCCTTAGAAGCTGTAAGCTGGGGTGTTTCGATCAGACTGTTTGGAAAAGCTCTTAGAGTTTCCTGCTAGAGTGGCAGTGTCCACAGAGACAATAGCAAAACAGGGTTATCCAGCTAACCAATCTTTCTAAAAATCATTTTGAAACTTAGAGTTGGAAAGGGCCAAGAGGTCATCTGCTCTACCTTCCCAGCTGCTGTCTAACATCTCATAAGTGATTATCCACTTTCTATTTGAACACCTTCCATGATACGTAGTGCATTTAAATGCCCCATTTTGGTAGTAGCCTTTCTAGATATATTTACTTATGCCCCAAAGATATCTATAATCTTCTAAGAATGTACCCTTCAGTCTGGTAACCAAGTAACCTTCTCTTTCTAGCTATTAATATATGGGATTCCTCTGTTTTTATACAAAAGCACCATGTTAGATACTATAAGGAGAGAATAGGATTCAATAATATATACTAGACTTTTGACTTGAAGGACATTTCAGCCTAGTAGAGAAATTTAGACACACATACACGTTGGCTGAGAGGAATAATCAGGGAAGTTTCAGGAAAGAGATAGTATGCGGACTTAGCCTTGAAGTGTGGGTAGAATTTGGAAAGACTTTTCCAAGAGTGGCCTAGAAAATAAGCAAAGTTGTATTACCTGGGAAAATATTTCAATAAGATTCAGGTCACTTGCTTAAGAACACCATTTCCCAGAAGACAACAGTGGGGAGTTTACCATTCGAAGACCTGCTTTGGAGATGTAGATTACTGTACCCTTTGATTTTCAGAAGATGCAGTTAGTATTTCTCTTTTTCAACAAATGCTGTTTTCTTACTAAACCATATTTCCTGTTCCCAGAGTAATTTTATGCTGATTGAAGAAAAGAAGTAAACAGAGTTCCAGAAAGCAACTGCAAATACTCATTTTGAAAAAGAAAACAAAACAAAAACAAGGGAGACATTTTAAAAGGTATTTTTATTCAGAAATTTTTAAAAAAGAAATAAGGAAAAAGGTGAACAACCCACAATTCGTCCTGTAGTATACAAATGGCATCTAAGAGTGAGAACCTTGGCATCCTTGAAAGCAGAGGTTTGAGGTCTGAGATGTTTTGGTTCATGTTGTACCATATGGGCTACTCACTGTGTGAATGCACACTCTTGTTCATCTCCCCCTATGCTGAGCTAGTCCAGACCTAGGTCTGCTCTGCCTCTCTGGGTTTGCTTGCTGGGCACGGTCAGTGGCTAAGCTGTGGATAGAATACTGTCTCTTCACCACTGACTCACAGGATGGCAGGGCCAGCTCACTTCCCCTTCTGATGTTTTTGTTCCTTAGTGTACGGTGGGACCATAGCAGTCCTCACCGTCTTTCTTCATTCCATGGAAATAAATGTGTATATTTGTGAGTGTGCTTTGAGACAAGGATGAAAAGGAGATTAGTTTTTGTCCTCTTCAGGGAAAGCACAGAATCACTGTGCCTCCTATTACTGTTAGCACCAGCAACATTCACGGGTAATTCTATCAGGGACACACAGCAGCCTTCTGAATTAATGTTGGCTTGTTTATTGCAGAGTACAGATGAAATCCTGGGCTAACCAAGTTATGTCCCCATGTTGACTCACTTCCTTACTTTCCTCCTAGGTGCTAAAGCAACAGGACCAGTTGCCAGAGAGCTTATTTTACCTCCCCAAAACAAGATTGGTGTTTCATCCTTGAGTTTAGTACACAGGATTGTTCTTATTCTTCTGCAGATAGAGAGGTGCACTGCTTTATGCTGCAAGTTGTCTATAAGACAAGTTTTGTGAGTATCAAATATTTGTAAGCAAATCAAATTTCTCCCCCAGTTGAAATGATTATTTCAGAAGAATTTCTTCTTTGTTTTGAATTGGACTTCTGAGTTGGACTTCTCAGCATGATAAAGAAGAAAGAGCATTAGAATAAGAAAGAAGATTAAGCTTCTTGTTTTGATTATGCCCATAATCAGCTGTGGGACCCCGGGCTAATGCACTCCAAAATCCCACTGTTCTGTGACCTTGCTATGTGGGGCATCAGCCTCCTCATCTCTAATATTTTGGATTTAAGTTAGTTGATTTTTATGGTCCCGCAATGGAATTCTTTAAACAACTCCACTAATCCATGATACTGTTGCTTTAAAAATCTTGGTTTTAGCTTTCCTCTAAGGAATTTATAGTGACAATTATCTACTTTTTTTTTCTTAAATAAAAATAGAGGTGGGGTTTTGCCATGTTGCCCAGGCTGGTCTCAAACTCTTGGGCTCAAGTGATCTGCCCACCTTGGCCTCCTAAAGTGCTGGGATGACAGGTGTGAGCCACTGTACCCGGCCAGACCATATGTCTCTAGCATTTTGATAACATTCTCTACAATCTGGGCCCTGTATAACTCCCCAGTCTTCAGACTACTACTCTCTATGCTCACATCTTTGGCGATTTTATACTCTTTGCCAATTTAGATGCCATTTGTTTTTTCGTTTCCAGTAGATTAGTATGTCCAACCCAGATTTTGGTAAACCCTAGACTCATTCTACAGTCTGTGACATCTCCATTTGGATTTCTTATTGGCATCTCAGACTCCATATGTCTAACCTGGAATGCCTGATCTCCATTGCCTCCTAAACCGGCTTCTCTCACGGCTCTCCCATCTCGGGGCCCAGCATCTCAGACCTTTGCCTTGCTTACACCAGACATTTTGTTGTTATCTGTACCACCTCCTTCTCGTGCAGTCTACTTGATGCCACCTAATTGGTATCCCTGGCTTCTGCCCTTGTTCTCTTAACGAATCATTTTCCAAACAGCAGCCAGAGTGATCCTTTCAAAAATGGATTCAGAAATCATGTCACTGCTCTGCCCAAAGTTCCCAAATGACTTCCCAGTCACTCAGAGCACAAGCTGACGCTCGACACATCTGGGCCCCGTAAGATTTTCATTTCTGCTCCTCCTCCTTTTGCTCACTCTGCCCCTGCCACATTGGTCTCCTGCTTTCCCGGAACTTGCCCAACATGTTCCTCCCTCAGGGCCTTCACATTTGTCATTTCCTGTCCTATGATGCTCTTCCTGCAGATATCTACAGCAGCTCCCCGCTGCTCCTTTTGCAGGTTTTTGTTCAGATGTCATCTTCCTGGTGAGCTCTTCCCTGAACAACTCCTCACCCCCTCCACCTTGCCCCTGGGACTCCCTTTGACCTTTCTCGGATTGTTTTCCCTGTAACTCTTGCCACCACCTCATACAGGGCTTCTCAAGCTTGGCATGATTGGCATTTTGGGACAGTTCTTTGTTGCGGGCTATTATCCTGTGCCTTGCAGGATGTTTAGCAGCATCACCACCCTCGACCCACTCAATACCTGCAACTTTCCTCCCTAGGTTGTGACAGCCAGAAATGTCTCCAGACACTGCCAAATGTCTCCTGGGGGACAAAACCACCCCTGGTTG
This sequence comes from Homo sapiens, assembly GCF_000001405.40. Classification (NCBI taxonomy): domain Eukaryota; kingdom Metazoa; phylum Chordata; class Mammalia; order Primates; family Hominidae; genus Homo; species Homo sapiens. The sequence continues at coordinate 185,376,202 of NC_000001.11, forward strand.
AGAATCTTTGATATAATGTAAATATGCATTTTACCTATGTATTTGTTTATTGTTCCTCCCTTCCCCACCAATAAAATATAATCTCCATGAGAACAGGAATTTTTGTGTCTATTTTCCACTGATGTAATGCAGGCACTCTGAATAGGGTATGATGCATAGTAGGTGCTCAAACAGATATTTCACTGGTGAATAAATGAAATGTGCTCTGACCTTGTTCCTCTGTGCTCATTAAGCTCTAGCCACACTGACCTTTCTTCCACCTCTCAGACATCTGAAGCTCCTTCTCACCTTTCAGTCTTTTTCTTTCAGATCTCACTCCTGGAAAGCTCTATTCGCAGGTCTCTGTTTACTTGTTACTCAGGTCCAATAACACCTGCTTAGAGAGGCTTCCCTGATCACCGTATCCTACATGACCCTCCCTGCCAGCCAGAGTCACTGTCTATATTGTTACTGTGTTTTAGTTTCTGCATTACATTTGTCTTGGAAATTATCTTGTTTACGTGGCAGGTGTACATCTTGCTCCCTTAAATGAATGCTCCTTGACCACTCCACATTATCTGCTTTGTTTATTAACGGCAGTAATCTAAAACAGTAGTCTAAAACAGTGCAAGGCCCATCGTTGATGGGCTGATTAAATAAGTATGCCTGTCTTTTAATCAATTCAGGGTGGAAGAGAGTCTCTATAGAAAGGGTTTAAGGGCTGTGTCTGTCAAGGTCCAGTAGCAAAAAAAAAGAAAAAAGAAAAAAAAAGAGTCTGCTCTAGCTAATTTGAACAGAAAGGGATTAATTAGAGAATGTGGTTCACCATCGAGAAGGCTGCAGCAACATCCTCCACAGTGAGCTTTCAGGAACCACCTTGGAAACCACACACTGACTGGGCCACCAAGGTAGAGACTGCTCTTCTTTGATTGGGAGAACTACAGCCAAGCTGGGACACTGAGGGGTCAGCTGCTGGGTCTGGGACCAAATGACCACTTCTGGGAAGATCACACCTGCATGAAAAGGAGGTCAGCACTACTGGGAACTGACAAGATCAAGAGACTGGGGTAATGACTCTGTGTGGTTCTCCCCGTGTACATGTTAATAAAATGTATATCCCTTTTCTCCAATTAAAAAAAAATTCCCTAGCAAGTTGACTCAGAAGAAATAAATGAATACTCTCAAAAAACTGCGTCAGAAAAACCAGACACTTCCACTCTAGTGTTGGCTAACAGGAAGCGACAAAGCAGCGGAAGCTTATTTGTCTTGTCTTCTAGCTCTCATGCCAGTACGCATGATTGGTGGAACAAAACCTCGGCTACTAGGAAGTCTGGGAGATGTGGCTTTTAGCTTTCCAGTCTCTGTAGCATGGAGGGCACATTGGGAACAGGTTAGAATGGCTGTGAGGGCTGCTAATCCACTATACATAGGATGGACAGATGATTGATTATTAAAAAGTTAATGAATCTTCAAGTTTATATTTGCCAGGCAAGAAGGTCTCAGTAAAACCAAACCAAAAAGGGCCAGGCACTATTACGAGGCTCATGCCTGTAATCCCAGCACTTTGGGAGGCCGAGGTGGGCAGATCACCTGAGGTCAGGAGTTCAAGACCAGCCTGGCCAACATGGCAAAACCCTGTATCTACTAAAAATACAAAAAAAAAAAAAAAAAAAAAAAAAAAGCCAGGCATAGTGGTGGGTGCCTGTAATCCCAGCTACTCAGGAGGCTGAGGCAGGCGAATTGCTTGAATCAGGGAGCAGGAGGTTGCAGTGAGCCGAGATTGTGCCACTGCATTCCAGCCTGGATGACAGAGCGAGATTCAGTCTTAAAAAAAATTAAAAAAACAAAAAACAAATAGTCAAGAGATTCTTCACTTGATACTGATGGACAGTGTACATACAATTTCAGGAATGATTACTTTTCCCCTAAGATGCAATAGCATAAGTTTGTGACCATGAATGGCATCACCATTTCTAAAGTATCAGTCTGACAAACTAAACTCAATAAAGCCATGATCTGAGATCTCCTGGAGAGTGAAACTGTTTACATCTTCTATCTCTCCCAGAAAAGTACGAAATCAATCAGCCTGGGCACTGTTTTTCATAGCTGGTCATGTACATTTTTTTCCAACATAAGGCAGTGGTTAAATTTAAGTCTTAAGGAGGGCTTTAATTGCACAGAAGCTGAGATTGGGAATTTTTGTATTGGCAAAAAAGAAATCCATTACTTGATTTTGTTTTTATTATTTGATATTCCTAAATGTTTACTTGTATGAATCTATTTATTATTTATTTTCATTTTTACTGGATCACATAATATAGAGTGTGTATACATATATTAGAGGGATGAAAATCCACAAGTTTTTTTCATTCTTTTTTATTTTTTTATTTTATTTTATTTTATTTTATTTTATTTTATTTTATTTTATTATTATTATACTTTAAGTTTTAGGGTACATGTGCACAATGTGCAGGTTTGTTACATATGTATACATGTGCCATGTTGGTGTGCTGCACCCATTAACTCGTCATTTAGCATTAGGTATATCTCCTAATGCTATCTCTCCCCCCTCCCCCCACCCCACAACCGTCCCCGGAGTGTGATGTTCCCCTTCCTGTGTCCATGTGTTCTCATTGTTCAGTTCCCACCTATGAGTGAGAACATGCGGTGTTTGGTTTTTTGTCCTTGCGTTAGTTTGCTGAGAATGATGGTTTCCAGTTTCATCCATGTCCCTGCAAAGGACATGAACTCTTCATTTTTTATGGCTGCATAGTATTCCATGGTGTATATGTGCCACATTTTCTTAATCCAGTCTATCATTGTTGGACATTTGGGTTGGTTCCAAGTCTTTGCTATTGTGAATAGTGCTGCAGTAAACATAAGTGTGCATGTGTCTTTATAGCAGCATGATTTATAATCCTTTGGGTATATACCCAGTAATGGGATGGCTGGGTCAAATGGTATTTCTAGTTCTAGATCCCTGAGGAATCACCACACTGACTTCCACAATGGTTGAACTAGTTTACAGTCCCACCAACAGTGTGAAAGTGTTCCTATTTCTCCACATCCTCTCCAGCACCTGTTGTTTCCTGACTTTTTAATGATTGCCATTCTAACTGGTGTGAGATGGTATCTCATTGTGGTTTTGATTTGCATTTCTCTGATGGCCAGTGATGGTGAGCATTTTTTCATGTGTTTTTTGGCTGCATAAATGTCTTCTTTTGAGAAGTGTCTGTTCATGTCCTTCGCCCACTTTTTGATGGGGTTGTTTGTTTTTTTCTTGTAAATTTGCTGGAGTTCATTGTAGATTCTGGATATTAGCCCTTTGTCAGATGAGTAGGTTGTGAAAATTTTCTCCCATTTTGTAGGTTGCCTGTTCACTCTGATGGTAGTTTCTTTTGCTGTGCAGAAGTTCTTTAGTTTAATTAGATCCCATTTGTCAATTTTGGCTTTTGCTGCCGTTGCTTTTGGTGGTTTAGACATGAAGTCCTTGCCCATGCCTATGTCCTGAATGGTATTGCCTAGTTTTTCTTCTAGGGTTTTTATGGTTTTAGCTCTAACATGTAAGTCTTTAATCCATCTTGAATTAATTTTTGTATAAGGTGTAAGGAAGGGATCCAGTTTCAGCTTTCTACATATGGTTAGCCATTTTTCCCAGCACCATTTATTAAATAGGGAATCCTTTCCCCATTGCTTGTTTTTGTGAGGTTTGTCAAAGATCAGATAGTTGTAGATATGCGGCATTATTTCTGAGGGCTCTGTTCTGTTCCATTGGTCTATATCTCTGTTTTGGTACCAGTACCAGGCTGTTTTGGTTACTGTAGCCTTGTAGTATAGTTCGAAGTCAGGTAGCGTGATGCTTCTGGCTTTGTTCTTTTGGCTCAGGATTGACTTGGCGATGAGGGCTCTTTTTTGGTTCCATATGAACTTTAAAGTAGTTTTTTCCAATTCTGGGAAGAAAGTCATTGGTAGCTTGATGGGGATGGCATTGAATCTGTAAATTACCTTGGGCAGTATGGCCATTTTCACGATATTGATTCTTCCTACCCATGAGCATGGAATGTTCTTCCATTTGTTTGTATCCTCTTTTATTTCCTTGAGCAGTGGTTTGTAGTTCTCCTTGAAGAGGTCCTTCACATCCCTTGTAAGTTGGATTCCTAGGTATTTTATTCTCTTTGAAGCAATTGTGAATGGGAGTTCACTCATGATTTGGCTCTCTGTTTGTCTGTTATTGGTGTATAAGAATGCTTGTGATTTTTGTACATTGATTTTGTATCCTGAGACTTTGCTGAAGTTGCTTATCAGCTTAAGGAGATTTTGGGCTGAGACGATGGGGTTTTCTAGATATACAATCATGTCGTCTGCAAACAGGGACAATTTGACTTCCTCTTTTCCTAATTGAATACCTTTTATTTCCTTCTCCTGCCTAATTGCCCTGGCCAGAACTTCCAACACTATGTTGAATAGGAGTGGTGAGAGAGGGCATCCCTGTCTTGTGCCAGTTTTCAAGGGGAATGCTTCCAGTTTTTGCCCATTCAGTATGATATTGGCTGTGGGTTTGTCATAGATAGCTCTTATCATTTTGAAATACGTCCCATCAATACCTAATTTATTGAGAGTTTTTAGCATGAAAGGTTGTTGAATTTTGTCAAAGGCTTTTCTGCATCTATTGAGATAATCATGTGGTTTTTGTCTTTGGCTCTGTTTATATGCTGGATTACATTTATTGATTTGCGTATATTGAACCAGCCTTGCATCCCAGGGATGAAGCCCACTTGATCATGGTGGATAAGCTTTTTGATGTGCTGCTGGATTTGGTTTGCCAGTATTTTATTGAGGATTTTTGCATCAATGTTCATCAAGGATATTGGTCTAAAATTCTCTTTTTTGGTTGTGTCTCTGCCAGGCTTTGGTATCAGGATGATGCTGGTCTCATAAAATGAGTTAGGGAGGATTCCCTCTTTTTCTATTGATTGGAATAGTTTCAGAAGGAATGGTACCAGCTCCTCCTTGTACCTCTGGTAGAATTTGGCTGTGAATCCATCTGGTCCTGGACTTTTTTCAGTTGGTAAGCTATTGATTATTGCCACAATTTCAGATCCTGTTATTGGTCTATTCAGAGATTCAACTTCTTCCTGGTTTAGTCTTGGGAGAGTGTGTGTGTCGAGGAATTTATCCATTTCTTCTAGATTTTCTAGTTTATTTGAGTAGAGTTGTTTGTAGTATTCTCTGATGGTAGTTTGTATTTCTGTGGGATCGGTGGTGATATCCCCTTTTTCATTTTTTATTGCATCTATTTGATTCTTCTCTCTTTTCTTCTTTATTATTCTTGCTGTCAGTCTATCGATTTTGTTGATCTTTTCGAAAAACCAGCTCCTGGATTCATTAATTTTTTGAAGGGTTTTTTGTGTCTCTATTTCCTTCAGTTCTGCTCTGATTTTAGTTATTTCTTTCCTTTGGCTAGCTTTTGAATGTGTTTGCTCTTGCTTTTCTAGTTCTTTTAATTGCGACGTTAGGGTGTCAATTTTGGATCTTTCCTGCTTTCTCTTGTGGGCATTTAGTGCTATAAATTTCCCTCTACACACTGCTTTGAATGTGTCCCAGAGATTCTGGTATGTTGTGCCTGTTCTCGTTGGTTTCAAAGAACATCTTTATTTCTGCCTTCATTTCGTTATGTACCCAGTAGTCATTCAGGAGCAGGTTGTTCAGTTTCCATGTAGTTGAGGGGTTTTGAGTGAGTTTCTTAATGCTGAGTTCTAGTTTGATTGCACCGTGGTCTGAGAGTTTGTTATAATTTCTGTTCTTTTACATTTGCTGAGGGGTGCTTTACTTCCAACTATGTGGTCAATTTTGGAATAGGTGTAGTGTGGTGCTGAAAAAAATGTATATTCTGTTGATTTGGGGTGGAGAGTTCTGTAGATGTCTATTAGGTCCACTTGGTGCAGAGGTGAGTTCAATTCCTGGGTATCCTTGTTAACTTTGTGTCTCATTGATCTGTCTAATGTTGACAGTGGGGTGTTAAAGTCTCCCATTATTATTGTGTGGGAGTCTAAGTCTCTTTGTAGGTCACTCAGGACTTGCTTTATGAATCTGGGTGCTCCTGTGTTGGGTGCATATATATTTAGGATAGTTAGCTCTTCTTGTTGAATTGATCCTTTTACCATTATGTAATGGCCTTCTTTGTCTCTTTTGATCTTTGTTGGTTTAAAGTCTGTTTTATCAGAGACTAGGATTGCAACCCCTGCCTTTTTTTGTTTTCCATTTGCTTGGTAGATCTTCCCCCACCCCTTTATTTTGAGCCTATGTGTGTCTCTGCACATGAGATGGGTTTCCTGGATACAGCACACTGATGGGTCTTGACTCTTTATCCAATTTGCCAGTCTGTGTCTTTTAATTGGAGCATTTAGCCCATTTACATTTAAAGTTAATATTGTTATGTGTGTATTTGGTCCTGTCATTATGATGTTAGCTGGTTATTTTGCTCGTTAGTTGATGCAGTTTCTTCCTAGCCTTGATGGTCTTTACACTTTGGCATGTTTTTGTAGTGGCTGGTACCAGTTGTTCCTTTCCATGTTTGGTGCTTCCTTCAGGAGCTCTTTTAGGGCAAGCCTGGTGGTGACAAAATCTCTCAGCATTTGCTTGGCTGTAAAGTATTTTATTTCTCCTTCACTTATGAAGCTTAGTTTGGCTGGATATGAAATTCTGGGTTGAAAATTCTTTTCTTTAAGAATGTTGAATATTGGCCCCCACTCTCTTCTGGCTTGTAGAGTTTCTGCCGAGAGATCTGCTGTTAGTCTGATGGGCTTCCCTTTGTGGGTAACCCGACCTTTCTCTCTGGCTGCCCTTAACATTTTTTCCTTCATTTCAACTTTGGTGAATCTGACAATTATGTGTCTTGGAGTTGCTCTTCTTGAGGAGTATCTTTGTGGCATTCTCTGTATTTCCTGAATCTGAATGTTGGCCTGCCTTGCTAGATTGGGGAAGTTCTCCTGGATAATATCATGCAGAGTGTTTTTCAACTTGGTTCCATTCTCCCCGTCACTTTCAGGTACACCAATCAGATGTAGATTTGGTCTTTTCACATAATCCCATATTTCTTGGAGGCTTTGTTCATTTCTTTTAATTCTTTTTTCTCTAAACTTCCCTTCTCGATTCATTTCACTCATTTCATCTTCCATCGCTGATACCCTTTCTTCCAGTTGATTGCATCGGCTCCTGAGGCTTCTGCATTCTTCACATAGTTCTCGAGCCTTGGCTTTCAGCTCCGTCAGCTCCTTTAAGGACTTCTCTGTATTCGTTATTCTAGTTATCCATTCGTCTAATTTTTTTTCAAAGTTTTTAACTTCTTTGCCATTGGTTTGAATTTCCTCCTGTAGCTCGGAGTCGTTTGATCGTCTGAAGCCCTCTTCTCTCAGCTCATCAAAGTCATTCTCCGTCCAGCTTTGTTCCGTTGCTGGTGAGGAGCTGCATTCCTTTAGAGGAGGAGAGGCGCTCTGCTTTTTAGAGTTTCCAGTTTTTCTGCTCTGTTTTTTCCCCATCTTTGTGGTTTTATCTACTTTTGGTCTTTGATGATGGTGATGTACAGAAGGGTTTTTGGTGTGGATGTCCTTTCTGTTTGTTAGTTTTCCTTCTAACAGACAGGACCCTCAGCTGCAGGTCTGTTGGAGTTTGCTAGAGGTCCACTCCAGACCCTGTTTGCCTGGGTATCAACAGCGGTGGCTGCAGAACAGTGGTGGCTGTAGGACAGCGGATCTTGGTGAACCGCAAATGCTGCCGCCTGATCATTCCTCTGGAGGTTTTGTCTCAGAGGAGTACCCGGCCGTGTGAGGTGTCAGTCTGCCCCTACTGGGGGTGCAGACTGCCTGTTGAGGAGGCAGTCTGCCTGTTCTCAGATCTCCAGCTGTGTGCTGGGAGAACCACTGCTCTCTTCAAAGCTGTCAGACAGGGACATTTAAGTCTGCAGAGGTTACTGCTGTCTTTTTGTTTGTCTGTGCCCTGCCCCCAGAGGTGGAGCCTACAGAGGCAGGCAGGCCTCCTTGAGCTGTGGTGGGCTCCACCCAGTTCGAGCTTCCTGGCTGCTTTGTTTACCTAATCAAGCCTGGGCAATGGCAGGTGCCCCTCCCCCAGCCTTGCTGCTGCCTTGCAGTTTGATCTCAGACTGCTGTGCTAGCAATCAGTGAGACTCTGTGGGCGTAGGACCCTCTGAGCCAGGTGCGGGATATAATCTCCTGCTGTGCCGTTTTTTTAAGCCCTTTGGAAAAGCACAGTATTAGGGTGGGAGTGACCCGATTTTCCAGGTGCCGTCTGTCACCCCTTTCTTTGACTAGGAAAGGGAACTCCCTGACCCCTTGCACTTCCCGAGTGAGGCAATGCCTCGCCGTGCTTCAGCTCGCGCACGGTGTGCTGCACCCACTGTCCTGCACCCACTTTCTGGCACTCCCTAGTGAGATGAACCTGGTACCTCAGATGGAAATGCAGAAATCACCCATCTTCTGCGTCGCTCACACTGGGAGCTGTAGACCGGAGCTGTTCCTATTCAGCCATCTTGGCTCCACCTCCCATTCTTTTTCATTTTTTAAGAGATGGGGTCTTGTTTTTGCCCAGGCTGGTCTTGACCTCCTGAGCTCAAACAATCCCTGCTCCTCAGCCTCCCAAGTAAAATTCGTTTTATTCTTAACCTTGCATCTGTGGGCTTTTTATTTAAAAAGCCCATTGCAATTATAGATATTGTTGGTTTATCTGTTTTACATATTTAAAACCTAACTTTAAATAGAATCAATATGAAATAATAATTGGGGAGCTCCAGCTTATCAAAAAGTATAGCAATATAGAAGAACCTAAACAAAATTTTGGAATGTGCTTTTTAAGAATGTGATTTTATCAAAGTTAGGAAACTTAAAACTCTAAAACTTTTGCATTCTCCATTTTAAGCAGTTCACACTTAGAGGTAGCTTAAGGACTTCTTTCTTTCATTTTTTTTTTTTTTTTTTGTTACAGGGTCTCACTCTGTCACTCAGGCTGGAGTGCAGTGGCTCTCACTGCACTGTACAGTCTCAGCTCACTGCAACCTCTGTCCCCTGTGCTCAAGTGATCCTCCAACCTCAGCCTCCCCAGTAGCTGGGAGAAACAGGTGCATGCCAACACACCCGGCTATTTTTTCGTGTGTTTTTAGTAGAGACGGGGTTTTGCCATGTTGCCCAGCTTGGTCTCGAACTCCTGAGCTGAAGCAATCTGCTCACCTTGGTCTCACAGAGTGCTGAGATTACAGGCATGACCACTGTGTCCGACTTCCCTTGTGAACGACTTTTTAATTAGCTACTCTTTATTGGGTACCTCCTTTGTATGAGGCCTTGAACATTTTCTCATATAATCTTCACAGCTTCCCTATGAGGCATAGATAGTATTATTTCTGTTAGGCCAACATGGATACCAAAGCTCAGAGGAACTGCTTGTTCAAAGACATCTGGCAAGGGAAGGCAGAGCTGGGATTAAAAACTAGGGTTTGAACTCATATCTTCCCAACCTCAAAGCCTACACCTTCTTCAGCAGCCATCATAGCCCTAATGAAAAAAAAAAGGCCACCACCTTTTGCACCATTTATTTATTCATTTGAGCATTAATTCATTTATTCATTCATTCAGTTAGTCAGTCAGTGCTACTTGAATGCTTATTATGGGCCAGGCATGTGCCAATATTAAAATGATGAGCCATGAAAAGGGCATCATCTCAGCTTCCACAAAGTTGAGAACCTTGTTCCCTCCAGGTTAGTTGCTTTTTCAGTATTTACAGATGAGGATTAGCTCCCTGCAAACACAGATAAGAATGTAGAGTGAGGGAAAAAAATGTTTTTAATATAGGAGATGAACATTTTATGAATATTTCCATGTGAAAGAACATTAAAATTGATTACTAGGCATAGGTTATGTGTTTGACTAGATTCCTTAATGACTTCAAGATGAATGAAGCACAGAAATTAATTAGTGGCTGAAACTCATGAAATCCCTGGTGGGGAAGATATAGCTGATCGGATTTTTACATGGAGTTGAAGCAAATGATAGAAATTGAGTTCCTGTTAGGAAGGACCAAGCATTTAAGACCTTGCTTAATGATATTTCTGGAGTGCTAGCAGCCTGTACGCTCTGGGCAACACTGCCAGATTCCTGAGTAAAGGTACCAACCTCACAAGCTATCAACTACAAATGACAGAACCCATGATGTATGTCAGGACTTCAGTGCCCAGAGGGACCAGTAGGCTGCATACCCAGTTACAGAGGGCCAGGACTATTAACAGGTAAGAATAGTCTTCATTGCTACATACACACAGTGTATTTTCTCCTATTGTTAGATCTTTCATTTTCCCCCTTGCAATAGAAACGTAGATATAGGGAACTTCACTTTCACCTTTACCATAAGAAAAACAATAGCCAGAGAGCAATAATGAATGGCCGATGTTCCACCTCAGTCTAGGGGGGCAGTATAAAGTGGCAGGGCCTGTGGGACCCTGGAAATAACATGACTTACCTAATGGGGCAGCTGCGACTCAGTTCCCGCTTATAGTTGCCATGCAAGAGGGTCCAGTTGTGTCAGATATTTCTATTTTTAAAGAGAAGCCAGAAATCTGGATGTTTCTGTAAAATCCTCAGATATTTACATATTGGCAACCAATTTAAAATTAAAACAACAACAAAAGTCTTGGGCCAACCTTTTAAATAGGTGACCAACCATTCAGGTTTTCCTGGGACTGAGGGGTTACCTGGGACATGGGTCTTTCAGTGCTAAAACAAGGAGAGTCCAGGCCAAACTGGAATGGTTGGTCCTCCTAGAATGTGGAGGACAAACAAAACATCTATATGGGCCAAATAAAGTCTGCAGGTGGTCAGCCTGTGACCTCTGAGGAATAGGACAGCAAACCAGAATAGGATTGACATAGACATATTTTCTTTTCTTTATTTCATTTTATTTTTTTTCAGTTGGAGTTTCACTCTTGTCGCTCAGGCTGGAGTGCAATGGTGCAATCTCGGCTCACTGTAACCTCCTCCTCCCGGGTTCAAGTGATTCTCCTGTCTCAGCCTCCCAAGTAGCTGGGATTACAAGGGTGTGCCACCACACCTGGCTAATTTTTGTATTTTTAGTAGAGATAGGGTTTCACCATGTTGGCCAGGCTGGTCTCGAACTCCTGACCTCAGGTGATCCATCTGCCTCGGCCTCCCAAAGTGTTGGGATTACAGGTGTGAGCCACCGTGCCTGGCCACACCGACATACTTTCTTTCTTTTTTTTTTTTTTTTTTGAGATGGAGTCTTGCTCCCACATAGACATATTTTCAAAGGAATGGAAAAATATTTGATTATGAGAGACTACATATACATGGACAAAAGCACTACCAATGTACTCACTTCCACTGTCCCCATAGTCCATATCTGATAGCCACAGCTAGATTACAAACAATTGGAATGAACTGGTAACAATGCTATAAGGTTGGCTTTTTTTTTTTTTTTCAGCTGAACTTCGACCAAGGAACACACAGGGGAGAGAGCCTTTCTTTGAAGAGTGGGAGGTAAACAGAAGCAGAGGCTAAAAAGAACAGGCCGAGTGCTCTTAAAGGTTGCACACAATCTAAGGAAATGTTGGAAAGTTATATGGAATTGTCTTGAACCAGAATTTTTTAATGTACTTAAGTTTTGTAGCTGAGGTTAAGGGTTAATTTTTCACCAGCTTTGCTTTAAAAACACAAAAAACAAAACCCAGATTTTGTGTCCATAGAATATTACTATGAGAAGGGACCTTAATCACTGTGGCAGAAGAGTTCAAACTGGCCTGTTCAGAATTGTGTAGGAGGGCACCAATAGAGTGATAAGGGAAGGTGACAGCATCTTTAAGATGCATTTCCAGCAAAAAAATGTTTCATGGGACAAAGAAAAATGATCACTAAAATCTAAATCCAACAGAAGTTATTTCATACTCTGCTTTTTGTTTATGAAATCAAATGATAATAAACTACTGAATGCTCACATTGCTGAAACTCGATGCAAATTATGTCCTTTCACTGAAGGACAGTGGAATTGAAAAAGGAAAATTCATTATCAAAAAGGCTACTAGATAGTATCTGAGCCATTTCATTTGGTCGATGCACATTTAAAAAATACCTATTACTTGCAAAACATAGCCAAAATGTTAAAAACAACCTTTCCAACCATAGTTATCCATTGACACATACTTGGCTTTATTCTTCATTTTCAACAGCATCTCTTTTTCATAACAGAATTCTCCTTGAAGTTAGAGAATAAACTCTGTAGTGAGGCTATGCTCCAGGCACATAAGGAGCAAGTAAATGCAAGGCTGACTCTTATCTTATTACACCAGCATGCTGCACCAGCCAGAGAACTTACTGGTCATATTAACAGTCACAAAGAGGTATTATTAAGGTCCAAAGACTCACCAGTTTCTTGTCTGAATAATGAGAATCTTCTTTCATTTACCTTGCTTTCTTTGGGGCCAAACATGGTTCATCTTTGACACCTGTTTGTGTAAATTCCTAGGAATCTCAACAGAGTAGGATAGAGGCAATGGCCCAATAGTGTAAATAGCATGAATGTCATACTCACAAACCACAGAGGCCAACCCAGGTTCCTTGCAAACTCTGAGAGGCTCCTAGAGACTGGAGATCAATGGAAGCTGTCTTTATTATGGGTAGAAAGCATGTAGGTGTAAGGCACTTAAATACAAGCTTGGTGAATAGCTCAGGATCAGAATGATCTGATATGAGGTGCCAGCACCTAACAATGAGTTTATGGTTAAAAAAGCACACCCACACTGCCCCAGCACTTGCCATTCCCCTTCTGATTAGATCCAGGAAGGCTGCAGGAAGGGAGGGATGTGTTAATTCTTTTTTTGAGACATGATCTCACTATGTTGCCCAGGCTGGAGTGCAGTGGCTATTCACAGGCATGATCATTGCACACTACAGCCCAGAACTCTTAGGCTCAAGCAGTCCTTCTGCCTCAGCCTCCTGAGTAGCTGGGACTGCAGGGTGCATACCAGTGAACCTAGCTCTAAGGGTGTGTTAATTCTTGAACCCATTTTGGGGGTTGCTGACACTGGAAAATGAGCCAACAAAACATGATTATAAAACATTGTTTTGGTGTTCAGACTAGACTCCCTGCTAGGACAAATCTCTGAGGGGCTGTTTTGGGCCCTTTATCTCAGAAATTAGTCTTAGGAATTTTGTTATTGTGTATGTGAATATGTGTGTTTAAAGTTAAAGCTCCAAACATTTATGATCTCATAAGTTCTGAGGGTCAGGAATCTGGGGGCAGCTTAGCTGGGTGGTTTTGGCCCAGGGTCTTTCATGAGGTTGCAGTCAAAGTGTCAGTCGGTGCTTCATTGTCTGAAAGCTTGACAGGGGCTCTAGGGTCCGCTCTAAGACAGTGCATCTTTGGCTCAAGCTGGCTCATTCATATGGCTATTGGCTGGAGGCCTCAGCTTCTTCCATCTTGCCATCAACCTATCTGTGTGGTTGCTTGAGTGTCTTCATGGCAAGGCAACTAGCTTCCCTCAAAGTGAACAACCTAAGAGAGAAGGGAGGACTGCAATTAACATGGCTTTTTAAATTGCATTTTTGAGATTTACAGCATCTTGGTATCACTAAGTTGCTTCATGGCTTCATGCCCCTGGCAGCCAATATAGTATTGGGGGTGATATGGACTTTCCAAGGGTTACTCACTTGCTTTCAAAGGAAGCAAATGAGTCTGCATTGGAAGATGTGAGAGGTGGGTGATGATGTGGGCACCGCAACTAGGAGAAGCCTCCTAAATAAATGACCGTCATTCATTGCCTAATAAAGTTATAATTGTCTAACTTCTGGAAGAGAAGGATTTGACCAAATATTTAGTCCAAACCTCCCATTTTACAGATACCAGTTGAAGACATGAGAGATGAAATTCTACATAAATACCTTGGAGTATTTGTATTTAAAAGAGTCATCCTCTTTAATTAACGTCTCTTTGTAGGTAGGTTGTTATAGCACAGTATAGATAAGCAATCTCTGGACTTTCCAAGGTCATTATGAACAAAGACAAGATAGTGGCTGGCCATGAAGAAACTGTATATCTGATTCTCAGCCACCTTTGAGTCATGTGAATCTGAATGCAGAAAAAGAATCAAGATCATAACACTAAGTCTCCCACACATTACTGGGATAATAAGTAGTTGGAAAGTTGTAAAGAAAGTTTCTTCTTCTAGGCCTCAAAGCTTTTAGAAACAATGCAGGTTGAGTACTCCTTATTCTAAATGCTTGAGACCAGAAGTGTTTTGAATTCCTGATTTTTTTCAGATTTTAGGATATTTGCATTATACCAATTGAACATCCAAAATCTGAAAATCTGGAATCTGAAATGCTCCAAGGCTCCAAGGAGCATTTCCTTTGAGCATTATGTTGGCACTCAATAAGTTTTGGATTTTGGAGCATTTCAGATTTTGGATTTTCAGATTTAGGATGCTCAACCTGTAATTGAAAATATTGGGTAACTTGCTTAACCTTGCTAAGACCCATTTCTTTTTCTGTAAAATCAGGCTGATGATGGAAACCTTATTGAATTCTGATAATCAGAAATAAGCTATCCTATGTAGGTGTCCAATAAATGGTGGCTGATTTTATTATTACTATTACAATTATATTTTTTATTCAAGGCTTTAGGCTCATAAGCAATATGTGGTTATTCCTACCTAAGAGAACATTTATCCCTTTAGTTCTCAAAATTACATTGGGGTATCTGATCTGTGTTGGTAGCAGGAGTAGGAGATTCTCCAGGTCACTGTAGCCTTGTGAGGTAGTGTTTCTCCTGAGACCACCTGGAGCAGAATTACCTAGTTATTGGTTAAAAATGCAAAGTCTTAGATCCTGCCACAGATCAACTGAGTGTATAAAAAATCGAAGTCTGAATCTATATTTTTAACAAACTATCCAAATGATTCTTATGCCCACTAAAGTTTGAAAACCTCTACATAAGGTGTTTTGGAGCCCTTATGAGGCTCACAGAGGACAAGCTAGATAAATTGATCTTAACCAGAAGTTTCTATATTTTAAAAACTTATGCATCCCCATCAATAAAATATTTTGTGTAATGTAATCCTAATGTTTATATATTTCCTTATACATTTATTTTAAAATTACATACAAGTACCACTATGCTAATATATACATTATAAAACAAAATAGAAATTTTAAAAAGATGAGATAAAAATTCAATGTAGAAATTTTAATATTTTCTTTCCACGTTCCAGTGGATCGTATGATATATCCCTTGGAATTTGTACTCCCTACACCAGAGACCACTGGTCTTAATCAGAAGTGGGCACTATGGTTGTGTTCATTCAATCACTTATTAAGCAAACATTATAGAATTCCTTCCAAATGCTGGGCTTGTCCTAGGCTCCAAGGCCTCACTGTGGTGATCATCTCCTTCCATCATGCTGAAGTGCTGATAGCATCATCACATCATCAGGTGTAAACCCTTTGTTCTTGCTAAGTTCTGTTGGTAGGAAGGTTCAGGTTGCCTCCTCCAGGCAGTAGGAGCAGTGCTGCATCTAGTTCAAGGCTATATTCAAGGTCAAACTATAACTTAACAGAATATTTGGGTTGGGGGGAAAGTCCAAGACAGTCTTGGTATGTCACTAAGGACCTACACAATGAGGTTACAATAGATAAGTGGCCCTCACTGAACAGCCCAGAGCACCATCTTTGGGAAGGTTATGTGGCCCTGTGGAAAGAATGCTGGACTTGGTCTTGGAGGATCTGCATGTGGGTCTGGCTTCATTTCTTACTCTGTGAACTTCTGTAAATTGCTTACCCTCATTGAGTGTCTGTTTGCTGTTTTGTAGAACAAGAATGATAACATCTTTTTGCTATCATAATCAAACTCTCCTCATCTTTGATAATCACATTGAATTCCAGGTTTAATCAATCAATGAGTTTGATTATAATAGCAAACATCTTTTTGCTATCATAGTCAAACTCTCCTCATCTTTGATAATGATAGCATTGAATTCCAGGTTTAATCAATCAGCTGTCAATCACTATGGATTTATTGAACGCCTGATGGATGTTCCAAAGCATCATCAGGTAAGTACAATTCCACTTTTCCTGATTTTGCTAGAAATCAAGTTCTTATTATCCTGAAATCAACTGCTCACCTTCCATCTGTCACCTCTCCACTGCCACAAAGGTTAAGGGATGTGACTTCAAAGCCTGGCTTTGCCATTTTGTCATTTAATTTCCTTAAGCCTTTGTTACCTTATCTGTAAAAAGAGGATAATGATATTTACCCCTGAAATTAGTGAGAATTAAATGAGATAAATCATGTAAAATGCTTGGTACAATTGAAACATAGTAAAAATTGAATATATTATTACTTAAATGGAAAATATGGTGAGGTTCTTTTTCAACATTTTGGCAAATGCGAACTGAAACCTGATACATCTGTTTAGACCTAGATTTCACTTGGGGATTCTAAAGAACCAAGTGATTTGACCTTATATCTATTCTTTTTTAAATTTTTTTGAGACAGGGTCTTGCTCTGTTGCCCAGGCTGGAGTACAGTGGTGTGAACGTGCCTCACTGCAGCATTGATCTCCCAGGCTCAGGTGATTCTCCTGCCTCAGCCTCCTGAGTCCCTGGGATTACAGGGGCGTGCCACCACACCTGGCTACTTTTTTGTATTTTTTGTAGAGACAGGGTTTTGCCATGTTACCCAGGCTGGTCTCGAACTCCTAGGCTCAAGCAATCCACCCACCTTGGCCTTCCAAAGTAATGAGAATACAGGCGTGAGACCTTTTATCTTTTATCTGACTAACTTTCTTATATTGGTCATTAAGAATAAAGTTCAAAGATAGATTTTCTTAAAAAAATTTAGTTAGGGAATTAATAATGACTTGCTTGGCAGAATGAAGTTTTTGGCTGTGTTTGAGATTGGTCTATATTTAAGAACTGCCCCCCAAATTAAGACTAAATATTTACTAGACATAAGAATAAATGGAAAAGATCTTGCTAATGTAATAAAATGTGATAATGAAGCCATGAGTTGGTAGTTTATATGTGCCACAACAAAGCTTTGATCCTGACTTTTAAATTATATAACACGAATCTTACCCTAATATTTAATAACAATGGATTTATTCTTGTTACACAAGCTATTGACGTAGCTTAAATTACTCACTTAGTGATGCGTGATGTAATAAACTGGCATTTCCTTCATCCTGAATTTTACAAGGAGGATTTGATTATATAGGCACATTTTAGCTGATCATAACTTACCTTCATAATAGGTCCACAGCTAAAAAAAAAAAAAAAAAAAAAAAAGACCAAAAGGCTGACCAGTATTTGTTTCGGAGTGAATTTGCATGCCATTTTCCTTAAATATCCTAAGTACAAACCTAATCTTTAAAACAAGGGCTCTCTTCTGTTGCCTGAGTTTGAAGCTAATCTTTGTTCTAATTTCTCTTTGTATCTTGTTGTGCTTTCCTAGCATTGTAGACTCATAGTGGCATACAGCATTAGAACGGGAAAGAAACTTAGAGATCTAATTCACCTCTATGACCCAGGCATGTTAGTTGATCATTTTCATCAACCTCGGAGGGGAGAATACACTCAAGGTCATGATTTGCAGCTCTGCTTATGGTTTATTTCTCCCAGCAAATAGTATTTGTTCAATTTCTCTGACTCCCGATTTAATTTTTTTTGTTCAGATGTATAAAAGTGTGGTAAAATCAGATTAACCTGAAACACTGTGTGCAGTTCTTTCCCTAGAACAAGACTTGATACGTGAGTGGAAACTGGTATTTCCAGTTCTCATCAATGAGGTGTGGCAAATTGTGCCATGATCTGCTATTGGAACTGGTTATATTCATCCCATGGTTGTATATTTTTAGTATTATGACTCTTCAAAATTGAGTATAAAATTGTCTACAATTTTAGTGAATATTCACATTCAGAAATCTTTTTTTTTGTATTTAGATGGAGTTTAGCTCTTGTTGCCCAGGCTGGAGTGCAGTGGCACGATCTCGGCTCACTGCAACCTCCGCCTCCCGGGTTCAAATGATTCTTCTGCCTCAGCCTTCCGAGTAGCTGGGACTACAGGGGCGTGCCACCACACATGGCTAATTTTTTATTTTTAGTAGAGACAGGGTTTCATCATGTTGGCCAGGATGGTCTTGATCTCTTGACCTCATGATCCACCTGCCTCGGCCTCCCAAAGTGCTGGGATTACAGGCGTGAGCCACCACACCTGGCCTAGAAATCATATTTAAGGCACATACTATTTCTCCTTTTTTCCACAGTATGATTTAGATTAAATGTTTCTTACTGAATTAATTACACTAGAGAACCCTAACCAAATTGAGGATTTTTTTATATTGTAAAAGGATTTTTGAAAGTCTAAGATCTTGATTAATAAATTAGATTCTGAGACTCAGAACTCATTATTGAACTTTAATTGAGGAAGGCCTTTAGAAATGCTAATCTGATATCCTGGGAGTTGTAAATATTGTATAGTAATAGCATATTTCATATTATTAAACAGACGACACTATTTAGCAAAAATAAAAGTCAATAATTTAGCAAATAAAAGGCAAAGTAGATGTATGAGTGTAGCATCAGAATAATGTAAAATGGATTCCCAGAACTATCTGTGTTTACAGAGAAAAATTGTATAATGGGGATATGGATGTACCAGAAGAATGCAGCCTAGATGTTCCAATTTCAGGGTACATAATTGTGAACAAAGAAATAAGCCCAGGCTGGGTGCGGGGGCTCACGCCTGTAATCCCAGCACTTTGGGAGGTCGAGGCGGGCGGATCACCTGAGTTCAGGAGTTTGAGACCAGCCTGATTAGTATGGCGGAACCCCGTCTCCACTAAAAATGCAAAAAAAACAAAAAAAACAAAAAAACAATTAGCCGTGTGTAGTGGTGGGCGCCTGTAATCCCAGCTACTTGGGAGGCTGAGGCAGGAGAATCGCTTGAACCCGGGAGGCGGAGGTTGCAGTGAGCCGAGATCATGCCATTGCACTCCAAACTGGGCAACAAAGCGAGACTCTGTCTCAAAAAAACAAAAACAAAAACAAAAAACACAGAAATAAGTCCAGACCCAGTGCATTATTATATATTATTAAGCAGTAGGAAGTGTGAAGAATCTTTGATTTCTAGAACTATGTAGTTTGTACCTACTTTCTTACTTCCTTAGTCACTATACTTGTTTCAACTACCAATCAACTGAAACTGCTTTCAGAGAGGTCACCAATGAATTACAATTTGCCAAACTTTCTTCTGCAAGGAAAAAATTTGACATTGAGTACTTCCTCCTGAAAATTCACTTCTTATAAATTCATATAATTTGTACTGTACTTTATAATCTCTAGCGTCCATGGTGTTGCCACTGAATAGTTTTCTGCTATTCTTATTCTTCCTTCACCCATACCATAATTAATTATTGATATCCAATATTCCATACTTGGTCCTTTTTTCTATTAATGCTACCAGAAGTTATGAACATACAATATGCATCAAATCACACATGCCCACAGCAGACGTTGTTAATTGATTTTGACAATTTTCTCTCAATCCTGATTCTATCCTAGAATTCTAAAACATGCTTCAGGCAGCCATCAAATGATCAGAGTTTGCACATCAAAAGAAACATTTTCTCTACTCCTGTTTTACATAACTATCTTGGAAGATCTCATCTGTACTCTTGACTTTAAATTCCAAAAAGCCTACGGCTTATTTATTAGTGTATCCAACTCCTCTCATAGGGCCTAGAGAACATGGTTTGCATTGGATAAATATTTGCAGAATGAAAGCTAAAATGTTAGATTAGCTAACAATATCT
The DNA here is from genome assembly GCF_000001405.40 of Homo sapiens. Taxonomy (NCBI): domain Eukaryota; kingdom Metazoa; phylum Chordata; class Mammalia; order Primates; family Hominidae; genus Homo; species Homo sapiens. The sequence goes on from NC_000001.11 coordinate 185,396,060, forward strand.
AAGTATATTTTGTCATACCTTAAAAACTGAGTGCAATAAAAATTGTAACATAATGTTCACAGAGAATATAGAAAACAGTGATGTTACGATCAGTTATGTACATTTTGAAAAATGTTGTTTCTGAACAAAAATTGCTTTCTTGACAATACTTCAAAATTATTGTCGAATAAATAAACTTATGTTCTGTTCAATAATAAGAAACATCCAAGGGAGCTGTGGAGCTTGGATTAGGGATTTGAGGACTTGGTATCAGACTAGTCCAATGGGTTATTTTGCCTCAAAGTAGTAAATTCCAATCCAATGACCAGTGAAAATAAAATGTGCTGTTTATTCCTAGCCAAGGTTAAAGTAGTAACATATAATTTGCACTGTACTTTGTAAACTTTTGAAAGAATTATAAATCTTTCATAATTGAAGTTACAGCCTATTACTTTTCTCTGAAAATTAATAAAGTAAATAAGTCTCTAAAATGTTTACTACAATGATACTTCCAGTAAAACATGTTTATATACATAGAATAAAGTGTTACAAAATTTGAGCCTGGTTTTTATCCTTTATTGTCTCATTTTTTAGGTTATTATGCAATAGGAAAGTATTTTCCACTTTGGTAATATTGCCTAAACTTTATTTATATAGCACCTTTACCATTTTTTCCTATATTCTTAAAAATGCACAATATTACCCAGCATATAGCACCAAATAAATGTTTGTTGGCTCTTATTTCCCCCCAAAATAATAAAATAAATGCTACCTATGATAATTATATGTTATCAAAGATACTTGGCTTAAGCTGAGGGTGAGAAGTCTATGTATTTCAAGGCATCTAATAATGTGGTAGTTCCCAAGGGCCTGGTTTGAAGTTCCAGAGGTCCAAAGTGTGACCAACCAACTCATACTGCATTTAAAACTAGTGAGCATTCAATTCCAGAGTGTAACAAGAAAGTATTAATAGCAGCACAGAAATGGGGTAGAAGAGCCAAGGACAGGAAGGCCCAGGTCATTTATAATGTATTAATACTTTAGGCAAACTTTTTTTTTTTGGTAGAAATGGGGTCTAGCTATGTTTCCCAGGCTGGTCTTGAACCTGTCCTCAAGTGATCCTCCCACCTTAGCTTCCCAAAGTGCTGGGATTTAGTCATGAGCCACAGCGCCCAGCCAGGCAAATTTTTTCTGTAAAAGATTACTTGGTAAATATTTTGGGTTTTGTGGACTATCAAGTTTCCATTGCAACTACTCAGCTCTGCTGTTGTAGTGCAAAAGCAGCCATAGACAATACATAAATAAATGGATGTGGCTGTGTTCCAATAAAACTTTATTTATAAAAATAAGCAGTAGCCTGGATTTGTCTCAGGGGCCATAGTTTTCAGATCCCGACTCCAGTGGTGTAGTTTTGGTGCTCAATTAGTTTTCGTAACTCTACAGACAGTCTTTTCGTCTTATTTTATTGTTTTATTCTCCAGTTTTATTGATTGATTGAGATGGTGTTTCATTGAATTTATGTTCTTTTAATGTTTTATGATAAAACACACACACAGGGAATTTTCCTCAGGTTGTGATTTCTTCCAGATTGGGTTTTTAATTTGCTTTTTTGTATGTCATATTCCTTTCTTATGTGCTTGTGTGTGTAGTGTTTGCCACTGTTGTATCATTAATTTTTGTCATGCTCATTTTTTTTGGTCTTTTTTTTAGAAACAAAGTCTCAAGGCTGGAGTGCAGTGGCATGATCATAGCTCACTGCAGCCTCGAACTCTTGGGCTTAAGCAATCCCCCCACCTTAGCCTCCCGAGTACATCATGGTCATTTTTTTTTCTTCTTGAGACAGGGTCTCAGTCTATCGCCTAGGCTGGAGTGCAGTGGTGCCATTAACACTCACTGCAGCCTCCACCTCCTGGGTTCAAGCAATCCGCTCAGCTCAGCCTCTTGAGTAGCTGGGACTACAGGTGTGTGCCACCATGCCTGAATAATTTTTGTATTTTTTGTAGAGATGGGGTCTCCATTTGTCACCCAGGCTGGTCTTGAACTCCTGAGTCCAAGCAATCCACCTGCCTCAGCCTCTGAAAGTACTGAGAAAACAGGTGTGAGCAGCCGCGCCCACCTCATGCTCATTTTGAATGTGCTTATTTAAATTTTCTCTGATGTAGGTGCATTCTTTTGGATGCTTTCCAACTTATATGAGATTTGTTTCTCTTTCATTTGGGGCATGGTTTGTAGGCTGCATATTGAGATTGGAACTACATGCAGTCTTTGTTGGAAGGCTTGTTTTTTATCTGAGATACTGCTAAATATTCTATACCAAAGATCCATCAAACTAGTTTGGGGTGTATTTTATTCTTGGACTGATTCTCCCAGGCCTTAGATCATTTTTCTAATTCTTCATGGAGCTCTGGAAAATGATAAGGCCTGGAGTATTTAACTCCTGATGTTGCCTATTCACTCCACTGTTTTACCTCTCCCCAAATTACTTATTTTGGGCGACGGGAGGTATATTAGTGAGAATTTTTTGGATTTGTTTCATTCAAAATATTAATACAATATTGCTTCTGGTAACTGGGAACAGGATTAGTATACCTTCTCAATCCCTTTTATTTCTTTTGTTTGTTTGTTTGTTTAGGCATAAGTTTTGGTCCTTTCCTTGTTTGGTAATGGTGGGTTTTTTTTCTTGCTTTTCACTTATTTGCCTATTTTGTCTATCTGAGAGCAGTATAGTGTGGTGGTTAAAAACACAAGCTCTGAATTGAGACTGCTGGGAATCAAATTTCAGGCCTGCCACTTACTAGCTATACTTTGTGTTTCAGTTTCCACATCTGTAAAATGAGGATATAATACTGTTTTTCATAAAGATATGCTATTATTAAATGAGTTAAAATGTACAAAGTCCCTAGAATAATGCCTGGCACATACTAAGTACTATTTATATTTTACTGTTTTTGTTATAGATTTTTGATTTGTCTTCTCAAATATTGGGATAAGTGATTTTGCAATTTGGTTCATCCTGCTATCCTGACCTTCTGCTATACTAATTTTTAAAACTTTACAGATATTCTTTGTTAGAAATTAAACCTAAAAAGCTGATTAACAGACTGTATTGTAATCACTTATGAATGGTAGAAGCAGCAGAAAGGAAAAAAGGCCATAAATATATATATATATATACAATTAATAAGTAAATTGGAGAGAGTTAGCCTTGCACCTCTGTTTGTAAATCAAATTAATTTATTTTCAGTTATGTGTAGCCTTGACTTATTCTGCTGCCTAGCCTTGTATGTGATGTGACTTGCTTCAGAACATGTACTTTCTACTTCGTTTTGTCTGTTTGTCTCACACCAGCCTCTTCCAAGTCCCTGTTTGTCTCACATCAACATCTCCCAAGTCCCAGAAGACCTTGTCTTTTAGCCACAAATGCCTTTTCTTATCTCTTACCACCTGGAATGATGTTGGCTTTAGAACTTTCCATTCCTTTCCATGTAAAAGAAGTGTTTGTAGTACTGGCTCTAGACGGCAGAGAGATTGATTACTGCCTGTCTATGTTTTCACTCAAAGTTTTAGGTAAAAATTTGGTCCTTCATTTAATTTGTTTGTGGGGTTTAGGGTAAAAAGATCCTATCAAAATCAGGGACATTGACCCCTTAGAAATATCTTGCCTTGTAAAGATTAATGGAACTTTTTCAATAGGTTTCACTGGGGACTTGAAATTTATGGACAGGCCTCATTTTGCATAAATTATTTGCAGTTCCTACACCTACATCTCTCACAGGGTGAGTGTTTTTTTTTTTTAATCGTGGAATTACATTGAAATAAAATGGAAATAATTCTATTTCAAGAAAATCAGCATTGTTGTATGTGATACACAATTAATTTTTTGGTAAAGTGAAGATCAAATAGAAAACTCATTTTATTTCAGTCTTTGATGAAAATATTTTTTCGGCAGCATACCACACTCCTACCTTAATATTGAACATGAGAAAATTGCCTTGAATCAACATTGACGCCAGGACTTAATCTGAAAACTAAAGAATACCTTTGATACCAGTTTGTTTTGCCCTAAAAATATCTTTTTTTCCATCAAAGAATATTTGTTTCTTGAATGTAATTAATTGAGAGTTTGATATTTTTCTCTTAGCTCATGTTTATATTCTACCACAAAATGGGCTGTGACCAAAATATTTGGTCAGTCTGAGTCACTGTGGCTCATGAGGTCAGTTACATAAGGCAAGGTCTAATATTTCCAAGTTTCTGTGTAGCCAGTCTACATGAGAATCAAATGATGAACCAGACCTCTCAGCCCTTTCTACTTCTACCATATTTATATGAACATGACAAAAATATAAAGAATGGCGACATGCTTCTTTAAACAATTAGGCAGCATTTCAAGTGTTCAGAAATAATCCCAAAAATAATAGAACAGACTCCCCGGTTGCTACTACCCAGATGTAACACAGGATTTGAGGACTTTTAAATTCTTAAAAAATTAAGTGTAGGCCGGGAGTGGCAGCTTACACCTGTAATCCCAGCACTTTGGGAGGCCAAAGTGGGAGGATCACTTGAGCTCACAGGTTTGAGACCAGCCTGGGCAACCTACAAAACCCCATCTCTATAAAAAAATACAAAAATTAGCTGGGTGTGGTGGTGTGTGCCTGTAGTCCCAGCTACTCTGGAGGCTGAGGTGGGAGGATTACTTGAGCCTGGGAGGCAGAGTTGCAGTGAGTCGAGATGGAGCCACTGCACTCCAGCCTGGGTGACAGAGTGAGACTGTCTTAAAAAAAATAATAAATAAATATAAAAGGTGAAAGGTGAAGGTGCTCACTCCCCATGTTATTCTTCCCTTCTTTCTTTCCTTAGAGATCATTGTTCCGAAGATAGCACATGTATCATGTGTCCATTGTTGTGTCAAAAAGTATGGCCCCTAAAACTCAGTGACTTAAAACAACAACCGCTTATTATTGCTTATAGTCCATAGGTCAGCTGGGTGGTTCTATCGACATGAGCTAGCCTAGGCTGATCTGAGCTGTGCTTGCCCCTTTGTCTGTGGTCAATTGGCAGATCAACTGGGTGCTGGCTTGTCTTGGTATGGCCTTAATCATATGTCTGGCGGTTAGCTGATTGCAGACTGGGCAATGGGGTTGTCTGGGCCATGCATTGCTCATCATTCAGCAGGCTAGCCCAGGCTTATTTACAAGGTAGCAGCAGGGTTCCTTGGAGGGAAAGTAGCATGGAGGAATGCAAGGCCTCTGGCAAAACATTCCATCTCCTGTGTTCTGTTGGTGAAAGCAAATCACAAAGACACCAGATTCAAGGAACGGGAAAATACACTTTGCTTTTTGATGTAAGGAGTAGTAAAGTCATATTGTAAGTGGGAGTAGGTTTCCAGGAGGGGTGGAAAATTGTGACCATTTTGTGATCTGCTGCAAAGCATATATATTTTTTCCATGTATGTGTTTTACATTTTTAGTAGATGTGTTTATGTTTATAAATAATATTTTGTATTATTATAAAATTAGCATAATTTAATACCCTATTCAATATATGCTTTTGCACATTGTTTTAAAATTCACAATTACGTTTTTGAAATGTACTGTTTTGATGAAATTCATCTCATGTAATATCTATACATTCTGTTGTTGATGAACATTTAAATTATTTCCCATTATTTTTTGCAATCACCAGCAAGTTTGCAATGAGTATGCTTGTACACTATTTCATATGCATATATGACAGTTTCTCTAGATACACTACTTAAAATGGACCTATTGTTCTAGGATACATACGTTTTCAACTTTATTGGATATTAATTGCCAAATTATTCTCCAAAGTAGTTTAGATGAGTTCACACACCCCTCCAGGGTGTATAACAGCTTAATTTCCTCTATATCTTTATGAAGTATGCTTCACATTATCAGTCTTATTTTTATTTTGTAGAGCCAGTTGGAGAGTATCATCATTTTAATTTCATGTTAATTGAATGAGATTGAACGTATTTTCATTTGTATACTGGCCTGATAAATTTCCTCTACTGTGAATTAATTGCTTGTTCATATATTTCAACATTTAAATTTTATCTTGAATATTAAAAATATTTTCACTGAATTATTTATCTTTATAAATTGCTAGTGGTTTAAAAATACATAAATACTAGAAATGAGACATTATTGTGTACCATCTTTTAGATTGTGGTATATCTTTTAATTTGGTTTATTGTACTTTCTGTTATACACATACTTTAAAATATTAATATAGCAAAATATGTCAGTATTTTTCTTTATAGTTTGTGCATTTTTGTCTTGTTTTTGAAAACATTCATAGCTGGATGTCATAAATATATTCCTATATTTTCTGCTAAAGGTTGAAAGTTTCTCTTTTTATGTTTAGTTCTTCAATCTCTCTAGAATTTATCTTGTATATGAAGTAAAATAGGGATCTAATTTTATCTTTTTATCTTTTTTCAAATAGAAAGCCAGTTGTCCTGGCACAAGTTTTCAAATAGTTTTCCTTTCTCAATGATTTGTGATGCCAACATGCCATATCCCAAGTTTCTGTGTAGACATGAGTTTGTTTCTGGGCTCTTTGTTCCATTGGTCTATTTTTCCATCTCTGCACCATTGCTCTACCCATTTAATGGCTGTGGCTTTATAATAGGTTTTCTATCTGGTAGGGATAATATTCTTCTTTATTCTCCTTCAAAATTTTATCGGCTTTTTCTGGCCCTTTGCTCTTTCACATTAAATTTAGAAGTAGTTTGTCAAGTTAAAGCGTGAAAAATTCCATGCAAAAATTAAAAAATAGAACAAGGTAAAGGGGATTGAGAGGGAAGGGCGTCAGGTTATGGTATTAAATAGGGTAGTGTGGATAGGTTTCATTGAAAAGTTAAGATCTGAGCAAAGACTTGTAGGAGATAAAGAAATCAGCCAGTTTTCTGGTGACACGTCTTACAGGCAGAGGGAACAATCAGTATCAAGATTCTGAGGCAGATGGGATTGAGGAAGAGCAAGTAGGCCAGAGAGACTGAAGCAGCATGAACAAGGGGAGAGGCCAAGGAGCTGAGGTCAGAGTGCCTGTGGTCAGAGTCCAGTAAGCCATGGTAGGGATGTCGGCTTTTGTTCTGTGTGAGATGGGAAGTCATTGCAGGGTTTTGAATAAAGTTGTGCTGTGGTCTGACTCAAGTTTTAAAAGAATCACTCTGGCTCCCATGTTAAGAATTGAGTGTAGGGAGTAAGAAGAGGACCAGTAATGTGGCTATTGCGATAAACCAGGGGAGGGAAGTGGTGGCTTGACCTGGGTGGCAGCAGTGTAGATGTGAAAAGTGGCTGGATTCTGGATATATTTCACAAGTCGAGTCAATAGGATTTCTGATGGATTGTTGTAGGAGTGGGGAGGAGAGCGGAGTCAAGGATTACTCCAAGGGTTTTATGAGCAACTGGAATATAGTGTTGCTATTAGCTGGTTTAGGGAAGACTGTGGGAGGAACAGTTTTAGGTAAAGATCAAAACTTGGTTCTGAGCATGCTAAGTTTGCAATACCTATCAGACATCTAAGAGATGAATCTGGAGTTTAGGGGAGAGGGGCAGGGTGGGGCTATAGATTTGGGAGTCATTAGCTTATATACCTGGTATTTAAAATGTGGAGACCAGATGAGATAATCTAGGGAGTGAGTATAAAGAAAAGTGGTCCAAAGACTAAGCTCCTTCGTAATGACACAGAAGCGGGGAAGGGAAGTGCTGGCAAGGGAAGGGCATCGTCCCTTTAAATGATATGGAATGGGGGAAGGGCGTGGTCCCTGGCTAGGGCTCTATCCCCTGGCCTGTGCCTGCGGACCTCGGCGAGGACAGGCATTTTTGTTTTCCTGCCCAAATGTTGCATTTCCCAAGACCACCCTGGCCTGCCAGGCCCCCATTCTGTGCCTATAAAAACCCCAAGATTCGGCCGGGCGCGGTGGCTCACGCCTGTAATCCCAGCACTTTGGGAGGCCGAGGCGGGTGGATCATGAGGTCAGGAGATCGAGACCATCCTGGCTAACAAGGTGAAACCCCGTCTCTACTAAAAATACAAAAAATTAGCTGGGCGCGGTGGCAGGCGCCTGTAGTCCCAGCTACTCGGGAGGCTGAGGCAGGAGAATGGCGTGAACCCGGGAAGCGGAGCTTGCAGTGAGCCGAGATTGCGCCACTGCAGTCCGCAGTCCGGCCTGGGCGACAGAGCGAGACTCCGTCTCAAAAAAAAAAAAAAAAAAAAAAAAACAAAACAAAAAAAAACCCAAGATTCTAGCAGGCAAACACACAAGCGGCTGGAAGTCGAGAGGATGCCGGGAGCACACCGCAGGCACTGGCACGCCAGCAGGCTATCGACCAGCAGAATGATGTGGAGTTTGGCAGGGCAGTCGGAGGAGAGCCTGGGCTGCTAAGCAGACCCAGGGCTTTCTGGAAATGTTATAAAACAAGTGAAGTTTGTGGTATATAAATTATCCCTCGAGTTAACAGCCTCGGCCGTTTACAAAAAAACCACACACACACACACACACACACACACACACGACGGAAAAAGGAGGCAAAGAGATGGGGAGTAACTAGTGAAGGATCTGTGAGAAGGAGTGGCCAGAGTAAAAGGAATAAAACAGGAAATTGTGGGGTCCTGGCAAACAACTCAGTATAATTCTCATTTTTTGTTTGTCCTTCATTGTATTATTTCTCTACTATATTTTTCCCAGCTAGAAGTTGGATTGAAGAAATTAAAAAGTGTGTTACTTTCATTTTCTTGAATATGTTCTTAATCCTGGTTAACATCCTTGTTCAGACTGCTTTTCTTTTCTCTCTTTATTTAGCGAGCAAATAACTTTGAAGTTTTATGAGACAGGATTATCTCAGTCTAAACAAAACTGGTTAGTATTGGAGAAAAGAAGGAGTAATGAGAAGGGGAAAAGGTGACTTTGAATGAAGAATCTTTGCTAAGATGAGCTCTGCAGGTACAGAAACAATAGAGGATGGAGTCATTGTGCATCTCTTCGCTCTCCTACACACCCAGTCGTGATGTGTGCCCTTGTAAGCAGAGAAGCAAAATATTGCAATAGTTTACAATGACATTCAGCAAGTGCAGCAAATCCTGTGGCAATGGATTTTCCTGCTTATATGAAGCCTGAGACATGGAGGTCGTGCTTTGTGACTTTAGGAATGGGCAGAGTACAAGTCCCTGGAAGATGCCTATCTTTTAATATAAGGGCTCTGGTAGCGTTATGCAAAACAACACAGAGGTTTAGTCCCTGCCCCATGGAAGCCTTCACTTTAAAGGGTGTGGTGTGTTGCAAAATGCATGAAGTCACTACTTAGAGGTATACTTAATAAGGGAGGATGAAAGTGACGCAAATGCAGTTCTCAGGATCAGAAGAGTAACTTGCCAGCAAGCATGTATTTTAATTGTCCTTTTTCTCTTCATGCTGAGAAATTATGTAAAACTTTGAGATTCAAATAAGGAAATTTGAAAATGATCTCACAATACTGAAACATAAAATTTAATAGGCGAGGAAGCAACATATCCTAGGTGGCAAAGTTAGAACAAATTCCTTCCAGTCTTCTACATCTTTGACAAGACAATGTGAATTGGTGTTTCTTGAGGATGAAAATCAATGGATTAAAGATCTAGACCAGGAACTGGGTAAAATACCTACCTTTTGACAGATTGGAATTCAGAGCATAATTCACTTTCACTGCTACAGTAGCATGAAAGGTAATGTTTGTTTTAGTATATCTCATCCAAGAAGCTCAAAACTATCTAATACATCTGGATTATTTGGTTAGAAAAAGCATTTATTGGCTAATTCACAAATCACAGGAATGTTTTAAAAGCAATTTGATTTTATCCAGTGATCGAGTGTCACAAGTTACTTTACGGCTTTAAAGAGGACCGGTCATCAGCGAGGAGTCTGAGAGCTGGTCTCCCAGCCCCTCAGGCATGGGTCTGTCTGAGCTGGGGATTGGTTGGAAGGACTACAGGGGTTTAAAATGTTCCAAGATGTTTCTGTTAAAATGATGGTAGTTGAATAGAGTGGGTTCCTTTTGAAACATGGCGATTCCATTCCTCTTCCTGTAGCTGTGGGAGGGATAATTGCAGAGTGGCAGCATGGGAACTAGCCCAGAGATAGGGCTCCTTTGTCTCCGTAAGTGAATTTCTCCTCGTGGCAAACCTAAAGGTCAAATCCTCCTCTTGTGCAGGCTGCATCTGACCACAAGTGGGTTGTCTGAGATAGTCAATAGGGTCAAGCTGCATGGAGTGGCCTGGTGGATGGATTTATTCATCCATCTATTTAAAATGTTTTAATGATTGCCATCTATGTGCCAAGAACAGTCCTAAGAACTAAAATACAATGAGGAAAAAACTAGATGAGGATCCTGTCCCTATTAGTAAACTCATGTAAAATTAGGACTTGTGCTAAGGACTAGAAAGCTATAAGATTCTGTGTTAGAGCAAAATGGGGTGGGGTAGAGTAGGGCATGAGCCTGTGGAATAGGCTGGCCAGTGACATAAGGGGGAAGAGACAGAGCAGAGAAGTGGCCTGTGGCCCAGCAGTTGGGTTGGCCTTGCTTAATTTTCCAGGACACATGAGGCCAGTCCTGAAGGAGAAAGAGTACAAGAAGAAAGATCACCTTTGAGAGTGGACACTCACCCAGGGCAGCGCAAAAGGAGCATGGGGCACAAGAAAACCAAGGTCCATACAACACAGCTAAATGCATAAATGGACAGGGGAGAAGGGAGTGCCATCATCCATGCAACCTAGCTTACAAATCCCCTAGTGGCAAAGGGGGATTTGTACAAATTTCCCCTAGTGTCAAAATCCCCTGGGAAGGGCAAGATTTTTTTTTTAAACATTACAAATGTTATTACATGTATATTTGAAAAAAAACCCTTTAAACAATACATAGAAGTGTATGAAGCAAGGAATGGGTTTTTTTGAATACTCATTAATATTGTTTCAAGATATTAATACCATTTCAAGGATCAACAAGTCTTAACCCATTTGATACTTACAAAATGCCATATATATTTGTATTCATCCATTTTGCATTGCTGTAAAGGAATAACTGAGACTGGGCAGTTTTTTTTTTTTTTTTTTTTGAGACGGAGTCTCGCTCTGTCACCCAGGCTGGAGTGCAGTGGCGCTATCTCGCCTCACTGCAAGCTCCGCCTCCCGGGTTCACACCATTCTCCTGCCTCAGCCTCCCGAGTAGCTGGAACTACAGGCGCCCGCCACCATGCCCGGCTAATTTTTTGTATTTTTAGTAGAGACGGGGTTTCACCGTGTTAGCCAGGATGGTCTTGATCTCCTGACCTCGTGATCCACCCGCCTCGGCCTCCCAAAGTGCTGGGATTACAGGCGTGAGCCACCGCGCCCGGCCAGTTTTTAAAGAAGTAAAGAAGTTTAATTGGCTCACAGTTCTGCAGGCTGTACAGGAAGTTTGGTGCCAGCATCTGCTCAGCCTCTAGTGAGTCCTCAGGAAGCTTACAATCACAGTGGAAGGCAAATGTGGAGCCAACCTATCAAACGTTGAGAGCAGAAATAAGAGAGAGGGAGGAGGCACCAGGCTCTTTTAAGCAACCAGATCTCGTGGGAACTCATAGATTGAGCACTCATTACAATGAGGACAGCACCAAGCCATTCATGAGAGATCCACCCCCATAACCCAAACACTTCACACAAGACCCACCTCCAACATTGGAGGTCACATTTCAACATTTGGAGGGGACAAAAACATCCAAACCATATCAATACAACTACCGTCCCATCTCTAAATGGGCATACAAAGCAGAGAGGGATAAAGTCACTTGCCCAAGTGCACACAGAAAGTAAAAGTGGGAGTTGATATTTAAGTTCAGGCACTTTGTATTTGTAACAATTACACCATGTTGCCAATCCCCTTGTCCATTTTTGTACTCCTTGTAGGTAATATGTTAAACATACAGGTTTCTGGGTCTTACTTCTGAATCTGCATCTTTGGAGATGGGCCCCAGAAATCTGTGTTTTGAACCTGATCTCCAGTAGTTTTTTTCTGTATATTCTACAGACTGGCATTGGGAAATAGAAGATAGTAAGGACAGCTTAAAAACTTTTTCAGTTAGCATGGTAAAGCCTTATTTAATGCCTGGCCATTAAGTAAATTCAGAGGTTATCTGGAAGGACATATGTCTGTGTTGTATGTGAATATACCTGTGAAAAATGCTCAGAATCAGACAACAGATAAAGACTCTGAAGACAGACATAGAGATGAAATGCCCACTTAGCCACCTGGGGCCAGAGAGATTGGTGGTCAGAACTAAAATAACACTTATATGTATATGGCATATCCTTAATTAGTTGAGATATTTGCAGCTAATTGTAGAATAGAATTGGTCTAGTAGTCTGCCTAGGGTGTAACAATAAAAAACCTCGGAATTTATTTGTTTCTCTTAACGTCACAATCGAAGAACACTGCTCAGGAATGGAAGAAATTATTGACCCATTTGGGGTCTGTAATAAGGCCCGGCTAGAAATCACTGCACAATGACACCTGGAAGGCACGGTGATAGAACTGCACAGGGCTGGTTACAACATGGCATAGAGAGATCCAAATGTTACTTCAATTTGTTCCCTCATAGTGGGTCCATGATCTGGTACTCAATTTTACCCATTTAAAAAAATCCAACCCATTGATTCACCTTGAGGTGAACCCCTAAGGCAACAACATAAAGTCCAAATAAAAATGTGTCCCAGAGTCTCTCTCCCTGCACAGCACTGAGTAAACCCTGACACATTCTTATTTGTGAGCTATCAGTTTCTTTGGCTCCTCAAGAACCACCACCCTTCAGTTAGCCGTTTTACATTTACCATTAAAAATATTTGGTCAGTCTGAGTCACTGTGTCTGTGGTTCTGTAAGGCAATTTTTAAAAGTCAGAAGAAATGGGCAATACCTGAAATCGTTTATTTAAGGAAAAGGAGTGAAAAGTTAGTGAAAGAGAAAGATGCCAAAGAGACATACTCCATATTCATGACTGTTTTACTTTCTGTTCCTCATTTAATTCTGCATCTTTTTTATTCTTGAAATAAGCGTCTAAGATTTCCTTTACATTGTCTTTTACTGTAATCCTCCCCCCACCTCCGTTTTAACTTCCAATTTTTAATTGGCTGTTATTTTTATTTATGCCTTTGGCTTGCAAAACTCTGTAACAATCAGTGCTAAACGTTGTGCTGCTTGATGACTGTTATTATTATATCCTTATCATATACTAGAAAGTGGGGCAGTTTCTTTATTTTTATTTTGGATATTATTTATTATTATTTGGATATTGTACTGTGCTTTCATCTGTGTCTTATATTTGCTTTGTCTTTTATTTTTTATCATTTATCTCAAATTCCTTTGATGTTTCAGGCCATTCATATTCTCATCCACTCTTCTCACTTCGGTTACTTTTTGAATTACTGCGTGAGATTTCACAACCTACTCATTTTCCCTCCTCCACCGGCAGGTGTGGTAGCAGAGCAGAATTTTTCATGACAGGCTCGGTGGAATTCAGTGGAGCTTGAGTGGTGGCTCTCCTGATGGGCAGCAGCCATCTTGTGTGGTTCTTATATTCTTAGGATGTAGGCTGAGGCTATTATCTTCCCCACAGTTTACTGATGGATGCATTTGAGTGATAGAGATTAAATAGCTTTCCCAGGAATAAAACAATGAGTCAGTGATAAATGTAAGAACCAAAGGCAGAATGCTTGGCTTCTTAGCTATCCATAAATAACTTAGATGTTGGTGCATTGGCAATATTCTTCTTCTATAATAAATCTCAGATAAACATAACAAACACTCTTCTAAGCACAAATGACAACCTTGTGATGATTCTAACACGGACTCTTGGGAGTGTTCCCTTTCTCTTCCCTCTTGCCCCCTGAAGCATACTCTTTCTCAATAGGCTCAGATGTTCAGCCCAACTGCTCTTCAGTCCAAACTCCCTTCTAAGCCAAGACCCTATGACTTTCTTTCTCTTCCCTGGTAATAAAGCAAGTCTTGGGCATCAGAGTTTCCTAAAGATTACTAAGCACTTAATGTGTTCCTGTACACTTTTTGAAGGTCTCTCTTATTACCTCTAACTTCCACATGTTTAATATCAAGTGCCTGGGGCCAGTATCAAGCCCTGGAACAATATCTCTTTGTTCTCCCTGTTTAAGCTTTCAAAATCCCACAAACTATGCCTTTCAGTTAATGTGTGTCCTAGTCAGATGCCTTGTCTGTCTCCTGGTGTAATCAGTTTGGTTATATCTGGACACTGGGTAATTCTGTGTGACAAGACAGGGGTGTTGCCTAAGGACTGGACAAGGCTTTCTCTTTAGCCATCTCACATGTGGTCTGAGAGGTTCAGTGTGAAGACCTTGGTGCTGTAAAACAAAACCATGTACAACAAATGCCTAAAATCTGTGCAGTCTGATGTCATGTTGCACAATAAATGTAAACACAACACACAAATGACTCTAATTAATATCAGCCTTCTGCAGTTAAACCAATGTGTGACTGTTTCCTCATTTTGTTAGTTTTCAAATATTCCTTTCTTCCATTTTTTTAACAATTTAACTCAATTTTAATAAAATGTTTCCCAAGCATTATTTTGACCACATACCCAAATTTAAGTTGTGAACATTAACAGTGTCCATTATATAAACACACTTGAAGTTAAGGACTTAACAATTTTCTAACATTAGCCTCTTTTCTATACTGCTTTTCACATATGTGCCCATTAACAAATGGAATGTCTGTTACATGTATTGGTTTGTGAGTGTTTCTGGAAAACCACGGTGTGTGAAGACCAATTTCCATGCCGGCATTGCATGCATCCAAATATTAATAATGCACAGAGGCACAGAATTAGAGCAGTTAAGAGAGCAGATTCAAATGCTAACATGTCTCATTTCCCTTTTTATTGGTTGTTTTGCTTAGTACTTCTTAAAACAAAAATAAGAATCTAGTTTTCAAGTATTTCTTGCCACTTTTGAGTGAACACTTTCCCCTGCTGCCCAGAAGGTCATTTCTTGTCTCCCATACAAGACGCACGTGGTAACAGGGTTAAAAGCACTCTACATTTAGGAGGTCTTGGGTATTACCAGGGAGTTCCCAGTTCATTCTTTTCAAGGTCAAACTGTAAATAAATATCATCCTAAATCCAAATATATTCAAGGTTTTTCATGCTACCAGATTCTTCTAGTGCAGTGGCTCAGAGGCTGAGCTTTGGAATTTCTCTTATGGGTTGTTTGCATTCCCTCTCTGCCACTTTCTAGTTCTCTGACCTTGACTATGTGACAAAACTTGGCTCTATGACTTACTGGCTATATATCTAAGTTTTAGCTTCCCCATCTATAAAGTGGGGGTAATAATAGTACTCAGTAGGGTTACTGTGATTAAATGAGCTAAAACTGAAAAGGACTAAGTATAATCCATAATATAGTAAGTGCTCAATAAATGTTAGTGATTACTGGTAAGAATAAAATGCTAATTTCATGCTTTTCTTTATTATATGATGAGAGAAGTTGAGAAATGGCTGAATGAATTATCTGAATTGTGTGATATTTAGTTTTTTTTTCCTGCAGAGGTAACATTATGTTCTATAAATCCTCTAATGTAGTAGGTAGTATCTATTCTGAACAGGTCTCTCTGAATTAGGAGATTGGAAATGTCAGCAAATGATGTTCAAGTAGATTCAATTCTTTTTTGTGAGGGGGGTAGGGTTGGGGCAAGCATTTTCATGTGGATATAAGAGGGCTTCAAACCAAAATTTAAAATCTGGCCAACCACTGCTGTTTCCCCCAGAAGTTGTGGGAGAGAAATTTTATGAGAAATTTTATCCTCTATTCTAAATATTTTTTGAGGGGCGGGCCGGGGGGAGGGGAGATTCTTCCCAGAGGTGTTTCTTTGTTTTAGAACCAGCCATGTATGTGTTGTCTTGATACCTTGTGTATATCACCTCCCAGGCCACTTTCAAAACAGGAACCAGTGGAATTTTTGATGAACAGCTAAGTTCGGGTTATTTCTGAGAGGCATGTGGAGATAGACACGAAGCTTTCTTGATGCTGCAGGAGGAACTTAAAACAAAAGTCTTGGATGCCTCGCAGAAGGCTGTGCCCTAAGCAGAGAAAGGAAATCTTTCTTCTAAATTGCACCAATTGTTTTCAATCTTCTTTTACTTTTACCTTCCCACACACTAAGTCTATCAGTTCTGCCAGTCTGATGTCTAAAAATAGTTGCTATAGGGATATTTGCGTTTGATAAAATGCCACGGGGTCCTTGAGGCTAATTGGCAGGTTGAATTATTTCATGATCAATCCTTTAGATATTTGTTCTCAATTAAATTGACCATCTTAAAGTTTTTTTAAGGGAGCATGAGCAAATGTCAAGTTCAAAGTGCCGTATAAAAGCAAGAAGCAGATCTGAGGTGAAGAATCTGTAGGGTTAGTGTGGTCAGAGGGACACATTCATCACCTGCCTGTGGCTATGTCTACAGACAAAGAGAGGAGAATAGCAAGGTTGCTTGGGCAGAAATGAGAGCACTGAGGGAGCTGGGGTTAACCCAGGTTCACAGAGAGCCCACGGTCAGTAGTGGAGTTGGCGTGGAACCCAGCCCCACGGGCTTAACACGGTTATGTTATTTCTGTCTCCACTAAACTCCAGGAACTTACTAGAAGAACACAAGACATGCATACGTTAAGAACCAGAAAGCACAGTCAGTGGGTGTCACTGTGCTGCATGTGGGACACGGAAATGCAAAACAAGGCATTGAAGAGCATGGGAGTGGCAGGGCTCATCCCAGCCAGACAAGGAAGAAGTCAGGATTGTTCTGGCCTGTCATGCTGGCACTTGTCCTGGTGTCTTTCTTGATCCACCCTTCAGGCCCCAGGTGTCCCTATACTCTTTCCCTCCCATCCAAACCTGCTCTCAGAGAAAAGTCAGGAAGCCTTCAGTTGTTGCACAACCAAGGTGTGGCCTGGCTGGTTTCCACACAGCAGAGGTACTCTGTTCTGGGAATTTAGATGGGGAAAGATTCTTAAAAGTTTCTTCTTGCAAATATTTTCAAAATTAAGTCTTAATATTTTAAAAAGAAGCAATTAACAAGCAAACAAGAAGTCCCCAAATCCTCAAATGTTTACTCCATGAAATTTCCTCGGACCACTCCCCTGAGCTGTCAACCTTCTCTCTTTTTGTTGCCAGAGCTTTTTGTGTATACAGCTTTTGATATACATTATCATGTAATGACAGGGATATGTTCGGGACATGCATTATTAGGCAATTTTGTTGTTGTGAGAACAACATAGAGTGTCCTTACACTCTATGGTAAGGACACTCTCTGGTGGAATTTGTGTGTCTAAGCATAGAAAAGATTACAGTCTTATGGGACCACTGATGTATATGCAGTCCATTGTTGACCAAAACGTTGTGTGGCATGTGACCATACCTTTTTTCAAGTTCTCATCATATTTCATGCATTTATTCATTTATTTATTTATTTGAGATGAGTTTCACTCTTGTTGCCCAGGCTGGAGTGCAATGGCACAATCTTGGCTCACTGCAACCTCCGCCTCCTGGGTTCAAGCAATTTTCCTGACTCAGTCTCCCAAGTAGCTGGGATTACAGGCGCCCACCACCATGCCCAGCTAATTTTTGTATTTTTTTTAGTAGAGATGGGGTTTTACCATGTTGGACAGGCTGGTCCTAAACTCCTGACCTCAGGTAATCCACCTGCTTCAGCCTCCCAACTTGCTGGGATTACAGGCGTGAGCCACCATGCCCGGCGCAATTAATTATTGATAGCTCTGTCTGTTTTGAGACAGGGACTTCCCTTTATTCATGTTTGGTATATTTTTACTTGGGTAGATGCTCAATAAACTAAAAAAGGGAGAAAAGAATCTAAAACCATTAATGCTAAGGTGCAAGCCTGGCCAACAAGGTGAAACCCCCTCTCTACTAAAAATATAAAAACTTAGACAGGTGTGGTGGTGCGTGCCTTGAGATATTGCAGTTTCCCCAGATAACCTAAATCTACCACAATAGGAGGGAGTTTGAGTGAATAATGGCATATCTTTATACAAAGAATTTCTAATAAGGGAAATGCATATGTTATAGTAATAAGTAGAAACAGCTGATTGAGTTTAACATAATATGTAATAATGCATAGAAAGAAGGTCTAGAAGGAAATGAACCAAACTGTTGAAATCATGATTTCTAATTGTGAGCGTTATGAATGATTTTTATTTTCACCTCCTTAATTTTCTGTATTGTTCAAAGTTTCTAGAATGAACATGTATTCATATATAACACATAAGAAAATTTGGTTTCCCCCTCAAACAGTATCTCTCAGAAAAGGAGTTGCATTTGAGCTCTTCCAAAGTCCTTTGCACTATGGTGCGGTCGCCGACTTTTTTTGAAACACAAAGTGCTAGGTGGGTGGGGAGGACACATTAGCTTGAATTGACCCTAACAAATCATAAACTTTTAGATAATTATGGTTGTTTGCTTAAAAAAAAAGGACCATGGAGGGAGGAGGAAGAAAAGGAAAAAAATTAAAAATAAAAATAAAGGACCAGAAAGCATTAACATAAGTTTAACGAATCCCTTATTTGGGAACAGGCCTCCAAATTAATTTGCAAGTTCTAGATGTCATTGTAAACCGGCTTTCTGAAGGTCCCTTTACCAAGCAATGCTATAAGTGATTACATTGTGACAACCATAAATATACATTTGTAGGATGAATAGAACAAAAAATTATTTTAGTGTTTTGTAAATAGTACTTGTGGCTTGGGATGAAAATTGCAATGGCAGCATCATGGTTTAAAATAAAACAAATTAGATGGAAGAGAAGATTATGTCTGGAAAACTATCAGATGCCTAAAAACATGTCTCATGAAATGGAAGACACTTGTCACTAGACACACAGATGGCAACTTTAAATCAGACACCTTCATGGGATGGAAAAGTGGAAGAATATTTCTAAATTGAATTATTTTATACAATGTGACTTTAAATATGTATACTTAATTAAATTAATAAATTAAACATTGAAATTAGGTACATAACTATTTCATCTATCTTCCTAAAGGCTTATATTTGAGTTGGTCCACATTATTAAAAAATTTTTTTTCTCTTTGGGAAAGTAACCTTATGTTAGTGTTACTTTTTATTCCTGTATGCTTTTATAACAAGAGCAAAATCAAAAGCACAAACTTGCTATGCCTTCCAGGGAATCTTAAAATTTAATAGGAATTATGCTTTTATGTAAGCCATTAAACTGTAATGATGAAATCCCAGGCATCAGCTAGTGGATGGGGAAGGTATTTAGGGAGACAGTCTGGTCTCCGTGCCCTTAGAATCACTAACTTAGACAAGGCCATTTGCTTAGCCCTGAGTGAGGCTGGCTTTGTCGGGGAAGATTCCATCCAGGAACATTTCTTGGAGAAGTGACTTTGGAGCTCAATTTGCAAGTAGGAAGTGGACATATTAGAAAAGAAGGAATAAAAAGACATGTGAGTGACCTACTGCTGCTTTACAAACCACCCCAAAGCTTAAAGGCTTAAAACCACAGTCATTTATTCGTTACCATTCTTTGGCTTGGCAATTTGGGCAGAGCACAGCTAGGATGGCTCATTTCTACTCTGTATCTGTTTGCAGTTGTTGATGGGTTGGTCCATCATAGATGGCCTCTCTGTCCGCCTGGGACCTGGGGAGAGAGTCCTGTAATGGCTGGATGGCTGGGTCTCTTTCTCCATGTGGTACCTCTCATCCTTAACAAAGGACTTGTTCACAGACAGCATTATTCAAAGAAGGCGAAAGTGGAAGCTACAGGGCCTCTGGAAGCCAAACCTTGGTAGTCATATGATATTGCTTCTGCCATATCCTATTGCTCAAAACAAGTCACAAAATCAGCCCAGATCCCAGGGAGTGGGGAAATAGATTCTGCCTTTTGATGGGAAGAGCTTTAAAGAATTCGTGGCCAGATTTATCTCAACATAGGGCATTTCCAATGGGGAGAACAGCTTCTGGAAGGGAATAGAGGTAGGAATACATGAAAGTTGTAGTAGGAATTTTAGAGTCTAGCCTGATTTAAATAGAGGAGGCTTGTTGATGAGCAGCTTGAAATGAAACTGGGTATGCAGCCTAAGAGGCCCAAACACTGTAAACTTGGGACCAGGACTTTGAAGTAAGGGTTAGCAAAGCTCATTGTGGATCCCAGATCACAGCCTCAGAGTTCCTTTTAATTCATCTTCTGTATTGTACTGTATTGTATTGTATTGTATTGTATTGTATTGTATTGTATTGTATTGTATTGTATTGTATTGTATTGTAATTGTATTGTATTATTTATTGAGACGGAGTCTCACTCTGTTGCCCAGGCTGGAGTGCAGTGGTGCGATCTCGGCTAACTGCAACTTTTGCCTCCTGGGTTCAAGTGATTCTCCTGCCTCAGCCTCTCATGTAGCTGAGATTACAGGCATGCACCACCATGCCTAGATAATTTTTTGTAGTTTTAGTAGAGACGGGGTCTCACCATGTTGCCAGCCTGGTCTCAAACTCCTGATCTCAGGTGATCTGCCTGCCTCGGCTTCCCAAAGTGCTGGGATTACAGGTGTGAGCCACTGCACCCCGCCTGTTTTTATTTTTTAAACAATTTTTGCTTTGACATCTTGGAAGACTCTGTTTCAGTAAAGTATACCATATCCAGGAATGGATTTTATCAATGCCTTTGTGGACTTTCAGAAGACAGAAGAGCACAGAGGCAGGAAAGGACAGTGGTTACGTGCCTGAACTCTGGAGCCAGACAGACCTTGGTTCAAATCCTGTCTTCACCACTATGAAGCCACATAACATTTGGCAAGTCACATAACCTCTTTAAGCTTTGGTTTTCTCCAATGTAACATGGGACTAAAATTATACCTACTTCACAGGAATGGTTGTGAGGATAGATAGTACACTTAGGGATTTGTAAGCATTGAACATATAAGTGCTCAGTTAGTGTCACCTGTGATTATTACCTTTGGATTTTCCTTTTTCATCTGTAAAATGGGTTACTGCTGCTGGAATTCCTGGGTCTTATTCTTAAAATGGCTAATGAAATTCTACATCAAGGAATTTGAAAAGATTAAGGACTATGTCCCCTTTTGTTCTTATTGTTCCCTTAGTGTTCTTATGATCTGTATACAAAAAAGTCTGTTCCAAAGCTAATTGCTACTCTCTACTGAGAGAAGACCAACCTCACAGCAAGTTGCAGTGTTGATGTGTTAAAGAAAAAAATACATTTATTATCTAATTGAATATATTATATAAGATGAATTAGGATGTTGGAATGTGCTTAGTTTTAAGCATGCACCTTTTCCCTATTTAACAAATATTTTGAAATCTCCCACTGTGTTATATGCCCTATGCCAGGTATTAGAGATATAACGATAAATGAAATCAACATTGTTGCTCTCAAGAGCTGCTTTTAATACTCTGCATTAAATAAGGTCTCAGTAAAAATATACATGATTTTTCACCCCAGGGAATATTCATGAATAGATCACTTAAGTTTTTGTTCTCAATCCTGGGCCATTGTTCATATTAACTTAATGGAAGTAATTTGATATGTTTTGGGGAATAATCACAATTATTTTATAGACAATTCTAGAGCCAATCCTAAGTCTGGTCCACCTGTCTGGCAAGTAAAGTGAAAACTCTATTGTAGTAGTGTAGAGCTTCCCTAAGTCCCTCACCTGGGGAAAAAGCCTTTTCCAAGGCTGTTTACACCTCTCATAGTTTTGATGGCACAAAAACATCAAGTAAGGAAGACTTTTAACCATAGGTACATTCTTTAAAAAAATTAATATACAATAATCCACATACAACCAATGCCTCACACACCATGTTAATTGGAACTGACATCCTTTTTTGTAGTCAGGGTTTTCACATCTCTACAAAATAAATAACTATTTACTCAATAAATAGAAAGCTTATAAGGGGGCCCAGTTTAGGTATGAGGAGACCGCAAACTTAAGCTAAGTGATAATGAAACATAAACCATTTGGTAGACTATGGAACTAGGTTCAGGAGAAACACATGCTGTGTTCCGGCTTCAGTTCTGTTGCAGGCAAGTGGCTGATACCTGACTGAGGATGCATCTTGGCCCCAGAGTGGAGGTCACGACCAGACCAAAGTGCTCTCCATCTTCATTATTCCATTCAGAGCATCTGGACAATGCCAAGAAAGCTCCTGGCCTCTTTGCTGTCTCCAGCTATGCTAACTTCCTAAGGTTCTACTCAGAAGCATACATTTTCTCCTCCTCTCCCCTGCTCTCAATTTTCCTCTGTAACTCTCCCTTTAACCATTTCCCAAAAAAATCAATGAAGCAGTCATGTTGTCTTATGTTATATGTGTTAATTACAATCCCTAAAGAAGGAAACAAAAAGTATTGACACATAACTCATTTTGGGGCAGAAAAAAAGCAATGTTGTTTTCTTTTTTTCCGGGTATAGTGAACAGGGTAGCATCTAATCTACTGTCAATTAACTATAAACATGCTCATTCCAGCACTTTAAAACAGAATCCCTCCAGAAAACAGAAATACATTTTTAATGGAGCCACCTGTGCCTCAAGGCCCCTGAGAACTTTAACAAGGATCAGCCCATGAAAATAGTTGCCATAAGCATGTATAATAAATTAAACATGAATTTTAAATTATTCATTACCTTCCTGAGGGATTGTGATGCTGTAGGGATAATGAAAATGCAATGTTAATAAGCAATCAGTTGTAATTTTAAAAAGGAGGTGAAAAAGAAGGGTCCATCTACATTTCACTTTTGCTGAAGAATGAGTTAAAAGGACAGCTTTAAATTAGCACTAATTAATGTAAACTTGCAACGAAAGCTATTACTTTATTTTATTTTATGATTTTTATTTTTTATTTTTTGAGACAGAGTCTCGCTCTGTTGCCCAGGCTGGAGTGCACTGGTGTGATCATGGCTCACTGCAACCTCAACCTCCTGGGCTCAAGGAGTTCTCCTGCCTCAGCCTCCCAGATAGCTGGGACCACAAGCACGCACCACCATGCCCAGCTAATTTTTTTATTTTTGGTAGAGATCAGGTCCATCTACATTGACCAGGCTGGTCTTGAAGTTTTGATCATCATGCCTCAGGCTTTCAAACTGTTGGGATTACAGGGATAAGCTACCATGCCCAGCCTACTTTATTTTATATTTCACTGAAATGTTATTCGTCTATATTGTCACAAATTTAATCATAAAACAGAGCTAGGAGAGAAAAATAATGATAGATACTATTTATGAGTTACTTTGATTGCACTTTTCATAAATTATCCTCACTTCAAATAGGAGGCAACCAAGTGTAGACAGGTGAACTTGCCCTTGGTCATAGGGCTAGGATTTGAACAATAGTCTGTGAGGCTAAAGCTTATGTTTTTCTCACTACATTGCTCTAGTCAAACCATATTGCCTCCTGAGGGTAGAATGATGAAGAGAAGTAGCTAAGCACTCTGTAGTCAAAGTTGCTGGTTTAAATACTGGCTCTTATTCTTACTAGCTGTGTGACCTTGGATAACTAATCTAACTTCTCTCTGCTTCAATTTCTTCCTATATAAAATAGAGATAATGTGAGAATTAAATGGGACAAAGTATACACAGCAATTAAACCAATGCTTGCTATACAGCAAGTGTTCAATAGGTGGTACAATTTTTGTTACTACTATTATTGTTATTACTACTGAAAGTAAACAAAAATAAAAAAGAGTGGCTTGGCTGCTTTAAATGAGAAACAGCCCTAAAGTAATGCCGGATGCTCTTGCTGGGTCTGGGAGAACAGCAGATTACTCACTCTGTTGAGTTGTCAAGCCTGGGTGATCCCTGCCTGCCGCACTCACAGTCTGCTGTTTACAGTCCCGAATGCATCCAGTGGAATGGTCCTCCCCATCTGCAGCATCTGGTGCAATGTAGGAGACCCTTCAGCTTCCTCTGGACTGTTTTTCTTTTCTGTTTGTGTCCATCTTCCTTGATCAAACTCCAGAAGGCATATCCCCAATAGTTTTCTCCATTGTGGAGGACCTCTTCCATATTTTATGTGCTAGGATTGTGATATTCTGTTATGGCAGCCCTAGCAGATGAATAATACAGGTAGAATGGTCCTCAGGTGGTCTGAAGCAGGAGATACGGCACTTATGGTGCTCTCTGATGAAGCCTGAGTCAATGGAGGAGCCCGCAGCTGCCGGGTCACTTGGTTTCAGGTTTGTGAGAGTCAGCTGAGGGACAAGAGCTCCGGGAACTTTGAAGGCACCCTCTCGAGAAAGCGTTTTCTGTCTTAAATATTTTCCTGCACAGGTCTGAAATTGTATCAGTAGAAATTCATGTGGGGGTCTTGATGCCTTCTTTAGTTTTCAGCAATCTCATGATAGAATGAGAATGTACCTGGTCACCAGGACGCTGTTGATAGGCTGAGAATGTGGGGTGTGGTTTCTGGAAAAGGACTGCAGGGAAGCCGGCAGTGAAGGACAGATGGGCCAGATCTTTAGGTTCTCTCCCTTCCAGCTTTGCCCAGGACCAGCCTGGATGAGCTTCTCATGGGGCTTACAGAAAGAAGGGTGTTTTGGTTCTTCCTTGAAGGTATTAATACTTACTTCTCTGAATGTGAGGCTCTGGGCTGGGGGCACAAGGCTACAGTGATTGCTTCATTGTTTGGTGGTGGAGTCTTTGAGATCCTTCTTTTGACCTTTCAGGCTCTACAACATTTTGATCAGAAGTTTTTGCTTTTTGTGTAAGGGATGTGGTGCAATTGGGGAAGGTGCTATTGGGGTTTTTAGTGTAAGGGATGTGGTGCAATTGGGGAAGGTGCTATTGGGGTTTTTAGTATAAGGGATGTGGTGCAATTGGGGAAGGTGCTATTGGGGTTTTTAGTGTAAGGGATGTGGTGCAATTGGGGAGGGAAGTGTGGAGAACAAACAAAGGAAAGCACACTGGCCAGCCATACATAGTTCAGTAAAACAACACACTTCTGTCCCTGCCGCTACTAAAGTTCTTAAGCTCCCCAACCTTTTTTCTTTTACCTTATCTCTTTTTTGGGCCTCTAGAAGGAAAATATCCGTCTTTTTTTCTTACTACTGACTCCAGTGTGTTTATAACTTTGGTATTTTTGTTTGTCATTGTTTTGGCTTAAATGTGAATGTAAAGGAGAGTTCAACAGCAGTAAATAAAGTGCTGAGTAGCCTGTAGAAATGCTTTTGTATTGAAGTCAGATTAAATTTGTCCTCCAGTAAGATTTCTGTCACTGCCCTCTCTCCTCTGCCTTCCTTCCGCTGGATTCCTTCCCCTAGCATGGCAGGCTATCTCCACACTCTCAGGGTGCTAGCAGCTTCTTGGATTTACTCTTGACTTTTCATGAGATTGTTGGAGACTGAAAACAAAAAAAGCCTTTAAGATCCTAAAACAAATTATAACTAAGGATATAATTTCAGACCACTGGGACACATATGGTGAGGAAGGGAACCCTCCCAATGTTTCCAATAGGTCAGTCTATAATCAACAAGAGTTCTGCACAGGAATGAAACAGAGGATGCTGAGATGGAGAAGAATCAGCATGATTGTATACGAATGAGTGGCAACAGAGATAGCTTCCTCAAAAGGAAGAAATATGCATCACACTCTGTTCTGGGTCAAATAGAATGTTACAAATTATAGGAAAGAAATGATCTAGGTAATTATTTTTATACCATTTCACTTAAAACCCTTCATTTTCTTTGAATGGTAGTCATTTGTTTTCTTTCTAGGTGGGGTGATGGAATAACCATCTGCCAACGTATGGCCCCAATGTGTAGGGAGTGGTCACACACCAGGGTGTGAGAAATGCATATTTTTCTCAGTGTGTGGGCTCATGGATGAGAGAGAAATAGCCACTGACAACGTGGGGGAAAAGAAATACCTTGACTAAATCATATGGCATTCTTTATGATGTTGCAGTTCTTTTAAAATAACCTCAAAACTTTCCTAAAAGAAACTGAATGTATATCTGTGAAGGCTAATTAAGAATGTGAATAAACACAAAAATGACAATTTTGAAGAAAATCTTTTTGGAATCTGTACCATACTTCTTTTAGTCTCTGGCCCAAATGACAAAGATGAACTCTGTTAATACATTATGTGGGTCTATCTATTGGCAGTCAACTTGTTGGAGAGGCTGCCTGACTTGGACATAAATAATAAGAGAATTGCATAAATAAGAGAATTTGCACTCTTTACATAGGAGTGCAAAGCCAAGTCTATCTTTAGGGGGATTCTAGCTAAGTAGAGTCCATTCCATATTTTTATTTAGATAATTTCCTAGGTAGCTCGTCTTGGACACCATCATCAAATAAATCAGTACAGAGTAGATTGTATTTTCTCTAGAGAAACAATGTTAGAATGGAACTTTGAAACAATTAAGTCATTGTTATGGCCAATAGTATGTTATAAAAGCAAACAAGTAGCATCCAAATAAGTAAATGTATTTTCTAAATCTTAATAAATTACATATATATAGATATATAAATATACCATATGTGGACTGTGGAAAGGATATAGATCTAAAGATACATATCAGCTGTATCTTACCAAAAATGTATTTGTTAACTAGAATTAAGCATTTTATTAAGAACTGAATTTGTTGTCCAGAAATGTAGAAAGTCCCGTTGGATGTCTTGGATCTCTTAAAAAATAACTCCAAGCAATTTTCTGCAGAAAATGACTTTTCCCCCTGTTTAATATACTCCCTGTAGCAAGCAAAAGCATTTAAATCATTTCACTGACCTCAGCACTACCCTACAGTGTGATACTCAGAACATGCTTGTTGTTAGGAGGATTGGTAGCAGTGTTTTGTCTACCAAAAGGGTTTATTTTAATGACATGTTACAAGATGAGTAAATGTTCATAGTACGCAAAATGTGCAAATAAACAGAAGGAAGAAAGGTAATATTTCATAATTTTACATCTTCAGAGATAATTACTGGTTTTTAACATGTATGTTTCCATTTAACCATGTAGCAACAAGTAGTTTATCTCATCGAGTATTTGTAGCATCATTTAAAATGGATGACTATTATTTCTATATAGCATACTTTATTTAACCAACCTCTGTTTCTGGACATTTCAGTTGCTTCTATTGTTTTTGCCATTATGCCTGTAGCACCCACACCTGTGGCTTCATGGGGAGTTTGCTTCATTTAGGTACAGGGTTACAGATGGCTCTGCTGATAGCAGTTGGACTTGGGCTGCTGAGGTACCCTGGAGTTTAGATGAGAAGGAAAATCCCTCCAGCACTTTGAGAAGTACACCTTGGGGTCCATTTTGCCTGAAAGGAGGGAAGACTTGAAGGTTGATGACAAGGAGGTTTCGGAAGTCAAGTGGGTGATGCTCTTTGAGTGGGCCCCAGGGCATGTTCCTCATGAGTGAAGACCAAAGAGCTTCTGCTGCAGAGGAGACTCAGGGGAAAGGTAGACAGGCTGAGCTGTCCTGTGGATGTCACTCAGCCTCCTCTGTGGCCACCCCAGTGCTTGCTCAGTGTTCTGTGAACAAGGTAGGAGTCAGGGCTAGAGGCTGTGCATGTCTTCAACAACAAAATTCCCCCTTACAATGGCTGACCTGGTCATTGGCCCCACTGAACGCCAAATTTGCTGAGCAATGTCCAGTCTCGAACATTTCACATGGTACCACATGCCAAATGAGGGGCAGATGGATTAGCCACCTTTTTGGACCCCTTCTGACCAAGCAGCACCAACAGTGGAATGCTGAACTGCTAGGATCCATACCACCTGTTGGAAACAACAGTAGGACTCAGTGAATGAGGGGGTCTGGCTCTCTAGAGGGACTTATCTGTTACTCCAGAGAGCCATTCACAAAGCACTAGAGCACTGTGAAGAATCCATGGTGGGTTCCAATATTGTTTCTAGGTCTTTTGCACTAAGTGAACTGGTGAAAACTCTTGACTGGTAGGACTAAGGGAAGAGTGTTCACCATCATCTCCTGTGACTCTCCAGTCTGTCCACCTGAGTAGGAAAACCATGTCTTGCTTTAGACCCTGGGTAACTAATTGTAGAGATGCCTCAGCCTATGCCTATGCTCTTCCTCAAAGAATGAGCTTGAAGGCTGAGAACAAGTTGGTTCCTATGGAAGGCTTTGCTTTTTTTTCCAATAAGCCCTGCATGATGCTGGCTCACTTGCACAATATTGAACTGTTCATCCAGGGAGTAGGTACAGATTCTGTGGCTTAATTTTTTTTTAAATTTTGGTAAATATATATATAACATAAAATTTATTATTTTAGCGATTTTTAAGCGTAGAGCTCTGTGGCATGAAACTGTGGGCTTCTTGCCTCTAAACTTAAGTCCATGCCTCTTCTCTACTGAAACTCCAATCTCTTCAGTGGAAGGATCATATTTCCTCCATGCGAAGATGCCATTAATTGTATAACAAAGCACATTCATAGCAATATTTTATTAAAGAAGACATTCTTGGCAAGTTTCTTTGGATGTCAGTTATAAGCCACACTCCTATTTCAGAAGTGAAAATTATGCATCATAGAATGGAGGAAATATGTGGCTTCTTTCTGTTCCATGGCAATGGCAGGAGTTTCAAAAACTGTTTCTGAGGGGAGAGTCACTTTCTGCATGGTGTACATGATGATCAAGCTGGAATCCTACACTTGGCTGGGCAGTCATAGGAGCACCACGATACTATCCAGGCAACCCCATTAGCCATCTTCCGGCTGAGGGGAGTCAAATACTCTACCGTCTAATCTTCATTGCCTTGGTGGCTTCACATGCCTTATTCCCTTTCCATATGGTGTTGACAGAAACTGCAGAATGTGTAGACAAAGGGTAGCATAGGTGTGAGGCTGCATGAAATGAATGTTGATATTTTGAAACGAGAAAGATGGGTTCTTCCTATTAGGAGAAATCCACATTAAAGAGAAGAGCACAGGCAAGCTTGGAACTAAAAGGGAGAAGTCAGCTTGAGAGTAGGGTAGGGGAAGAGTGAAGAGCGGAGGGCCAGCTCTGTCGCCTGGCTTGGTTATGGTGGAAAAGACTGCATTTGGCAGAACACATAATCAATGACGGATTTTTCATTTTTATTTAAACTTTGGCTTATAGAAGCGATTTCCTTTTTCTTCCTCACTGGTTTCCAGCCCTGAGCCTCTACCCAGCTATCAGCAGGAGGGAGTCCCCGCACAAATGCCTGGTATTGGTGATAGATCTGTGTTAATTGTATCCATACTGTCCTACCCAGTCTTTCTTGTAATTATGGGCAAGAAATTCTAAGACAGATGGTTAGCTTTCTCCATGTGCTGTGTGACCATGGAAATGAGCAAAGCTCATGAACTGACAGGAGGCCTGAGAGGGGGCTATTGTCTCATTAGCACTCAGTTCTATCTGATTGGGTTGATGCTGCAAAGGTAATTTAATGTGTCAGAGCAAACATGTGGCAAGACCAGTACCTATGAGAGAAGCATTGCATTTTTAAAAGCCTGAAGTATGAAAGAGATTTTTTAAGTGTCTAGAAGTCAGGAAAAACTTTAGTCTCTTAAACTAGATAGCACCTTGGTGACTTTACTCTCAGCTTAAGGTGCATAGACAAATTTAAACAGGACTCTCCATGTTTCCTGGAACCTAAAATTCACCAGGAAGTAATTAGCATTTACAGACAAATAATGCTTCAAGAGACCTGTGAGATAAAATACATGTTTGGATTTATGGAAAATAACAAAATATCACAACACTCTCAGAAAAAAAATTGTATTGAAGACTTAATAACTACAGAAAGAAAAACAACTAGTATTATTGAGCATCTACAATCTGCTGAGACCTTTATATACATTTCTCACTTTAACCTCAGTACAACCTTGGAGGTAGGCTTGATCTATATTTTGTAGAGTAAAATAATCAGGCTCAGAGTATTTAAGTAACTATCAAGGTCTGAAGCCTGGCGAGTTGTGGAACTGATGTCTGACACTTCCCATCACACCAGATACCTACTGCCTTTAGCCACACTGAGATAAAATAGAAGCAACTGAAATTCCCTAGGTTCCATCTAGCCTTGCTGCTCTAACCTCCTTCTCTCTTAAACTCCCACACTGGCCCTTTCCTATGGAATCATATGTTGACTGAACACATACTGCTTTGTGATGGGTTTCTATTTTTTAACCCATATTTGAAACTTTGTTTTTTAATGTTTTGCATGTGTATTGCTTTTCTCTTTAGTGGATGATAAGCCCCATGAGGGCACTGACTTTGATTGTTGTAGTTCCCACACCATTTTGTGAATAACTGATGCTCGATTACTACCTATTGATTTGATTTTAATTAGTGTGAAGGAGATCGTTTCTAAGCTATAGTTGATCTGATATAAAAGTCATAGTCAAGATTGTTTTGAGGTATTTAAGATACTTTTCATGGGACTTCTGACAATTGTTACACCCACAGTGTTAGTAATTCAGAGAGATTGGTGAAGAAATAAACGGATTTTTAAATTTTGAGATTAGCTATATCATTAAGGATTTCAGTGAGATATTTCATTACTTTAGCGCTTTACTGTTAAAAATCCCCGTAGATATCCATCAACTTCCTTGTTATGTTTTCGTTTTTCCTTTAATCAGATCACAGTCCACCTCTACCAGGGAAACTTAGTAACTACGGAGACAACCTTATTGCTTATACCTCTGAGCTTTACCTTTCCAAATATTTCAGAAGGCTAAGACTTAACATTTTTTTATGTAGAAATATCCATCCAGGTCAAAAGGTGGCAGGCAAACAAAAGCTAATTTCATTCAGAAGATTCTGTTTTCTCTTGGCCTTGGCGCTTGTTTCCCGCTTGAGTCACTTCCCCCGAGAGGGTAACCCTGGACAGCAGACACGAGAGCCCGTGAGAATTGTCTTAATGAACAACAGAAGACATACACAAACTTTCTTTCAATTTGTGGTAGTCCTTATTTTGCATTGGAAAATATGTGTAATTCACACCACTATAATTCCCATTCTTATGCCAAATGCAATCCTGGAGGAGGCTATTGCTGGCACAAAGTCTGGAGTTTGTACTGCATTAAAGCCAGTAGCTTGTTTTTCCATCTGGGCTAGGCACAGAGTTTGCAAACTTTTTTTCTGAGTTATTCATTCCCTGGTAAATTCCAGTCTTGGGCTGCTGTAGGACATAGACAAAGCTTTATCCCAAAAGTTGCAAATGGAATATGGCCCTTGTTTAAAAGTGTTTTGCTACTGGAAGTACAACTAGTTCCACTGAGGTTTGTGTTGGCCACCTCAGGCTTGTGGGCTCAGTTCAAAGTTTTAGTTTAGTTCTGCAAGGTTTATGACTTGGCTACCTGAGGGACTGGCCCTCATGCTGTTCCTTCCTCCCAGCTGGGAAGATCTGCTAGAGCACTTGGCTAAAACTTTCCAGATATTACTTTGGAATAGTCATGATGATGGCTCAAGTGTTCTTGGAGGATGTTCACATTTGGAACTTCCTTATGTGGTCTGACGTGGCTCCAGCTGTTTTCTTTTCCTGTTAGCGGAGGTGTTTAATTACTCTGCCTTGTTTGTTGCACTAAACTGATTTAATCAAAGATCTCCCTAAGTTTGGAGACTGTATGTTAGTTTCCTGTTGCTGGTGCAACAAATCCCACAATTAAAACAACACAAATTTATTTTCTTACTGTTCAGAACGCCAAATGAATCATAAAAGGCTAAAATCAAGGAAGGTGTCAGCAAGGCTGGATCTTTCTGGAAGCTACCTGGCAGAATCTATTCCTTACCTTGGCCACTTCTGGAGGCCACCAGCAGTCCTTGGCTGCTCGCTGCATGACTCCAATCTCTGCTTTCATGCTCACACTGCTTTCTCCTCTGCTGTAATCAAATTCCCTCTGCCTCTCTCTTAGGTCCCTGTGATTATACTTAGGGTCCTCCGAGGCAATCCAGTATAATCTTTCCATCTCAGGATCGTTAATCATATCTGCAAAATCACTTTTGCCATATAAGGTAACATTTACAAGCTTCAGGGATTGGGATGTGGACATCTTGTGGGACCACTCTTCAGCCTAGTACATAGCTTGATGCATCTGAATTTGAATCCTGGCTCTAACAATGTTTTATTCTTTCTAAGCCTTAGGTTTATCTAAATGGTGTTAATAATGTTTATCTCTCATTAGGTTGATGTAAGATTTTGATGAGTTAAGTATGTTAAGTGCTACCACCAACCAAGTACCCCCATAGATGTTCTGTTAACTTTAATTTCCTTTTTGCTCATCTCCTTTGATAATATCTGAAAAATTAAATATTTTAGTTCGAAGGCGGTGGGTCTTTGAACTTTATAAATGGTGTAGCACAAATACAAAATACTAAAAATATGTCCAAAATGATTATCACATAGACAAAATGCTGGTTAATATCCAGTTAAGTTTCCAATGAAGTATGAAACTATAACATAATGCAACAGATAATGTATCATTGTGCTTAAAGTCATGGGTATTATAGTATGAATGTTATTAGAAGCTTATCACCTTAAATAAGGTACTGAAGATTTTCTGCTTTCAACATCTCTGATTTGTTAAAATACATCAGACCACTATATGTGTGGGGCAAAGAGTATGAAAGAGGGGGGCATATCATTCTTTAAGACATTTGTATGGTTTTTAGGTAGGTATAGAATAGATTAAAACAATGATAATTTTTTTAACAAATATTAATTGAGCCTTTTTGATATGTCATACAGTGGCCAAGATTTTGCCAATATAAATATGAAAAGCCATGGT
Organism: Homo sapiens; assembly: GCF_000001405.40. Classification (NCBI taxonomy): domain Eukaryota; kingdom Metazoa; phylum Chordata; class Mammalia; order Primates; family Hominidae; genus Homo; species Homo sapiens. Next base: position 185,428,850 of record NC_000001.11, read on the forward strand.
TCCTACCCTTATCTAATGGACAGGCAGAAAATAAATGTGTAATTACTATAAATTAAGATAAGAATAGTAACGGTCTTGGTGGAAGCACAAGGGAAGGGGTGCTTAAGTCTGCTGGGAGAATTGGGTAAATGGTGTGGAAGGGAAGTGGTGGTTCTTGAGCCAACTCTTCAGGAAGGAGAAAGCCTTTTCCAGGTGAATGTGGGGTAGGGCAACCCAGGCAAAGGAGACTGTACCTGGAAATGAATGAAGTACCAAAATATTGCATTCTCACAGAACCTTGAGTAGCTTAGCATTGCAGGAGCAGACAGGCATAGAAGAAATTTATCTTGAGAAACAACATCCCCAGCATTGAATTCAAGTATGGGTTCAAGTTCATTTCATATAAAGAACCCTGGATAGAGTGAACAAACATCCTACAGAATGGGAGAAAAGTTTTGCCAACTATGCATCTAACAAAGGTCTAATATCCAGCATCTATAAGGAACTTAAACAAATTTACAAGAGAAAAACAAACCACTAAAAAGTTTGCAAGGGGCATGAACAGACGTTTTACAAAAGAAGACATACATTTGGCCAACACTCATATGGGAAAAAGTTCAACATCACTGATCATTAGAGAAATGCAAATCAAAACCACAATGAGATACCATCTCACACTAGTCAGAATGGCTATTATTAAAAAGTCAAAACATAACAGATGCTGGTGAGGTTGTGGAAAAAAAGGAACACTTATACACTGTTGTTGGGAGTATAAATCAATTCAACTATTGTGGAAGACAGTGTGGCGATTCCTGAAAGAGCTAAAAACAGAAATACCATTCACCCCAGCAATTCCATTACTGGGTATATATCCAGTGGAATATAAATTGTTCTATTATGAACACACATGCACATGTATGTTCATTGCAACACTATTCACAATGGAAAAGACATGGAATCAACCTAAATGCCCATCAATGGTAGGGACAGGATAAAGAAAATGTGCTACATATACACCATGGCATACTATGCAGCCATAAAAAGGAATGAGATCATATCTTTTGCAGGAACAGGGATGGAGCTGGAGGCCATTATCCTCAGCAAACTAATGCAGGAACAGGAAACCAAATACTGCATATTCTCATTTATAAGTGGGAGCTAAATGGTGACAACACATGACACATAAAGGGGAACAAAACACACTGGGGCCTATCGAAGGGTGGAGGGTGAGAGGAGGGAGACGATAAGGAAAAATAACTAATGGGCACTAGGCTTGATACCTGGAGTGATGAAATGATGTGTACAACAAACTCTAATGATACAAGGTTACCTGTATAACAAACCTGCACATGTACCTGTATAGCAAACTTGCACATGTACCCCTGAACTTAGAAGTTAACAAATAGGGCACGGGGGCTCACGCTTGTAATCCCAGCACTTTGGGAGGCTGAGGCAGGTGGATCAGTTGAGACCAGGAGTTTGAGACCAGCCTGGCCAACATGGTGAAACCACATCTCTACTAAAAATATAAAAATTAACTGGGCATGGTGGCATGCGCCTGTAATCCCAGCTACTCGGGAGGCTGAGGCAGGAGAATTGGTTGAACCTGGGAGGCAGAGGTTGCAGTGAGCTGAGATCACCCTACTGCACTCCAGCCTGGGCCTCAGAGCAAGACTCCATCTCAATAATAATAATAAAAAAAATTTTTTAAAGTCTCAGTGATCTTGCCTTTTAAAAAAAGTTAAAAAATAAGTAAATAAATATAAAAATAAAAAGCAGACTAACTTAAAAAAAAAAAAGGAATCTGGGATAGGATAACCTAACGCCCAGTTTATTTACTCAGCAAATGTTCCGTGGGCAGCTACTGTATGTGGGAAGCTCTGGGCATACAAAGCTTGAAGGAGTCAATTCTTGCCCTCAAAGTCCTTAGGGTCTAGTATAAGAGCTTCTGATTAATATCTCCAACTAGAAATGTGAAGAGTTTGCAGTTAAATTGATACTTTTAAGTGGATTGTTTTTGTTTGTTTGTTTGTTTTGTTTTGTTTTTGTTTTTGTTTTTTACTGAACCTTGGCGAAAGTTGAAACGTGAACATTGGAGTTAAAACAGAACTTAGAACCCATTTATTTTATTACAAATGGCAGTAGAAATGGTTGTCTGCCCACTAAACATTTATACTCCCCTTCTGCAGTGAGGAATAGTTACTGGGCCGTGGCTTTCCAGCCAAGGACTGCATTTCCCAATTCACCTTACGTCAAGACAGGGACGTATGACTAGGTCTCACTAATGGAATCTGACATGCATAACTTACTGGCTGAGGTGGTTAAAAAAATGGGTACCTTTTCTAGTTTGCCTTCTCTTGCCTTCTAGGTGGACTAAATAAAAAATAAAATGCTCCATGTTTTCAAAGGATGGTGGAGCCACAAGACAGAAGGAACTGGGTCCTTGGGTCACCACATTCAGGAAAGCCGTCAGGCAACTAGAAATACTCTCATTGGATTGATACAGGAGTGAGACATAATATCATATTATTTTAAGCTACTAAAATTTGGGGGGTTTTGTTTGTTTCAGTACCTTATGTTATCCAAGCTATCACATGAGGAAGATTCCCTTATGCAACATACCATGCTTCCTGGGTTTGGGTCTTTATTGTCATGAAGGGCTAGTGCTTTTACTTGACAAATGTCATTGGTAGGTACATCTCCCTTTTATTAAGCTAAAATCTGATGAAGTCCTGTTAGTTTTAGCCACTGATCTCTGGAGCAAGACCAGGAAAGAAAATGTGAGTGCGTTTGTGATATGGAGGCTTCTTTTTGTGGTGGAAGAGGCCGATTTCGGAGGCCAAGTCTAGCTTGGAACAGTGTTGCCTGGAAAGGAATTTGAGAAAACGTCACACTGAATACAGTTGTGGTTAGATGCAGAGATGGACTTGAGAGAGGCTGTCTAGAAGCTCAAAGTGAGTCTATAAGGGTTGAGTAGATCCTTATGTGATGAATACCAGGAAGACTGAGGTTAACATCTAAACCCAGTAATCATCATGAGGGGTTAGATGTGTCTTTTCATGAGTGGTAGGGAGCTGTTGCTTGAAGGAATCGGAGTAGATGAGACAGGAGCAACAGAAAAAAATCTGCTCCTTTATTTATGTCCTCCTTTATTTATGTCCTTTATTTATGTCCTCCATGAACTTTATCTTCTCCAACCTAAGCAGACCTTTCTTTTTATTTCTTTTTTTAAATTTTTTATTGTTATTATTTTTGAGACAGGGTCTCGTGGTATCACCCAGGCTGAAGTACAGTGGCATAATCATAGCTCACAGCAGCCTCCACTTCCTGGGCTCAGGCAATCCTCCTACCTCAGCTTCCAGAGTAGCTGGGACTACAGGTGTGCACCACCGTGCTTGGCTAATTTTTTTATTTATTGTAGAGATGAAGTCTCACTACTTTGCCTAGGTGTGTCTCAAACTCCTGGCCCCAAGCAGTCCTCCCATCTCGGCCTCCCAAAGTACTGGGATTACAGGCATGAGCTTCTGTACTCAGCCAGCAAACCTTTCTCTTGTTTTTTGTTTTTTTGTTTTAGTTTATAGACATCATAAAATTCTTTGTATTTTCTTCTGGATTCATGTTAGGTTGTATAGAATTAAATATAGCACTTCATATATGGCCAGTCTAGTATAGAGCTCAGTGAGATGATTATTCTAACATCTGAATATTATGTGCTTTGAAATAAAAGAGACTGGGGCTGACTTCTGCCACTTACAAACTGGGTGATTTTGGGTAAAATACTTCTCTGAGCCTCAATTTCTACATTTATAAGAGAAAAAATTATGCTGAATCACATGGCGATTGCTGTGTAACAAAGCACCCTAAAATGTAATGATTTAAAAAGACATCTGTATATTACTTCCCAAGAGACTATGGGAGAGTTGGTTGATCTTGGCTGGACTCTTCTTTATTTTTTTTTTGAGACAGCATCTCACTCTATTGCCCAGGCTGGAGTACAGTGGTGTGATCATGGCTCACTGCAGCCTCAACCTCCTGGGCTCAGGAGATCCTCCGGGATAGGTAGCATGTACCACCACACCCAATTAAGTTTTTGTAATTTTGGTAGAGACAGGGTTTCACCATGTTGGCCAGGCTGGTCTCAAATTCCTGGGCTCAAGCGATCTGTCCCCCTCAGACTCCCAAAGTGCTGGGATTACAGGTGTGAGCCACTGTGCCCAACCTGGACTTATGTATCTAAAGTCAGTAGGTTGGTGGGGGCTGGTCTGGTCTAGGATGACTTCAGCTGTCATGACTTAAGTGGTTTCTCATCTCCTCACAGGCTACTCTGGGCTTGTTTCTATGGAGATGAGCAGGGTTCCAAGAAAGGGAGGGTGGAAGCATAGGCGGCTTTGTGAGACTCATGCTCAGAAGTGGCACAACATCACTTTGGTTGCATTTTTTTTGGCCAAAGCAAATCTAGCCTAGATTGAAAAGGTGAAGATTTCATCTCTTGATGGGGGTGGAGTAGTTAAAAAATCATGTTGTAATGGATGTGAATAGAGGGAGGCCATTGAAGCCGATAATGCATTTAATCTACCACAATTACCTACTTCCAAGAATTTTAACGAAAAATAAATATTATGTATAAATGATCTGATACACAGTAGGCAATCAATAAACCTAGTTCTTTTTTCTTCCATTGCTCTCTCTTACTTCTCTATTAATGAAGTCTGAAAATTTATTAATTAGTTTTCTTAGCTACTATGTTATTATTATTTTGGACCTGAAATAAATCCAAATTTTTTTTATATAAATCTGTCTCTCTCATTCTATATTTATATAACATGTTATATTTTCTGTAAATTTAAGATTTAAAATTTGCTTTGTAAAATCTATTAAGTGCATAATCATGGCCCATATACTGTGAAGATGTTGTTCATGATAGTGTGGTGGTTAGGGGCACCCTCTCTGAAAACAGTCTGCCTGGGCTTTAATCTCGCTGTGCCCTTTGCTAGCCCTCTGACCTTGGTCAAGTTACCTAACCTGCCCTCTGTAGAAAGGAAGTTATAATAGGGTTTTGTCATCTCCTATCTCCTATGACTGTTGTGAGAATGAAGTAATTTAATATTTCTGAAGCCTCTAATATTTCTGAAGCAGTGTCTGGCATGTAGGAAACTCTATGTGAGCAGTTGTTAAATATATAAGTGTTTGAATCTCCTGAGTGTTTCAATTGTTCAGCAAATTTATAATCCACTTACGTTTACTTTCACCATCTTCTGCAATGAATATTATGAGAAACTCCACATGCTTTGCAGAAATCTATTTACATGGTGTCTGGAGTTTTTGATCAACATAGCAGTCACTTAATAAAGGCAGTGAAGTTAGTTTGAAATCACTTTATGAACAGTAAAATATTTGTTATTAATATTATTACAATAATGTTACAGCTGTTTTAGAATTTATATACTAGATTTTCTGGTTTTCACTGGAAAACCCCACATGCAAAAAATTATATTATTATGTAATTATTATTAACTAATGTCCAATTTTCACAAAACATGTTTAAAAATTTTCTCTAGACATTTGTCAGGGAGTAGTCTATATTTTACAGGTTCTCATCTTTCCTCCCCTTCTGTTATTCTTTTTTTTTTGAGACAGAGTCTTACTCTGTTACCCAGGCTGGAGTGCAGTGGTGTGAACATGGCTCACTGTGGCCTCCAGCTCCCTGACTCAAGCAATCCTCTTGCCTCAGCCTCCTAAGGAATAGCTGGTACTACAGCCACACACCACCCCGCCTGGCTAATTTTAAAATTTTTTTGTAGAGATGAGGTCTCACTGTGTTGCCTAGGCTGGTCTTGAACTCCTGAGCTCAAGTGATCCTCCCACCTCGGCTTTCCAAAGTGTTGGGATTACAGGTGTGAACAACTCGCCTGGCCTGTTATTCTTTTTCTCCATGATGTTTTAACTGATTGGGATATTTGGACAATTTATTTCTTTAAAACTAGCTCAAAATTACCATACTTATGCATAATTGAATACATAATTACAATACATTGTAATAAACAGATAAGTATAAAAAGAAAAGCAAATTAAAAACAAACACCCAAATTTCTACTGTCCAGAGTAAACTACTATTAATATTGTTTTTTTTTCTTCCCCCTCTTCCCTCTCTTCCCTCTCCCTCCCTCCCTCCCTTCCTTCCTTCTCTTCCTTGTCTTTCTTTATGGAAGAATGCTATTCATAGCATTTTATAGCTTGTTTTCACTTAACTAACTATTAATGTATTTCTACAATATCTATTCTACAACAATATTCTATAACACTCTGCCAGTATTCTACAACATCATTTTGATGGCTGTGTACAGCTCTGTTGTATGGATATAACATAATTTAATTAGCAATCCTCTATTTTGGAGCACTAGTTTTCAGTTTTTTATTATTATTACAAATGTAGCATTTTGAACACTTTTATAGGTAAAATTTTGTGCACAACCATGATTATTTCATTGGAATATATTATTTGTTGAGTCTAAAGCATAGAGCACTTTTAACCTTTTAATAAATTTGACAAACTTCAGCCCCCGCAGAAATATTGTTGTTGTGTGTACTCTTAGTCTTGTCTATTCTGCATTAATAATAATAAAAAAAATCCCCTGCCTTTGTTCTGGAGCATATGCATTAGTGAACTCAATGAGTGTTAGAAATCTACGTCTAATTAAAAAATGTAGCTGGGCCCACAGACATTACTTTGTTATAGAAAGGCTTTAATATTTTTATTATCTTAGTTAACAAAACCATTTGTGAGCCATGAGTTCTATCTGTGAAATGGATCATTAGATGGAGATTGGCTTATCATTGAGTTCTAAAGCCCTAGAAATCTTTTTGTCTCTAAAGAGGCAACAAATAGGCTAATACTCTACTGAATACCTAAGAGAATCAGTGAGCAGTTGTGATATGATGGTATCTACCACTGATTCCTGATGTGAAATTGTTCAAGGGAAGGGAACTAACTCTTGTTAGAAGCCAGGCACTATACCCATGGGGAGAATGTTCACTGGGTGTCTGAAGCCTGGCAGCAGGTGGAACTGCAGCCAGATGGTGGCCCAGCCAGGAGAGTGAGCCAAGGCCTATGCAGTGCATGGAGAAGAACCCTAGCCCCTGCTGCACAGATTTGTGCCCATTGGCCTGGATGGAGTGGTGGGTGCAGCAGTTCCTGGCTAGAATCATCAAATGGTCATAGCAGCTGCCTGAGAAGAAACACTACCATGGTGAACTCTTCACCAAAAGAGAACCATGGTGCCCCATCCACCTGCTGCAGCCTGGCTGAGCACTGGCCATACCTGAAGTGAGAGCATTTGGACTTTTGTACCTGCTGTTCCATTGGGCCCAATCGCCAGAGGTCAAAGGCTGAACCTGTATGACCTCAATTCTGCTTACTGTACCCAGGGACCCACCCTTAGGACTGGCAGGAAGGAGCTCCAGGCTAAAAAAGAAAAAAAAGAGAGAAACCAGGCACTGTACATACATTTACATCATGAAATCCAAACTACAGGCTTACTGAGGTTATGTATTAGCCTTTTGATTTTCAGAAAGATAAATTGAAGCTAAGAGATTATTCCATTTGTCCGAAGTCACGTAAGGTCTAAGGTGGAGTTGAGATTAAAATATAGGTCTACCTAACTCCAAACGTGTATGCCACCCAAGCTCATTCCTGCCCTTATCATAGTGCACTATCTGATTGAACCATTAGCTCAAGAGTATTCCTTGAACACAAAGATTAAATATGAAATGGATACGGTATTTAATAATACATGTCTACCTCTCCTGAGCTCTTAAGGCACTCAAGGTTGGAACAAAGCTGTTTTGTGGCCCCTTCCTATGTTCCTAATTTAATGATGGTCAGTAAGACTCAGGAATCTGACTGCTCCAGTACTTCTTTCTTATATAGTCTCCAAATTTCTAATAACATGAATTGGCACCTACTAACCATAAATTTATAGTCCTAGAAACATTGACCTGAACAGATCACCTAATCATATCACTTCTAATTTTTAAAATGCATACCACTCTAATGGGGGAAAAATAGATATTGCCAGAATTCATTGCAAGACAAATTCTTGGATGGGACAGTAATGAGGCAGTGTCTGGTTTTCATTAAAGGTAATAAATAAATAATTCATAACCCAAACAAAAGTAGTATAGGCTTTGTCATAAACATTATTACTATCCAATGCACTAATTGTCAGTGGAATATGCTTTGAGGAACGTGAAATGAGACCTTTCTTCCTACCCTATTTTAGTTTAGTTGTCACTTGACTCCTTGAGAGCTTCAAATCTAATCTATTTTAAAATGGCTAGAGAAAAAAGTACATTACTCAAATGTGAAAAGTGTTGCAAGAGAAATTCATCCTGAGTTCAATCAGGAAGGGATCACTGTTTTGCTTGTTTCGTTTATGGGTAATATAGTTTTATCTCCATAGAAGTTTAAATTTCATGCTCAGGATTAAAGATAGTAAAGTGCCAGCCAAATTGGTATTTTTGGAAAAGCTACATAAGATTTCACATTCAAACCTTAAACACATTATTCCTTTCTTCATTGTATTACTTAATCTGTTTTTCCTTCCTATGGAACTAGCTTTTGTTTTGAAATATGACATAGTAATGGACTATTGCAAAGGAAAACAAGAATAAAGAAATATGATTTTTTGGTGTTGTTTGTATGCATAAGTATAAAGTACTTATTATTGTTAAACCAAGCTTTTTGTTTTACCTGTTTGGAGAAATAAATTTCTCTGTGCCACATGGCATTCCCTGCTGGCATTTTATGGGGCCACATAGGAATGAATGGTCGATTATTTTTTGGAAGGTGGTTTGTTGTAGAGGATAAGAATTTCATGCAAACAACATATATACAGGGTAGCATAAAATGGAATTTAATGTATAAGCAAGGATATGACAGTGTAAAAAAATCTTGGATGCAGAATCAGGAGGTCTGTGTAAACAAGAGGTGGTTGTGGGGACTGCGCTCTGAAAGGAGTTAACTCATTCTGTGACAGGAAGCAGACTTGGGAGAGGAAGAAGGAGGGATTTCACAGCTTCAGAGTGGGGACCATGGAAGTTCAACACAAAGGATGGCTCTGGATAAGTCTGTGTGATGCCCTGTCCTGGGAAAAAAAACACTGCATAGGGAGAAGCGAGTATGTGAATGAGCCTCAGGATGTGACTTTGGGAACCCCGTTAATTTTGGTGGGGAGTACACTTGGTTGAGTGCAGCCTAATTCCCATCTGGGCTCATCCTTGCTTGTCCCTTTAAGCACTATGAGGCCCAGCCAAGAATCTGTACTCTGATGGTGGAAGTGACTGGAACCAGAGACTCAGATGAGGTCACCTGGGAAACAAATGTAAGTAGAGAAAAAGAAGAGAATCCAAGACTGTTCCAAAGTTCAGAGGTAGGTAGTAAAGGAGGAGTTGAAGAGGAAAAGACCAGTGAGGTAAGAGGAAAATTAGGACAGTGGGGCGACATTCTTCTGGGGAGAGAAAAGTGTTTCAGAAAGTTAAGGAGTGGTCAGTAACACTAAATGTTGCTAAGAAGTTCAGCATGACGAAGGCACAGGATGTGTCCATTGAATTTGGTAGCATGGAGGTCATTGGCGAACTCAACAAGAACATGGAAGCTTGATTGGAGTGGTTGAGATGAGACTGGGAGGTATGAAAGTGGAGACAGGAGATAGAGTTATTCTTTTGAGGTGTTTGCTATAAAGAGAAGGAAAGAAATGGGGTAATAACTAGATAGCATATTGGGTCAAGGGAGGGTGATTTTTCTAAATAGAGAAACTAGATCTGATGCAACTGATTCAGAAGCATGGGAGAAATACAGTGATATAGGACAGAGAGGGTATAATTGCAAAGTAGTGGGAGAACATAGATTCAGAGATCTAAGTAGAGTAGGTGGGCTTTTTTGGAAGAAAGGACACATCTACCTTAGTAACTTCAGGAAAGAAGGTAGAAAGCAGACGCACAGAAGAAAGGAGATATATAGATTTGGTGATGAGAAGATAAGGTAACTCCATTTAAATTGCTTCTAATTTCTCAGGAAAATAGGAGGTAAGTTCAACAGCTGGGATGAGACAGAGATGTCTGAGGAAGAGAAAGAATAAAATAGCTGTCTATGAGAGCTGGAAAACAAGCACACTGGGGAAGTGTCAAATATCCATTCATGACTCTGAGTCATGAATTTATGGTGGAACTATTTAGTGGCATTGAGTGGTTTTCTTTAGCAAAATTCAGTTACAAGAATTTGGCCAGAGTTAAATTTAATCAGGTTTGAAGGTTTTCTGGGGAAGTCAGAAGGAGGGAAGGGGCAGAAAGTAATTAAAGGAGTTTGCATGCAAGCAGGTGTCTGGGCACAGATGGCAGTGAGGACATGAAGGTAATGGACTGGAAAAAATGTCACCAGTGAGTGGAGGAGTGGTCAGGAGGTTGATATATACCATCCACAAGGAGGGAGATGTGAGTGAATTGTGGTCTAATGATATGAGCTGGATATTTTAAAGAAGGAGAGGCAAAAGAAAGCTTTGAAAATGGTACTAGGAGCTAGGAAGACATCAACCAGGCTCTAGGTTCATGGGTTATTAAGAAAAAAGCAACCCTTGCTTGTGGTTATAGGAAGGAAAAGGTTTCAGTTATGAAAAGAAGATGAACACCAACTGGGAGTCCCCAGTAGCCCAGTAAAGGAGAGGATAGAGAAGGTGGGGGGAATGAATGGAGGAGTATGGGATCCAGACCGGAGGGAGATGGGTGGATGAATGATAGGGTCTTAGGCTTCTGAGAGTGGTTGAGTTAAAAGGGAATAAAGCATGAGAAATTCATTTTGATGGCCTCTTCATGGAAGGCCCAGAAGTTCAGGTCTCTGTCCCATACTATAACTAGAAGGAGTGGAGAAGCTACAGATGAAAGGTGTTATATGAGCTTCCTTGGGGTTTCTGGCCTCAGCTAGAGGTCCACCAGCTAGAGGTTCTTATTGTGACTGACTAGCTGCATGCCCTTGGGCCAATTCTTGTCTGCTTTCCTCATGTATAAAATGAGTCATTTTCAGTGCTCATGTGCTATTCTCATTCTCGGGAATGGTTCTTACTTCCTTGTCAGCCTGTTGAAATCCTAGACATTCTAAGAATTATCTCAGAAGCTGTCATTAGGCTATTCTCAATGTAATCACCCAATCAACCAGAAGTGACATTTCACTTCTCAGAATCACTGTTACACTGTCTGAACCACCCTCATGACAGTTATCAACATCTTCTAACTAATAGAGTTATTTGTGTTTATCTCTCATATATGTTGAAAACACCATGAGAATAGGAGAGGTGACACATTCTTTTTGCTCATAGCAGGTGCTTGATAAGTGTCTGTCAAATGAACCAGTAAAGCATACTTCTGGAGGACAAAGTAGTCATGAAGTAATGGAGACTTATTAGAAAAAAAAAGTGAAAACAATCTTGTATTTCAAATTTGCATGAGACATTTAGGTCAGTGGAAAATGTGATGTCATCAGGTCTAAGAGTTGCTTGTGTGGCTGTTGCCACAAACTTGTGTCAGTTACAGATAGAATAAATCTATTAGCAGAGAATTAATTGCTGTATGCAGATAGCTTCATGGAGTTGAAATAATTCTGCCATGTTAAGTGGAAAATAGCAGAGGAAGAAAGGAAGAGGTGAAAATTAATGTATTTGAAAGAATGTTGAAAATACAAGAACAAGTGGAAGGAAATACTATAATTCTTAGGCTTTAAAAAAAAACATAAACGTAAATGTAGAGGCCAGGCGCAGTGGCTCACACCTGTAATCCCAGCACTTTGGGAGGCTGAGGCAGGCGGATCACCAGGTCAAGAGACTGAGACCATCCTGGCCAACATGGTGAAACCCCGTCTCTACTAAAAATACAAAAATTAGCTGGTCATGGTGGTGTGCACCTGTAGTCCCAGCTACTCAGGAGGCTGACACAGGAGAATCGCTTGAACCTGGGAGATGGAGGTTGCAGTGAGCTGAGATGGCGCCACTGCATTCCAGCCTGACTGCAGAGTGAGACTCCACCTCAAAAAAAAAAAAAAAAAAAAAGTAAATGTAGAATTTGTTCTAATACTCAAGGGATGAAAAATTTCTCCAAGCTAATGATTGTCTAAAGCACATATTTCTACTGGGACATGTTTTAATTACTGGGCTGTGGAAATCATATGACATGGGTTGGAATGTGAGTTGTTCTGTCTGTTAAGTGAAGAATTTTTAGTGGCTGCATTTTTTTGAATGAAACATTGAGTCACATGATCTGACAAGAAAGAATGTACTTATGGGGTCAATGGGACAGAATACTGGACATTGGAAAATTTCCAATAGGAATAGGAAAACACCAGTTTATGTTATATAACACCACCATCACTATTACCACTACCACTGCCATCACCTACAAAAATAGGAGCAAAAGCCTTCTAAGCACTGTGTCAGTGTCTGTTCTGCATATTTTATGTCTTGCATTAGTCAAGGTTCAACCAGAGACACAAGACCAGCAGGACATATATAAAGACATTTATTGAGAGGAATTGGCTTATGTGATTGTGGGGGCTCTGTAGGTGAGGCTGTTAGGAAGGGCAGGCTGGAACCCTGGGGCACGAGCTGAGGCTACCAGCCACAGACAGAATGTCTTCTTCCTCTGGGAAACTGCAATTTGGTTTTTAAGGTCTTTCGCTGATTGAATCAGACCCACTCAGATTATTGAGGATAACCTCCCTTACTTATAGTCAGGTTTATGTACTTTAAGCACATCTACAAAATACTCTCGCAGGAGCACTGTGATTAATGTTTGGTTGAATAACTGGAGACTGTAGCCTTGCCAAATTGACACATAAAACATGTGTTATCTCATTGAATCCTCAAAGCAACCTCTGTGAAGCAATTCACAAGAATGATGAGTGTTGGAGCAGGGGTTTGAACCTAGGTGATCTGATATGGAACCCAGGGATTGTGCACGACGCTGGAATGCACCATGGGCAAGAAGCCAAAGCCACACATAAGTTCTCCTCTGAAACATCTCCTGGAACAGGCCCTTTGTATTTCCTAGAGAGCAATAAGTCCCTTATAACTAGGATTGGTGGCTGTTCTCAGGCTGTCATGTGGAGGATATTAGCTAGCATCCTAGTTATAGTAAAAAGAACTTAAAATCATAAGTCCCTCGAAAAATTGCTAAGTCTCCTTAGTTTCATTCAAAGGGTATAAAGAAAACATGCAGTTTGTCATCCCATTCACTCCTGTCACCCCCAAGACATTGTACTAAGACCATAAATAGAAAAATTGGTATTGAGACAAGCATTGGGCTTGAATTAACACTTAGGTGATGACTATAGAGGATTTATTTTAATCTGGCTGAATTCTTTTCAGCTATAATAAGAATAAGCAGACCATCTGGTGGAAAGAGTAGAATGAAATGGAATGCAGACAGAGTTGTGAAAGGAGACGGCCATCCAGTAAGGAGCACTGGGGTTGGGCGAGGGTGGGGGTGTTGCTGTGGCTGTCTCTGGAGTATGTGTGAGTCCTGGGGGTGCTGGTGGGAGGCTAAGATGGTCTGGTGTCAGGGTAGACCCTAGGAAAGTAACAAGTCGGTGAAAGTACTGTTGGTTCTCAGCCCACAGTCTTGATGAGTCTGGGATCTGTGATCTCTGGGCTTTGGTGACCACACCTTTCTCCAGAACCCCTGATAAAATTAAATTTTATCTCAATCAGTACTTTCTCCTTCAAGGCTTCAGCTAGATACTCTGATAAACAACAAAAGCAACACAAAGTCAAACTCTTTATTCCTGTGTTGGTGAGAACCTCTACTTCCCCTACTTTGTTTTTTGTTCATTTGTTCGTTTCTGAGATGAAGCCCCGCTCTGACGCCCAGGCTGGAATCCAGTGGCGTGATCTCGGCTCACTGCAGCCTCTGCTTCCCAGTTCAAGAGATCCTCCCGCCTCAGCCTCCTGAGCAGCTGGGATTACAGGTGCCTGCCATCATGCCTGGCTAATTTTTGTATTTTTAGTAGAGACGGGGTTTCACCATGTTGGCCAGGCTGGTCTCGAACTCCTGACCTCAGGTGATCCACCCACCTCTGCCTCCCAAAGTGTTAGGATTATAGGCGTGAGCCACTGCACCAGCTGACTTCCCTTACTTTGACTTCAAGCTTCCTAGAACACTGCTCCCCACAAAAGGGAAGGAACTCTGGAGTAGGTTGAATAATAGTCCCCAAAGATATCAGATCCTAATCTCTGGGACCTGTCATTGTTACCACAAATGGAAGAAAGGTCTTTGCAGATGTGATTTAGTAAGAGATTTTTAAGGTGGGGAGATTTTTCCAGATTAGGTGGGTGGGCCCCAAATCCAGTCACAAGTGTCCTTATAAGAGAGAGACAAAAGAAGGTTTGACACAAACAGAAGAAAAGTCAGTGTGAACATGGAGGCAGATATTGGCTTGCAGCCACAAACCAAGGAAAGCTGGCAGCTATCAGATTCTAGAAGAGGCAGGAACAGATTCTCCCCTAGAGCCTCTGGGATGCCATAAAGGAGATTTGGGTCTAGTGATACTGATTTTGGACTTCTGGTTTCAAGAGAATAAATTGCCATTGTTTTCAAGCCACCAAATTATTATTATTTGTAATACTTTGTTACAACAGCCAGAGGAAATTAATACAGCTTCCTAACTTTTTCCTCAAATGACTCCTAATATCTTGAAATTTCCATGAAGACCTTCCTGAAAAAGTAAAGGACCCCTAATAACAGTCCTTCACCTCATTCAGTGCTCTATTTACTTGACCTTCAGCAGAAAACCCACATGTTTATTGGTTTGCTATATTATATTTGCTCTTGGTTTGTTGTTATAAGCTAAAAAGTGGGTGGGAAGTGTTCATTAGCTTTGTGAAATACCCAGCATAGTGCTTGATAGATGCTGTTTCAATGATAAAAAAACATGTGGAAGACTTTAAAAGGGAAAGAACAAGTTCAAAATATCTCTCCTCTTTCCTTAAGCATGAACTTGGGATCAGAATGCCTTGTTTGACCACTTGCTGAAGTAAGTTAAGGTGGTAAATGGAGAGTAAGCAAGGTTATGTTTACAGTACAGAGAGAAGAGGGATAATGTGTTCAGAGTTTTCTGATTATTGATACAATATTTCTTGTAGATAAGTGCATTTTAGCATTTTATTGCAGTATTTAGGGTTTATTTATATCTTTTTACCTATTAAGTTTATCTTTTTTTTTTTTTTTTGAGACAGAGTCTCACTCTGTCTCGCAGACTGGAGTGCAGTGGTGCGATCTTGGCTCTCTGCAGCCAATGCCTCCCAGATTCAAGCGATTCTCCCACCTCAGCCTCCCAAGTAGCTGGGACTATAGGTGCATGCCACCATGCCTGGCTGATTTTTTGCATTTATAGTAGAGACAGGGTTTCACTGTGTTGGCCAGGGTGGTGTGTTGGCCAGGGTGGTCTCGAACTCCTGACCTCAGGTGATCTGCCTGCCTTGGCCTCCCAAAGTGCTGGAATTACAGGGATGAGCCACTGAACCTGGCCTATTAAGTTTATCTTAAACTTTTGCACATGCCTTAGGATTCAGATCATTAAAACAGCTGATTTGCACACTAAAGATTTGATTAGAGTCTTAATTACCAGAGAAGGCAGGTACATTAGAATTTTAAATTTAGGATTAATTTCATCTATTTTTTAAAAAAATGCTCTAACTAGTAACATTTGTGATAATTTCGCGTTTTCTACCCTGAAATTAAATAATTTAGAAGAGAAGTAAAAAGCCAAGGAATATATGTTCAGTCGGTAAGACAATCTTAAAAACTGGTTCATTTTAACCACAACATCAAGAATTTATAATATTAAAAAATAAATCATGTATTATTTTTATCAAATCTGGCTTTGATAAAGAGCTTGGCCACATGTGTTATTCTGTCCTGAACACTTGCTTGGCACGAATTCTAAGTCTTACAGCAGGGGTCCCCAAACCCCAGGCCGCAGACAGATACTGGTTTGTGGCCTGTTAGGAACCAGGCTGCACAGTAGGAGGTGAGCAGCCGGCAAGCAGGCATTACCGCCTGAGCTCTGCCTCCTGTCATATCAGCTGTGGCATTAGATTGTCATAGGCGCGTGACCCCTATTGTAAGGGATCTCGGTGGTGCATGTTAGGGATCTAGGTTGCGAGCTCCTTATGAAAATCTAATGCTTGGTTGGAACAGTTTCATCCCAAAACCATTCCCTGGTTACCCCCATCTGTGGAAAAATTGTCTTCCACAAAACTGGTCCCTGGTGCCAAAAAGGTTGGGGAACCTCTTTCCTAAAGGAAGAGAAACACTGGTTTATTGTGCATTTAGAGTGGCTTTACCATGTTCACAAAAAGTCTTATTGAAAAGAATGTTAACTGCAACACTGTAATAGCAAAAGCTAGGAAATAGCTCAAAGTATTCATTAACAGGGAACTGATGAAAGACATAAATCCATACAGTGGAACATTTCATATTCATTAAAAATGAAGTATCTATACTGATATGGAATGATGCTTATGACATAGTTTAGAGGAGAAATGAAAGATGGAAAATAGTATACACAGAACAAAACCACTTGTGTTTTTAATTTTTAAAATTTACTTTTTTTAAAATAACTTTATACTTATAAAAAGTTACATAACTAGGAAATTAACATTGATGAAATCACAAGAACTAATCCACAGACCTTTTTAGATTTTTTTTCAAAATTTTTTTCAATTGCGCCACTAATGCCCTTCAGTATACTTTAATCAGGATAGCTCCTCCAGTTCATCATCTTTCTTCTCCTTTCATGATCTTGACACGTTTGAAGACTGTGCATCAGATATTTTGTAAAATGGGACTGTCTAAGGTTTCCTCATGATTACATACAGGTTTTGATTTTTTTTTGGCAAGAATACCACAGAAGTGCTGTTAGCTCTTCACAGTGCACATCAGGAGGCACATGATGTTGATGTGCCTTGTTGCTGGAGAGTTAACTTGATCACTTGGTTAAGGTGGTATCTGCCAGCTTTCTCTACGGTCAGGTTATTTTATTTTTCTTTTGTAATTAGCCAGCTTGGGCTGCCATATCAAAATACCATAAATTAAGTGGCTTAAACAACAAAAATCTGTTTTCTCATAGTTCTGGAGGCTGGAAGTCCAATACCAAGATCCAGCAGGGTCCAACAGGATATCCAGAAGGGTTTGATTTCTGGTGAGGGCTCTCTTCCTGGCTTGCAGATAGCAGCCTTCTTGCTCTGTCCTCACATGGTGGAGAGAGAAGAAAAGCAAGCTCTCTGCTGTCTCTTCTTATCAGGATATTCACCCCATCATAAGGGCCTCACCTTTATAACCTCATCCAAACTTAATTACTTCCCAAAGGCCCTACCTCCAAATATCATCACACTGGGGGTTAGAGCTTTACTGTATGAATTTTGGAAGGACACAATTCTGTACATAGCAAGTGTCTTGTGGGGAGTTAACTTGAGACTATGCAAATATCCTGTTACTCATTGTACTTTCTTATCCACTAATTTGAGCATCCATTGATGATTTTTGCCTGAAACTATTATTAATATTACTGTAGTGTTTCCATTTGTGTTTTAAAAAGTGATACACACATTTATGCCTGTATATGCATAGAATATCTTGAGAATGATACAAAGAAACTGGAAAAAGTGATTACTCTGGGGAAGGTTGTCAGTGAAGAGGGTGGCTGGATAGCCAGGGCAGGGAGACCTTTCACCCTGTGACCTCTTCATGCTGTGTGACTTTCATTATATTATTTCATTATATTACCCGAAAGCACAACTACTTGGGTTTGTGATCCAGAACTGTAGCTAGCTGGTTAATTTTATCTTTAAAATATAAATGGATTAAAATTTTACTTTTTTTACTTTTTGAAACTTGCAATAGATTTTTTTTTTTTTTTGAGATGGAGTCTTGCTCTGTCACCCAGGGTGGAGTGCAATGGTGTGATCGCAGCTCACTGCAAACTCTGCCTCATGGGTTCAAGTGATTCTTGTGGCTCAGCCTCCCAAAGAGCTGGAATTACAGGTGCCAGCCACCAGGCCTGGCTAATTTTTTATTTTTAGTAGAGATGGGGTTTCACCATGTTGGCCAGGCTGGTCTGGAACTCCTGGAGTCAAGCAATCTGCCTGCCTTAGCCTCCCAAAATGCTGGGATTACAGGTGTGAGCCACTGTGCTTAGCCTTGTGATAGATTTTTTTAAGTAAGATCTGGATTGTATAATTTGTCTTTTAGCATAACCCGTCCAGGCATCACTTTGGGTAATCCCTATGAATTTCAATAAAGAGAACCTGGGTCCCAGGCTTTTTCTCCCATGTGATTTCTCATCCCTATAAAATTTAGAGCAAGATGGCTAAGAGCAAAGAGGGACAACACCTAACTCCACCTGGTAGCATCTGAGGTCCACATGCAAAGGGCTGTCCTGGGGAGAGATGGAGAGCCTTAGACCCTCACGACCCTCATGGGACCTTTCTTAACTTAGTCCCTGAAAATTCTAACCCCATTCTTTCATGATTCCTTTCATAAGCAATTAACTTTCCTAAACAATCACCAAAGTAGAGAGTATTGAGCTTACAGTAAACCCCTCTTTTCTTAAAGTTTTGTTAATATCTGAAGAAACTTCAAGGTACTCCTAGAGGGCATATTTGTTTTGCAGGACAATTGTGAAAGATTAAATATGAACTCACTGTGCTAATAAGTGGAATTCTGTCTGTTCAGAAGAGAGAGGTGTACATGTTTCAGTCTATTTTTTAGAAGGTGGTGGTGGATGTGTTCCTATATATTGCTTTTTGAGGCCTTCTCTTCCAAATGCTTACAGAACAAAGGAGGAATCAGTTCTAATTTTGTATAGAGGGACACAATTCAATCCTCATGATACACCAGAGAGAGAAGCATCCTGAAACTGCACATATTTTTAACATAATAAATATGTAAGTATCAGTCACCGAATTTAAGCCTATGGGTTATGTGTGGATGCTTTAAATATCACTTCAACAATAACACAAGAGATTACAGAAAATTATGCTTGTAAAAGATCCATAACAATACGAAAGCAAAGTACTAAAGGAAAGATAATATAAAACATCTTTTTACAACTCGTTTGCTTTGTAATTTCTAGTTAATGATGTCCTAGTTTTTGGCTTGACTTTCTTTTGAAATTTCCTTTATGTATTTTGTTATTTTAATTTCACGTGTACTATTCTCAGTTCTTGGGTTCATGGGAAGAAGCGAAGATTTTATGAATAAAAGTTAATATTACTGCTTCAAGTGAGCGAGCCATTATGAAAATGTTAAAATATTGTTTAACCAGAAAGTTCCTTGAATTGTAGAGGAATATATGGCCAAAGCCAGAATGTGGGTGGTAGAATATTTCCTACTATAAACCCAATGAAACCTGGAGATTAATTGTAAGTAGGTGACATAATATTCAGAAAACCTCAGCCCCTGATGTGTGATAACACTGTATTCATTGTACAGCAAAGACACTATTTGTCTTCATTGTTATAGTTGTCAAGCAGTCTCAAAAGCAAAATTATTCATATCAATTTTGCTCATTATTTTAATAGAATGTATTATTTCATGTGAGTGAGTTTTCTAGATGAATGAAATCCACTACTTCAAGCACTGATATTTTCAGTAAGATTGTAAGTGTCTTGAGGACAGTGACCAAGAGTTATTTACTTAAAGTATGTTTCCTAGTGGAGTTTCTACAGTATTAGACACAGGTACTTAAAATATACCTTTTGACTTGGTGACATACTTTTACATACTTGATCTTTCACAGTCTCGTTAAAAGCAGCAGATGTGGTTGGAAGGAATCTTAAATGCATACTTGCATATCATTATTTGTTTATATGTTTCCTTTTCTTGATAGTAAGAGTTCTGTTTAGTTTATCTCGTATCCTTGACTACAATCATAATGCCAGCTCAGTGGCTCTCACCAAATGTTGAATGGCTTGGTTTGAATTGTGTGTTTTCACTTTGTCAATTATTAGTTGAATAACTTTCTGCCAGTTACTTTACTTGAGTCTCAGTTTCCTCATCTGTATAGCTGGAAAACAAACACAAAGTTATTACGAGAGTCACATGAGATGATTCTTGTGTGTACACCTAACTCAGTGTCTGGCATATAATAAGCACCCAGTAAATGTCTCCTCCCTTCCCCTCCCTTGTTTCTTTGGAGGGCAGATATTATTTTTCCTAGTTTTATAGATAAAGAAATCAAGGTGTAGAAAAGTTATGTGACTTACCAAAGTTCACTTTTACATTTAGAAAAAGTACCATAATTACACTTTGTGTTTCCTGACCTCCTCTACCCAGTGTTTTCACTATTAGGCCATGCTGTCTGGTGCTTGTTTAACAAAGTCTACATAGAGTTATTGGATTTGGCGGCTCAAGCCCAAATGAAAAAAATGGATAAGAGAACAAATTTCAGACTAAAAGATAATACAAATTTTATTAATTTATGCAACAAATATTTCTTTATTGTAGACTCAGTAAAAAGCACTAGGTTTGGTCTTATGTAAGTTTCAGAGTTAAATGTGGAAAAGTCCTTGCCTTGAAGAATCTACAAATGGTAGAAATAAAAAGACACAGACACAGAGGATTATAATCCAATGCAGTGCTTAATAAGAGCCTCATGAGCTGTGTGCTGAGGGAATTTAAGTAGTGGGAGGCGTTACTTCTAGAAGGCAGCATGTTTGGGCAGGTGTAAAGATCCCTTCTATCATAGTGGTGTAGGATCTAAGGGGACTTGAGAACTGCTCATTCTCAAGTTCTTCTGCCAGTGTTACTTATTTCTTGTTTTAGGTATTGCCATTATAGGAAAATACCTGGATTTAGATTCAAAGACAAATCTCTTTATAAAAGCGGTTGTGCAATTATTTCTGCTGCCTTATCCCTTTGTGTAACAGCTGTCCTGGAAAATATTGCATTTGTTTCCCACATTTAATTACTCACTAATGACCAATAAAAGCTATAAAAGAGTTTATTGCTTTATTGATGATGATTCAGGTCAAACATGGCAGATGCTTCCTTATGCTGAATCCTCCAACAAGTATCTATTATAGGAAGATGGATGCATCAAGTTCAGTAGAATAGCGAAGAGCAGTTTGCAGCTGGCCAGGTTCCTAGCATGGAGGTACTTTGCTACAGGATACTTTGCTGCAAAGTTCAGCCTTCCTTTTGAAGCAGATCTTCCTTTCTGCTCTCTTTTTACTTCTTCCTTCTTTCCTGTCCCCTTCCTTCTTCCTTCTTGCTCCTTTTTTTCTTTTTATTTCTTGTGTTCCTACTCAAGGGGAGCATACCAAAGAAACAAATAATTATTTCTTCCCTGCTGGAATTGACAATTAACTTAAGGAGCTAAAACCTGAAACAGAATGACAAGTGAACATAGGTAAGTGTAGGGTGAGGCAGCCCAACCTCTGTACTTAAGGGTGGAGAGAATTCACAGTAAGTAAATGATCCATCTAAGGTGGGGATTGCCAGTAAAGTTTCTTGAAGCCAGCTTGCTTGTTTGCTTTCCTGTCTGCTCCAAAACAAGTTACTTCAGGTTATAGTCATTGATTCCATATACATTTTGTTTTTTATTGATATCTCATATCTGTGTTTTGGGAGGTTTGTTTTTTATTATCCAATCCAAGCTGAGTGATGCCTAGTTTTCTTATCTCATTGCCCGGTGTTTATTCAGTGTTCAAACCTAAGCCCCACTGGTGATGGGCATGGCCTTTTTATCCTCCACAGCTCCTTACAACTGTGTGACCATAGCTTCCGGTGGATTACAACAGTGATGTACAGGTGATGGTGATAATAAGAGGACTTGTTTTGACTACATTCTAAATTTGACCGTATTCCAAATTAAAACTTGTTATTGGTCAAACATTACCAGGGAAGTCTTTGGGAGTGCAAAGTTATGGAACCAATATTTTCTGAGCACACGCTGTGCTGGGGATCATGC
This sequence comes from Homo sapiens, assembly GCF_000001405.40. Taxonomy (NCBI): domain Eukaryota; kingdom Metazoa; phylum Chordata; class Mammalia; order Primates; family Hominidae; genus Homo; species Homo sapiens. The sequence continues at coordinate 185,450,838 of NC_000001.11, forward strand.
TGTGCATGTTAGACAAATCTACTTGGTTGTTGCCCACGGTGACTTCAGCTTACAGATGAAGAAACTGAGGTTCACAGAGGTAAGTTAAATTACTTACAGCCATACAATTGGTACATGTTGGAGCCAGGGTTCAAACCTAGGTTGCCCGTATTTCCACATCCTTTTCCACTATACCAAAAAGCTTCCCTAAGATAGGGCCTGTGAAGGACTCCCAGATGCTGGGGATGCGACAGAATCCCAGGCATGCTGCCGTCACCAAAACCACTACCACTGCCCCTTGTGGGAAGAACTGGATTCACGGGGTCATGGATGCTCCAGGAAATGCTACACAAAAAGAGTGATATCTGTGAAGGGAGAGGCTAGGGGGAAGGGGAAGGCAAATGTGTAAAATATGTGTCTCTATCATCAGTTTTATGTTCAGCTATGAACATTCTGTTCTAAAGAAGGTTTGTGTTCCCAAAGTTACAGCTCCGTAGTAACAGTGGTCTCCCAGCCTGTCCACTTGTTTGTAGCTACTTTGGAAGGGTACTAGGGTCAGTGTGATCTCCATGAAGTTTAGGTGAATCCAGCACCAAGGTCCCTTCTGACCATCTTAGAGCAAGGACCCACTGTCTATTTTTATCTCCTTCAACTCTTAAAGACTCTTTTTCCCTCAAGAGTCCCATTGCCTTTTCTGACGTTCAGACTTGGACAAAGCCTATTTGGTCTATCACATCTGCTTTCATAACTTTGAATATCTGTGGAAGTGCACAGTGATATTGATTCCTTTCCCTAAGAATAAGAAGGCTTTAGATTCTTTATGTAAATTGTACACTACATTTCAAACCTCCACACTCAGCTTCTCAATTGTATATGAGAGGGTTGGCTTGTCTTTATATGCTAAGTCCTGGAGACTTGTCTCTAATTCACTAAAAACGTGACCTCTGTTTAACCTCAGAAGCAGAGGTAACCAAATACATTTCCCTTTCTAAATAAGATGACAATACCCTCTGAGGCTTGGGTGTTTCTCAAGCGCAGCCCTAGTCTTGAATCTCCTAACTTGCCCATCCTGTACCTACCTATGAATCCAAACTGATTGGGGGACAAAGAAAGGCAATTGTAATAGAGACCATTTAGAGCAAGATACAGACATACAGGAGCTAAAGGAGGCGAGTGTGTGTGAATAGGGGATGGGGGTGAGGGAATGAACCCTCTTTACAGAAGAGTTTTGATTTTGAGGCAGCTTTTTTCTTGTGGCAGGGCCAGATATACCAGGCTGAGGCTAATGAAACTTAAGCTTTGGGCCTCTCACTTGCATGGAACTCTTCCAAGGCCCTGGGAGAGGCTCTAGAAATTCTAATTTATAATTTTTCACTTTTTTCATTAAAGGAGATTTTCTTCCTCCAAATTGTATGCTTCAGTCTCCACAAAAACCAGATCTACCCCTGCCCGGACCAACATTTTTAGAATGGTTCTCATAAACAAAGAGACCAATACCAGCTTAGCCAGTCAAGAATTAAGACTGAATTGGTTTGGTAATCCCGGCTGAAGGGTCTGCTTATGGAAAGAGGCTTCTGGCAGCCTACTTTGTTTGGACCAAAGATGCTAAATAAATTTTACGTTATGCGTCAACCCCAATCGATTGGTAGTGGCTGTGTTGAGAAAGATTCTGAAGTCAGGTCCAGGCTCATGAGAGTCATAAATAATTAGTGATGGCCACCATGAATATCTGTCTGATGTTAGCCCTGATTTGAATTTGGACTCCGTATCTATGGCCCAAGATGGAAGCTGCAGTGTTAGTGGAAAAAAAATAAAGCTCAAAGGGATGTCTCTTTCTGTGGTAAGTGTCTTTCAGAAAACACAAGGCAATTCTTTCTACCTGGCTTCCTGAATTATGCAAAATGTTGGGACACTTGGTTAAGAAACATTCTTCATAAGGCACATACTGAGGCTGACTAGTGACTGCTCCTTGAAGGCAGAGCTGAACAGAGAGTGTGCTAGATTTCAGGGCCTTCAGCCACTTTCTGTTTCTACCATGGGTTTGGTGGGTCACACAAAGACTTGGTGGTCACTCTTCACATATAGAGTAAGTATGTCAAATGCTATATTCTGGGATTAGCATATTTTTGGTGTTCAAACAATCAAAAACCATAGTTTATTAAACAGCTAACAGGTGACAATGGGTGTATTCTCTATACTTTTCCTAAATGGTGTGTGTTATGAGCTGAATTTTATGGCCCTTCAATTCATACATTGAAGTCCTAACTCCCAGTATCTTGGAATGTGACTATATTTAGAGATAGAGGCTTTAAAGAGTTAAAATGAGGTCATCAGGGTGGGCGCTAATTCAGTATGATTGGAGTCCTTATAAAAAGGGGAAATTTAGAGACAGATGCACATACACAGAGCACTCCATGTGAAGAGACGCAAGGAGAAGACAGCCAACTATAAGCCAAGGAAAGGAGGAAATGTAGACGCAGACACACATTGCAGGGAATGCTGTGTGAACATGAAGACAACTGTCTACAAGTCAAGGAGCGAGGCCTTGGGAGAAAGCAATCCTGTTGACACCTAGGTCTCAGATGTCTGACCTCTAGTACTGTGAGAAAATGAATTACTATTGTTTAAGCCAGGGATCTACAGCCCCCAGGTTACGGACTGATAGTGGTCCGTGGCCTGCGAGGAACTGGGCCACACAGCAGGAGGTTAGTGGTGGGAGAGCTTCAACTGTAGTTATAGCCACTTCCCATTGTTTGCATCCTTTATTTCCTGAGCTCCGCTTCCTGTCAGATCAGCGGTGGCATTAGATTCTCAAAGGAAAGCAAACCCTATTGTGAACTGCGCAGGAGAGGGATCTAGGTTGCGTGTTCCTTATGAGAATCTAATACTTGATGATCTGTTACTGTCTCCCATCACCCCCATATGGAACCATCTAGTTGCAGGAAAACAGGCTCAGGGCTCCCACTGATTCTACATTATGGTGAGTTGTATAGTTATTTCATTACATATTGCAGTGTCATAATGCAAATAAAGTGCACAATAAATGTAATGTGTCTGAATCATCCCCAAACCATCCCCATACCCCTGGGATGTGGAAAAATTGTCTTCCACGAAACCAGTCCCTGGTGCCAAAAAGCTTGGGGACTGCTTGTTTAAACCACCCAGTCTGCGGTATTTTGTTATGGTAGCCCTAGAAAACTAATACACTATGTTTGCACCATTCCTTTGGAATTTTTTTCTTATGTATACACTGTGAAGCTTTGCATATTTTCTGTTGTGTCTCATGTTTATCAAAAAGTTCTTGCCTCATATTTTCCAGTCTCTTTTTTCTTTTACCACTTAATCTCTGGGCTTAACAATGGTAATTTTTGCCACATTCCAGCCTGACTTGATGATATTTCTATTTAAACTACCAGCAAGATTTATTGAGAAGCCAGTGAAAAAGAAAGACAACTCAAATTAGTTTCACTGAAGTGCACAGGAGGATATAAATAATTCTTGGTTGGAAAATCTGGTTAGTGGTCCTGACAGTCCAGAAAAATGTTGCTGGAGTGAGAACAGCAGGGGAGGCTATAGAAGTACAGGCTCATCAGGAAAGGAGGTGTTTTGATCCATATTTTGAATAACATGATTGAGTTTAGTAATACAGTATGGTTTTTTTTTCTTTTCTTTTCTTTTTTTTTTTTTTTTGAGACGGAGTCTCGCTCTGTCACCCAGGCTGGAGTGCAGTGGCGCAATCTTGGCTCACTGTGCAAGCTCCACCTCCTGGGTTCACGCCATTCTCCTGCCTCAGCCTCCCGAGTAGCTGGGATTACAGGCGCCCGCCACCATGCCCGGCTAATTTTTTGTATATTTAGTAGAGATGGGGTTTCACCGTGTTAGCCAGGATGGTCTCGATCTCCTGACCTTGTGATCCACCCACGTCAGCCTCCCAAAGTGCTGGAATTACAGGCATGAGCCACCACGCCCGGCCGTAATACAGTATGTTTATTTCAGAAACAAGATGATAAATTTCAGTACTTATTTGATATGTGCTATAATCTTCTGTAGAGTTGGCAAGTGATGTGCACTGTGGCCCTCAAATGCTGGGAATCAAAAGGGAAAAAACCACATTTTGATTCTCTATAATTCCATTAACTAGAGTTCATTTGTAATCTACTCTTAGAAGAAAAATTTGCAATAACGAGAAGCCAAACATATAAGGTATTTTAAAGAAATAATCAAATATCTAAGGTACGTTCTGTGATTCAGTATAAATTCAGGCCTATCTCATGTATCTTTTACATCTTTATCCAAACATCTGTTTAGTATGAATTATTGGTGAGAAGTAGGATTCTGAGGTAATGCAAAACTTCTATCATCAAAGATTGAATTAATTTGATTTTGCTCACTATATAACATTTACAAAGGTAGGGAAGTGAGCCAATTATGTGTAAGAAAGAGTTTCCACAGTGAGGGTACAAGTAAATGAAAATTCTTATTTAATTGTTGCCTAAATAGAAACTCCAATGAATAAACCTCGGCCCTTAAAAATAGAGGTATTGCTGTGGTTCTGATTTCATTAACAATAACCCTTTGATACCATTTTCCCATTTGTAAATGTTGACTTTTTGGCTTTCAAAAAATTTCTATACTTTTATTAAAGACAAAGACTAGGCCGGGTGCAGTTGCTCACGCCTGTAATCCCAGTATTTTGGGAGGCTGAGGCGGGTGGATCACGAGTTCGGGAGTTCAAGACCAGGCTGGCCAAGATGGTGAAACCCCGTCTCTACTAAAAATACAAAAATTAGCCAGGTGTGGTGGCAGGCACCTGTAATCTCAGCTACTCAGGAGGCCGAGGCAGAGGATTGCTTGAACCTGGGAGGCGGAGGTTGCAGTGAGCCAAGATCATGCCACTGCACTCCAGCCTGAGCGACAGAGTGAGACTCCATCTCAAAAAAACAAAAAACAAAAAACAAACAAACCCAAAAAAACACAATGACTATTTTTTTTTTTTTTTGTCAGATGGAGCCTCCCTCTGTCTCCTAGGCTGGAGTACAGTGGTGCAATCTTGGCTCACTGCAACCTCTGCCTCCCGGGTTCGGGCAATTCTCTGTCTCAGCCTCCTGAGTAGCTGAGATTACAGGCGCCCACCACCACACCCGGCTAATTTTTGTATTTTTAAGTAGAGACAGGGTTTCACCATCTTAGCCAGGCTGGTCTTGAACTCCTAACTTCAGGTGATTCATCCACCTCAGCCTCCTAAAGTGCTGGGATTACAGGTGTGAGCCACTGTGCCTGTCCGACAATGACTTTTTTTTTTTTTTTTTGAGATGGAGTCTTACTCTGTCTCCCAGGCTGGAGTGCAATAGCACCATGTCGGCTCACTGCAACCTCCATCTCCTGGGTGCAAGCAATTCTCCTGCCTCAGCCTCCCGAGGAGCTGAGATTACAGGCGGCTGCCACCACACCTGGCTAATTTTTATATTTTTAGTAGATACAGGGTTTCACCATGTTGGCCAGGCTGGTCTCGAACTCCTGACCTCAGGTAATCTGCCCGCCTTGGTCTCCCAAAGTGTTGGGATTACAGGCGTGAGCCACTGCACCCTGCTGACTATTTTTTAAGAAAAACTTTTCCAAAAAAATATGACTTAACCTGTGACATCTCTTAGTCCCATGAACAGCTGGGTGGGAAGTCATCTGCAGGGGGTCTTTTCACCATGGATGCTGCAACCCCCTGGTCTGAGCCCCCATCCTCTCTTGCTTGGATAACTGCAACAGCTTCCTGCAGAGCCTCCTGTTTCTCCCCTTGATCCTCTATAGTCTGTGCTCAACACAATGGCTATACAATAATTTAAAATATATGTGCCATTTTATGCTTCTCCTTAGTTCAACCCCTGTGTGACTTCCCATCTGCCTCAGAGTGAAAGCCAAAGTCTTAACAATGGCCCACAGTGCCCTCCACAATCTGCCCTGCCCTTCTGTCCCTCACCTCCCTGGCTCAGCTCATCGCACTCATCCCCTAGACTGCTCTACTCTGCTGCACTGACCTCCTTGCCATTCCTCAATCCTGCCAGCCCTGCTCCCTCTGCCTGGAAGGCTCTTTCTACAGTTATTTCCATGCCTCCCTCCCTCATACCTTTTGGATCTTTGCTCGAATGTCGTAAGCCATCCTCTCATGGAGACCTTTTCACACCCTTTAAAATTGCTACCACCTCCCTAGCGCCCTCTCCCCAACCCCATTCCTCTTCCATTCTCATTACCGTATGACTTAACTCTCTATTTGCTTGTTTTATTGTCCTTCCTCCACTGGGATGTAAGCTCCATGAAGGCAGGGATTTTAGTCTGTTTCGTTCACCTAATAGAATCTTGTCGGCTCATAGTAGGGTCAATAAATATTAGTTTAATAAACAAATGACTGATGAGGACTTTTTCCAGCAATTTATTTACCTATTTGCCAAAGGACCAGCAAAATAACTCAGAAATCTAATAATGGGTTAAGTCTCTTAATGAAACAGAATGGAACATAGTATTCCAGTGCCATCTTGCATTCTGCAGGACTTGACAGTAATGTGTAAGAGAAAAAAAGAGATAGACTGATATTTCCTTAGTCACATATCTTTCAATATATTGAGGCCATAAAAGAAATAAGTAAGCTACAAAACATTCTCTTCTAACGTAATTATATTTATTCCTTCCTTCCTTTTTTGTTTGTTTGCCTAATCACATATATTATACAAATTAATGATAGTCCGTTTAGAGATAGAACACTTTCCAGGAGTCGAAAGTAAAAATCCACTGATGTCTTTTTTGCTTTTGCTGTTGAATAATAGATTTTTAAATGAGAAAGAAGTTTAATTACTTGAGTTTTGTCATCTCCATCATCGCTGATTACAGCTGTTCCTAGGAAGTGGATTAGAATATATTATTTTTCCTTTCTCCTAAAATCAAAATCTGACATAAAAATAGCCATTGCTAATTTGCAGACGATGATTTCAGCATTCCACCATTTTGGCTTCTAATTATTTATAGTTTTGCAGAAGAGCACTTGCTTATCTGCTCATTGACAAAGGTAAATAAAGCATTTAACTGGTGTAAAATGATGGAGTAAGGATTTACGTATGCTCTGAGAGGGGTAACCTACTTCCTCTTTTTGGATACCAAAATGTATGATTCCTCCTTCAGATGGTGACATAGAACACCTGAGTTTCCTCACTTGTATATTCTTTTTTTTTTTTTTTTTTTTTGAGATGGAGTCTCACTCTATTGCCCAGGCTGGAGTGCAGTGGCATGATCTTGGCATCCTGGCTCACTGCAACCTCCGCCTCCCATGTTTGAACTATCTTCCTGCCTCAGCCCCCCTAGTAGCTGGGATTACAGGCATGCGCCACCATGCCTGGCTAATTTTTGTATTTTTAATAGAGATGGGGTTTTGCCATGTTGGCCAGGCTGGTCTCGAACTTCTCACCTCAGGTGATCCACCCACCTCAGCCTCCCAAAAGCTGGGATTACAGGCGTGAGCCCCTGCACCCGGCCATCATTGTGTATATTCTTGATCCCCCCTCCACAACCCCCAGGGTCTATCAAAAGACTGGGTGGGAGAAGTAAGATTTAAAGACATCTAGGAAAAGGGTAGAGGAAGGCAGGGAGTATTTGTGCACTAATAATTTTTTCTCCCTAACACAAAGCATAATTTCTTACAAACTGTATTTCCCCTTTGTCTACAGCTGCCAGGAAGCTCCAAGCCATGTTTATTAATGATTATAGTAACTAAGTTAGCACTTAAGGCTAACATATTTATTTAATTCCTCCAGATATTCATGGCTTTGCTTTCCATTTACATTTTAATTGCATTATTGTGTGTGTCTTGCTGAGCACCTTCACATTCTTTTGTAAAAGGCACAGATTATTAAAAAGATAGAATTTTATTTCTGTCCCAATGGCTTATTTGGCCCCATTCTACTTTCTTCCTACCCCAGTTCCAGCAGCCTGATAAAAATTTGTGGTAGATCCTTTCTTCCTTCCCTCCATTCCTCAGAAGAAACCGACATTGCCAACAACTAGACCTTGAACTTTTGGAATCCAGAGTTGTGACACAATAAATGTCACCCAGTTTGTGGTACATTGTTACAGGAGCCCTAGCAAACAAATCTACCTGGTAAGTTTTCGTTGGATGCAGAAATGATGAGTTTTACCTTGTTGGGAACTGGATATTTTTGTATTTCTATAAATATTTTTGAGATTTGTTCTAGGGCACAGTTAAATTACTTGGAAATAGGTTGATTCTTTCCATTTTGCTTTTAAGTTTTGTTAGGTGAGAGCAGAGCAGTATTTTGTCCAGAGTTGATTTTGCCCCATTACACAGGCCGTGCCCTTCCAATCACGCTGTCTGATGCCTCATGAATTATGAAGTTTTCACTTTAGCTAGTGGGAACAAGAACTGTTTCTGGCTCTGTGTGAGCTCTAGAGATTATATTTTCTAATTGTTTTGGGGCATGGTTGTTTCCCAAACCTTAGGTAGTTTCCTGACATACATGTGCTGATCATTACTTGTCATGTGCTGCACAGACTTGAGAGGGGCTCTGCAGATTTGCAGCGTTCTCTCTTTGGTATTTTGCCTTGCAAATTCTAGCTGCTTTAGCCTTCCTGGACTCCCGGCTACATTTTCTTAACTCGTAGAAACTGCTGGTCCCCGCTGGAACGGCTTGGTTTTCTTCCAGGTGTCTCTCACATTCACTCCTCAGGTTGAGATGGGCATGTCCTCATGGTTATGACAAAGTAGCCTGATTGGAAAGAGAGAAAGCTCATTGGCCAAAGGAAGTTACATGGGTGAACCAGGAAGAATCAATATCGTGAAAATGGCCATACTGCTCAAAGTTATTTATAGATTCACTGCTATTCCCATCAAGCTACCATTGACTTTCTTCACAGAACTAGAAAAAAAACTGCTTTAAATTTCATACAGAACCAAAAAAGAGCCCATATAGCCAAGACAATCCTAAGCAAAAAGAACAAAGCTGGAGGCATCACGCTACTTGACTTCAAACTATACTACAAGGCTACAGTAACCAAAACAGCCTGGTACTGTTACCAAAACAGATATATAGACCAATGGAACAGAACAGAGACCTCAGAAATAACGCCACACATCTACAACCATCTGATCTTCGACAAACCTGACCAAAACAAGCAATGGGGAAAGGATTCCCTATTTAACAAATGGTGCTGGGAAAACTGGCTAGCCATATGCAGAAAGCTGAAACTGGACCCCTTCCTTACACCTTATACAGAAATTAACTTGAGATGGATTAAGACTTAAACATAAAACCTAAAACCATAAAAATCCTAGAAGAAAACCTAAGTAATACCATTCAGGACATAGGCATGGGCAAAGACTTCATGACTAAAACACCAAAAGCAATGGCAACAAAAGCCAAAATTGACAAATGGGACATAATTAAACTAAAGAGCTTCTGCACAGCAAAAGAAACCATCATCAGAGTGAACAGGCAACCCTCAGAATGGGAGAAAATTTTTGCAGTCTATCCATCTGACAAAGATCTAATATTCAGAATCTACAAGGAACTTAAACAAATTTATAAGAAAAACAAACAACCCCATCAAAAAGTGGGCAAAGGATATGAACAGACACTTCTCAAAAGAAGACATTTATGTGGCCAACAAACATGAAAAGAAGCTCATCATCACTGGTCATTAGAGAAATGCACATCAAAACCACAATGAGATATCATCTCACGCCAGTAGGAGTAGCAATTATTAAAAAGTCAGGAAACAACAGATGCTGGCGAGGATGCGGAGGAATAGGAACACTTTGACACTATTGGTGGGAGTGTAAATTAGTTCAACCATTATGGAAGGCAGCGTGGCTATTCCTCAAGGATCTAGAACCAGAAATACCATTTGACCCAGCAATCCCATTACTGGGTATATACCCAAAGGATTATAAATCATTCTACTATAAAGACACATGCACGCGTATGTTTATTGCAGCACTATTCACAATAGCAAAGACTCGGAACCAACCCAAGTGTCCATTAATGATAGACTGGATTAAGAAAATGTGGCACATATACACCATGGAATACTATGCAGCCATAAAAAAGAATGTCTTTTGGAAGGACATGGATGAAGCTGGAAAACATTATCCTCAGCAAACTCACACAGGAACAGAAAACCAAACATGCATGTTCTCACTCATAAGTGGGAGTTGAACAATGAGAACACATGGACACAGGGAGGGCAACATCACACACTGGGGCCTGTCAGGGGGTGGGGGCAAGGGAGGGAAAGCATTAGGACAAATACGTAATGCATGTGGGGCTTAAGACCTAGATGATGGGTTGATAGGTGCAGCAAACCACCATGGCACATGCATACCTATGTAACAAACCTGCACGTTCAGCACATGTATCCCAGAACTTAAACTAAAATTAAAAAAAAAAAAAAGAAAATATATTACACCATGACCAAAAAAAAAAAGATATGGTGAAATGAAGAATTAAGATTATTATTGTAATTAATCTACACAACCAGTCTTATGATCTTGGTTACATATTGTTAAATTAGTCTTGAGAAAGAATATACAATATGACCAGCAAAATATATCTATTTTTATATACTTCTCTTTTTGCTTAGGGAAACTGGTTCTGAGACATTTGTAACATATTATTGTTTTCTAACTCTTGTGAATATATATACAGTGGAGCCTTCCATATCCTCAGAGAATTGGTTCCAGGACCCCCTATTGCCAGGATATCAAAATCCCAGGATATCAAAATCCCAGGATGTACAAGTTTCTTAGTTGGCCCTCCAGATCCACAGATGTGGAACTCGTGAATATGGATGGCTGCTGAGTATGTGTATGTGTGTGTGTATGTATGTACATATATATAAAGTATGATTTCTTCATTGAACATTCTTGCAAATATTCATCTGAATTCCAGAAATATTGTTACATATTTTGCTCCCAACCAGAGAAATTATATTAATGCTTTAGGAGAAATAACCAGTACTGATCTTTATTTTAATGGGAAATTTCTATGAGACAAACTCAGTTTACTTTGAAACAAGTATGATTCAGAAACAATATGGAGATTAGAATTGGACTTAGAAGTAAAGGTATTTAAAACTGCAAAAGACCTTAGAGATTATCTTGTAAATGACCTTTTATAGAACTATGTACAGGTAAGAAAGCTGGGGGATAAAGCAATTTAGTTACTTACCCAAAGTGAAAAAAACCTATCAGTGGTGCAAAGTCTGATGCATAGTATATATATATAATAAGTGCTTGTTGAGTGAAGAAATGAATCTAGGACTGGAATTAGGTCTCTTGACTATGTTTGGCACTTAATTATGTCATCATAAAAGTAAAATGTCTCCAGGACTGAACACTAGCTTAGGCTTCAGGACAGAAAGGATAGATTGCATCAATTTAGGGCAGCACAGACTTTCAGGGTATTTTAAAAGATTTCTTCAGTAAGAGGCTATGATAGTTTTCTGTAAACATATAAGTAAAAGAGATCTTATCATTCTCCAGAGGTATGTGGACCAATGAGTGAAGGTGTGAATGGAAGAAAATATCACACTCTAGTGTTAGCAAGGGTGATACCACTGAGGCAGCTCCCATAACCTTGGGAATGTGGCAGTTTATACTGGATTAGGGAAAAAAGTCTAAGACACTGGTGTATTTCAGGCCTGATGAATTCATCTGTGTGAATAATGAATGAATTGAATGTAAAGAAAACATATCCATTCTTAATATGAGGAAGTAATATCACTAATATGGAATATGATGTACTTTTGTTTTATGGTTATTTTTCCTTTTATTGATATACAATAATTTACATATTTGTGGGGTACTGTGAGTGTTTTCTACATGCAAAGAGTGTGTAACAATCAAATCAGGGTAATTGGGGTATCCATTACCTTGAGTGAGTATCATTTTTATGTACTGGTATCATTTCAAGTCCTCTCTTCTAGTTACTTTGAAATATACATAACATTGTGGCTAAGTATAGTCACACTATCTGTTGTCAAACAGAACTTATTTCTTTATCTAACCGTATGTTTGTACTCATAACTGTTTCCAATGCTTTGTAAGCCTAGAGTACAGCCTCATCAGGAATATCAAAGCTTATCTTTTTGTAAATTATCTCCTTATCAGGTTAAGTTTTAGAGCTTTTCCTAAATGACATCTGAGAGTCTTAGGTGTATTTCAACATAAAGCAATGTGAAAGACAATCCTCAGTTGTTAACTATTGACTTCCCACAGATTAAGAAAGGTTATTACTCAGCACAGCTATTATGTTCCTGGGGACGGGTGAGATGGCGTGAGGGATTGGGTAAGGTAATAGTTATACAGAAATGAATGGCCCAGCTACCTAAGGATTGTGCTAAATCTCCTGCAGCCTTCCTTAGAATTTTATGGCTGATCAACCAGCAAAATCTGTTTTTCATCATCTGTGGGTGTTAATCATCAACAAGTATTCCTGGACGTCTGCAGCTCGCCCTGGTAGGAGTGCACCAGAAAGAACCAAGAGGGCTAGAAACTCATAGATGTGATTTGCATTATTTTGTCCACAAAGATTAAGGTTAACAGGATTTATGTCTAAAGTTTATAAAGTCATGAAGAAGCACACATGACAGTGAGCTCTCCCAGGGGCAGGAGTTTCTTGGTCTTGTTCCTACCTGAAGACTTCCCATTCACTATTTCCTGTCTGGAATGTGCATGCTTGCTTCTCACTATTCAGGTCTCAGCTAAATGTCACCTCTTCAGAGAGGCCTTCCTTGATGACCTCATCTGTACTAAGTATACCCACTTCACACTCTCTCTCACACACACATCATCCTGCCTAATTTTCTTCACAGCACTTATCATTATCTGCAATTAAGTGCTTATAGCCATCCCTCAGTATCCTAGTATCTGCGGGAGATTGGTTCCGGGATCCCCCTAGGATACCAAAATCCACAGATACTCAAGTCCCTCATATAAACCGGTGGAGTGCTGGCACATAACCTACACACATCCTCTGGCACACTTGCAATTATCTCTAGATTACTTATCACACCTAATACGATGTAAATGTTGTGTAAATAATTGTTATACTCCATTGTTTGGGAAATAATGACAAAACAGTCTGTGCATGATCGTTATAGATGAAACCATCCATTTTTTTTCTGAATATTTTTGATCTGAGCTTGGTTAAATCCAAGGATAAGGAACCCATAGAATTGGAGGGCTAACTGTACTTGTTTGTTGTCCATGTCCTACCCTAACATTTAAGCACAATGAGAAAAAAGACATTGTCTATCTTGCTCACTGCAGTATCTCAGAACTCAATAAGTGTTTGTTGAATGATTCAGAAGAAGAGGATAAATCTTGACATGAAAAGTTACTTTTTGTGTTCATTGGAGAAAGTACAGAAAAATCTATAGAAATTTCTGCCTGGATGGCATGAACTGGTCCACAGGCAAGTGAAACATTAGTGAACGATGGTCCCATATAAGTTCACTAAAAGGCAGTAAGGATTGTGGTGGGCAGCTGTAGATGCCTTTTACAAAATGGTCTTTGTTGTTCTCTGTCAGAAAGCAGAATACTGCACAGAGTAGTTAATGCTTCGATCCAGAATTGTATTTTTTAAATTCTTTTGTATCACATTTTTATTGGTGTCCTCAGAAAGAGGACCATGTCTCTCAGTGAAAGATCGGTTAAGGGAGAGGAGACTTTGGGGTACCTGGAAGCACTTCTCTCCTCTAGTGATTCCACCCAATTGAGGTGACTCTTGTGGGGCCTCAATCAAGAAACATTAATTTGACATCAGACAGTGTAAAGAAGAAGGAAAAAACAAAAAGCATGATTTCGCAAGGACTAGTGTTTTTGTCCATGAAGCTGGAAGAAGTTGATAAAGGAGGCTGAAAAAAGTTCAATTTTCAGGCTGCAGCCTTGGGCATTGGAGGTCAGGAAATCTTAAAGCCTGAGGTTATCGTGGACTAAAGAAAACTGCATCATCCTGAGCACTGAGAAGTGGGGGTTTGTACACTGCTCATTAGCAACATACAGTGCTTTATTAGAGCCTATTTAAAGCTGTTTTTCCTCTTAAGCCCTATGTGCTTCCTCATTTTGGAGACCATGTTGGAACTTGAGACGCAGGAGATGATAATGGGAGCCATAAAATCAGATAGGCATCGGACATTTGGCTGTAGATAAAACACAGCTTCTGGCAGTATGTGGATTATTTACCTCAAACTGAAATTAATTTACAAGCAGCTTTATAAATTACAAGGCAAGGAATTCTTTAGAAATCTTCTAATGAGCAGGGAGTGGTAAACGAAAAATAATACTACAGTAGGCATAATTGCTCATTTAAGATCCATAAATATCATTGATAGTGTTTTTATTTAGCAAGTTGGGTTATGGTTTTATTTTACCGAAATTAAAACAGTTCAGGCTTAACAATGCCCTCAGTTTCCTATCCTGTTTTCTCTATAATGTCTAAAGTTTCTCAGCTGTAGATTTGTTTCCCCATGGAGGCATTCAGAGACTGGGGAAGTGCTCCCATGCTACAGCAGAGATAAATTCTAAGTGGGTAAGCAGACAGGCTTCTCAGAAGAGCAGGAATTTAAGTTGGGTCCTGAGAAAAGGAAAGAAATTAGCATTGATTGCACACGGAGTAGGGGCTTGACACAAAAGCATAGCATGAACTTTAGACATATCTGTTTTCTCTCACAACAATACTATATATTAGGGGGCATTATTCTGATTTTACAGGTGGAGAACTGGGAGTCATAGATGTTGAGTGACTTGATAAGGTAATATTTTCAGGGTTTGAATCAGAGATGTCTAATTGCAGAATCCTTGTTCTTCCTATTATGCCATCTCCCTTCAAATATTGCTTAACAGATGATATAAAGGAGGGGGGCAGGGATTTGTAGTGGGAGAGGAAGGAGAGGGAGACATGGAAATACCATTTGACATAGAGAGAAAAGCCTGATAAAGTGGATAAAAGTAGAAAAACTCATTCATTCATTTATTGTACAAGTGTAAGTGAGCTCTCATTATATGCAATATTCTGTGCATAAGAGATACATGGTTAGGAGTTTTGAGCACATTTGGGGAATGTTAACTTTATGGCTAGAGGGCCATCAATGAGAGGATGGGAGACTGTTTAGGCAATTATGCCCTGGAAAGGTAAGAAGGTAAATTTGGGTGGCCTTGGGAGTGCAGAGAATTCCAGCTGTGTTTTAGGTTGCTTTTGGAGTTGACAAGGTCTTCTCTTGCTTTTCTGATTAAAGGTGACCAGTGGTCACCTGGGCATCTCTGGGGTATTTTGAGTGACCTTGATCCCTCTGAGTCAAACTGGGGTTGAACCACATTTTGAATTGTAGGTGGACGGGTTACCTGGGAGTGGTGAAGTTTGTCCTACTCTATTAAAAAAATCTTTTTAGGTCTTGTGATTGATCAAGGGATTAATCACTAAGTAAAGTTGCTGATAGTTAAGTGTTTATCAAGAAAGCAATTGAAGAATGTTTTCAATAACATCAGTTGCTGATATCCGTTTTTGTAGTCTAACATTTCGCAGAATGATTAATAATCTTCTTTGCTTCTCTTGAACCCACTGTATTCTCTCCCTACTTCTATTATGGCACTTACCACTATTTAGCAAAATTATCTGTTTTACTTGTTTGCCTCCACCACTGGATTGTTAGTTCCTGGAAGGCAAGGCCAGAATGGAATCACCTTTGCCACAGCTCAGCACTTGGAACATGATAGGTGCTTAATAAATATTTGTTGAGTTAGTAAAAAAATTACAAGCCTCTCAGAGACAATATATTAAGAATAGTGAATACTGCAAGAGAGTCTAAGCTTCCTTTATAACACAGTCTGCAAAGCCCTAAATGGCAAAATACATACCTTGTCTTATCAGGCAAATGCCAATGATCATCTGTAGGAGCTGATCCTGCTAGATAGTCCCCAAATGTGGAAACGCATTTGAAGCCTATCACTTAATCAGCACTGGTATGCTGGTATTGAAACGGAGAGTTCCCTGATTCTCCTCGTAGGATGTGCTACAGGGGTGTGTCATCTGCTTGGTTGCCCCACAGCTCAAACTCCTAGGGGGAGCACGCAGACAGGCAGGTACAGAGGCCGGTGTGAGCACTTTTGGGCTCCAGCCCCACAGCAGCATCTATGGGTGGATGTCTGCGAATCCTGAAGCCCAGGTGAGCATGTGTTACCAAGCTCTTTTAGATTTGCCACCTGCAGATGGCTTGTGTGTTCATCAGCTCAATGGATCCGCTACCTTATAGCAAGGGCAGAGGACCAGTGTGACAGCCTTCTGTATCCCAAGTTCTTGCCCAGTGTACCAGAAGAATTGGGTCACACGTGGGCTCAAAGGATGAGTGCAAGGTTTTATTGAGTGATAGAGGTGGCTCTCAGTGAGACAGATGGGGAACTGGAAGGCGAGGATGGAGTGGGAGGGTTGTCTTCCCCTGGAGTTGGGCCACCCAGTGGCCAGACTCTTCTCTGACCGCCCCCAGCTGAACTTCCCTCAGCATTCAGACATCCCTCCTCTTCTCTCTTTCTCTGCCACGTTGTTCCGCTGCCACTGGTCTGCTGGTCCTGACGTTCAGCTGCTTGTGTCTCGGGTTTATATAGGGGCAGGATGGGGGACATGATGGGCCAAAAGGCAACTTTTTGGGCCTGAAAACAGAAATGCCTGTCCTCACTTAGGGTCGCAGGTCTTCAGGCTTGAGGATAGGGCCTTTGCTGGGGAACTACCTTCTTCTACCCAGTATTTCCGTCTCCTGTCCGTATAAGTATGATAATATAATTTTTACTTTAAGTGGAAATTTCTGTTTCATAAAAGGATACCTATGAGCCATGGAATGGGTATTTTGGCCATTGAGCATTTCTTACAGAATACTGGAACTTCTTTTGAACTACATGCATCCACAACTTTGTAAACCAGTGAACTGAAGAAATGTACAAAGTCCTCTGATGCTGCCTCAAGAAAAATAATCTTTCTCAAAGTTCCATCTTAATTTTGTTTTTGACTCAAAAACTTATCTAAGAGAGCTGGCTACATGTATCATTTTATTATGACTAGAAATTTTGCTTGCAATTTCTGGGCATCAATCTTTTGAAAATTTACTGCCACATGTCCCAAGTATATCTCTCTCTTCAACTGGTCATAGAAGAGAATCCTCCTTTCCTCTGGAATTTGCAGGTGTACTGGAGATTTAGGTGTCACCAGCATCTCAACAAAGAGGATAAACACTTGACCCCAACCCCGAATTATTCTTAAGTAAAAATGGTTTTAGTGTCATACTAATCTAACAATGTGGACCCCTAGTCCAAATGTGTATTGTTTATGGAACAGAACCACCTGTTTACTTTCTCATCACAGTGAATCCCTACATAGATCCACTGGAAGTGACACCAAGAAAAATTAGTTTTTTCCATTTCTCCCTTGAGAATAGTCCAGAACCTGGATGACTAGGTAGTTTTGGGTAGTAATTTTGTTATTTTTGCTTAGTCCAAATGTGTATTGTTTATGGAACAGAACCACCTGTTTACTTTCTCATCACAGTGAATCCCTACATAGATCCACTGGAAGTGACACCAAGAAAAATTAGTTTTTTCCATTTCTCCCTTGAGAATAGTCCAGAACCTGGATGACTAGGTAGTTTTGGGTAGTAATTTTGTTATTTTTGCTTACCTAAACTGTGTTACTAAACAATTAATAAATAGTAAGTATTTGCTCTTGGAAAGTACTGTACCAGGAACAAAGACAAAGACAATTCTATGTCAATCAGGTTGTTTTAAGATCATCCTGTTCTTAAGGAACTACTTACAATCTATTAGTGGAAGAGAAGGGTCATTTGAAACAGTACAGATATCACAAGCATTGACAAAGCACATATGTGAACACTAAAAAGAGCCACAGAAATGTAAGGTTTAAGACAGCACATGATGAATTGCAAAGTTATGCCTTAAAGGAAGGGTGGGATGGGGGCAAGATGGGAAGGATATTCCCATGTGGCCATTGGTGAGGAGACAGACAAGCACAGTGAGAATGTGCTTAACAAAGTGGTGAGTTTGCTTTGTTTGATGTAAAGCACAGGCCTTATCCAGACAGATTCCCTCAAAATACTAATCCATCAGCTCCGGTCCTTCACATGCAGATTTAGCTCTATTTACTCTTCCTACATTTCCCTTATCTTTCCCCTATATTCCCACCTGGCTAATGCTTTCTCATCTCCAGATTCCATCTTAGATCTTACCTCCTTTTGCCAATATCCCTCTAACCACTAATATATAGTGGTTCTCTTGAACCATTAACCAACACTCATTTCCTTTACATTTCAAATGTCCTTCCTCCGCAACTAGATTATAAATTCTAACATTAGGCTGTGTTTTCCCAGAGTTCCAAATATACCTGTATTTGTAATGTAATTGGTCCTTTACTCACCTATGTCCCCGCAAAGACTCTAAGCAGCCTAAGGGTAGGGACCAAGTATGTTTTTTGGTTGTTTTTGACCCTAGCCCAAGAACAGTACTTGAGTCCCAGCTCAATCACTTGCTGTTGAGCCAACTAAACAATGAATGAACAATTGAACAGACTCATCCAGCTTAAGGTGTGAGTGTTGCTAGCAGAAAGGGAATAAAGAGTCTTTACCTCTTTGGATACTTTAAAAGAAATACTGGGGACCAGAGATTATAGAAGTGAGATTGGAGAAGAGGGGAAAAAAACAATTAGAAGGTAAGAGCATGAAGATAAGGAAGAAGGAAGACTTGTGTGCTACAACCTGGTTTCCAGTCACTTGCTTTCTTAATAGTCTCATTCAGTTGATAGCTCATTTTATATCAGGCATCTCTCATCAGTTACTTGGATACTGATAGGGATGTAAACTGTATTTAATGTCTAATACTCAAAGCATATTTATACATCGCTAATTCTTGTAGCTGAATTTCCTTCCCTCCTTCACTTTTATTCATTGATTCTCATTCACTAGTTAACTCATTAAACAAATATTTGGGGACTTACTCTATGCAAGGCTCATAGAAACTTTAGTAACTGGATATATCTTGTGAAACTAAGTAATCCCAATTTAGATGTTTAAATTTTCTCTCTTTGCAAATTAAGCCTGTGTAATTGATTTCATCCCTTACATTGACTTAGCAGGGTCTAAGGATTTTGACAGAAGGCTTGGCTGCTGTGAATATTTTAGTAATAGTAATTTCAGAAAGGCTCTTTAAAGTTTTCAATATTAGGTTACAGGGGGATTTTTACAAATCTTGATCAAATTCCTCCCCTCCCCCACCTCTTTGGCTATTACCAGGGAGTAAATGGCTGAGAACCCAAAGTACCAAAAGTAGCTTTCATATTGCGCTAATCACTAACAATTTTTTGAACAGGATGAGTAAACACAAGGTGGAAAAGGAAACTTTTTCTTATGCTTGTCATTTTTTGGTTCTATATTAGAGACAAAGATTTTTATTCTTAAATCCAGGCTATTTTGGATGCTTTCCTTGGCATTATACAGTGAGTATATGGGGGCTGCCACCAAACCCTGTTGTGTTCTGATTTGGTGATGTGTGAAAGGCTGCACATCAATATCCAAATAAATGACTAGAATGATTTCAGAGTTTTCTCTTTGCGGGGTTCACTGGTATTCTTCAGTAAAAGATACTAAATATTATGATAGTAACATGTTACTATCATATGTTACTATAACAGTTCCCAGACCCTTGCTTTGGGAACTGGGGTATTAGCTGGGACCTAAGTGCCCACTGGTAAAATCCAGTTAATGACTTTGGATGATGGGCAGTGTTTCAAATTACCAGACAAACCAAATCAGCATAACTCAAAATAGTAGGTTACCTGTTAAGTTCAAGCACAAGGATGGAAAGGAACCTTGAGAGAGATGTTTAAGATGATTAAGTCATGCTTCATGTACTTTCCGTGGTCCTTCCTGGCCCAGCCTGGAGCATTTCCTCACATTATTTTCTGGTTAATTATGCTGTCTGTAGATCTCAGTTTATGAGCAACTTCTGCTGAGAAGTCTTCCCTTGCTGTCTTCTAGCGTGTCCACTGTCTATTGTAACACAAATGGCATTGTGTCGCTCCCTCTAGATCTCCTCACTTTCTTCTTTCCTTCCTTCTCTCCCCTCACCCCCTCTTCTTCCTTCTTTTCTCCTTCTCTTTTATAGACTCTTTCATTGCCGTTGAGAATCTATTAGTCTGGTTGTAGTCAGGGGGATACTGGTGACAGCAGTCATACCAACTGATTTTGCCTCCTCCTTCTAGAGGTTAACTCAGGTTCCACAGGTCTTCTTTGCCATGATAGCTGGAATATGTTAGTACATGATTCTCCTGCCATTTAAGTAAAGCTAAGCAAAGAAGTTTTAAGAATATACAGATTTAATAGTCAATAAAACATATAAATCTCTCTAGATAGAATAATGGAAATACGTTAATCTCCTTTTCTTCTTTTTCACTCCTGTTGGAACTGACATCTAACTGCCAAGTAAAATCACTTTTTATCATGTTCTCATTTTGTTTGACCACATGGTGGTGGTCCCTTGGTCTCAAGTTGACCTTCCTATCTAATCTGCTTCCCTGTTCCTCTTACTACCTTTGAAAGCCCTTTTAAAATGTGTTTTCTTCCTTGCCTCTCTTCTGTCTACCCTTTGAATGATATATCAGTTAGGATTGTGTCTAGCACAATACCTACTTAATAGGAAACCTTACACCAGTGCTTAATTGGTATATATTTGCATCAGGTGATCAGAAGTCCTGGTGTAATTATTTTCCACCTATCAAGGGTAGGAATGATTTGAAGCAAGAAGCAGGTGAGTAGTTGCAGAAAAAGTTCTGTCTTGGCCATGTCAAATTTGAGAATCCTGTTAGATATTTCAAGGAAGCATTTAGATATATGAATTTGGAGCTCGGAGGGATATACTCTACAGACTGTGAGCAACTCTTTATATCCCTGGGCCTATCACCCAGCCTGATACAGCATAGGCACTCGATATGTATTTGATGAATGAATTTATTCAACTAATATTTATGGAGTTCTTACCTTGTGCCAGGTACTGTTCCAGGAGCTAGGGATGCAGCAGTGAACAAAACAGCAAAAATTCCTACCTTTCTGGAACTTAAAATGAATGGATAAATGAAAAGTGTACCCAAAACTGGATATTCAGTAAAAGTGTTATTTTCTCTGTCTTAAAAAGTCTTCGATAATATTAATTAAAAATGGAATTCCCCAGTTGGCTTTATTATAAGATTAGCATCTACAGAGAAAGAGCACTTCATTATAACTCATTTTACTTCCTTTTTCCTTTTTCTAAACACATTTAAAAATTTTATTTTTTATTACAGACAAGGTCTTGCTATGCTGCTCAGGCTGGTCTCACACTCCTGGGCGTAGGTGATCCTCTCACCTCAGCCTTCCAAAGTGTTGGGATTAGAGGTGTGAGCCACCACACCTGGCCCCTCTTTCCTTTTTTAAGTTTATTTTTGTTACCTTTATGTGCCTGAGAACTATGTGTCGGTTGGAGGCACAGTAATTGTGGTAGACGGGTACTATTTACGGTTGCTTTGGAGTTGATTTCTAATTTTTCCTTGAAAAATGTTGTTAACAGGCACACTGTTTTCTCCAGCCAGTGTGAAATGGCTCAGTGCCACAGGGAGAAGGTGCAAAATGTCACTTCTGAGGCTTGTCATAAAATTTCTTGATAGATTCTTCAGGTGAAGCAAGAGGCCTTTCTCGCTGCTCTAACACTCTGCGCTGCCAAGGCTGAGAAGCTGAAAGGAAAATTCATATGCTTTGCTGGTTGGTGCCTGTGGTCTCACTACTGTACTAAATATAGTTCCAAACAAGTTTAGTGTTAGTTAATATTCAGTAAATGAAATTAGCATCTTCTGAGTTTTCAGGGAGTTTGTAACTTAGAACAACCTGGAGTGACTCTTTTTGCCCAGGAAGGTATCTATCAAATAATACAAATAAGTTTCCATGAATCATTGTTATATATTAAATATTAATCTTAACTCCCAGAACAGTGTTTGCACTAAGCCCTATGTTGGTTTTTGTTTTGTTTTGTTTTTGGACCCGGGTTCCCAGTGATAATGAAGCCCACTAGTAGGTTAGTCATCTTTTGCCCCACCAACAATGTAGACATTTCTTGGTTCATTTTCAATTGAGATTTTCCTTTTTGATTGCCTTAGTCTAGGAAAAGACAGCTGTTCTAAATGAGATTAGCCCCCACCACTGCCGAGTTCACCAGAATTCAAAAAGGCGAATACTTAGAATTAAATTTTAAAAGGCCTGAACTTAAAAAAAAGGGGAGTTAATGTTTACTTTTTACATCTTTACATTGGAAAAAGATGTGTTCCCTAATGTATAATAAATGACTGTAAGGGAATTTATAGATTCTGACTTGGGAAAGCTTTAGGACAACTTTCGCAAATGTGTGTTTTATGATTTAATACATACTCTATGCTTTTTTTTTCCCTGCCCAGTGAATCCCCATTGGAATCTTTTGAGCCCCTCTACAAAAGCCTCCATAAATTAAGACTAGGAAGCTGGTTAACAGACATCATAATATGCAAAGAATTTTGCTGATGCAGCGAGCATGCCTTTCCATCTTCCAGACCACCACACGGCACCCGGCACCAGGGATGGGAAAGATGAGCTTTCCACGGGGGTTTGCTTAGGGAGGACATTGTTGTCCATGCTGAAGATTTTGACTCGTTTCCCATAGTTGATAGCAAATCTTTGAAAGATTTCTGGCAATAGAGGAAGAGAATCAGAATTGTCTTTTAGAAATATGACTGGAGGTTTTGGGGAGGATGATTGTGGATGGGCATGAATCTAGGAGCAGGTGAATAGTTGGGAAGCTATGGTAGAAGTGAATATTTCCCACTCCCATCCCAGCTGCCATAGCTGTTGGTGCTTTTATGTAAGGCTCCCTAGGGAGGGTGTCGAGGGGTGTGGCCTGATCCCATGGGGTTGAGTGTTCCCTGGGGTCAGCTGGCTCTTCTCTAGGGATGAAAATTAAATTGGGAATTTGTCTTCCTATTTTAAGATTAAGTCTAATTTCGCGAAGAAAGTTAGGCTGTGATATGGTTAGGCTTTGTGTCTCCACCCAAATCTCATCTTGAATTATAATCCCCACAATCCCCACGTATCACAGGAGAGACCAGGTGGAAATAATTGAATCATGGGGGCAGTTTTCCTATTCTCGTGACAGTGAGTGAGTTCTTACAGGATCTGACGGTTTTATAAGTGTTGGTAGTTCCTCCTATGTTCATTCTCCTTCCTGCCGCCATACTGAACAGTGAGTCAATTAAACCTCTTTCCTTTATAAACTACCCAGACTCCAGCAGTTCTTTATAGCAGTAAGAAATCGGACTACTATAGGCTGCAAAGCTAGAAAACTAAGTTTTACATGTACTCCATCACTTTAAAAAATAATTAAATACAATTTTATAGTATATAAGTTTTATACTAATTTTTGCAACAATTAATAATTTTACTTATTTGATTCCTCCAGGAAATCCTCTTGTCAACCTACCCATCTCAACCTGTTTTTCTCTCCCCACAATGTCTCTAGTTTGGATGCTCTCAAGTCATCTGGCTTTATTTGACCATTCTTTAAAAAATGGCTTGAACTCTCATTTCTCACACTGAAAAAAACCCAGACCTGTTTCTATCTCTGACGGAATAGGGGGTGAGTGTGTCAGTGAGTCTACCTTGCAGCCAATAGTCTACATTAATGATGTGGTTCAGAGCCCAGACACTGGAGCCAGATTGTCTGTGATTAAATCCTGATTCTACCACTTCCTGTGTGACTCCAGTCAGGTTATTTAACCTCTCTGTTCTTCTGTTTTCTCATCTGAAAAATAGAATAATTACTGTGTCTGCCTCTTAGGCTTGTTTCAAGGATTAAATGAGTCAAAACCTTAAGAGATTGTTAGGAGAATTGAATAAGTTAATATATATAAAATACTTAGCAGTGCCTGCCACATAATGAACATTATACAGGTGTTTATTACCATTCTTTCCATAGCTCATTTTTCCATTGTTTGCTGGCTCCTCCCTCCTGCAGCATAATCTGCTGTTGCTGCCACACCTTTTCTGCAGTTTTGCCTCATGGCAGAAACCAGCCTTCTTTCTTCATTCTCTTTTAGGTACTGCACATACAAGGCTATTGTGAGTAACAATAATAGTTAACAATAATAGCTAATGTTGACTACCAGTGTTGACCTTGTACTAAGCACTGTCGTAAGGATGTATTTTACATCTATTGGCTCATTTAGTTCTCATACAAACTCTATGAGATAAACATAGTTCTTATCTCCATTCTACAGAAGAAGAAACTGAGGTACAAAGAGGTTAAATAACTTGCCAAAAGTTTCCCAACTAGTACATGAGATAAAGCCAGGTTTTAAACCATCATTTACTTACCGTTTTCCTGGCATTTGTATGTACAGAGAAGTATCTATTTTTTTTTTCTGGTGAGTGATATCGTTATATTACTCTGCTCACTTGGTGGGTCACATTTTTTGTCAATGCTGAAGAGGATGGGGCACAGAAAGAGGGAGATGGAATCTTTGTATATCATGATGAGCAGAAAGAAATGGCTTAAATATGCTGAACGCCAACTGTGTGCTTGGCATTGTGTGATGCCCTCCATTTATGTTCTCTTAGGGAATTCTCACAACCACACTCATTTATTATTATTGTTACTTTATAGGGGAGGAAACTGAATCTCAGGGAGGTAAGGACTTGCCTCTGGTTAAGATGCTCATGAGTTGTGAGGACAACCTAGAGTATGCACCTAGAGTATCACCCCTAGAGTTTGCATCTCTAGGGCATACTCTTTTCACCATATCATCTTGTATCCCTCGAAGTTAACCCCAAAGCCTTTCTGTTTTCCATGAAAACTCCATGCCCTCAATTAGTTCAAATCAGTAACTTTTTCTTTTGGTAGTCCTTTCCCCACTCTTTTAACCTCTCTGATTTATCTCTTCTTTAAAACTACTTTAACTGACATCCACAAGTATTAAAGTGTCTACAATGTTAAACTTAGGTGGAAGTCGCTACATAGATTAAGGATGTTTATAGAAATTTTTGACTTTATTATTCGAAGGGCCATAAACATGAAGGTAGTAAGTGTCATTAAACTTTATTAATATCCATAACACTTGGTATGATAATATTACAAGATGTTAAGGCACAGTCTCTGCCCTTGAGGTGGTCACCTTGGATAGGAGGAGTGTGTGTGTGTGTGTGTGTGTGTGTGTGTGTGTGTGTGTCTGTGTGTCTGTGTCTGTGTTGGGGGGTGGTACCATTTCTCAGGAAGTTCTCCATGAAGCATGACTATCAGGACCCTTTCTAAGTCAACTCAAAGCAACCACCTTGTTGAGCTGCTTTGTTTGCTGTTGCAGATTGTTTTGGAAATGTGTTTTAAGTATTTCTGTCAGACAATAAAGACAGTCTGTAGGCTTGAATTGTTTTTGCAAGGCTGATTAGCTTAACTGCCCAACAATTATTATATTCATGTTAATGTCATTGGTGTTGGGATGTTACTGGAGAACTCTGGATTGCCTGTCTTTAAGCCATGTACACTCCCCCATTGGGTTTTTAGAACTTGCT
Organism: Homo sapiens; assembly: GCF_000001405.40. NCBI lineage: Eukaryota > Metazoa > Chordata > Mammalia > Primates > Hominidae > Homo > Homo sapiens. Next base: position 185,476,482 of record NC_000001.11, read on the forward strand.
GGTTAGCAATGGTGAGTTTGCCAGAAGCTGATGAATTGTAGTCATTACTTTTACGTTAATGTGCTCTCAAGGTGACTTTCTTTAAGCATTTTGATTACTATGTGGAAAAAAAAGGAGTGTTGAGACAAACTGCTGTGTAACAAATTACTACAAATTTATTGGCTTAAAACCACACCCATTGATTCCCTCATAGTCCTGGAGTTCAGAAGTCTGAGCTGACTTGACTAGGCTGTCTGCTCAGGGTCTCACAAGGCCAGAATCAAAGTGTCATGAGAGATATTGCACATGAGAACTGTTTTGTCCTCTCAGATGTAGATTATATGACTGTTTTAAGGAAAATCAGTATCACATGACTTGATACTCACAGCTGACCATTTAGCTGTAGAGGTTTAAGAGGATGAACATTTTGGTATTCCATCTAATTTGATGCAACTGAGTCTTGGTATTTATTCAGACAACATAATTTCTTCTCTTAACCAGCAGACCATTTTTTTCCTCTGACATTTTAGACATAGAATGGATACATTTAAGTTTGGCTTCAAGCACTGTATTGAGAGTCAGCATATCCAAAATGGACTTTCAGCTCTGCAACTTGTGCAAATGATTTTTCTTTGCCTCCATTTTTTCCCATAAAGATATCAATACTATTTTTTACTCTTTAAGTGTATTTTATTTTGCAAAATGCATGTTCAGAAGACTAGCGGGTAGTCTATAGCTTCTTGATGTTACTCTCTTTCTTCCTAAGCCCATGTTCATTTTAGATCATCACACTGGGAGAAGTATCCTCTTTGTCAGGTGGCTCTGCATGCACTATCCCTTCCTTCCATCAGTCCCTTGGTCACCTGGTGCAATAATGTCATGTAACATTTGTATTGTACTTTACAATTTGTAAAGGGAACACAACCTATTCACTATCATATTTAATTATTTCCAAAATTCTGTGAGGTAGGCATTATTTGTATTTTACAAATGGGATGAATAAGATCCAGAAAATTAAGTGACTTGTTTAAGATCACATAAGAAACAGAGCCAGGCCTGGAACTCAAGTCTTCTGAGTTTCAATCCAGTGTTGTTTCTTCTATACCCCAGATAAGCAATAGGACAAGCTTGTCCAGCCTGTGGCCCACGGGCCTCAGGCAGCCCAGGACAGCTTTCAATGAGGCCCAACACAAATTCGTAAACTTTCCTAAAACGTTTTGAGATTTTTGTTGCAATTTTTATTTTTTAGTTCATCAGCTATCATTAGTGTATTTTGTGTTTGGCCCAAGACAATTCTTCTTCTACTGTGGCCCAGGGAAGCCAAAAGATTGGACACCCCTGCAATAGACAACAGGACTCACAGAAAGAGACAGCAGCACGTAAAATAAATTTCAGGCTTGCGAAATGACTTCAGTTTTTGGTGATTCTCCTTTCTTGCATTTGTTTTGGCTCAATTTTTGACCCTTTTAATTTTTCTTCTTGTTTTCCTAGAATCCAAATTAGCATATTGGCTTTGTTCTCATGACTGTCAATATTTGTCCTGGGCCATGGCCAAGGAGGAAAGTGACAGAGGGCAGAGACTATCTAGTGTCAAAAGCAGTTGCAACAGTTCCACATTGGTCTCAGATGTTTGCAATTCTGTGTTTAGTGTTGTTGCTCACTAACAGCTGAAGTCTGAAAAGGGAAGGCATTTTATTGGAGGAATTTCTCAGGTATAGGCACTTCTCTAAGACCTATGCCTTTGAGATTCTGCAGACTCCCTTCACAATTAGCAGAAAATTTATGCACAAAATTTTCCATACAAATTAAGGAATTTACTCATCCTTAGCACTGTCTCCAAGTCCCATACCAAATTCAATTATTCATGTATTCAATAATTCCAGAAACAGTTAATTGAATAGCAATGTACAATGGTGGATAAGAGGTAAGGCTCTGAAGCCAGCCTGCCTGAGTCGAAATCCAGGCCCTGCCTGGGAGACCTTGGCAAGTAAGGTCTCTCTGTGCTTCATCTATAAAATGGGGAAGATAATAGAGCCTACCGCACAGGGTTGTTATGAGGATTGATGGATTATTAAATGTGAAACACTTGGAACAATGTCTGCCACTGTAGTATGCAAGATTCCTTAAATGCCCCTCAAAGATGTTCTCCCCTAATCCCCAGAACCTGGGAATATGATGAAACATCACTCCCCCTTGTTATGCAGGCACAATTGAGTTAAAATAGGAGATTCTCTGGGTGGGCCCAATCTAATCATACGAGCCCCTTTAAAAGCAGAGTGCTTTCTTCAGGGGCTGGTAGAGGAGGAAGTCCGGGAGTTTCCAAGTGTGAGAAGGACTTGATGTGCCATTGCTGGCTTTGAGGAGAGGGCACCAAGTGAGAAGGAATAGACACCTTCGGAGCTGATAGACACCCCGGCTGACAGCCAGCAAGGAAATGGAGACTCAGTTCTACAGCCTCAAGGAAGTAAATTCAGCTAACAATGCGAATGAGCTTAGAAGTCGATTCTTCTCAGAACCTCCCCATAAGAGCCCAGCTGGCTGACACATTGACTTCAGCCTTGTGAGATTCTGAGCAGAAAATCCAGTCAAGTCTTCTTGGACTTCAGAACTACAGAATGGTGAGATATGACTGTGTGTTGTTTTGAGTCACTAGGCTTGTGGTAATTGGTTATACAGCAATAGAAAAGTAATAAAAGGGCCAGGCACAGCAGCTCACGCCTATAATCCTAGCATTTTGGGAGGCTGAGGAAGGCAGAATGCTTCAAGCCAGGAGTTTGAGACCAGCCTGAACAACATAGTGAGCCCTTGTCTCTACTAAAAAATAAATTAGCCCGATGTGGTGGCACACACCTGCAGTTTCAGCCACTCGGGAGGCTGAGGCAGGAGGATGGCCTGAGCCCAGGAGTTTGGGGTTACAGTGAGCTATGATTGGACCACTGAACCCTAGATTGGGCAATAGAGCAAGACCCCATCTCAAAAACACAACAATAACAAAAGAAAACTAATATAGTGAGAAATAACGATTCTAATAAACATTAGCTATCATTGTTCCATTTATTATTAGACCTCTTCAGCAAATATGTCCTGCATGAGGGACTGGGGAGACAATGCTGACCCAGCGTGGTGCCAGTCCCACAAGGAGTTTCTGGTTAAGACGAGAAATCATCTCATTTTTCCTGACATCCAGGTTCTATGAAGATCAACTGTTGCTACATCTTGGACACATTTCACTTCTTTCATTGTAAATACTCATTTTTCACTTTCTTTCATTTTTAGCCAGTGGCTAGACCATGTTTAGCCACCAGCAGCCCCCATTTGCCTTGCGTGAGTGGGGAATAGGATTTATTGATTGTCTCCTGTGCATAACCGTTAGGCAGTCTGGGAAGCTCCTGGCATTTGTGCTGAAATATTGTAAGCCAGACAATAGAGACGTCTGTTTCTAACAAAGGATCTATATAATCCTTTATCTCTAGAATCCACCACCTGGTGTTCTCAACAGCGGTGAGCACAGAACAATTCCCAGTTTAATCAAACTGGAATACAAAACGGGCGAGGAGGGCTGCAGTGTGCCATCTCCTTGAAGTTGTTCCAAGAGAAAGGGACCCTTTGTTACAGAGACAGCTCATTTTAGAGTTCAGTGGCCTGTGACACTTGCCCAGCTGGCAGCCCAGCAGGGACCTTCTGATACTTTCCTACACTTGAAAGCCATTTTTGGTGTGAAAAACAGTGAAACTGTCATTAAGGGCTACTTGTTGGGAGGGTCATGGGGGAAGAAGAATATGGAAACAGTGCTTTAAAGAACGTGCCTGCAGCAATTCATGATTTTTATTCAAATAGCAGCTGTCTTCACTTTTTGTCTTTGTTTTCTGATAAAATTGAGGATGTTTGTCTTTGCTTTCTGATAAAATTGAGGATGTTTGTATATGTTTACTGAAGGTAGTGGTAATAACATCATTGGATTTTTTAAAAAAATATAATCCATAGGTTTACCACTGAATTTTTTTTTAAATTTATTTTAAAGGCCCATGGATTGGAGCTGGGTTGGGAAGGGAAATTGTCCATTGCTCTAATCATTTTGAAGTACCTACTCCCTTTCTTGAACTGGAAACTGGTTCCTTCCTATAGAGATTTTTCAGGGGGAAAAAGAAGACATAAAACATTTCAAAACGTATTCTCACTTTAAAACAGATTTTATAGAAACCCAGAATTGTAGAGCCAGGAAGCTTCTCAGAGTCATCTGGTCTAACCCAGCCAAACTGCCCGTGTGAACAAGAGTCTTCATGACCACATTCCCAAGGGAGACTGTCCAGCAGTTGAACAGCAAGGCATTCTACAGGACAGGAACTTGGGGTAGACAGAATTGTTTTTAAATAATCATTCTATTACTTCCTGGCTATGTGATCTTGAGAAAATTATTTGTCTTCCCTAAGCCTTGGTTTCCTTACCTTAATGGGATAATAGTGTCTAACCTTTGGCCAAATGGTGAGGATTAAAAGGAATAATCAACGTAAAGTGACTCCTAGTGATTTCCATCTAGCAATAGTTTTAAGATTTTCCATGGTATAAGTAATTACAAGAAATAACTTGGGCAGATCTAGGTCTGGTCTGAAGAGGCTGGAGGATCGGGAAGAAGGAAGGGTGTTAGAATAAGTTCCTGAACTCCAGACCCTTATGTCCAACTATCTACTTGATATCTCCTCTCAGGTGTCTAATATGCATTTCAGACTTTACATATTCAGAACCAAGTTCCTTATCTTTCTCCCCATACCTGCTCCAAGTCTTTCCATCTCGACAGTAACTTTATCCATCCTTCCAGTTGCAATGGCCAAAATGTTGATGTTGTCGTCGCCTTTTTTTCCGTCGCTTACCTGTTCAACCTGTCAGGATATTCTATTGACTCTAGCTTCAAAATATTTCTAGAATCCAACCACCTCACACCATCTTCACTGTATCCAACTGTAGTCCAAGTCATCAACTCATCAGCGTTTTTCTTTTTTTGTTTTTGTTTTTATACGCCTGCCACCTCAGGAGCATCAGCGTTTTTCAAAGTAGGAGTTAGAATGATTCTGTTAAAATATAAGTCAGATCAAATTATTCTTTGGTTCAAAACTCTCCAATAGACTCCCTATCCCACTACATACAAGTCAAAGCCCTTATAATGGTCTACAATGGTGCTACTCAAGTATGGTCTATGGACCTGTGACTGTCTGCAAGCTGTTACTAGTCTATGAGGCGATTAGAAGTTTGTGTCAAAATGTAAATCAACTAGGTCACTAGACATGCTGTTTAATTTGCCTGATGTTTTGTTCATTCAAGACTTTCTCAATGAAGGAAGCAGTGCATTGATTTATTTTCTGTTGTGAACTCCTTATTTCCTTGAAATTTTATTTAGTTGAATATGTTGGTCTTTTACATTTTTAATATCTTCTGCCACTTTTAATTTTAGGATTCAACCTTCCTTCAAAAAAAATTTTTTTTTTTTTGAGATGGAGTCTTGCACTGTCGCCCAGGCTGGAGTGCAGTGGTGCGATCTCAGCTCACTGCAAGCTTCGCCTCCTGGGTTCACGCCATTCTCCTGCCTCAGCCTCCTGAGTAGCTGGGACTACAGGCGCCCACCACCACGCCTGGCTAATTTTTTGTATTTTTAGTAGAGATGGGGTTTCACCGTGTTAGCCAGGATGGTCTCGATCTCCTGACCTCGTGATCCACCTGCCTCGGCCTCCCAAAGTGCTGAGATTACAGGCGTGAGCCACCGCGCCTGGCCTCTTCAAATTTTTAATTTCCATTTTTAAACTTTTTAATTGGAATGATTTTTGATTTGCATAAAAGTTGCCGATATATAGAGTTCCTGTATACTCTTCACCCAGATTCTCTGTTACTATCCTAGAAAACCATAGTACAATTTTCAATGCTAAAAAATTAATATCAATACAATAATATCAGCTAAGCTACTGACTCTTTGGATTTCGCCAGTTTTCCACTAGTGCTCTGTTTCTGTTCTGTGATCCAGTTCAGGAGCCCACGTCTTGTTTACTTGTCATCTCCTTAATCTCCTGTGATGCATGACAGCTCCTCAGTCCTTCCTTCTCTTTCATGACCTTGACACTTCTGAAAAGTACTGGTCAAATATTTTGTAGAATGTCCCTCTATTTGGTTTGTCTGATGTTTTCTTGTGAGGAGATTGAGGTTCCATATTTTTGGTAAAAAAAATTACATTGTAGCTGAAGTAATATCAGTGATCTCAGTGCATCTAACGTGAGATTCTTGATGTCAGTATATCTTTTTTTTTTTTGAGATGGAGTCTTGCTCTGTCACCAGGCTGGAGTGCAATGGTGCAATCTTGGCTCACCGCAATCTCCACCTACTGAGTTCAAGAGATTCCCCTGCCTCAGCCTCCCCAGTAGCTGGGACTACAGGCGCTCACCACCACACCTGGCTAATTTTTTGTATTTTAGTAGAGACAGGGTTTCACCATGTTGGCCAGGATGGTCTCGATCTCCTGAACTCGTGATCTGCCCACCTCAGTCTCCCAAAGTGCTGGGATTACAGGCTGAGCCACTGTGCCTGGCCGTCAGTGTATCTTATTACTGGTGCTGTTAGCCATGATCTCTTGGTTAGGGTGGTATCTCTTGAGTTTCTATTCTGTAAGGTTACTATTTTCCCTTTTAAAATTTATAAATATCTTGGGAGAGATATTTTGAGACTTTAAAAATATCTGTTCCTCCTCAACCTTCTGACCATTAATTTTAGCATCTAACTGTGGATCTTGCCTGCAGTAATTATTATTGTGGTATTCTAATTGCTGTTTTCTATTTCCCTATTTCTTCTATTTTCATTAACTGAAATTTTTCTGTAAGGAAAAGCTGTCTCTTCTCCCTAATTTATTTATTCACTCATTTACTTATTCAGTGTGGACTTATGGGTATTTATTTTAGTCTATGGGTTAAAATCCAATACTACTATTTGTTTTGTTGCTCAATCTGTTCCTGCTTAGGGCCTTTGACTCGTGTACCCTTTTTACATGTCCCTATCTTTAAAAAAATAAACAAAAACAAAAAAAAAACCTGAGTTTTTTTTTCCTTTCTCTAATTTTACTCTAAAATATTTGAATCCTTATTGGGTAAGTGGGGAAAGATAGATGTAGGGTTGGTGAGATCTCATGGACATGAAGGCATCCTGTTGGATCTTGTGTTCCTCCAAGACTTTCTTGTAACAAAAGGAGCCTCAGCCACAGGGAAGCTGAGTATCCTGTCATATGGCTGTTGCTGTTTAAGTCATTTGCTGTGAGCAGAGTCACAAGGCAACACTGGGAACAACAGGCCTAACGCATGTCAACTCAGTGATTTTCAAACTAATACCTAATAGGAGGGATAGGAATCCCAACTTCTCATTTCTAGCCCAGTACTATTTCTGTGTTCTTGAGAAAGCTTAAGGCTGACTGTGACACTTCTGAGGCTATACCATCTGGTTGTCTCTCAGCTCTGTGGATTTTGAAACATGAGGAAAGAAAGAGGGAGTGGTAGCTTTCTCTGCCTCTGTAAACCTCATTAAAGTGATGTTTTTTGTTCCTATTGTCATTGGGGAAGGCAGTGATACTGCCAAGTAAGGAGTGGTTGATGCTTCAGATGAAATGGATGTTTGTGTTAAGAGTCTTTGTGTTAGATTGCCTTCTCGGCATCCCAGCTCTCAGCAACTCTCTTCCAGTTGTCACCTGATACATGTGGTTGAACAGCTTCTATTCCCTGTGCTCTTGTCTGTGACTAACCAGTGCTTCTCTTGTGGGATTAGTCTTCAGGATCACAGGACAGCTTGGCTTCTTCCTTCCTCAAGCAATGTGCTATTAATGCCAACCATGGGAACTTGGTGTAATGCAATACAGATACTTGAAATTGCTGAGTCACTTCACAGTGATGGTCATGTCTGTGAATGTGAGTGAGCCAAATAATGTGGAAGAAGAATGGTCTTTCAGGACATCACTAGACTTCTTAGACACTCTATTCTTTCCCACATTTAAATGTTTTCCCACATGTTAAATGTTTTGCCTTATGATGAATTCAGGTTAGGAATTTTCTGATACTAAGGGTTGAGAAAAGCAAATGAGCTATTACTCATGAGATCATATTTGTGAAAATGACTTAGATCAAATGAATTGCCCTTAAATCCTTTCTTGCTATGTAGATTCTTTTATTATTTTCTGTTCCAGCATTGTCCATAATTTGAAAGGTAAACCTAGTTGTTGAGTACTTTCAGATGGATATGCTATCAATGTAAGCCAGTGACAAACTGTCTGAGCCTGTTTAGACCTTGTCCCACAACGAAGTCTCCCAGGCTGAGAGAAGCTCTGATGCCCATGGCAAGCAGACAGCACGAACTGCTGGAGAGGGGAGCTGCTGACTCCCTCATCTTAATGGTTTATCCTTGGTTACTCTTTTTCTAAAAAGTAGAATCCTAGACTTATTTATTCATTTACTTTTACTTTTTTGAGACAGGGTCTCGCTGTTGCCCAGGCTGGAGAGCAGTGGTGTGATCTTGGCTTACTGCAACCTCCGCCTCCTAGGCTCAAGTCATACTCCCACCTCAGCCTCCCAAGTAGCTGGGACTACAGATGTGTGCCACCATGCCTGGCTGATTTTTTAATTTTTTGTAGAGATAGGGTTTTGCCATGTTGTCCAGGCTGGTCTCAAACTCCCGGGCCTCACAAAGTGCTGGGGTTACAGGTGTTCGCCACCATCCCTGGCCTGAGAATCCTAGATTTAAATCCCAGGTGTCTAGAAAAACTTATTCTTTCAAAATATAGTCCCCAATCCAGTTACTATGTGCCAGGCCCTGTGCTAATGTAGCTGTGATTACAGTCATGAACAAAATGGCTTTGTCCTCGTGGGGCTTAAGGTCTACAACAGCCCTGTCCAGTAGAAATATAATGGGAGTGCATATTATAACTTAAAATGTTCTAGAAATACATTTTTAAAAGCGAAAAGAAGCAGGTAAAATTAATTTTAATAACATATTTTATTTAACAATATAGCTAAAGTATTATGACATGTAATCAGTGTAAAAGTTATTGAGATAGTTTACATTCTTTTTATTGTACTAAGTCTTCAAAATTTTGTATGTGTTTTGCACTTATAATACATCTCAGTTTGGATTCGCTACATGTTAAGTGCTCAACAGTGTCATGTGGCTCGTGCCTACTGTACTGGGAGGTGTGGTTTACCAACATCCTACATGTAATTCCACAAGTCAATATTTAGATCCGGATGTTCAATCTTTTGGCTTCCCTGGGCCACACTGGGAGAATAAGAATTGTCTTGGGCCATACATAAAATACACTAATGATAGCTAGTGAGCAAAAAAACAAAAAAAAGAAAAAAAACCACCTCATAATGTTTAAACAAAGTTCACAAATTTGTGTTAGGCCGCATTCAAAGCCATCCTGGGCCGTGGGTTGGACAAGCTTGATTTAGGTTATAATGGTAATACGTGCTATCAGAGAAATGGAAACTGGCGTAATAAGCAATTAGGAAGGGTTTTGGGGATACTGACAGTGAAACTTGAGGGATGAGTTGGAGTGAGGCAGGAATGAAGGAAAGTAAGAACTGTCCAGGCAAAGGGAACAGCTTTTGTGAAGTCCTTGGGTTGAAAACGAGTGAAAAGGAGGCTGGTATGCTGACCTTTGTGAGAATGGATGAACAGCTCACATTCTTCTGTGAGCAGAAGAATGATGGTACTAAGAACAGAAAGAGAGAAATCATCCAGAATAAATCTGGTTTTAGAGGAAAGATAACTTTGATTTTAATATGGCTTTCAGGCACAAAAGATATAGGAAAATGGGAGGGAGGAAGGGCTGGAGATGTAGTTTTCAGGGTTGATGGAGCTGGCAAGTTAAATCTTTTAACATCTTTATGTCTGAATTTATCTTCAAGGGTCACTCATTAGGTGGGCTGGAAACCACTATGGGAAAGAGATGGGAGAGTCAAATAGATCAGGAGAGGAGGAGAGAGATGGAGAACATAAACCGTGTGCTAGAGAAGGTGACAGGTCATGAGGAAGAGATTAAACTCAGTGATGAAATCTTGGGGCCAACAGGAAAAGGAAGGGAAGTTTAAGACTAAGTGGTCAGAGCCTGGAGAAGTGGAATGGAGCGGGGATTAAGGCCAGCAGGTCAAAGGTGATTGGTGAACAGTGGCTTCCTTTAGTCGACTGCTGGCCGCATGGTGGGTGGTCGGTGGTAGGTGAGCCAGGTTTAAAGTAAAAGCAAAGAGTCTAGTAGACACTTTAAACAACTCATTTTATCAGCCTCCTCTACACACTGGCAGTTTCAGAGGAAACAACCCAGGGACTGAAGAGAGAGAGGCCATGGAAAATGGGCTGATATCTCGAAGAACAACAGAATGCCTCTAAGGCTGGAGAGAAAGCCGACTTGTCTGGGTCCTGAGAACAGCCTGCCCTGGCTGTTACCTCTCATGCTCTTACATTCTGGCAAACAAGGTGTCTGCTGCTCTTAGCAAATCCTAAAGAGACGGTGGTGATAACTGAAGTTCACTTTTCAAATGGTGAAGTGTCTCCTCTACCTACCACCAGGAGAAGCATAGGCATCTCTAGCTCACCAGGCCTCTGGCCACCAACCAGAAATTTTAAAGCTTGAACTCCATTGTGAGGCATTTAAAGCTTGCTGTGTCCATACTGAGAGCATGTGAAGAAGCCTGACTTATAAGGCCCTGGAGTTTGTGTTTTCTGCACGCTCTCCTGGAATGCTGAAACAGCAAAATGTTCTTCTCTTGGCAGCCATGAGAGAATGCAGCAGTTGGTGAGATGGGCAGTGAGCCTGCTTGAAGACCCAGTTGTGAGCTGGGCACCAACTGCAAATATTGCAATTCAAAACCAAACCAAACCAATCCATCCTACAGACCAAACGCATTTTAGCAAGGAAAAGCTGTGCTGTGTTAAAATAATGAGATGATGTTCTGTTGTGGGGTGATCCTGGTTTTTAAGGGCAGACATTTGCTCAGTGGTATTTGTGGAATTGTTGATGTCTACTCTGTAAGTCTTAGCTCTGACCATCTCCGCCCCTGTGATCATTAGGAACTGAGAATGATAGGTGCATGGATAATAAGGGGGAGTGATGTAAGTGACAGACTAATCATAAACCAAGACTGGAAGCATAACTTTTCATCCAGGCTTGTCAAAATAACTGCATGTCTACATTTTGTTATGTTCATTACACAGTGATTGAGAGCTGTGTTAAAAGTTTTTGAAACAATGAAAACTTTTTAAAAAATTACTAAAATAAGAGAAAATATGATAAGGTCTTTTGTTGTAGGCCATTCTCCTGGATGACAGCATATTTAGGCTTGTTTGGATGGGGAGGGAGAGAGAAAAGAGAGGTGGAAACAGAGGTTGGAAAGGTGGATGGGACTAGATCGTTTAAGGCTTTGGAGGTCATGACAAGGAATTTGAATTTTATTCTAAGCGTGATAAGAACCTGGGGAAATGTTTTATACAGTGAAGTGTTTACAAGATCTGATTTGTGTTTTTGTAATCTTCCTTTTGCTGTTGTGGGGTATAGCAATAGCAGGTCTACAGAGAGAGTGAACTTCCCATTCTAATTCTGGCCACGTAGCTGGTGCAAGGCTTGATTCCCAAGTGACAGTGCACAGAAACAACTCACAGAGACATGAAAGGAGCCAGATAGCACTATAGTCAGGAGTTTTCACTGCCCACGTTTCTTGCTGGCTTGCTAATGCAGGCAGAATCAAAGAAAATATGTAATATAAAGGGTTCTTTGTAGTTTTGTTTAAAGGGAACCCATGTTTAGGAGCAGGTTTGCAAAACTTGAAAATGTGATGATAAATGTCAAGTCTGACATGTTTAGGGGACTAGTGCATGTCAGCTGTGGGCTGAATAGACTCACCAAAGCAGAAGATTCATGGAAACAGAAGGCTGTCTTGCAGGTTTCCCAATACTGCTTCTTTAGGGTAACGCTTACCCTTAACAGGCATTGAAGGGGATTTGCCTCCAGAAAAACTACCTGGGATTTGAAGTCTACCCTTTCACTCCCTACTGAGACTGACTTACTCCACCCCTGGGTCCCTCTCCCTTCATTCAGTGGATCAGCATCTACTCTCCTGTTGGCCAGGGGCTCTGTGAGGCATGGGTGCACTGTGCCCTCATGCAGTTTACCCTGCAGAGGAGAAACAGACAAATAGTCTTCCTAATAAAGGAATTTTTAGTGCAAAAATTCCTTTATTACTGAAAGGAAATTTCAGGGAACAGATTACATGCACTCCTTCTTATCTTCCTTAGTTTGGAGTCAGTTAATGATTAAGAAGCCCCTGCTTTTTCCCCTCTGCCTCGCTGAGGGAAGCCAGGATGTACTCTGGTAACCCCAAGCCTCTGCATACCCCAGCTCTTCCTCTCTGTTTCCTCCTGACTCCCACTCTCCAGAGCTGGACTGCACTGGTTCTGCTAACCTGTTTCTTTCCTTCTGCTCTAGAGATTTCTGGAGAAGCAAAGTCTATTGAGGTGTGGGCCCAGACGTGTCCTTTTAGCAGCTGGGGTGGTTTTCCTTGAAGCTGCCCTAAAACCAGCCAGTTAGCAATCTCCAGCTTTTGCCCTTGGACTTTGCTGGCTCACTTTGTCTTTGCCGCAGGCACAGGCGCCCTGCCCTGCTGTGCTCAGCAGAGACCTTGGCTCTGCCTTCACATTTCTCTCCTCTATCAAAGCTCTGAATTTCTAGTCTATTCTAGTCTGCTGGCTCTCTGTTGAACCTTGTCTCTTTGTTTTTATTGTTTCTGAGACAGAGTCTCACTCTGACACTCAGGCTGGAGTGTAGTGGCATGATCTTGGCTCACTGCAGCCTCCGCCTCCTGGGTTCAAGTGATTCTCCCACCTCAGCCTCCTGAGTAGCTGGCATTATAGGTATGCACCACCACGCCCAGCTAATTTTTGTATTTTTAGTAGAGATGGAGTTTCCCCACACTGGCCAGGCTGGTCTTGAACTCCTTGAACTCCTGACTTTAGGTGATCCACTCGCCTCCACCTCCCAAAGTGCTGGGATTATGGGTGTGAGCCACAGCACCCGGCCTGAACCTCATCTCTCTTTATAAGACTTCACCACCTAACCTTCCAGACACAGGTTGGCACACTTCCCTTTTTTTATTTTTTACATCTTGAGCCTTGGGATCTGATGAATGTCTCACATGATGTCCCAAAGCGTCTATATGATAAGCTTTACAACTTGAATAGATTTTGAAAATGCATCTCAATTGAAGGTCATCTTTGTGGAATTTTATTAATTAGGTTTCTTTTAAAGTTTTTCTAAAAGGTATTTTTGTTTTCAAATTTTCTCCCTCTGTGTATAATTTTCTAAGTGGTACCTGAAACCCCCTGATTTCATTAGTCTATGTTTCCAATATCTACTGTTTTCCTTAAAGAGTATTTTGTGCTACATTTAAGGTTAAATGGCTTTATAAAAAGCACTGTGAATATTTTTAAATGTACATTTTGAACTTTGAATTGAGGTGTCAGATTTTTTACTGAAGCAATTACAGTTAAAAGTAATTTTAGCTCTATTTTTTAAAAGAGGTACACCCTAATAATTATGCCCTTGTGTGCATTAGTAAAAAAATGATATTTCTGCTATTATAGAACAAAAGTTCATTGGAATTGCCCCCTCACCCAGCATTCTGGCTTGGTTGCAAGTACATGAGGAAGGATTAAGGAAGTGAGGAAGGGTCTGTACCTTGTGTGTTTCACAAGGGGAAGCACACATATTCCTTGGATCTTGCTGGGGCTTTGGGAGCTATAATGCCTTGTCAAAACTTAGGGAGGATAACCCACTGACCATTTTTGGATTTTTTTTTTCCAGTTATAGCTTTCCTTGAAGCTTAATTATATATGAACATGTAAATAGAGAAAGATTATTAAGTGGCCTACAATGAGGTCAAATTGCTCATGGTTCTCCGCCTGCTTTTTGTCCCAGTACATGTGAATATTTCCTGGTAATAGACAATGAACCTGGTGTTCAAGCCTTTCAGGACAGAAATAGAAAAATGTTTGCGTAAAATCCAATATTCATTGGCTTTGAAGTGGTTTATTAGAGATATGTCTTCTCCTTCTCTTCCCTACTCTTGCCTGAGAAAAGCAGGTGCCTTTACAGTAATACAACCCAAAGTCTTTGTGGAACTCCACTTCCGCACTTTTTGCGTCACCTTGATCTATGGCTTGTAACAGTTTATGCATCAATGGAGCCTATTATGGGAATTGTTTCTTTCCTTTAAAAAAACAACAAAGGGAATATAGTTTAAAGATAAAATCTTTTTTTCTCTTTTTTCTATTTATATTCCTCCTACTTGTCACTGTTCCCATCAGAGAACTTAAACAAATTTGTACAAGTACTCCATGTTCACTGTTGAAAAATTAGAAAATACAGACTAACAAAAGAAAAAAGTTACCCCCAATCCTATCAATGGACGTGACCACTGTTAATAATTTGGTTTGTAGCAATGTTCTCTTTGGTATGCATTGGCACACCAGCATTCTCTGAAGTCTTTATGGGAGTGCTGTCCACTGTGGACCTATGTAATGAAATTTGCTGTTACTATAACCATGGCTGGAAAAAATGGTCCTGCGACAAAGTACAGCGGCATAATGAGGAAGTGGTAAGACCACAGTATCATGTTCACCTAATGTCAAGGAAAGATGGTTTCCCATCCTGTAGAACCACTTGGCTTGTGAGGACAGAGGAAATCCCTGTCCCGGCAGTAAACAATTTGGCTCAAACAGATGCGATCTGTGCAATGAAAAATGAACATTATGGGATTACTATGGGATTGCTTATTGTATTTTTTCCAGTTTTTCAATACTTTCAAGTGTGTGGCCTCACTAATAATTAAATAAATGTTAGTTGAAACAACTCAGAGCTCTACTATTGCTTATTAAATTAGAAGAAAAATAATGACAATGACAAAACCCAGTGTTAATGGAGGTATGAGAAAAATACATATATTTATATGTTGCTAGTGACATTTAAATTGTTCCAATGATTCTGGAGTACATTCTTCCCAATTATGATGAGAGCAATAAAACATTTCTTGCCCTTTCAGTTATAATCTACATTATGGTATATAGATTGAGGAAATAAACCAAAAAAGAAAACAATTTATATAAAGATGGTTATAGTTTAAATTATGGGCAGTCAGGTAAATCATTGTCAAGAGACTCCCCTTCTATTTTATCATCCTCAGAAATGTGCTTTATCTACTTTGGAAAGCTCTTCTAAGTAATGAAGGCTTTGAATGGTGATTAAGTCTATAGCCGTAGGACAGAGGCCTCTCTTGTTTGAGTGGAAAGATATGATCAGTGACTTTCTGCACAGAATAAGCTGCTTGTGGATTTCCTTTATTCCTGCCAAATGTTCCTGTTACACAAACTGATGTTGACTGGGAAAATAATGGAATAACAGAATTAAGAGGAATATTAGAGGGCTTCTTATTTAACCGACTAGCTGAGAAAGGTACCTTCTCAAAATACATAGGCATATGTCTGGTCATTGTTTGATCAACTTATTACCTCTTGCAGCAATTTGATGGAAGCTTTATAATTTAGAAATTTCTTCCTTATAGTAAAACAAAATCAACCTGCTTGTAACTTCTACTTATTAATTCTACTTCAGCCTTCTGAGTATATATAGAATAAATCTGGTTCCCCTCTGAATCTTTTTTTTCCTCCCCAGGCTGAAAAGCCTTAGTTAGCTCTTTCAGACTTGCCTCAGATGTTCAACATATGGTTATTTTTCTCTAGAAGCATACCAATTTGTGATGTTAAAGCTTTGCAGAAAGAAATAACCATAATACCCAAGGTGTGGTCTAAATACTACAGAGAAGGCCCAATAGAATTGTTCTTGACACCACATTTTTATGAATACTAAGATCTTATTAGCTAATTATCCTTGCCATTTACTCATATCATATATGTAGACAACAGAAACCCATTAATATTTTCATTTGTATAGCAGTTTAGGTTCTTCTCTCTCCAATAGAATTGCCTATTTGAATGTAAATGCAGTTTTTAACTTATTCATATATACATATATGCATATTTACATACATACATATGTGTATATATAATCTCCTTGATGAGGAATAATTTACATAGAGTAACAGGCACTAATCTAAAGTGCACTGCTCAGAGAATTTCTACATATGTAAACATCCATTTGACCACCACCCAGATCAATATAGAGAATTTTTCTACTACCCTAAAAGGTGGTTTCAGGTTCCTTCATAGCCAGTATCCCACAAATGTAACCACTGTTCTGATCTCTATCACTGCAGATTAATTTTGCCTGTTTTGAACTTCATATAAATAAAATTGTGCAATTCCAATTCTCATGTGTGCGTCTGACATTTGTTCATATAGCTGAGTGAGGCTGAAACTCACTTTTTTATTACTATGTAGCATTCCATAGTATGAATTATACCACAATTTATTTATTCATTCAACTCTTTGACTTTTAAATATAAAGCTACCAAGACTATTCTAGTACATGTCTTTTGGAAACAGGCACTCATATCTGGTGGTTGTATACTCAGGGGTGGAATTGCTGGGTCATGGGGTAACTATATGTTTTGCTTAGACCATACTGCCAAATAATTTTTCAAAGTGGTTGTACCATTTATATGCTTACTAGCAATGTATAGAGTTCTATTTTTCCGTATCTCCAGTACTAGTTAAGTCCTTTCAATTTTAGACATTTTAAAGATGTGTATAGTGTTATTATCTCATTGCTTTAATTTGCAGTTTTCTGATGACTGGTTACCCACATAATTTTCATGTAAAATTAACTGCCTGGTTTGGCTCTATTGAATTCATTTTGGATAGTTAATTCATTATCTTATGACTTTGCTATTCCACATAGCTTCTTGTTACACACTCATTTCTTTATATGTCATTTATCCCCAAGCCCCCATAATACAAGGATAAAGACAGAACATGGTATCAAGCCTCTTTAAATTGGCATCAGTGTATTGATTGGCATTCTTGGCATTCAATGCTGAAGTCAGCTAACTGTGTGATTATCAGCTCACATTTCACTATGCTTTCAGTAAGGTTATCCGGAAATACTGAAATTTAGATCCTTTCATGACTATAGTGTTCTTTTAATCTTTCAGTTTAGTTGATACTCCTATCAAAAAAATGAATAGGTTTAAGTTGGCCTTCTTTGTGAAGCCAGACGGCTCCTGTTAATCATTTGTTCCTTCTGTATGAGCTCAAAAATCACCCTTTTGACAACTTGTTCTTACATTTTTCCTAATGATATATCATCCATTTTATAAATGTAGGACAGCATTTGCAGCTTCTTGCTTGAAACAAAAGTATGGTTAGATTGGTTTTTTCATTTCATTGAATTGCTATGTTTAAAATTGATTATCTTTTTTATAAATGGAATTCTTCTAAAGATTTTAAGATAGCTTGCTAGTTAGCTGAATTTTACAAGTACTTTTCTTGGAGGAGGGGAATTATGAAGTCTTTTACAATGCAAATAATCATTTATTATCTCTAACTTTAAAGTTTTACTTTTGCAAATGGGAAGAATGATTGAGAATTGGATGGTAAGAAGGATTTTATAAAAGGAGATAATTCAAAACTACAAACTACTGTAGACCATTTAATAAAATTACCTTGGTCTGTTAAATAAGACCTCAATGAACTTGAAGAGGTAGAAA
The DNA here is from genome assembly GCF_000001405.40 of Homo sapiens. Lineage (NCBI taxonomy): Eukaryota > Metazoa > Chordata > Mammalia > Primates > Hominidae > Homo > Homo sapiens. Next base: position 185,494,187 of record NC_000001.11, read on the forward strand.
ATAACTTTTTTTTTTTTAAAGAGATAGGGTCTTATTAAGTGTCCAGGCTGGAGTGCAGTGGCTTTTCACAGGTACAATCATAGCAAACTGTGGCCTCAAACTCCTGGCCTCAAGGGATCCTCCCACCTCAGCCTCCTGAGTAGCTGACACTTTTAAAGTATCTTAGGCATTAAAAGAATCTGGTCTATCCTTGAGAAGTCTAGAAGTAATAACGTAAATAGCTAAATATGGGTAAGGTTGCTTGGTTATATTGCTTTGTGATTTAAGCATGAAAATTAAAGATTTCCTGGAATATAACCAATTAACTAGAACAGCTGCTGCCCTAATTGACTGAGGATATTTTTGGTTACTATGAACCCCAAATTAGCCTTCCTTTTTTTTTTTTTTTTTTTTTGAGACAGGGTCTCACTGTCTTGCCCAGACTGGAGTGCAGCGGCCCGATCTTGGCTCACTGAAACCTCTGCCTCCCAGGGTCAAGCGATTCTCCTGCCTCAGCCTCCTGAGTAGCTGGGATTACAGGTGCACACCACTACCGCCTGGCTAATTTTTGTGTTTTTGGTAGAGATGGGGTTTTACCATGTTGGCCAGGCTGGTCTCAAATTCTTGACCTCAAATGATCCACCCACCTTGGCCTGCAAAGTGCTGGGATTGATTACAGGCATGAGCCACCGCCTAACCTCCTTTTTTATGCTTCTTATTAAATTACCTAAATAATAGGATTTTTGAATCTAAGAGAAAACTTGGAGTTCATCAATGTTTTAAATTTACCGGTGAGGAAACCAATACCCAGTGAAACTAAATGAATTTCACCACCCAAGCACCAAGCATTGTTGTTGAAGAAGCAGATAGGCAATATTCCTGCTCTCATGAAGATCACACTTTAGTTTGAAGGGGACATGGAAAAAGCAAAACACAAATGCTTGAAGGACAAAAGTATTAGATTTAGACAGTGCTAAGTGTTAGAGAGACTGGAATACATTATATTCAGTGACCAGTTCTCTTCCTGCTTTACCAAAAGACTTCCTGAATGACTGTTTCAAAATAATAGAGGAACTGAATGACATAGTATTCATGGATATATTGAATGTCAAAAATGTTAACTTCTTTTCTTTCAGGCAACTTATACCCATTTGTCCTTTAAAAATTACAAATTCAGATAATATTTCCAGAATGAAGATGTATTTAAATAAAAAATATACTCCAGAAGATCAAAAAGTCTAGCTGTGTTGCCTAGGGCAAATGAATCACTTTTTTTCATCTTTGAAACTATTTGTTCCGACGTATTGATTACAGAGAATCTTTTCTTCACAGAGGGGCTTAATGAAATTAATTAGAGTATGTGACTAACCTAGTGAATATTTCTACAGCTTTTATAAGGAAGATTGAAGAGGTGTTCTCAGAGGCCTGCATTTTGATCCTAGTTTTGTAATTGAAGCTCCCTCAGTGGACACATCATCTAATTTGGTTGTGCTTCAGCTTATGCCACCAAACAGGGAAGCATTTAACATCAAGCTCTGTATTAGACTTGAGGGAGATTTAAAAAAATATCTGAGATAGGACCCTAGCCCTCAGAAATTCCATACTCTAACTAAGAGAAGAGACAACAGTAGGCTGTGGTAAAAATGCTGAACTCATGCTACAGTTAAGAGGTTTGATGGCTATCCAGAGGAGAAAAGAATGCCTTTCTGCAAGAGTTGGGAAGGCTTTTCTGAGGAGGTGTGAGTTGGGCTGGACTCTAGAGGATGCACGTGCTGGAAAGGGAGTGGTGTAATTATAGCAGTACTTGTAGAAGATTTTCCAAATAAAGCTTCTGCAGGGACCAGGGGCAGAGGTCTCTAGAGTCTCCCAGTCACATAGATCTGAAGTTGGTTGGTGACTGACACACCTGAGCAGCTGGCTGAGATGAAGGTGGTGGGGTGAACCACAGAGGAGGTGGAAGATGACTCTGCAGCCTGGGTCTGGGTGACAGATGGCTTCATTCATAGGATGGAGGAAATCTGAGGAGAGTGCTGGTTTGGAGGCAAGGTGATAATTGATTTTAGATATATCAAGATGTTGCAGCAAATTGGACTCAAAATATCCATCAGTGGAAGTGAAGGTCTGGGGGCTAAGAGCGAGGTAATGGTGGAGATGGGGAATCATCTTTGTGAGCCCTGGCTAGTGAGAGGAGAGAGAGGGTGTGAGAACTCTAAGGTGAAACATGGACCATGAGCTACTGGCTCCTTCCACTGGGGCATTTTTTAGTTCATCTCCCAGAGTTAAAATGATTCCTTGGCAGCTGAAGGGAGCTGACAGTTATTGACACAGTGCTCATCGCATTCAGGACTTGGTGCTGACCGTGAGCAGGATGACCTGTCTCAGTACCCACCTGTCCCCGCTACTGCTTATTGATAGGTTAAAATATATAAGATATATACCTATAAATCACATGTGCTTTGTGATCCAGACCAGGGAGTATTTGAGCATAAAATGAGGGTACCATTGATAATTATGCCAGGGCAACGTGTTAACCAGGACTGCCCAGGAACTTGGGCAGTTCATCTGTAGTAACAGGAGCATATGTCAGTAAGTAGATATAGGGGCTGATGAGAAGAGAAGCTGGAGTCCCCACTTTGTTCTGAGCATGAGCGTGGTTATTCCTCCAGCGAGTTAATGTCTGCCTAGTGGTGTTGAGCTGCATGTCCTGTATAGAATTTCCAAGAAGACTTGCTGAAATCTAGTATATTAACATGAGTTTGGTACTTTCAGTGTGTCAGACATTGGAAGTCTGGGGTCTTATCTAGTTCCATGAGAATTTCCCACAAGTTACTTTTCTGAACTTTAGTTTCTTCAGATTGAGAGAGAGAGAGATTAGCTTTTCTTTTTCCTTTTTTTTTTTTTTTTTTTTTTTTCTGGTGAGGGGAGTTTACTTCTTCCCAATTTTATGCTTCCCTCATCCTGCTTCTTTAAATTCTCTGCTCCCTCGCTTTTTGAATTTCCCTTGTTCAGAAGGTAAAGTTAAACAACTTTTGAAAAGTGTCCTTTCTGTTCAGTGGCAGTGCATTTTTGTTACTGCCAAATGACACCTTGCATTGGGGGAGCATTTTTACAGCTCACAAGCATTCCTATAAATTATAAGAATTATCAGAATCATGTTGATGGGCAGAAAAATATCAATTTAATGTTTTACATATGCCCCAATTTTGGGGCACAGAGAGGTTAAGTTACTAGCCCAAGGTCACACAGTTAGTAAGTGGTAGACCTGGGCTAAAAATCAAGGTTTGTCTCTAATACTAAGGTGACTGCTTTTCACTATATTAAATCTAATGTTACAATGGAACCTTACACTTGAATATTAAATATGAAGGAACAGAATAAAGAAAATATCCAAAATATAATCCACAATTCTCCTTGTTAAAAAATAAATGATTTTCATTATATAAATAATAGATGAGTATATTCTTGCTTTAAAGTATTCTGATAGTACAGACAAAGCAAGTTCCCTGTCTTGCCACCCTTCATAGAGGTAACTACTGTGATCAAACTACCGTTTGATATATAATTCTCTCTTTAAAAAAGTAGTCTGTGGTGGTGGTTTTTCTCTGGTTAGAAAAGTAATATGTGGTTATTATAACAGTAAAAGGCAGAAAACAAAATCGAACACTTATTATCATCCCACACAAAGATAAAGTTAATATTTTAGTGTGTTTTCTACAATCTGTAGTCCTTTACATACACATATATTTATAATTGTATGTATTTTATGTAATTGAGATTGTAATGCATACACATTTGGCTTTTTTAAACAAAATTAACATGTCATGAACATTTTCCCATGTTAACAATTTTACAGAAAAATAGTGTTTAATAGCAGCATATATCTTTAGTTAGAGGTAGTCCCATAATTTAGTTAATCATTTACTATATTATTAGAAATTTCCAATGTTTTTGTAACTATAAATAATGCTGAGGTAAGTTATCCCTTTAATAAGGTGAGAATGTTTCTTATTCTAATTTTATGCATTTTCCTTTATTGACCCTATTGAGTGTTTCTGTAGGAAAAGAGACCAGGTACCATGTTAATTATTGAATCTCATCATCTGGGTAAGCGTCTCACATCTACTGAGCCATTTATGTCAAAGGAACAATGACGGGGACAATAATAATGAGCATGCATCTTTGGCTACTCATTAATGCCATCTGCTCAGTAAAACTTTAATGAGCTTACACTTTTGATCTGTGAAAGTGCTTTTAATTACAGTTCTTTTCTTTGCCTCTTTGCTTTTTGATTCTACCAAACTGCTGGATCCTTTGAACATACTGTCCATTCTTTGTAGTAGCAAATGAGCTCTCTGGCTTTGAGCTGTTTTAAACATGACAGTAGAAAAGGGGTGATTAAAAACCAAATATCTCTCTAAGCTTTGGATGTAGTGCTGAATATAAGATGAATGTTGTAGAGGTTAAAAGTTCCCATTATCTACTTGATTAGGAGACAATTCACAAAATATTTGAACAATAGAATTGCTTAAGGACTACAAATGAAAACAAAAACACAAATATGATAAACTTCAATAGTAGTCGAAGAAATCAAAGTAACAACTAATATAATATAGCTTCTTTAAAACCTATGAAATTAAGAAATATTTTTAAGTGTATTATCCAGTTGAGTCAGGGATATAAAGAAATAAGCATTCATGAAAAGCTTATTAGCTAATGAAGATGTAAATTGATTGCATTTGGTCAATTTGGAAGTAAACATTAATGCCTTAAAATGTGCCTTCTCTTTGAGCCAGTATTTATGCTTACCAAAATGTATCCTAAAGAAATGATGAATACTATAGAACTCTGATAAAGATTTGTACAAAAATATCTATTTATTAATGTTCTTATACTAAGAGATAGAAACAGCTTCAATATTAATTTATTCTGTTAATTATTTATTGAATGTTTCTATATGTCAAATTCCATCATACCTCAGACTTTGGGTATAAGAGTCAACAAGGCATGGTTTGTCCTACCAAATACATATAGTCCAGCAGAGTACATCCATTAATGGAATTCTAGGCACCCATTAAAAATGAAGCTGCACCCTTCTTCCAGCCAAGATGGAGTAACAGAGTTTGGATTTACCATTCTTCCTGAAACAACAAAGCACCAGAGAAATGATACAAATTAATGGTTTCAAATGTTGGACAACAGACAGTGCAGGACTGTGATCTTTGAGAGAAAGAAAATAAGACAAGTGCTAAGATTGTATTAGATTCCTATCTGCAAGAGGTTTGATAGTGAGGGTAGGGATGGTCTCTGGTCATCTTGCTGAGTGTAAGAGATGGAGACCGGAGTTTGGGGGAAGTCATGGCTTCTAAAATTTTCAGAGTGGAGTACTAAAGAAGAAGGACTCCACAAAGAGAGCACTTCAGAGATCTCTAGAGGGATCCCCTTGAGTCTTTAAGTAATGATCAGTACACATGTGAGAGGCAACCATCTAGCGTTAGGAAATAACTGCAAGAAGGAGAAGGCAGGACAATACGTGGGTCACACAGGGTTGGGGAATATCCTTGTTTCTTAGGTCTTTCGGTGAGTACTCCTGTAGGCGATAGGTATCCTCACAACCTGGGTCCATTTGGAGAGTTATATACATTTCTCCAAACCTTATCTCCAATCCTTCAATCTCATTCCTTCCAAATATCTGAATATCTGACCAAACCGTTAGCACATTCCTGTGAACCTGTATAGATTTAACTTCAAGCCATTGATAATTACAGGCAAATTGGACAAAAGAGCTCTCAAGTTTCTACTCACAGGGAGGTTTCTCTTTTTCATAGTCCCTCAGAAGCATGCCTAAATGGCTGCTAAACATTTCAGCAAATCTTTCGGATGGTGCCAGAATATCACACAGAGCCTTCTCTAGATGCTGTTCAAAACTTTTCCATTGTAGTCCATGACTCATAGACCACTTTCCTGAAGTCATAAGTGTGGGCTGAGGAGGGGTGGTATTAGGTCAGAAGCAGACATGCCAGAAGTATGAACCACTTGCTCGTGAAACTTATGCTTTCAGAATAAGCAAAAGTTTGTGTTTGTGCTTTGGCCTGTAGAAAAACACCTCCATTTGATAATCATATGCTACAGGGTGTACTTAGTTAATGGTGAGGCATCTGAGATAACCCATTCATGATGGTCAGCTGGTGTCCCATGACCTGGTTTTTAGTCTCTGTCAGAGTCCAGTAGCAAGGTGTTACTCACAAGAAGAATAATTACTTGCTGAAAAGGGCATGGCTTCTATGCAAAGCCCTAGGGGCTTTCACATGACCTGCTATGAGCTCTATTTAGCATCCTTATTGTTTCATTTTATATTTTAAGCACTATCTCTCCTGATGGGTCATAAAGGTTAAGTAGCAGAGCTGCTTGAGCTACGGTTCAAACCAGAGAGAAAGCCCTTGATTGATTAGCGGTAGCTCTATTCAAAGTTAGCCATTTTTTAGGTCATCCAGTAAATGGACCAGAGAAGCCAGCACATACATAGGAATGTTGCCTCCCAAATCCAAATAGATCCATAAAATTGTTGGCTTCTTTTTCAGTGAGAAAACGTTCAAAGTTAGCAACTCTACCCTCACTTTGGGGATGCTACCTCAACTTGTCCCAGATCATTAAGCTCCCAGAAACTGAAGTTACAAATCATGATATTATCTTACAATTCTTGTTCTTCTTCTTATATACATTGTATTACCAAAGAATATAGAATAATACACTTCTTTTTGTCATACAGGGGGTCAGTCAGATATGAATGGTCATCGAGGGATGCATGGACTAAATTTTAGCACAGAGCCAGGAGGTTGGCATAAGCGAGAAAGATGATGAAGATGTATTGATACCCCTCCCAGAAGAGATTTTGGTATCTGCATACTGATAAAAAGAAAAACGCATTTTCCTGATGAGTAGCTACATATCAGGAACTAAGGACTATTTTGGTTTACTTAAGCAAAGTGACTACATCTAGAATAGCAGGTACAATCAGAGTCGCCGCTTGATTAAATTTATAATCATCTACTTGTATTCTGTAAGTTCCATCTGCCTGCTGCACTGATCAAAGAGGTAAAGGAAATGAGGATGACAGATGCACCACCCCTGCATTTACAAGTCTTTGATGGTGGAAGTAGTGTTTGTCTTAGCAGTAGGAGTTCAAAGAATTTTTACTTGTCCACCACAGTCCAGGGAACTAATGTGCAGATTCTGAGAAATTCTGGGCATACCTATTTCAACTATATACTCAGACCTGGTGATATAAAGATATGATAGGTTTAGGGTGACCCTAGGCATATGAGTAGGTGAACTTATCTGATACTGTAATCCTTAACTGTGAATGGCGTACCACAAAATGGGTCTCCAGGAATTAGCATGGTGTAGAGCCAATGTCAATAAGACTCAAAGGACTGAATATTCCCATTTCTCCAATGCATAGTTGTCTTGGCAAATAGCTATAGTTTCCAAAGTTTCCATAGGAAAAGCTAGCAGGAGGATGTACAGTACTTGCTTTCATGTCATTGCAGGTTTCTTCCTCAAAGGTGCCATTCCTTTATTTCCTATGAAGTGATTCAGATCAGAGAAGTGGATAAGGAGAGTGGCTTCCTATCATAGTGGCTCAAACCAGCCCTTTGTTTCCCAGACCTAGAGTTTTTTAGTCATAGAAATCAAATATGACCTTAGTGGATGATCACTATTTCAATCTTAGGGGCCTCCTGACTCCCAAAGTGCTAGGAGTATAGGCATGAACCACCACACCAGGCCAAGAGCTCCTAAAAGTAGAAGAGGAAGGTGGAAGTCAGAGGAAGATGTGACAGTGGAAGAATGGTCAGAGATGCAACATTACTGGTTTTAAATATGGAGAAAAGAGAACTCTAACATATGGAAAAGGCAAGGAAATGAATTATTCTCTAGATCCTCCAGAAAGAAACACAGCCCTACTGACACCTTGATTTTAGGACTCTGACTCCTAGAACTGTGAGGGAATATTTGTGTTCTTTAAAATAATTTTTTTAATTTTATTTTTTGTAGAGATGGAGTCTCACTATCTTGCCCAGTCTGATTTCAAACTCCTGAGCTAAAATGATCCTCTGATCTTGGCCTCCCAAAGTGCTAGGATTACAGGTGTGAACCACCATGCCCAGCTGAATTCTTTATAGCCACAAACTTTGTGTTAATTTGTCACCACAGCATCAATAAAAAACTAAAACAGGTTCCTACTTGCAAGTACAAGAACTAAATGACTATTTTAAGTAGAAACAGTGTCTGATGCTCAGTGTCCAGTGTTGGTATCAGCAGGGTAAGCTGCACCACCATCTTCTGCAGACATCACTGGCCTACTGCAGCCTTCTTGTGGCTTGCCCTGCTGATGCCAACTCTGGACACTGGGCATCAAACACTGTTGCTAGAAGTGCATCTTCTCTCGGTTCTTTCTGGAAAATGGATGTAGATGCTATCATATATCACCGTCTCCAAAGATTGATTTTGTGCAGTCTCCACTTCTATCAAAACCTAGAGTCTGTATATCTGATTGCATTGGCTTGGGGTTTATGCTTGTACAATAGCCACAAGCGGGATTGAAAAGGTGAATATCTGGCACATTTGGCTTCTTTAATGGGATTCATTCTCTGCCTTTAAGGTGGTGAATTCCTGAAACCTGATGGTGGTTTAGATTCTGGGTTACTGAGAATAACTGTCTACCACAACGCTTACAGTCCCAGAAGAGGAGAGATTCTTTCTTTCTCCCAGGATTGGTCTGTTTCAATCTCTGAAAAGGACTCTGACTGGTCTTGCTTGGATCCTTTGCTGGCCCTGTAACCAATTAATGCTTAAGGTTAGTAGGGTTCACTGACTGGCTGGTTTGGGTGGGGATCCTCGACTGATAGCCCTTTATGGAAAGGTGTAAGTACCAAAACAAAAGTGGTTCTGTTATCAGAAGCATTAGACTGTGGATCTTACTGCATCTAGACCCATGGATGTATAGTCAGGTGTCACTTAACAATGGGAATATGTTCTGAGAAACGTGTCATTAGGTGATTTTGTCATTACGTTAACATCATAGAATGTCCTTACACAAATCTAGATGGTGTACTAGATGCCCTACTATACACCTAGGGCATATGGTGTGGCCTATTGCTGGTAGGGTGCCAACCTGTACAGCATGTTACAGTACTGAGTTCTGTAGGCAGTTGTAACACTATGGTAAATACTTGTGTACCTAAACTATCTAAACATCGAACAGGTAATGCTATGAAAAGGAGGTTACCATGGCTACAATGTCACTAGGCCTTAAGAATTTTTCAGTTCCATTATAATTTTATGAGACCACAGTCATATGTATAGCCCATCATTGACTGAAATGGTGTTATGCAGCACATGACTGTATTAAATCCTAGATAGGCTCTTTCCTAGTTTGCAAAGTTAATTTTATTCAAATACAGCTTTAGGCCAGGTGCAGTGGCTCATGCCTATAATCCCAGAACTTTGGGAGGCTAAGGTGGGAGGATTGCTTGAGCTCAGGAATTCGAGACCAGCCTGGGCAACATGGTGAAACCCCATCTCTACAAAATATAATAATAATAATAAATAATTTAAAAATTAGCCTGGCATAGTGGCATGCTCCAATGGTCTCACCTACTTGGGAGGCTGAGGTGGGAGAATCTCCTGAGCCCAGGAAGTTGAGGTTGTAGTGAGCCGTGATCACGCAACTGCACTTCAACCTGGGCGACAGAGACCCTGTCTCAAAAAAACAAGAAACAAAACAAACAAAACCAAAACAAAAGCAAGAAAACAAATACAGCTTTTGTTTACCAGAGGAGTTAAGAGTACTGGCTCTGGTGCCAGATTGCCTAGTGTATGTCCAGGTTCTGTCACTTCCTAGCTGTGGGATTTTCCTCATTTGTAAAATGGGTATGAAAACAGTACCTATTGCCCATCAATGGTGGATTAGCTAAAGAAAATGCGGAACATACACATCATAGAATACGGAACCATAAAAAAGAATGAAATCATGTCCTTTCAGCAATATGGATGGAGGGGGAAGCAAACTAACACAAGAATAGAAAACCAAATACTATAAGTTGTTACTTATAAGTGGGAGCTAAACATTGAGCATGCATAGTCATAAACATGGGAACAAGAGACACTGTGGTCTACTAGAGGGGGCACATGAATTGAAAAACTACCTATTGGGTATTATGCTCACTGCCTGGTTGCAATATACCCTTGTAATAAAACTGCAGATGTACCCCCATATCTAAAATAAAATTTGACATTACAAAAAAAGAAATGTAGGTTAAAAAATAGTATCTGCTTCGTAGAATAGTTGTGATTAATACATGAATTAATAACTGTAATGAGTTTAGTATATTGTCTGGTATATAATACATCATTATTTTCCCATTTATTTAATTTTTATTGTTTTAGCCCTTTGCATATATCAGTTTGATAAAATTTTAATTTAAAAGGTGAGAAATTAGACCTATTAAATGTATATTGCTTTTTCCAGACTCTAGCTGGAATAGGGTATGGGTTATAAGAGCTGTAGTTTATTTGTTTTTTTGTTTGTTTTCATTTCAGTGGGTTTTTGGAGAACAGGTGGTATTTGGTTACATGAATAAGTTCTTTAGCAGTGATTTCTGAGATTTTGTTGCACCCACTGCCCGAGCAGTGTAAACTGTACCCAATGTGTAGTCTTTTATCCTGCAGCCCTGCCCCCACCCTTTTCCCCCAAGTCCCCAAAGTCCATTTTATCATTCTTATGCCTTTGGATCCTCATAGCTTAGCTCCCACTTATGAGTGAGAATATACGATGTTTGGTTTTTGATTCCTGAGCTATGTCACTTAGAATAATGGTCTCCAATTCCATCCAGGTTGCTGCAAATGCCATTATTTCATTCCTTTTTATGCTTGAATAGTATTCCATGGTGTGTGTGTGTGTGTGTGTGTGTATATATATATATATATATATATATATATATATATATATATATATACATTTTCTTTATCCACTTGTTGACTGATGGGCATTCAGGCTGGTTCCATAGTTTTGCATTTGCGAATTGTGCTGCTAAAAACATGCGTGTACAAGTATCTTTTTTGTATAATGACTTCTTTTCCTCTGGGTAGTTACCCAGTAGTGGGATTGCTGGATCAAATGGTAGTTCTACTTTTAGTTCTTTAAGAAATCCCCACACTGTTTTCCACAGTAGTTGTACTAGTTTACATTCCCACCAGCAGTGTAAAAGTGTTCCTTTTAAACCACATCCACGCCAGCATCTATTATTCTTTTATTTTTCGATTATGGTCATTCTTACAGGAGTAAGGTGGTATCACATTGTGGTTTTGATTTGCACTTCGCTGATCAGTAGTGATATTGGCATTTTTTCATGTTTGTTGGCCATTTGTATATCTTCTTTTGAGAATTATCTATTCATGTCCTTAGTCCAATTTTTGATGGGATTGTTTGTTATTACTAATTTTTTTGAGTTCCTTGTAGATTCTGGATATTAGTCCTTTGTCAGATGTATAGATTGTGAAGATATCCTCCTACTCTGTGGGTTGTCTGTTTACTCTGCTGATTATTTCTTTGGCTGTGCAGAAGCTTTTCAGTTTAATTAAGTCCCATATATTTATCTTTGGTTTTGTTGTGTTTGCTTTTGGGCTCGTAGTCATGAAGTCTTTGCCTAAGCCAGTGTCTAGAAGGGTTTTTCTGATGTTATCTTCTAGAATTTTAATGGTTTCAGGTCTTAGATTTAAGTCCTTTGTCCATCTGGAGTTGATTTTTTTATAAGGTGAGAGATGAGGATCCAGTTTCACTCTTCTACATGTGGCTTGACGTGGCTTGCCAATTATCCCAGAACCATTTGTTGAATAGGGTGTCCTTTCCCCACTTTGTTTTTGTTTACTGTGTTGAAGACAGTTGGCAGTAAGTACTTGGCCTTATTTCTGTGTTATCTAATCTATTCCATTGGTCTATGTACCTATTTTTATACTAGTACCATGCTGTTTTGGTGACTATAGCCTTATAGTATAGTTTGAAGTCAGGTAATGTGATCCCTCCAGATTTGTTCTTTTTGCTTAGTCTTGCTTTGGCTATGCGGGCTCTTTTTTGGTTCCATATGAGTTATAGAATTGTTTTTTCTAGTTCTGTGAAGAAGGACGGTGGTATTTTGATGGGAATTGCATTGAATTTGTAGAGCACTTTGGGCAGTATGCTTGTTTTCAAAATATTGATTCTGCCCATTCATGAGCATGGATGTATTTCCATTTGTTTGTGTTGTCTATGATTTCTTTCAGCAGTGTTTTATAGTGTTCCTTGTAGACGTCTTTTGCCTCCTTGGTTAGGTATATTCCTAAGTGTTTCGTTTATTTATTTATTTTGGCAGCTATTGTAAAAGGGGTTGAGTTCTTGATTTGATTCTCAGCTTGATCACTGTTTGAATATAGCAGGGCTACTGATTTGTGTACATTAATTTTGTATCCTGAAATATTGCTGAATTCATTTATCAGTTCTAGGAGCTTTCTGGAGGAGTTTGTAGGGTTTTCTAGATATATGATTATATCATTGGCAAGCAACGACGGTTTGACTTCCTCTTTACCAATTCGAATGCCCTTCATTTCTTTCTCTTGTCTGATTGCTCTGGCTAGACTTCCAGTACCATGTTAAATAGAAGTAGTGAGAGTGGGCATCCTTGTCTTGTTCCAGTTCTCAGGGGAAATGCTTTCAACTTTTCCCCATTCAGTATTATGTTGGCTGTGGATTTGTCATAGATGGCTTTTATTACATTAAGTTATGTCCCTTCTATGCCGATTTTGCTAAGGTTTTTAATCATAAAGCAATGCTGAATTTTGTCAAATGTTTTTTTCTGCATCTATTGAGATTATCATATTATTTTTGTTTTTAATTCTGTTTATGTGGTGTATCACATTTATTGAGTTGCATATGTTAAACTAGCCCCACATCTCCAGTATGAAACTCACTTGATCATGGTGGATTATATTTTTGATATGCAGTTGGATTCCATTAGCTAGTATTTTGTTAAGGATTTTTACATGTATATTCATCAGGGATATCTGTAGTTGTCTTTTTTTGTTATGTCCTTTCGTGGTTTTGGTATTAGGGTGATACTGGCTTCAAAGAGTGATTTAGGGAGGAGTCCCTCTTTCTCTATCTTTTGGAATAGTGTCAATAGAATTGGTACCAATTCTTCTTTGAATGTCTGGTAGAATTCAGTTGTGAATCCATCTGGTCCTGGACTTTTTTCGTTGGCCATTTTTTTAAATTACCATTTCAGTCTTGCTGCTTGTTATTGGTCTGTTCAGAGTTTCTATTTCTTCATAGTTTAATCTTGGAGGGTTGCATATTTCCGGGAATTTATCCGTCTCCTCTAGGTTTTCTAGCTGATGCATGCAAAGGTGTTCATAGTAGCCTTGAGTAATCTTTTGTATTTCTGTGAAATCAGTTGTAATATCTCCTGTTTTGTTTTTAATTGAACTTATTTGGATCTTCTCTTTTCTTCTCTTGGTTAATCTTGCTAATTGTCTATCAATTTTGTTTATCTTTTCAAAGAGCCAGCTTTTTACATTTTTTTTTAAAGCTTTTGTATTTTTTATTTGTTTCCATTTCATTTAGTTCTGCTCTGATCTTTGTTATTTCTTTTCTTCTACTGAGTTTGGGTTTCGTTTATTCTTGTTTCTCTAGCTCCTTGAGGTGTGACCTTAGATTGTGTATTTGTGCTCTTTCAGACTATTTGATATAGGCATTTAAGGCTATGAACTTTCCTCTTAGCACCACCTTTGCTGTATCCCAGAAGTTTTGATTGGTTGTGTCGCTATTGCCATTTGGTTCAAGGAATTTCTTAATTTCCGTCTTGATTTCATTGCTGACCCAATAGTCGTTCAGGAGCAGGTTATTTAATTTCTGTGTGTTTGCATGGTTTTGAGGTGTCCTTTTGTAGTTGATTTCCAATTTTATTCCACTGTTGTCTGAGTGAATACTTGATATAATTTCAATTTTCTTAAATTTATTGAGACTTGTTTTGTGGCCTATAATGTGGCCTATCTTGGAGAATGTTCCATGTGCTGATGAATAGAATGTATATTCTGCAGTTGTTGGGTTGAATGTTGTGTAAATATCTGTTAAGTCAATTTTTTCTAGGGTATAGTTTAGTATTGTTTCTTTGTTGACTTTCTGTCTTGATGCCCTCTCTTGTGCTGTCCATGGAATATTGAGGTCCCCCACTATTATTGTGTTGCCATCTTTCTCATTTCTTAGGTCTAGTAGTAATTGTTTTATAAATTTGGAAGCTCCAGTGTTAGGTGTATATATATTTAGGATTGTGATATTTTCCTATTGAACTAGCCCTTTTATCATTACATAATGTCCCTCTTTGACTTTCTAAACTGCTGTTGCCTTCAAGTTTGTTTTGTCTGACATAAGAATAGCTACTCCTGCTCACTTTTGGTGTCCATTTGCATGAACATATACACTGCACTTTCTGACTTTATTTCCCTGATTTTCTTTTCAGGCTCTTGTTCTTAGTTTTCAAGAGAAGCCTTTTGAGTTTGGAAATTTCCATCCCCTCTCAACAAAATCTGGTTGTCAAAACTAAAAATGGGACTAGCAAATATAATATACAAGTTAAAACTGAATGGTAACTTCATTTTTCTTTATCTGTTCCTTGAAAGTGTTAAAAAGCTCTTGTTTTTACTGGATGGGGAGTAGTAAGGCATATCTACTAGCTTAATATTTTCAGAATATTATCTCTTTTCCTTCAGCTGTGCAGCAGGTAGTTGATAAATGGTAGCTAGTATTGTTATTTTATCTATATATACTTGTTCAAGTGAAACCAATAAATTATGCTTAACTTTATGTGTAAGTATTAAAGCTTCTTAATAATGTACTACAGCCTTGTTTTATTCATTCATTCATTTATCTATTCATTCACTCAACAAATATATATCGATAGCCTACTATATGCTAGGAATTACTCTAGTGTTCCATAACTCCTTCTTTAGAGTTGGGCCAAATAGGTGACACTGCTTTTCACAGTGACATTTTCTACAAAGCACCCCAGGTTCTTCAGTAACTAAATTGGATACAGCCCAAGATGGGTCAGATGCACACCAAATCCTTCTGTTAACAAATAGTTTTCAATGTAGTGTCTCAGTTCAATAAGTTAAACTGCTTCTTCTGTCCCCCACCCAGTATTAGCTAAGAAAGGAAGTGAATAATCAAGTTGTTGGGTGTAGCACTGCACCACATCTTTTTCTTTGACCAAATCTAGGCCAGCACTATTGGCAGGTTCATGGATCTCCTGTTAAGGTTCCTTCTATTTCTTTCCCAACAGTGGCCATGAACTCTGACATTGGCAATGGCAGCAGAGTTAGGGCCAATGGCAGTGACTAGTTACAATGAATCCCAGGAGAGGTGCCACTTACCTCACTGATTTATGGAATTGGATGTCATTGGTAGTATTAGTGTCTGTCTGTTACTGGGGAGAAAAGGCATTGTTCTAAGTAGCAGAATCCTGATTATATATTTTCAATCCTTTGTTTTCAATCTTTATGTAAATCATGGTATGACTAGACTTTAAAGAGTTAGTGATTAGGACACTGAGAAAACAGGCAATTAGAAACACCTTTGATAACAAAGGTATATATATTATATGTAGATCATATCTACCCCAGCTAGTTAGTAATATGTAAGCTTCACATAAACTTATGTAACTTATGTAATTTAATTTTATCAGTTCTCAGTAATGATAAAAATATAACCAATTTTTCAGAGATTACATGACTTTTTTTATATGTGTGAAGGAGATTTAAAGTATTTCACTATGTGTGAAGTGACAATTTTTCATGTGCAAAAGCAGCTTTTAGAAAGATGGCAATAGATATGTCAAGATAAAACTGAAGATGTTTGCCCATGCAGAAAAATGTCATATATGCCGAAGCTTCTTCCTATAGCTCTTTTGATCCTATTGAATCACATTTTTTTTTCTATGTGCTAAGAAAAACTGACATAGGTAGCTCATCAGTTGTGACATGTCTACCATGAGGAATGTTTTCTTGGAACATGATCTCAAGTTATCTACTTCTGGGACTGTTAAGTTAAATACCTGAGAGATTCTTTGTAACCAAGAACTAAGATATTTTTGAGCTGATTCTTTATGCAGGATTTATGTTCCTAAAAAGCTGTTTTAAACTATATACTTGAAAATCTAATCATATTTTCAGTGTACTAAAGGATCATCTTGTTGAGAGGAACTCCCGAGCAAGTATCTAAAGTAAAAATCTTCTTGCTAATAACAACCCAATGTAGCTATTTTATTTTATTTTTTTTCTTAAAAGCAACACATGGCTGGGCACATTGGCTCATGCCTGTAATCCCAGCACTTTGGGAGACTGAGGTGGGTGGATCACCTGAGGTCAGGAGTTTGACACCAGCCTGGCCAACATGGTGAAACCCTATCTCTATTAAAAATACAAAAATTAGCTGGGTATGATGGCAGGCACCTGTAATCCCAGCTGCTCAGGAGGCTGAGGCAGGAGAATCACTTGAACCCGGGAGGCAGAGGTTGCAGTGAGCCGAGATCGTGCCATTGCACTCCAGCCTGGGCGACAAGAGCGAAACTCCGTCTCAAAAAAAAAAAAAAAAAGTGACACATATCTGCTTTATATTTCACATCAGATAAGGTATTTGAAATGCTAGTTTTTTATTTATTAATGTACAAAGTGCACAGATCTTAACTGTACAGTTTGATGGGTCTTGACAAATGTATGCGCCTATGTGATCAACATCCCAATAAAGATGTAGAATATTCCCATCAATCTGTAAAGTTTCCTTATGTGCCTTTCCAGTCAATTCCTTCCCCATCTCCCAACTGATATTCTTATTTATATTACTATAGTTTAATTTATACTATTCTTGAACTGGCTATAAATGGCATATCTTTTACACCTGGATTCTTTTGCTCAACAGAGTGTTTTTGAAATCTTTGAGGTTCATTTAGATTTTTATGGGTATCATTATTTCATTCTTTCTTGTTACTGCACAGTATCTCATTATATGATTATATCACTATTTAACCATTTTCCTATTGATGGACATTTTGATTATTTTCAGTTTTTAGCTATTATAAATAAAGCTGCTATGAACATTCTTATAAAAATTTTTGTGTTTTCATTTGTCCTGGGTAAATTCCTAGGAGTAGAAATATTAAATGAGTAGGTATATATATATGTGTGTGTGTGTGTGTGTGTGTGTGTATGTATGTGTGTGTATATACACATATATGTATGTGTATATATACGTATATATGTATGTGTGTATATATACATATATGTATGTATGTGTATATATATACATATATATGTATGTGTACATACGTATATATATGTGTGTGTATATATATACGTATATATGTATGTATATATATGTATGTGTATATATATACGTATATATATTAGTTTATAAAGAACCAAAAAATGGTTTTCCAAAGTGGTTGCTGCATTTTCCTCACCTACCAGTGATGTATGAATGTTCCAGTGGTTTCACATCCGTGCCAATATTCCTATTATTACTTTTAACATCTTAACCATTTGAGAGGGTGTGTAGTAATTTCTCAATGTACTTCTCATTTGCATTTCACTGATGACTGATGATGTTGAGCACCTCTTCATGTGCTTCTTGGCCGTTTGTCTTGTGTATTCTCTTTTTCCTCCAGTATATCTTCAAGTTTTTCCCATTAAAAAAATAGAGTTATCTTTTTATTATTGGTTTGTGATATGTAGTTCTTTACATATTCTGGATATAAGTCTTTCATCAGATAAAGATGTCACAAATATTTTCTGTTTGTGGATTATTTATTTATGTTCTTAATGTGTTTTTGATGAACAATAGTTTTTAATTTTATTGATGTTTCATTTATGCTTAGACTTTTTAATCTTGTCTACAATATCTTTACTTATCCCAAGAACATAAAGATAGTATCATACATTTTCTTCTAGAAGCTTTATAGTTTTCACTTTTATGATCAATCTCTAACTTGCTTTTGATTTTACAGGCTCATAGATGGAAGGGATTTGCCTTGTCCCAGATGAGACTTTGGACTTGGACTTTAGGGTTAATTCTAGAATGAGTTAAGACTTTGGGGGACTGTTGGAAGGGCATGATTGTGTTTTGAAATGTGAGGCCATAAGATTTGGGAGGGGCCTGGGGTGGAATGGTATGGTTTGGCTGTGTCCCACCCGGTGGGAAGGAATGGAATCATGGGGTCGGTTTCTCCCATGCTATTCTTGTGATAGTAAGTTCTCGTGAGAACTGATGGTTTTATGAGGGGCTTCCCCCTTTGCTCGGCTCTCATTCTTCTCCTTCCTTCCACTGTGTGTGGTTCTGGGGATGTGTTTGCTTCCTCTTCTGCCATGATTATAGGTTTCCTGAGGCCTCCCTAGCCATGTGGAGCTGTGAGTCAATTAAACCTTTTTCCTTTATAGATTGCACAGGCTCAGGTATGTTCTCATAGCAGCATGAGAATGCACTAATATACACGATGATGCTGGCCTCATAGAATGATTTAGAGAGGAGTCCCTCTGACTCAATTTTTTGGAATAGTTTCAGTAGGAATAGTATCAGCTCTTCTTTATATCTGGTAGAATTCAGCTGTCTGGTTCAGGGCTTTTCCTGGTTGGTAGACTTTTTATTGCTGATTCAATTTTGGAACTTGTTATTAATCTAGTCAGGGTTTTATTTTCTTCCTGGTTCAGTCTTGGAGGGTTGTATGTTTCTAGGAATTTAATCATTTCTGGTAGGTTTTCTGGTTTGTGTGCATAGAGGTGTCCATAATAAGTCTCTGAAAGTCTTCTGTATTTTTATGGGGTCAATGATAATGTCCCCTTTGTATTTCTGATTGTGTTTATTCAGATATTCTCTTTTTTCTTTATTAATCTAGTTAGCAGTCTATCAATCTTATTTTTTCTTTCAAAGAAACAACTTCTGGTTTTGTTAATCTTTCTTTATGGTTTTTCACTACTCAATTTCATTCAGTTCAGCTCTGACTTTCATTGTTTCTTGTCTTCTCCTAGTTTTGGGATTGGTTTGCTCTTGTTTTTCTAGTTCCTCTAGGTGTGATGTTAGGTTGTTAACTTGAGATCTTTCTAACTTCTTGATGTGGGAATTTAGTGCTATAAATGTTCACCTAAACTCTGCTTAGCTCTGTTCCAAAGATTCAGGTATGTTGTATCTTTGTTTTCATTAGCTTTGAAGAATTTCCTGATTCTGCTTTAATTTCATTGTTTACCCAAAAGTCATTCATGAGCAGGTTGTTTAATTTCCATATAATTATATGGTTTTGGGTAATCCTCTTAGTCTTGATTTCTGTTTTTATTGTGCTATGGTCCAAGAGTGTGGTTGGTATGGTTTTGGTTTCTTTGAATTTGCTAAGAATTGTTTTATGGCTTATTAGATTCTTTATGGATCCTTGGGATTTTGGATGAATAAAATCATGTCATTGACAAAGACAATGCTAATTTTTTTCTAATCTTTGTTTTTAAATTTTCTTTACAATAAAGAAAATTTAATAATTTAATGATAAAGTCTTGCTTTATTATTAAGACTTCCAGTTCAAAGACAAAGAAAAGAGCCATTCTTACCTGATCTTTGGAGAAATGTGTCAGTCTTTCACCACTAAGTATAATGTTAGCTATGTTTTTTTTTTTTTTTCTGAGACAGAGTTCCACTCTGTTGCCCAGGCTGGAGTGCAGTGGCGTGATCTCGGCTCACTGCAAGTTCCACCTGCCTGGTTCACGCCATTCTCCTGCCTCAGCCTCTCAAGTAGCTGGGACTACAGGTGCCTGCCACCATGCCCGGCTAATTTTTTGTATTTTTAGTAGAGAAAGCTTTCACCGTGTTAGCCAGGATGGTCTCGATCTCCTGACCTCGTGATCTGCCCGCCTCGGCCTCCCAAAGTGGTGGGATTATAGGCATAAGCCACCGCGCCTGGCCAGGTATGTATTTTTTTTTTAGCTGTGTATGTCTTTCATACATATTGAAGATATTCTCTTTCTATTTATGGTTTTCTGAATTAATTGATTTGAATTTTGTCATTTTCTAATGCTTTTAATATGATACAGTTATTGTGAATTACATTTGATGACCTACAGTTCACATTTGACAGTTTTCTTTAAGAGAAAACAGGCTTCCAAATTGGGTTGCCTTGATAAGGTCTTGTGATTCATGGCAACATACTGTCTCTAAGTTAAAAAAAAAAAAAATCTTATCATGAGTTCCTCAAATTGTTGATGTACTGATTAATGTATAACCTACTGACACTACAAAGGGTGCTGATTTATTTCTGTACTATAAAATTTTATTGATTGTCTTGCATGCAGATATTTTAGCATGTATATTGCATCCTGTGTCCAATGATTGTAACCTCTGTATTGTACTCTCCAGTGAAAAATAACAGTTTGATATGAGGAGTTCTCATCCTTTCTAAAGTCTCCTATAAAAGTTTTCCAATTTGTAGCAGACTTTGGAATGCTCCCAACTTTGTTGGTGTGTCTTCTCAGATCAGTCCTCACATTTGGCTTCCAATAAAACTTTATCAAATTATTTCTGGCTCAACAAACTTAATTTAGGTCAACATTTTGGCATAGCTGGTAGGATTTTACAGTGACCTCCCTAGATCATCCAGCATGGCTTCCAGCATTTGTGCCGATACTAGCAATGGACCCATTGTATTCCTGAACTCAGATACCCTTGCTGGGTACTACAGATGAGCTCCTCCCAAAATCAGTAAACCTCTCGTCTTGGTGAAAGTTCTAGTTTACTGAAGCTGTTTTTTTCCTTGGCTAAGAGGTCAAAGACTCTCTCAAAATTAGAGTTACTCCCATGAATTCAAGGTAAGGGTTTTTTGTTTTTGTTTTTTTTTTTTTTTAGTTCTAGGCCATGGTAAAATAGGAAAATAGGAGCTCTGTGAATTGTCTCCATGGAGGTTTGAAGCAAGACAACCTTAGCTTTTTTTTTCTTTTTTTGCATTCTCTCTTTCTTTCTTTCTTTTTTTTTGATCTCATGAGGACACTCTTGCTCTGAAGGTAAAAGACACTTCCTCTGGTTGAATGACTCTTGGGAAACAAAAACTAACATAGGTGTCTGATGAACTGTCCATGATATGTAGTAGTCTCATAGGAAAACCCCTACACTGTTAACCTTTTGCACAGCTGGTGGGATTTGTAAAGAATGATCATAACTTTTTGCTCCACTGGTGGGATTTATAAAGACTAATCATCTCTTTCCCATGAGCACCCTGCCACTTCTTTGGAGGTGATTTGGGAATCTGAGACACCTAAGAGACTCTATTAGGCCCATTGCATGAAACCTCTGGGAAGAATGATTCATAACTAGCACACTTGATCCACTACATAGCTTGTCTTACTCAAAACAAATTGGAAAAAGCTGGTTTTAGAATCAGACAAGTTGAATGGGAGACTTACTTTCAGTAGCACCTAGAAGCTTCTAAAACAAATTCTGAAAAAAATGTTTTCCCCATTCAAGAGGTAAACAAAGGATATTTGAAACTATTTCCAAATTAGACAAGACTTCAGACGCTTTCTCCTTGTTGCCTCTGAATGTTCTTCCCCATTCTATCCTGTGCCTTCATATTCTCCCTTATCTGAAATCATTCCTTTCAGCTTGTTCCTTCAACTCCCATACGTCTCAGGCAGAGATTTTTTGGAATTTCACAATGCACACATTTCCTTCTCTCAAAAGGGGAAAATGTATTTAAATTTGGAACAGAAGGAGCAAATGCAATAATTCAGAATAATAAAACCACTGAGATTATAAAAATACAGATCCAACAAATTTTCCTAAACCAGAACTAATGAGTGATATTGATAATTTATTGCAAGCTGTGCTGGATCACTTATGGTCCCAATTTTCACTCATATTGGTGAAATATATTCAGCCATCCCCATTAAAGTGGAAGTAAAATTGATTAAACCTTTTACCCAATATCAGATAATGTTCTTTAAATGCCCTGTTGGACTTTGCAGTCATTTGGAGATGTAAAACTTCACGTCCTTTTGGAAGGCTTAAATTCTTTCTCCATGCTTTGAGATATAAATTTGCTACACTGTTTTCCCTAACACATGGTAAGGGCTTTGGCCATGCAGGACAGATAAACTTTAACTTGTTCTGTTCTCAGAGGCAAAATTTAACTAAACTCTTCATTTAAACTAGTGAGTTTTCTCTGACTCATGACTAAAATTTTAAATTCAAAGCTATAAAATATTTATCTGTATTTTTATGTTTACATACCTGTATTTCTATGTTGTCTACATGGTACTAAATTGACTTATAAATAAATGAGTGCTCATAAATTAGTAAGCCCAAATATTTTCCAAGTTCACAGGACTTGAATAAATCTTTTGGTAAATAAGATTAATTTAATATTGTTGATTTAATGAAAATAGCTGTATTTTCTGAGTTATTGGCAAAACACCCAAATATTTAACTTTAATAGTCTTTCTTGAGTGCGCAGCTGATATTCACAGGCTATAAAAATGGTTAACAGGATAATAACTTGAAATGATGACTACCTTTGTCTAATATCTTAGTTCTCATAAGTAAACTAGGTAAATTGTTAAAATCAAATAAGTAAATGTAAATGGGATAAACTTCTATAAATGAATTTTTTGTGTTATTTGAAATCTCAAAAGTATGTTAAATTCAATAATAGATAATCATCAAACGTCTGGGTCGTTTCCACTTAAGGTAAAAAATTGTGTTATAAGAAAGCATGTTTCTAGAAATTATAAAATGCTTCTTATCTATACAAAATTGATATGTGACAGATAATTCTAGATTTCTTACTTCTTAGGTTCTCACTAAAATTTAAGATTAGTAAGATTTAAAATTCAAATTAATATATACAACTCTTTATATAAAAAGGACCAAAAAAGTAAGATGTGTTTTTGATGAGAACATATTATCAGAAGGTATAAAAATGTGTTCTTTATTGAGAAAAGAATAATTTTGTACAATTTCGATGTTACCTAAAAATTACTTCAAAATATGGATTTAGGAAGGAAACAAATGAGATTAAAAGGAATCAGTAAGTAGGAGAGAGAAAAAAATATAAAGAAAGTTGTGGATATGAATCATGCTACTATAAAGACACATGCACACGTATGTTTATTGCAGTACTATTCACAATAGCAAAGACTTGGAACCAACCCAAATGTCCACCAATGATAGACTGGATTAAGAAAATGTGGCACATATACACCACGGAATACTATGCAGCCAGAAAAAATGATGAGTTCATGTCCTTTGTAGGGACATTGATGAAGCTGGAAACCAACATTCTTAGCAAACTGTCACAAGGACAGAAAACCAAACACTGCATGCTCTCACTCATAGGTGGGAATTGAACAATGGAACATTTGGACACAGGGTGGGAAACATCACACACCAGGGCCTGTTGTGGGGTTGAGGGAGGGGGAAGGGATAGCATTAGAAGAAATGTTTAATGTAAATGACGAGGTAATGGGTGCAGCACACCAATGTGTATACATATGTAACAAACCTGCATGTTATGCACATGTACCCTAGAACTTAAAGTATAATAAAAAAACAAAAACAAAAAAACAAAACCAAAACAAAACAAAACAAAAACCAAAAAAACAAAAAAAAAGTATGGATATGAAGATGACTTACTTTTTCCTAAAGTAAAATGACTAGCTATTTAAGAAAGAGGAGATGTAGGATAAATTAAAAAGTCCAAGCATATTGTCAATGGTCTGAGTAAGTCATGATAAGGTTTATGAAAAGAAAATTTATGAAAGAAATTTTGTGTGTGATCAAGTTGGCTATAATTATATGAAAATTATGGATGTCTTTTTGAAGATGAAACTTTAACATTAAAAATACACAACGTAAAACTTAACGAATTTTATTCCCTATGTTATAATAACAAAGCTTTCTTGAAGTATTAATTTGCTCTTAATACAATTGCAAGAGATTTCAATTTTTAATCCTGTAATCTTTCTTTTCAAAACTTCTTTTTATCAAGATAATTTCTACATTGTCTTTATTGGGACTTTGATTACTTAGAAAAACTGAGTTTTAAAAGGATTAATGTTTTTACATTCATGTAACTTCCTGTATTGCTTTTGAAGTCAACTTGACTCTGGTTAAATGAATACCTGTTACTTTACAATGACCTGTGATTATGCTTTGATCACATGTTTTGAAACTTTGATATCATGCAGATTTCCTCAGTATCAAAATCATTTATATTTATGGGTATGTTATTGATATAAATGTTCCAAAAATTATACAAATTCATAAAAATCTAATATGTTGTTTATAATTTTGATTGTTAAAGTTTTTCTAAAATTATATTTGTGTGAATATGTTATTAATGTGAATATTCTAAATATTCTAAAGAGCATGTGAAATTTACAAAAGTCTAAAGGTCCTCGTGTGATGCTGTTAGTCATGATTCTGGTTGTTTTCTTAAAATGCCGCATGTAATAGAAATAACTACATTCGTTTATCAATTAGAAACTTCCATCAGATTTTAACCATGGCTATTCTAACTTTTTGTCACCTACAGTTAATATTTTCAATTCTTCTCTAAAAATATTTGTAATCAACCAAGGTACAAAAATGCTTTTTATTGAAAAACTCTGACAAGTGCTCTTGAACACAGACTTCTGATAACTTTAAGATCAATGGACTAGAACTTTCAGAACTCTAATGAAAAACTGATGTATTCATGAAAATTGCTAACCCAAAACCAAGCAGAACAAAAATTATATAGAACTAAACTGATGGAGGACTAAAGTGATTTTTTATGACTTTTTGTTTGAAACAGGGCTGATTCCTTTTATATTTTGTTTTCCAGCATCAAAAAAACAGTTTTTTTCTTTTGAGCTATTTATATTTTACAGTAATTGGGTAAAATATACTTCTATAAGCAAAACTGAAACATTTACCTTTCTCTCTCTACTTGAATTATCCAGAATCTGGAAATTATTCCTAAGCATTCTTGTTTTATGACAATGTAGTTATTTGTATAAGTTCAATAAGAATCTTTATTTTTTTGGTAACAGGATACAGTGGAAACACTGGTTATTTTTCCAAAGCTTTAACTAGAAC
The DNA here is from genome assembly GCF_000001405.40 of Homo sapiens. Classification (NCBI taxonomy): domain Eukaryota; kingdom Metazoa; phylum Chordata; class Mammalia; order Primates; family Hominidae; genus Homo; species Homo sapiens. The sequence goes on from NC_000001.11 coordinate 185,519,355, forward strand.
GTCATATTTTCAAATAGGACAAAATTGCTTTAAGGAATTGAGATTGAAGCTAATAGACTTGGAAAAATATGGGCCTAATACTTTGTCTACACAATTTCCTTACAAGGTTTCTGACCTTGTGGTAAGTAAAGAATGTTACTTTTGGACAGGTTTGGGAACCTCAAGATATTCTGGGGACCTCAAGAAGAGGGGAAGTCACCTAATCTGTGCTGGTATTACAAGCACCGTCTGATAGTGAATCCTTGGGTTGGCTACTTAGGCTCAAGAGGCTTTTAAAAGTCCAACCCAAAATCTGTTATAAAAAAAGTTACAGCAAAGCTAATTTAAAAGGAGTCTCTATGGCCAATCACTATTCTTGCTGTACTTTACACGAATAACCAAGGCAAATACAATCTGACTAAAACTTATATGGCGAACAAATTGGTCTCACTGTGATTTTTCTTTGGTAGAAAAAGGGACTGGAGAGAGAACTATCATGTTTCAGAAGATAACTATAGTATACCTGTTATTAGACTCTAGCCCTGACTGTTGTTTTTGAGTTTTAAAAATTTGCCCTTTTTTTGGACTGAATACTGGATTATCTCCTGGTTATAACATGTCTCTAAAGAAGAACTTGAAGTTGATTTTCTTCTTGATGATTTTAGTTGGCTCCCTAATGGTATAGGCTCTCTTTTTTCCATTCTGGCATACAAATTCTCCTTTTAATTCTAATCCTTATGTGAATTTTTTGCACTATGTAAATTATTAATACTATGTATGTCTCATTGTTTTACTTCTTCCAAGAAAACAAAAATCATGCAATTCTAAAGATTAGAGATGATTCAACAAGTGAGAGCAGCTATAAATTGATATCTTATTTAGTTGGTTACACTCAGGACTAACTCCTTTATTTTGTACTGGTCTTCAAGTTGTTATTATTATAACCATAACCATAAATATAAACATAGTTGTCATTTTCCTGACTATTAAGTTACTCATTATTTTCATTTCTGCTTGCTTTAGATCAATGTCTAAAGCCAAAATCATGGTCACCCAGCAACTGGCAATGATTCATTATTCAGGAGAATAGCATGTAGTCTTGTGTCCATGACCTACATTCCTAGCAATCTGCCTTACCTGCAGTAACAAGGTTCTTTGCCCCCACTGAAGGATATGACTTTCTGAGAATGAGCTTTCCTAGCACCAAGGAATGAAGCAAGTCTATCACTGTAACCTAAGCAGAGATTGATCATCAATGCTTCTATGGGAAGATTTTGGATCAAAAACGGGAAATAAAAACCAGACGTCACTTTGACAGTTTAAAAGAAAACAGGCTTTCAAATTAATCTGCCTTGGGAAAGTCTTGTGATTCATGATGACACCTTCTTCTTGAGTAAAGAGTCTTGTCTTGAGTTCCTCAAATTGTTGATGTACTGATTAATGCATAGCCTACTGACACTGAAAAGGATGCTGACTCATTTTTGAATTATAAAGTTTTACTAATTGTTTTGCATGCAGACATTTTAGCCTGTACATTGCAATCTGTATCCAGTGATTGTAAACCTCTATATTGCACCCTCCAATGAAAAGAAAATCCAGTATGAGGAGTCCCCCTCCCTTCTCCTAATCTCTCCTATAAAAGTTTTCCAACAGACTTCAAAACACTCTTAACTTTGATGGTGTGTTTTCTCAAGTTTATCCTCACATTTGGCTTTGGAGGAACCTGAATTAAATTATTTTTATCTGAAAAGCCTTAATTTTAATTGACACATTAACTGGATTTTTTAAATTTTTTATTTTTATTTTTTTGAGATTGGCTCTTACTCTGTCACCTGGGCTGGAGTGCAGTGGTGCAATCATGGCTCACTGCACCCTTGACCTTCCCAGGCTCAGGTGAACCCCCTACCTCAGCCTCCCAAGTAGCTTGATTACAGGCACATGCCACTACACCTGGATAATTTTTGTATTTTTTGTAGAGACAGGGTTTCTCCATGTTTCCCAGACTGGTCTCAAACTCCTGGGTTTAAGCGATCTGCCCTCACTGCCTCCCAAAGTACCGCGATTACAGGTGTGAACCACCACACCTGGCCTACACACATTGATTGAGTTTTGATTGTTAAACTAATCTTGCCTTCAGAGGAAAGAGCCTACTTGTCATGATGCACTATACTCTCTATATGCTAGATTTGATTTACTAGTATTATGTTAAAGAGTTTTGTATTTTTATTCAAGGGAGTTATTTTTATATACTTTTCTTGTAATGTCCTTGTCCGGTTTTAACACCAGGTTTATCTTGTTCCCATAAAATGCATTGGGAAAGTTCCTCCTACTTTATTTTCTCAAAGAGTTTGTATAAAATTGATATTTATTCTTCTTTAAATGTTTGATAGAAGTCATGAATGGGACCATCTTAGCCTTGATGTTTCTTTGTGGAAAAATTTAAATAAGTTAAACATCCTTAACAGTTATAGGGCTATTCATATGTTCTATTACTTCTTGCATAATTTTTCACAATTTATATTATTAGTGGATTTTCTCTATTTTATTGAAATTGGCAACTTAATCAGCATAAAGTTTTTCATGATATTCCCTTATTAGTCTTTTGAGGTCTATAGGGTCTGTCATAATGTCCCTATTCTATTCGTGATATTGGTAATTTGTGAGGGTTTTTTCTCTCTTTCTTTACTTGATCAGTCTTCACAGGGTTTATCACCTTAAAATTTTTTTTCAAAATCTATTTTTTTAGCTCTTTTATTTTGTCCATTTCCTGTTTCTCATTTTATTGTTTTCCATTCGTTAATGTTTTCTTTTTTCTAATTAATTTAAATTAATTAGCTTTTCTTTTCCCAGCTTCTTTATTTAGAGGCTTAGATTGTTATTTATAAATCTTTCTTATTTTCTAATATAAGCATTTAAAGCTAGAAATTGCCCTCTAAGTGCAATTTTGACTGCATTCTACAAAATTTGATTTCATTCGCATTTTGCTTGAATTATATTCTTTTGAATATATTCATTTTGCTTTGAATTATATATATAATTCAAGTGAAGCAATTTGCTTGAATTATATAGATTGCTTGTTTGACTAATAGATTATTTAGAAGTAGGTTTTTTAATTTCCAGATTCTGAGGTTTTCCATGTATCTTTTGGTAACTGATTTCTATCTTAATTCTGTTATAGTCGTGGTAATATTCTGTATGATTAAGTTCTTCCAATTCTTGAGATTTGATTTATATCTCATCACATGATCCTGCTAGATAATTGTTCCATATGCCTTTGAAAAAAGTATTTTATGCAGGGTGTTGGTTGTTCTGTTATATAAATATCAAATAGATAAAGTTGGTTGATAGCATTAAGCAAATCTTCAATATTCTTATTGATTTTCTCTATTTATTGTATTAATGACTGAAAGAAGGATGGTTAAAAATCTCAAACTCTATGGATTTGTCTCTTTTTCTCTTTAGTTCTGTGAATTTTTGCTTCATGCAGTTTAAAGATCTGTTATTAGGTGCAAATATATTTAAGATTGCCATATATTCTTAATAAATTGACCCCTTTATCATCATGGGATGTCCCTCTTTATCTCTGTTAATATTCCTTGTCTAGAAGTCTACTTTGTCTGATATTAATATAACCACTAAGGAAATAATTGACTTTAATATGCTTTCTGTTTATTTTTCTCATTTGCCAATATACTGTCTGTATTAGTTGGTTCTCACGCTGCTAATAAAAACATACCTGAGAGTGGGTAATTTATATAGGAAACAGGTTTAATTGATTCACAGTTCCATATGGCTGGGGAGGCCTCACAATCATGACTGAAGGCAAATGAAGAGCAAAGTCACATCTTACATGGCAGCAGGCAAGAGAATATGTGCAGGGGAATACCCATTTATAAAACCATCAGATCTTGTGAGACTTATCCACTACCACAAGAAGAGCATGGGAAATACCTGCTCCCATGATTTAATTACCTCCCACTGGGTCCCTGCCACAACACTTGGGAATTATGGGAGCTGCAATTGAAGATGAGATTTGGGTGGGAACACAGCCAAACCATATCATTCTGCCCCTGGCCCCTCCCAAATCTCATGTCCTCACATTCCAAAACCAATTATGCCTTCCCAACAGCCCCCCAAAGTCTTAACTCATTTCAGCATTAACTCAGAAGTCCACAGTCCAAAGTCTTCTCTGAGACAAGGCAAGTCTTTTCCACCTATTAGCCTGTAAAATAAAAAGCAAGTTAGTTACTTCCTAGATAAAACGGGGGTACAGGCAATGGGTAAATACATCCATTAAAATTGGAGAAATTGGCCAAAATGAAGGGACTGCAGGTGCCATGCAAGTCTGAAATCCAACAGGGCAGTCAAATCTTAAAGCTCCAAATGATCTCCTTTGACTCCATATCTCACATCTGGGTTGATGCAAGAGGTAGGTTCCCATAGTCCTGGGCAGCTCCACCTCTGTGACTTTGCAGGGTACAGCCTCTCTCCTGGCTACTTTCATGGGCTGGCATTGAATGTGTGCAGCTTTTCCAGACATAAGGTGTAAGCTGTTGGTGGATCCACCATTCTGGGGTCTGGAGGACAGTGGCCCTCTTTGCACAGCTCCACCAGGCAGTGCCCCAGTGGGGACTGTGTGTGGGGGCTCCAAACCCACATTTACCTTCTGTACTGCTCTGGCAGAGCTTCTCCCTGAGGACCCCCCTCTGCAGCAAATTTAAGCCTGGACATCCAGGCATTTCCATATACCCTCTGAAATCTAGGCAGAGGTCCCCAAACTTTAATTCTTGTCTTCTGTGCATTTGCAGACTTAACACCATGTGGAAGCTGCCAAGGCTTGGGGCTTGCATACTCTGAAGCAACAGCCCAAGCTGTACCTTGGCCCATTTTTGCCAAAGCTGGAGTGGCTGGGATGCAGGGCACCAAGTACCTAGGCTGCACAGAGCAGGGGAGACCTGGGCCTGGCCCATGAAACCATTTTTTCCTTCTAGGCCTCTGGGTCTGTGATGGGAGGGGCTGCCGTGAAGACCTCTGACATGCCCTGGAGACGTTTTCCCCATTGTCTTGGCAATTAACATTTGGCTCCCTGTTATTTATGCAGGTTTCTGCTGGTGGCTAGAATTTCTCCCCAGAAAATGGGTTTTTCTTTTCTACAGTGTCATCAGGCTGCAAATTTTCCAAACTTTTACGCTCTGCTTCCTCTTGAACCCTTTGCTGCTTAGAAATTTCTTCCTCCAGATACCCTAAATCATCTCTCTCAAGTTCAAAGTTCCACAGATCTCTAGTGCAGGGACAAAATACCACCAGTCTGTTTGCATAGCAAGAGTGACCTTTACTCTATTTCCCAAGAAGTTCCTCATCTCCATCTGAGACCACCTCAGCTTGGACTTCCATGGTCCATATCACATCAGCATTTTGGTCATAGCCATTCAATAAGTCTCTAGGAAGTTCCAAACTTTCCCACCCACATTTTCTTATCTTCTTCTGATCCCTCCAAACTGTTCCAACCTCTGCCTGTTACCCAGTTCCAAAGTCACTTTCACATTTTCGGGTATCTTTACAGCAGCACCCACTTCTGGTACCAATTTACTGTACTAGTCTGTTCTCATGCTGCTAATAAAGACATACCCAAGACTGGGTAATTTATAAAGGAAAAGGGTTTAATTGACTCACAGTTCCACATTGCTGGGGAGGCCTCACAGTCATGGCGGAAGGCAGATGAAGAGTAAAGTCATGTCTTACATGGCGGCAGGCAGGTGTGTGCAGGGGGACTCCCCTTTATAAAACCATCAGATCTTGTGAGACCTATTCACCATCATGAGAACAGCATGGGAAATACCACCCCTCCCCCCGCCCCTGTGATTCAATGACCTCCCAGCAGGGCCCTCCGATGACATGTAGGAAATATGGGAGGTATAACCGAAGATGAGATTTGGGTGAGGACACAGCCAAACCATGTCACTGTCCCTCCTGCTGACTTTTGTCAGGTAGTGTTAAATACATTGGTGAGGCACAGGTGGAGCGACGTACTGTTGGCCATTGCAGTTTTCTTAAAATCGGGCAGTGTTGAGACCAATGCAGGCTAGCAGCAAAATTAGTTTGTTGGTTTCAGGCTATATGAATAGGATGAGTTGGCTTTGTCTACCTTTGGAAATTTTTTTGACCTTGCTTCTGCCAGGCTAGTAGAGGTATCCTTTTGCCTGAGAAAGATTAAAACAGAAGTGTTTTTCAGGTGGTGTCAACTTGCTAAGAATTGTGAGTTTATTTTTCTTCAATTGTCTTTATTTTCAATATTTTTACATAGTAAAGTTCTATGGCATCTTGATTTCAAAAGTTGGAGATTCAGTGAACTGAAAGTTCCAGTGTGGGAGCCAGGAGAATGGCGTTTTCTGTTTGTTTGAAATTTGAAATGTCTGACTTCAGGCAAGTCTTTTAAAATGTATCCTAAAGAAAACAAAGATAATGATGTTTGCCCTAACTTACAACTCATGGAATCTTATAATTGCATGTGGCCTTACCGATTATCTGCTCCCACCTGGAAATTTTATGTATGAGGAGACTGTGGTTTTGAGAGGCCAAATAACTTGCCTAAAGACATTCAGTTTGTTTATGGCAGGGCTAGAATTTGAACCTGAAGTCTTGTTACCAGTCTAATGTGATTTTTATCCAAATATGGTGAATTTAGAGAGCATTTAGAAAGACTCCAAGACTCCAAAATAATGAGTCTATACCTATACATTGGCCAATGTAAGATATTAAATGATTTAAACATTTAAAAATTGCCTACGTGAATTTCAAAAAGTAGTGTTTATCTTTTATAGCTGAGTTTAAATTCAAGAAAATATGTCAAAAGAGCCTCATAAATATTTGTCAAGTATAAAATAATCTGTTTTAAAGAAGATATCATTCCCTTTATTACTGATGTAACAATGTCAATTTTATAGCTTTCAGAAATTGTAAATGTTTCATTGGATCCTCACAAACAACACTATAAAAATAATAGCTAGTATTTATTGTCTACTATGTGCCAGACATTTTTCTAAGTATTTTATGTCTATTAACCTTGTCCTTCAAACCACCTTAGTTCCTATTATCGTCCTCATAAATGAGGAAACCAAGGCCCAGAGAGTTAAAGTAACTTGCTTGAGGTCACACAGCCTTCCAGAAGCAGAACTGATATCATCCCTAGAGTGGATACCTTAGTCATAGCCACTTTGCTATAGTGCCTCTCAGGTGAGCAGGGCAAAGTTTGTATAGATTGTTCTTTATCTTTCTTTTCTTCCTGCTGGAAGGTAGAGGACTGAAGACAGTCATTTTGTGTCTGGGTGGGGTCTTCAGTGGGGCCTTCTGAAGATTTTCCTTTGATTCTATGTTTTACACACTTTCTTTGCTCTCCATTGCAACCCTGTCTAAGCCACCTTGTTTGAGGTTGTGCTCTACTATGTATGCCATTTGCATATTTCTCTCAAGTTCCCCTTTCTGTTTCTTCTGTGTGTGTCCAGAAACTGGGTAGTGCATGTGTGCATCTCACAGTCTTTGCCTGCTAAAGTACTTCTTGCAGAATAGGGATTTTTAGCCATTTTTGTACTGGGATACCCATCTGGTTGACATTCTAATGCTTGATATACTTTCTTGGAAGCAGAGGTAAGATGCATGTGGATTACAGGCAATTCTCAGCACCTTAGGCTTTATTGTCCCTCCTTTCTCTCCAACACAAGAAATACAAGTGAGTGTGAGTGAGGGACTTATGGGCACAGCTGTTCATCTATCCTTGTGCATAGTGAAAGTGAATCATCCTCACTACTTAGTGTTTTTAAAAAATAATCATTTACTTGTCTCAACCCTTACCATAGATTGTGTACCCTGGGTCTCAATAGTGTGCTTGGTTACAAACTGCTGCTTTGGAAAGATCTCTTAATTATGAAGTAAGATGGTTAGGTTTGGTGATTGCTAAGATTGCTTTTAGCTTTAACATTCTATGGTTTCCTCACATTGTGCCAGAAGGTCCCACATCATTGTGGTAGTGGACAACCAGGTTGCTTCTGAGAGACCTAGTGTTGTGGGTTGAATTGTGTCCCCCGACTCCAACAAAATATGTTCAAATCCTTACCACTGGTACCTGTGAATGTAATCTTACTTAGAAATAGTGTTTTTCAGATGTAATCAAGTTAAGATGTGGTCATACTGGATTATGGTAGACCTTAATTCAATGGCCAGTATCCTTATAAAAAGAGGGAAATTTGGACAGACACAAAGAGGGCACTATGTGACAATGGGGGCAGAGATTACAGTGATGCACCTGCAAGTCAAGGAACACCAAGAATTGCCAGCAACCACTAGAAGCTAGGAGACAGGCATAGAGCAGATTCTCTCTCAGAACTTCTAGGAGGAGCCTCTTGATCTGCTGACCTCTTGATTTTGGACTTCCAGCTTCCAGAACTTCAAGACAATAGATTTCTATTGTTTTAAGCTACCCAGTGTGTGATCATTTGTTATGGCAGCCCCAGGAAACTAATACACCTTGCAAACTTTGGGTTAGTTGATCCTGACCCATGTTTAAAGTTCTGTGTTCAGACACCCCTTTCATGTGCTCTGTAACAGGACGTGGCTCTCTAGCAGGCGTGTGCATGAAAATTCGAGCTCTGGAGCATCTTCTTCTGACTTCTCCCCATGGGAAGCCTCCAGTCTTTCTGGTCTTTCTGAGGCACTTGCTTTTCAGTTTTCTTCATAGTTGATTCCCATAGATTCTCGTGACCAGCTCCTACTGTGGTCCTTCTGTGGGAATTATTTCAAACCTAGACTGGAACTGAGGAGATATTTAGGAAACAATTCCTGACTCCCTTTAGCTGATGTAATTTTAATTTATAATTTTCATGTCAGAGTGATTACCATGAAATTATTTAAAAGAAAGACATTATCCAACAGTCTCATGACAGTGTCATTTTATGCTGATGGGGTAATTTGTCCCTTTAGAAACAATTATTTCTTGAATAATTACTTTGGGTACCAAGTGACAGGCTCAGACTATTTTGGGACTCTGTGGCCTTGCCTCATGACATGCATTTACCTTGAGGATAAGGCGTGTGGCAGGTATTGCCTGTGACTCATTGCTCTTCTGCAGTTTGCTGCACTGTTCCTGTCTTTAGCAGATAGCAGCATTTGACGATGATGGCTTGGAAGAATTGCTGCCAATATGATTCTTATGTAAGACTGGCATAGAGGAATGTCCTCGTTCCTTACTAAGCGTCTTTTTGCTCAAACCAGGTTTTTTTTTTTTTTTTTGGTTGACAGCCCAGGAAATTCACTAGATGTGGGGAAATATGAGTTAGCCAAGTATTACATTTGATCATTTTATGTAAGGCTTCCAACTTGAAGCTGCCTCACTTAAATTAATAAGGGTTAAAATAAAGTTATCTTTATTTATGATTCTGAAGATACAACTTTAACAAACTATATATTGATTTGTACTAAAAGGAGTAAAGAGACATGGATTATTTAAATCTATGTTAAAATATTTATGAAAACTTTCAAAATCTACAAAACCCAGTGCATTTTCAGGGTGACAACAAGTGCGCTAAAATAACATTCAATCTTCTTGATTCCACATTCCATCTTGTCCCCACCTTCTCCCAGACAGACCTACATTAAGAGTCTATTGTGTATCCCATCTCGCTTTTGGTGGCCTCTGTTCTAATGCCAAATTTTCCACAGATTCTCTGTTTCAAAACCCATAGCTAATCTCTGAGAGCCAGGTTTTCAATGTTTAAGAGCTGGAAATACTATTTTAGTAATATTGCATTTTGAATATCCAAAGTTCTGTGAAGACAAGGATGATATGCCCAATGCTTACTGTGCTGAACGAAGGTGCAAATGTTCCTCTTTACCAAAGCAGTCATTTGGCTGCATAGTGACATTTCGGTCAACAACAGACTGCATATAAGGTGGTGGTCCTATAAGATTATAGTAGAGCTGAAAAATTTTTCTCACCGAGTGACATCTTGATGATCCCAATACTCTGTAAACCTAGGCTAATGTACGTGTCTGTGTCTTAGTTTTTAACAAAAAAAGTTTTAAAAGTAACAAATAAAAATTAAAAAGTTCTAAATATGGAAAAAAAATGTATAGAGTGAGAATATAAAGAAAATATTTTTGTACCACTGACAATGGGTTTGTGTTTTAAACTAAGTGTTATTAAAACAGAGTCAAAAAGTTAAAAAATTTTAAATGTTTATAAAATAAAGTTATAGTAAGCTAAGTTTAATTTATTATTGAAGAAAGATTTTTTTTAATAAATTGAGTGTAGGCTAAGTATACCTTTTCATAAAGTCTACAGTAGTATACAGTAATGTCCTAGGCCTTCACATTCACTCGCTACTCACTCACTTACCCAGAGCAACTTCCTGCAAGCTCCATTCACAGTCAGTGCCCTATACAGGTGTGCCACTTTTAATCTTTTACACTGTATTTTATTATACCTTTTATATGTTTAGATATGTTTAGGTACACAAATACTTATCATTGTGTTACAGTTGCCTGCAGTAACTGTATGGTAACAGACCGTCTAGACTAGGTGTGTAGTGGGCTATATATACCCTTTGGGCTTGTGAAAATGCACTCTATGATGTTCACACAATGATGAAATGGCCTAACAATGCATTTCCCAGAACATATCCTTGTCGTTAAGTGGCACATGACTATAATTCTTATCTCCAGTTTATATGAAAAAATTAACATTCAGGTAGGTTAAATTAATTGCTCTCAAATATATAAAATAGCAGAAAAACAGGAAGATTGTTCTGTTCCAAAGGCCCCTGATTTCATATCAAGAGTTGATAGTTTGAGAACCTACTCTTAAAAGAAAAAAATTTTGGCCGAAATATTAGAATGTAATGCAATCCTACTAATTAATAAGTTTTATTTATTTTGGCAAATACACAATTTAATTACTTTACTAGCTGTTAGCTGCAAACTGCTTAGCTCCTTTGGAGTTTTTCAAATGTGCAGAAAACCTCAGGTGGAAGAGCCCAAAGCAAAACACACCGCTTTTTCCTGATAACGGCATTTTCCAGACGTCATTTTCCCAGCTGTCAGAGTGTGATAAAAGGCTTGGGTTTAAAAACTTGACCTAAGACTTACCTGGGTGTTGCCCAGCAGAAATATGGGTTTCATTAAATTAGCAACAGATCTGAAAGCCAGAATGAAAAAGCAAGCTAATTCCCAAAGTCAGTGTTTTGTCCCCATAACAACCTGCAGGTGTCTGAGGACCATAGAAATCAGCTTAATGTAATTTTTCCATTTTTCTCTGCTCAGGTTCTGAGATGGCAACTGCTGGTTTCATTTGTCTGGAGATTTCATCTTTCAGAGCTGTCAAGGATTTTAGTGGCTATAAGGAGAGAACTCTGATGATAAAGTTTATTGATTCATGACTGCATTCATATAAAACACTAAATGGAATTTTGAATGGCAAGAAACATGTTTTGTACATTCAATAAATGAGAATCTGTGTATCATGAAAATGGTAACACTTAGTATGATAATTTTCAGTTTATAAAGTGTTTTATTTAATTCTGACAATAATCCTGTAAGGTAGCTGAGTTGTTGAGTTATAGTAGCACTCAATGTATACCCTTCAACCCCTGCCACAAACACACAAATGCATGTTCAGTTTTCTTTCATATACAAAATATCCCATCTCCCCAAACCGTTACCCCATCTCATACTTTGTTCACTTCTAAAATTCCTGGAAAGGTGAAATGTTCCCATAACTGTCTTCAACTCATCACTACCACTCCATGAGATCTGGTCTAATCTTTGCCATTATAGAAAATCTCACTTAGTTACTAATAACTTCCTTGTTGCTAAATGTAGTGAAGTTTCCTCTATATGTATCATTCGAAGTTCTTGGTAGTTTTGCATTCTATTGATCAGCTCCTTCATTTTCCTATTTTTCTTTTAAGCGTTCCTTACTATGGCTTCCGTGACAATGCAGCTTTCTTCCCAGTACCGTGGCCATTCTCTCTCCAATATCTTTGTTAGCTCCTCCTTCCTTTCTTCTGGAAAATATATACAGGGCCTTGGGGGTGGGGTGAGGGGCTGGAGCAATAATTTTAGCTCTTTCTCTTCATCTTCCTCTCCCACGTTCTACAACAGCTATTCATTTTCTACCCTGTCCTCTTACCACTCAGTTGATGACTTTTTTCAGGTCTACAGGATCTGAATCTCATGGCTTTCTATCCACAAGAAATTGCACTCCAAATACATACCCTCTTATCTCCTCTCTTCCAGTTTATGAGGAAGAGGTGTGTCTTTTCTTGTTCAAGACCAAACCTTGTTCATGATCCTATCCCCTTCTGCCCTTTCTGGGAATAGAACCTTGTTCCATTGGGTATTTCCTCTCTATAAGATATTTTTAACCTAACCTTATTAGTTTGTTGTTTGTTTGGAGCCTCTGTACATACTCAGGTCTCTCCAATTCTTAAAAGTGATTGCCTTTACTCAGTGTTCTCTGTAAACACTATCCTATCTTTTTCTCTTTCAGCAAGGCCAAGCTTCGGCAAGGAAGAGTCTACAGATGCTCTATTTCCCCTCCTTTAACTCTTTCTTCGATTCAGGCTTTAACGCCAGCCTAGGGGCATCTAATTGCCTCACATCAACAAGGTTGCTTAATTTCTCAGCAGGAATTGATGCTGCCCTCTACACCCTTTTTTGTTTTAGAGACTTTGCACCTGTGGTTTCCATTAGCCACTGTCTCCTGGTTTCTGATTCTTTTTGCTTTGTTTCCATTTGGGCTCTCCTCCTTTCTCATTCACCAAATTGTTGTTCTTTTCCTGCTTCTTCACCCCCTCGTCTTCTGTCTTCCCCTCCTCCACCATTTTCTCTTTCCCCATTGATTCTTTCCATTCAGCTGCAAGTTTGAACCTCATTTGTATACCATGATATAAATGACAGATATTGTTCACATGCCAGACACTTCTGTAGGAGTATCGTTGGCCTTAACATCGTTGGCCTTAACTTCTTCTTTCTTGCTCATTCAGTAACATGTATTAGAAGGCAAGTGAGTGAGAATGGTTATTACAGGGGTCACCTTGAATCAGTTTTCATTTCTGAAAATAGTAAATAACTTGGAAACTTCAGTACTTTCGCCTTTATTAGAGACAGATTACTGGAGACACACCACACAATTGATTGGTGTACCTTAGTGTTTTATGACAACATGGTTGGAAAAGGCTGATATCTTAGGTCCAACGAAATTATTAAGTTGATTTGGATTTAATGGTGATTTTATAGTTATTTTTCCTGGAGAATTTTCAACCAAAAAATTTAATTCTTTTGATCCCCCTAGACTCATTCATTTATCTGTTTACTTTTTATCTTACCAATAGGTAAAATTCTTATTCTATAAATATTCTGGTTTGGAGGTTGCTGTTCTCAAATTTCTAGAATTAAGCAATGAGAAAAATCATTTGTCTGGGTCTTTATGGTTATATACAAGAGTCTTATATTACAAAAAATAGCTTTTTCATAATATAAGAATTATAATGAGAACAAAGATATTGTCACTCATGTATTAAAGAGACCCATCCAAGGATAAAGTCCCTGGGAAAGTAAGTTTCTGGAAGCTGGAGAGAATGAACTGGAGAGAATGAACTGAAAAGAATGCCACACATACCTTGAGATACTCTGTTAAGCTATGATATCTTGAAACATGGACAGGAAAAGATTAGAGATTTATGTGAATCAGGACAGCTTAAGTCTTGAAATATTTCCTATCTAGAAGACATCTTCTCACAGTGGTTTTTAGAGTAACTTTGAATTTCATGACCTCAGTGAGTATAAAATTTGAATGGAGAGAAAATACTGTTCTCTAGAGGTTGAAAACACACATATTCTTTCTTATTATTTTTATAATCATTTGAAACAAATACTTCAGTCATGATGAACTATTAAATCTGATTTTCATTTATTTTTAAGGCTCAGAAGGCCAAAGTTTAAACTAGAAGTTGATATTGAGCTGGCTCATATTTACAATTACTATCTATTTTCCCCTCTAGTGGTCCCTGTCTACTTCTATTTTTAGTTTACTTCAGCAAAACTGCTGCAACTCTGATAGCAAACATACCGCTTTATCCCAGCAACATGGATTAGAAGCTTTTTTAAAAGCAGGAACCATGGTGTATACTTCTATCCTTCAAGTGCTTTGCATACGATTGATGTGTAACAAATAATTTTGAGTTTTTGTCTCATCAATAAGTAAAACATTTATAGAAAATAAAGATGTTATTTTTTGTAAAGAAAAATAATTTATTTTCTTATTAACTAGAGACAATTTCTATCAACAGCCTAGTATAAACCAGAGATTGGCAAGCGTTTTCTTTCAACGGACAAAAATAATAAATATTTGAGGCTGTGTGGACACTGAGGTCTCTGTCGCAACCACTCAAGTCAGCTGTTGGGGCATGGAAGCAGCCACAGAAGACAGGAGATGATTAGAAACTGTGTGTGTGGCTGTGTGTCACCAATAAAGCTGTGTTTTCAAAATGGGCAGGTTAGAGTCTGCCTGTAAGCTGTAGTTTGCTGATTCCTGCAATACACTTTAACACCCACCCCCGACACACATATATGTGGTGGTTTTAAAGAATGATATCATTGTATTATATTGTAAAGGTAATTTAAAGCTTTGAAACAGGCTACAGAGATTCTAGATATTCCTTCCAATAGACTCTGGGGATTGTCTGTCCTAAACAACATGGATTTTCAATTGCCCCAAAGGGGACAAAAATTCGATCTGAGGGGCAGAAAAGAATCATAGTAATTATAATGGTTTGTAGCCCTCCAAAGTTCAACTCTATCCAACAAAATCCTTATATCTTAGTGTTTAATTTTGAGGGCACTAAGTAGGGGAGATTAGGTTAAGATATCCGAAAAAAATCTTCTTAGGAAGGCAATAATGAAGGAAACATTGAGAATCACTGCTATAGGGATGTGGACTTTGTCTTTCCTTGGGTTATTTTCCCATTCTGTAATTTATGAATTACTGACAAATTATTGAAAATGCAAGTACTTCTTGTCTCTAGACTTTCAAATGACTTCTGTCTGTTGGAAAGACAATCTCCCTCTTCATCCCCAGGAAAAAGCCAGTTTTGTGTTCATTTTAAATTTATTTCAACATTCATTTGCTCCATGTAAATTTCCAGTTCATTTATTTCTCCTTTGAATTGGTTGTAACATCTGCTTGTTTCCCTCATTTAATAACTAATAATGAGTTACATAGAAATTTTGACATATGTTTATTTTCTATCTGTATGAGCCTCATGGTTTTACCCACTTTTAAAATATAACAATTTCCACTGGTTTATAACAGTTCTTTTTTACTTGAAAATACATCAAAAATCTTCCCATGTCCTTATGGATTTTAAAGATTATAAATATTCCATTAAATGAATATACCACATTTTTAAAAATTTATCTTTTGTTGTTGGAAAACGATGAATCATTTTTTAATGAGCAAGAGTAAATCGCTCTCTTAACACACAAAATACGGGAAGTCATAAAATGTGCCAAAAGCCTCTTACTTAATTTTTTTTGGCATAGTGCTTGTTTGCTTTCAGTTCCACGTTGACTTTTCGAGAACATGGGCCAGTGGACATAAAGGCCAATGCTATTTTCATGGCTTTGTTTGTTGACAGAAGGTTACAGGTGTTGCTTCTGTGAATCTACAGATCATTTTGGGAAAGCACTAAGCCCTGGCCTCACCAGAGGTACACAGGAGGTTTAGGACATTGAGTACGCTTTGTTACTTTACTTGGCTCCAGGTTCCTGGTTGAGATTCTGGTTGGCTTGCAATTAATTGCAGGAACATGGAATGTCTACCGTTTGTCTAAGCCTTCCATTTTCCTTGACAGCTCCCCCTTTCTCTTTACCTGCTCAAGTGCACTGCTGATTACTTCCAGCCCTTAATATCAATGTTTCATATTCTTTAAGCCAAAATTTTAGATATGAATATTCTCACCTTTCATATGTCCTGATAATTCTGTGTAACTCTGTTGGTAAGCCTGCCTCTCTCTAATCCTTTCTCTCAGCATTTCCTGTTCTTTACGATTGCCAAGTGAGTGACTTTGGGTGGCAAGTGCCCATTCTTAGAATAATTTTTCAAAGTTTTTTTTTTTTTTAGGAAACCATATAAGTAAACATTTTATGCATGGAGAGGAAGGCAAAAGATACAATAAAATAAATGCTTCAAAGTGAATATTACTTATAAGACCAGAGTAATGAGATGTAAATGGCTTCACCCAATCTCCTGTAAGACAAGCCCGTTGTTACAAATCTGCAATGGTGGTGCTTCCAGTATATTATTCTTTCTCCTTCTGTTACCAAAAATAACAAATATAACACTTTCAAGATCAACCAGTACTTTATTAAATGATCCTAAATTAAATGCAGAAGCAAGAAAGCTGATTCAGATCTTCTGGTTTTCGAAAGAGCATTACAAATTTTAACTTTTGGTAAAATCTATTTAACATTTAGGGAAGTAATCCTTTGGTAAGTGTCTGCAATTCCTTTAGTACTCTCTCTGCCTACAACAGCATTTAAATTATATATATAAATTGTATAGAGAATGAAAAAAATTCATACCTAATTCAATTATACATAAGAATCAAAGAAAGCTAAATTAAAGTAAAAAATGAGTTAATTGATAAAAAATAATTTTAAAATGCCAATGTTTAATTTTGATGAGTCCAGTAAAATCAAACCTTTTTGTGTAAATTGGTAAAAATTCATTCTGAAAGATATTTAGGAACATAGATCAGGAACCATTAAAGTGTTTATACCCTTTCTTGTTAATCCACTTCTGGACACTTAGCCTAAAACAATATTCTAAATGTTGAAAAATTGTGTAAAGGTATTACTAGCAGCAGTGTTACTTGAAAACAGGAAAGAATTAGAAACAACCTAAATATCCAATTTATTATCCAGGTAATACATTGGTAACAACTAGGTAAAACAGTTTGGTCAGTCTGTGGAATCTGTGGAATATTATGCAACCATTCAAATAATGATTATAAAGATGATGTAACATCATCATATGCTTATCGAATAATAAATTTACATTTGAGTATATAATAAAATGAAATACTTATGATTTATATTATAAGATAAATATAGCATAAAGATGAAGAAAACACATAAAATCCAGATGTATTTTGGTGGTGGAATAGTTTTAAAAATTGCTTCTTTTTTTTCAAAGTTTTCTATTAGTCTCCGTGTATTAATTGTATAATGAGGGGAAAAAATCTCCAAGCTTTCCTAGTAGTTTTTGCTGCTACAAGACCTGTCACTTTCTTTTTCTTCCCCCTTCCTTTCTCCCTTCCTTTCCTCTTTTCTTTTTCTTTTTTAAGCTTATACTTTTACTTTCAGTAGAACTAAGTTTTCAGAAACTAGTTTTGTTTCTGGTATTTTAATCAACTCTATCACTTCAATCCTCAATAGTTCTCAGTGAGAGAAATATAACACATTTATTTGACATTTAAGTATAACGCCATAGCCTCTCCATTCATTGTGAACCTGTACAGTTAAAAATTTGAAGACATTATGGCTTTTAAGGTTAGTGATTAAGATTGCGGGTGCATGGCCAGCCTTGATTTCCAAGGGAAACACTTCCTTTCTCTGGGTGTGAACAATATGGGATGGAGAACAGAGATATAGAGAGCTTGCCACAGAGATGGGAATTATCTTTGACTCTGGCAAGGCTATTGGGACTCTCTTATGTATTTGGTAAGAATTTTGGAAGAGGAATGGTTCCTTGGCTCTGCTGGGGCCTCACCTTGAGACTCGGCAGCCCTCTGGCTTTCACATAGCTGGGTGAGGAGCTGAGCCAGCTCCAGTTGAACAGGAGCTAGGAGCTCACATCAGATGTGGGCAGGCATGAGCCCAAGTCCTGGGGAAGGGATAAGGGAGATGTGAGGTTGATGGAAGGTGGGCATACTGGAGAGGGTGGCATGCTAGGAGGGTATAGAGCAGAGCTGAGAACAAAGGCAAGGCCAGGGTAGAACCAAGATCCAGGGATGGAGCTTGCTCATGGAACTGAAGGTTGGACACAGACTTGAGCATAAAGCCTCATTAAAGAAAGCAAAGGCAAGAAACAGGAGCCAGGGAATGAAGTTGGGCTGAAGTTAATGGGAAGTCCGGTTTTGTAAACAGGAAAAAGGGAAGGGCAGTGCCCAGGTGGAATTGTGGGGGATGTTCTTTTCAACTCTAGCCACCTGTTATTACTGCTCACACTCTCCAGGTGCAGAGGAGTCCATATCCAGAGTACCCTAAAGGAATTCAGTAGCTTCTGACCAAATGTCAGATGGATTCCTGGATAAACATCCTTGTCAAGACAGCACTACTGCTCTAGTATTTGTAGCCTGGACCAAGGAGTCTCCTGACTGCCATGAGGCCCTTCTCCCAAGAATTCTGGCTTACTGAGATCACAAGTTCTCTGATGTAGCTGCCCAGATAAGCGGTACAAAGTTCAAGTGCTTCTAATGCTACCATTTATCATGTCTAACATGGATAGATTATCTAATCTTGACAGGTGGTTTTTAATTTGGGGGGGATATATGTACATATGTTGTGGGAAGTCAGGGACCCCAAAAGGAGGAACTGGCTGAAGCCACGACAGAAGAACGTGGATTGTGAAGATTTTATGGACACTTATTAGTTCCCCAAATTAATACTTTTGTAATTTCTTATGCCTGTCTTTACTGCAATCTCTAAACATAAATTGTAAAGATTTCATGGACACTTATCACTTCCCCAATCAATATCCTTGTGATTTCCTATGCCTGTCTTTGCTTTAATCTCTTAATCCTGTCAGTTGAGGAGGATGTATATCATTCCAGGACCCTGTAATAATTGCGTTAACTACAAAATTTTACAGCATGTGTAGTTGAGCAATATGAAATGTGGGCACCCTGAAAAAAGAACAGGATAACAGCAATTGTTCAGGGAATAAGAGAGATAACCTTAAATTCTGACCGCCAGTGAGCCGGGCGGAACAGAGCCATATTTCTCTTCTTTCAAAAGGAAATGGGAGAAATATCGCTGAATTCCTTTTCTCAGCATGGGAAGTCCCTGAGAAAGAGAATGCGCACCTAGGGGTAGGTCTCTGAACTGGCCCCCCTGGGGCGTACATATCTCTTATGGTCGAGATTGCAGAGGTGAAATAAACTCCAGTCTCCCATAGCGCTCCCAGGCTTATTAGGAAGAGGAAATTCCCGCCTAATAAACTTTGGTCAGACTGGTTGATCTCAAAACGCTGTCTCCTGATAAGATGTTTTCAATGACAATGGTGCCCAAAACTTCATTAGCAATTTTAATTTCGCCTCCATCCTGTGGTCCTGTGATCTCCGCCCTGCCTCCACTTGCCCTGTGATATTCTATTACCCTGTTAAGTACTTGATGTCTGTCACCCACACCTATTCGTATACTCCCTCCCCTTTTGAAACTCCCTAATAAAAACTTGCTGGTTTTTGTGGCTTGTGGGGCATCACGGATCCTACCAACGTGTGATGTCTCCCCCGGACGCCCAGCTTTAAAATTTCTCTCTTTTGTACTCTGTCCCTTTATTTCTCAAGCCAGCCGATGCTTAGGAAAATAGAAAAGAACCTATGTGATTATTGGGGCAGGTCCCCCGATATACATATATGTATACACATGTATATTCCTCATTTGTAAATTTTTATAGTGTATAATTTATATCTATATAAATACTATCTATCCACATACACACATGTACATATATATATTACCTATCATTTTCTTTTAAAATTTTTCCTTTAAAATGTTACAGCCTCTGAGTTAAAATCATTTTGATAATATTTGTATTTTATACATGTTTTTTCAGCTTGTGACTAAATTTACCACATACTACAACATGCCTTGTCTCATGGAAAGTTTTCAAGGATTCTGCCATTCTGTGGGTCTTCCGAATACTGGGCTGACTTGTCAGTGAGAGAACAAGTAAGGGCTCTAACAATGTGGGAAGCCAAACAGCTGTGTTTCTCCTGTAGCCCGTGGGCCTCGGAGAGTGTGTCCCCTACACATAACTCACTTCCTTGGGCTTTTGCTGTACGCCCTCTCTGCCACCAAACAGCTACTGAGTTTCTGAGTCATAGGCTAAAACTTTCTGCCATAGTTGCCTTTTGATGTGGTTTGGCTCTGTGTCCCCACCCAAATCTCATGTTGAATTGTAATCCCCAATGTTGGGGAAGGGCCTGATGGCAGGTGATTCTATCATGGGGGTAGATTTCCCCCTTGCTGTTCTTGTGATAGTGAGTTCTCATGGGATCTGATGGTTTGAAAGTGCGTGGCATTCCCCCCTTCACTCTCTGTCTCTCCTGCTTCACCATGTAAGACGTGCTTGCTATCCTTTTGCCTTCCACCATGACTGTACGTTTCCTGAGACCTCGCAGCCATGCTTCCTGTACAGCTTGTGGAACTGTGAGTCAATTAAACCTATTTTCTTCATAAATTACCCAGTCTCAGCTAGTTCTTTATAGTAGTGTGAGAACGGACTAATACACGTTTTAAGCCATTGGCTTATATTTCATTTATGGAGAATTCTGTAAATTAAGATGATGTAGGCATGAGTTATAGAATTGTTACCAAAAAATGGTCCTGATCCAGGCCCCAAGAGAGGGTTCTTGGATCTCATGCAAGCAAGAATTCAGGGTGAGTCTATAGAGTAAAGTGAAAGCAAGTTTATGAAGAAAGTGGAGGAATAAAAGAATGGCTACTCCATAGACAGGGTAGCCCTGAGGGCTGCTGGGCCCATTTTTATGGTTATTTCTTGATGATATGCTAAACAAGGAGTGGATTATTCATGCCTCCCCTTTTTAGGCCATATACTGTAACTTCCAGACTTTGCCATGGCATTTGTAAACTGTCATGGCGCTGGTGGGAGTGTAGCTGTGAGGAGGACCAGAGGTCACTCTCATCACCATCTTGATTTTGGTAGGTTTTAGCCAGCTTCTTTACTGCAACTGTTGTATTAGCAAGGTCTTCTGACCTGTATCTTGTGCCGACCTCCTATCTCATCCTGTGACTTAGAATGCCGAGCCATCTGGGAATGCGGCTGCCCAGTAAGTCTTAGTCTTAATTTACCGAGCTCCTATTCAAGATGGAGTTGCTCTGGTTCAAATGCCTCTGACATTTCCATATAGATTTGTTTTGAATCCTGGCTCCATGGTCTGCTAGCTGAGTGACATTTTGCCGATGACATTACCCCATTGTACCTCAGTTTCCTTGTTTGAAAAATAGGAATAACCATGCTGATCTATTAAAATTAAGATTATTTGAGGAATAAATAAAGTAACACTTGAAAAAATGCTTAGGACATAATAGTAACATAATAAATGATATTATCATTTTGATGGGGTTGGTTGCCCAATAAGAAGAAATGTGGGAACACTCATAGAAAGAATAACTGCTATTTAAAAGTGTGTTTCTGGTGCTGGATATATCAGATCAGCTTGACTCAGATACTTTTCTGGGGAGAATATTTGGCTCTTTTCAGAAATGTGAATGTATATTAACAGGCATGCCTATTTATGTAGCAATATAAAAATACTTTTGTAAACAAATGCTTAACAAACAAAAAGAATATGTGACTGAATATGAAAGAATCAAATGCGATCCATGCTATAGGAAAATATGGCATAAAGGTGAAGAAAGTACACGAAATAAAGATGAATTATGGCAGCAGAATAAGACTTTATTTGGCCGGACAATGGCAGCCCCTCTATGCCCTTGGTATATGAGGTTGCTGGTTGGTGCGTGTAGGGTGGGGAGAGTGAAAGCATATTTCCACACGGTGCTAAGAAGCTTATGGGAATAAAAGTGATTGAGATCCTAATTTCTTCCCTTTTGAGGTTGAATGTTGTTAGAACATCTCTGATGGTCTGAGGCAGTCCTAGCTGAAGTCATTAGTTAGGAAAGAAGATCAGATCTCTCCCATCCAGGAAGAAACTCACTGTGGGAAATGGGACAACTAGGCTGTGCCACATGTCACAAACAAGGGTCTATGTGGTTATAGCAGAAGGCTGGTTCAGGGTTGCTCACTCACCCTTTCAAAAATTCTACAATGTGGGACTTAGTATTGACCTCATTTTTCCAGCTATAAAACTTAGGCTTAGAGGGGTTAAGAAACTTGCCCAAAGTAAGGGTTAGGAGGCAGCTAAGAGCTAGAACTCCAGCCCCGTCTCTCCCCAGAATCCTTGTATGTCACTTCTATACTACACATGTTATCTGAGATCGTTCTCTGGTCTTTCTCTCCTCAACATTCAGTTGACAAAAATAAAGAAATGCATGGGGTGGGGAGAGGGGCAGGGATAGCATTAGGGGATATACCTAATGTAAATGACGAGTTAATGGGTGCAGCACACCAACATGGCAGATGCATTCATATGTAACAAACCTGCACGTTGTACACATGTACCCTAAAACTTAAAGTATAATAAAAAAAAGAAATGCAAATTGGGGCTAAGGATTAGGACACATACTTCAGTGGGAAGGGGTCTGGCAATTAGGGGAAGAGAATTTCAAGAGCTTTGAGGTTTCCCAGCCTCCTCCAGGAGGGTGATGGTTATATGATGTAATCCACATTCTTGCCTGACTTCTGGAAATACAAAACAGGCATTTTCAAGATGATTGCCTAAGATTTAAAAATCATTCTGTGGCCATGTATACATTCTTTTTTTTTTTTTTTCCTTCAATGCAAACTTGATCTTTCCAGGCCTTAATAGTCTCCTCTGTAAAATAAGAGCGTTGTGCTAAATCATTGTTAGAATTCTTTTCATGCTCTAAGGTTTGTGAGTTCAGGAATTTATAAGCTTTTTCTGGTATTTAACCTTTGGCCTTAGTTTCTTTAGTACTATGATCAAAACTAATCTCCCCAACTTAAATTTTCTGTGACAGGTAAGGAAGCCAGGACAAAGGACTTAATGAAGGTTTTGAAGCAGGAAGTATAGCAGCAAAAGGTTTTACAGCTATGTATGAAATGGAGTTGAAAGGAAAGAACTCAGGATCTCAGAATCCAGTGGGTATAGCCAAAAAGGTTGAAGCTCAGAAATGACTTTCAGAGGGATTACATAGAAAAATAGATAAGATTTGGTCGTGCCCTTCATGTAAGCAGGCTGTAATTAGATTGGCTGGTGTGAGTTAGTGGGAAGGATTAGCCATCACAGAGGGACATTTAATGGGATGGCTGTCTGGTTCCCCCATCTCGCTGTCCCAGCCCACCCTTGGGAACTGATGTAGCTGCCGTCACCATCCAATAACTCTACTTCCAATACTTCCAACTATGTAAAGCTTTCTTGGTCTTAGTTTTGTTGAACCAAAGAACTGTTACCAATTAAATGAGAAAAAAGTTTTTAAAAATTCACAAAAACATAGATGTGAGCAACGTTTATAGAGTAGAAGTTTCTGGTTCCCATTTGAGAGAGTAACCAATTCCTTACCTCTTCTTGCTTCTCATCTGCCCACTTCTTTCTTCTGCCTTTCTCTCCAGCTTCTCTTCCTTACCTTTTCATTCTTTCTTCCCACTCATCTGACACTTTACTGAGCACAGTGTGTAAAGGTCTGTGTTAGGTACTGTGGCCAACAGAAGATAAAGAAGGCACAGTCCCAGCATCTTATGTTGCTCTCGAGCTAGCAGCAGAGACAGACACAGACAAGTCAGTGTGGTAGCCCAGTTCACAAGACAGTCCACGCTCAGGTTTCTTTTCTTTACCTTCTCTGTGCAGCCCCATCCCCAAACCTGCTGATATTCTCTCCTCCTCCTACCTCTAATGCCCTCTCTAAGGATTAGATGCCTAAATGGCTAATTATTTTCCCCTAAACTATGGGGGCAAGTCTCTTAACGTTCACTGTGTCATATCAAACAAGTTCCATATATATGATCACTGACCAGCTGGGACTTCCTTCTCTTTGTATTAAGACAGATTCACAGAGGGTTTAGAAAATATGAGTTTTAGCGTTTGCCTTTTAAATCGAATAATGATGGTGCTTCCAGGACTTTGTCAAGTGTGAACTATGTGCTAGGTACATACATATTGTCTCTACTCCTTGTATTATCACTCTGCTCACCATCAATTCATAGATAATTCAGAGAGGCTAAGTAACTAGTCCAAAATAAAACACTTAGAGGTGGAATTTGAACACAAATCTAATCCTTTTTACTACATCTGTGCTTTAATGACAAAGGGCAGGTTCCATGTCGTCTTTCCACTCCTCGCCAAAGAAATTCTACTTCCATGTGTGTCTGTGTTTGTGTGTGTAATCTACTCATAAGATAAAGTATATAGCACATGATAAAACTTTTAAATTTTTATTTATTTTTTTGAAACAGAGGTTCACTCTGTTGTTCAGGCTGGAGTGCAGTGACACAATCTCGGCTCACTGCAACCTCCGCCTCCTGGGTTCCAGCTCTCCTGTTTCAGCCTCCCGAGTAGCTGGGATTATAGGCACCTGCCACCATGCCTGGCTAATTTTTGTATATTTAGTAGAGGTGGGGTTTCGCCATCTTGGCCAGGCTGGTCTTGAATTCCTGACCTTAGGTGATCTGCCTGCCCAGCCCTCCCAAAGTGCTGGGATTACAGGTGTGAGCCACCGCGCTCGGCCAACATATGATAAAACTTTCAGATACAGTTGGGTCTCTTCTAGATTAAACAATGAGTATCTGATCTGTTTTGCTATCAATTACAGAAACTTTACTATGATATTCAATTAAAAGTTTAACAACTAGAAAAATTTCCTAAGTGGCATAATTTTTAAAAGTTAAAACTTTTTCCTCTTAAAAGTCAACAAATAATTGTAAAAACACATGTAGTCTCTGTGCATTAATGTTCATTGTGCAAAACATATGTGGATATACAGGCATTAACAAGAGCCAAAGGAGGCAGTTGTAAGAGCTCTTGCTGGTTGGTATTATATATAAATTCAATGTGTATTCACTAGAATTATAGAAGCTCCTAGAAAAAAAATCTCACTTTAAAATTGTAAAGCTTGTGAATTTTATAGCCAATTTAGTTCAAAATATGTTAAAAAATACTAATGGAATATTAATTTGTTGTATCTTGGTATTTACTATATAATCCTTGGTGCATTAATATTTGTCATGAGAATAGTATGTCAATATTGTTTCTATTGTTACAACATAATAATCAATAGGGGAAAATTCAGTAGCAAACTGAGATGAATTTTAATAGGGTATAAGATTAATTTGTGCTTGTTCTTTCATTAAATAATTTGCATTGAATTGTTGAACCAATGCAGGCAATGTCCATATTATAACAGTACTCCCCCGGCATGAATACATGGTACACAGATATTGGTGGTGGTATTTAAACAGTGTTTTCTTTAACCTTCCTGGATGTCAACTCTTTCATCTGTCAGTACAGATTTTTTGGGGGGTCACAATAATGCCTGGCACATAGTTAACATTTACTGTGGGTTTACTATTACCATTTATTAACCCTATTTTAAGAACACATATGGTTACTAATGTTGTCTGTTGCAATTGTGAATGAAGCTAAACCCACTACTGGTGAGAAGTATTAAACCTGTTTAAGTGTGTAGCTTCAGCTTCTTACCTAATAAAGCTTCCACCCATGAGGGAAGTTTGGGGGTGACTTTGATAACATCTGAGGAATGGAATCTTCTGATAGGAAAGAGCTGAGAGCAACATTCAGATGTCAGTTTTCAGTTAAGCTCTTAATTTTCAACAGTTTTGCCAAACTGTGATTTCAGGGAATGTTCCTGGAGAAGAAGCATCAGTCATTCAACCAAATAAGATTTAAAAAAACGCTGCAGAACACAATCTCCTTTTAGAGATTCACAATACTTATTTACATAGCAAAGGCTTAGGTGACCCAGCAGCAGGTACACTGCTGTTAGTACAGCAGGTACACTGCTGAAAAAAGGCTTAGAGATGTTGTGTAAAAAATAAGCCTATTTTAATTTAATTTCACCTAGCTTTTAACAAACTTATTTGACAATGGAACCTTTAAAATATATATATATACCACCCCTAAATAGCTTGTATATTTAGAGAAATGCCAATTTAGAGAAAAATTCAAAACTCAGCTACTTTTCTCCTTTTTCAATTCAAGGGTTTAAAACAAATGGTGCTGATGAATGGCTTTCCAAATTTACTTTCCCATACATATTTAAGTATGACAAATGCTCATCCACCATGTGGTAGGTAGTGAATTCATAAAACCTAAGAAAGGAGATCAGAAGCTATGTAAATGCCAGATATATTTCTACTTAATGCTTTTTAAAAACATTTTAATACTCTATAGCTGTGTTTATATTCCCATGCACAATTATTATGAATTATGAAGACAACAAAGATGAATCTGGGAAAACTTATCACAGAGAAAATTCACATGTCAAGATAAATTTGCATCCCATAATCTATGCTTTGGTGTTACTAGGTCTTGGTCAAATATTGTTTAGTGCTTTGTGTTAACAGTGCTGAACATGCTCTAGAAACACTTGACTGTAGTGCACTTTACAATTTATGTTTTATAGCTAATTCTTTTCCCACAGTATATTACTTATAGGTTGCTGTGTAATAAATTACCCCCAAATGTAGCAGCTTAAACAACAAACATTTACTATCTCACTTTTTTGTGGGTCAGAAACTGGGTGCGGCCTAGCTGGGTCCTGTGGCTCAGGGTTTCCCATAAGCCTACACCCAAGGTGCTGACCAGGGCAGTGGTTCCCTCAAAGCCCAATCAGGGGAAGATCCTCTTCTAAGCTCACTCATGTGGTTGTTGGCAGGATTTAGTTCCTTGTGACTGTTGGGCTGAGGGCCTCAGTAGCTCAGTGGCTGTTGGCTGCAGGTCTCCCTTGGTTCATTGGCACATGGGCCTTTTCACAGGGCAGCTCACAACACGGCATCTGGCTGTCATCAGTATTAACACGGTAGAAGCCCGAGTCTTTTTGTAATCTCATCTCAGAAGTGGCATCCCATCACATTCACCACAGTCTGTTTGTTAGAAGAAAGTTCCTAGGCCCAGCCCACATTTAAAGGGAGGAAATTGTACAGGGACATGAATACCAGGAACTGGGAATCAGGGGAGCTGTCCTAGAAGCTGCTCATCACACATGTTAACAATTGGTGGCACAGGGTGTTGTTCCATTAAATGGGTCTGGTACTTTGGGATATGTTGATAGTAGTTTGATTCAGAGGTTATAAATCTATGCATTGCAATCCAATAAGATATTGAACAATGAGATGGAGACAGTTGTACTTACCTCAGTTCCTATGAAGGAGAACATTGTATTTATTTGCAAATAATCTCTGGTTAGGTGGAAACAGAAGTCTAGAAGACAGGGAAGTACTTTGTATTCAGGATGATGCCACAGGATAGAGTTCACAATTCATAGCTGTGGAGCTGGTTAAGCTCTGAGTAGAGACAATTATGTCAAGATGTCCTAAAGACAGGAGCTGCTGCTGACACCTGGACCACACTGATTTGCAATATGGAAGGTTTAAAATAACTTTGGAAGATTAGGTTTCTATTTAGACCATG
Organism: Homo sapiens; assembly: GCF_000001405.40. Taxonomy (NCBI): domain Eukaryota; kingdom Metazoa; phylum Chordata; class Mammalia; order Primates; family Hominidae; genus Homo; species Homo sapiens. The sequence goes on from NC_000001.11 coordinate 185,546,918, forward strand.
GTGATCAAACTACACACTTATATTAGTTACCCATTGCTGAGAAACAAATTACTCCAAATTTAGCAGCTTAAGACAACAGACATTTTTAGCTCATGTTTTCTAGGGGTCTGAATCTGGGAGTGGCTTAGCTAGGGGATTCTGGCTCAGGGTGTCTCATGAGGTTTGACTGAAGATGTTAGCCCAGGCTGCTGTCATCTGAAGGCTTGACTGGGACTGGAGGACCTGCCTCCAAGGTGGCTCATATTGGCAGGTGGCCTCAGTTCCTCACCATGTGGGGCTCTCCATAGGACTGCTAGAGCATCCTCATGACATGTCATCTGGCTTCCTCCAGAGTGACTGATCCAAGACAAAGAAGCAAGGAGGAAGCCACAAAGTTTTCAAATCAGCATTTATAAAGTACTTCACTCTTTCCAGTCATTAATACATAAATGAGCAGATAAGTTCAGGATATTTCAGATCCAACAGGGGCATGAATTGTGTGTATACCTGATTTAAAAAAAAACAACAAAAACAATGGGGACAGTTTTGAAAGTGCCATCCTTCCTAAGATAATTGTTGTAGAAGAAAAAAGAAAGTGCCATCCACTAGCCAAAGTGAAGCATGTGCTAGTTTTTCTATGTTAGATTTAGTGGTAAATGTAAAAAAAAAATCTATTTACTTCAGTCAAATGCCTAATCAAGAATAGTTCACCATTTAATATGCTTTGTAACACTGAAGGAACCTCAAAATCACCCAGTGTCTTTGGTTCAGAAGGTCACTGAGCTTGCCAAATTCTTTTTATTCACTGAATAAGAGTGTTTTTGAAAGCAAGCATTACACTGTGTGTGAAGAGGCAGAAGTCATACATGATTGAATAATTTGGCAGAAGAGATTTCTTGTATTTTTCACCTCTATGATCTTTGAAACAATTGCTGCGCTTGTATTTGGAGAGTGGTTGTGGCCTACAAATTTTGTTAAGTACATGCTGTCCATCAGAAACTATGGTTATTGCTTGACCATTGGAATTAAGCCATTTTCTGCTTTCAAAACACCCATAACAATTAGCTTTTAAACTTTTATCTTTTACCATTAAGTAGCCTCATATAATTATCACAGCTTTTTTTTTTTTTTCCAAGGGAACAATTTCACAGATCTCTACCATTGTGTTATAAGGAATATAGTAAGAAGGAAAGATATTTAGTTTCCCCAACACCAAATCTGTATTAGTTAGGATTCTCTAAACAGACAGAACTAATAGCGTATGTATATAGATATACTAGAGGATATTTATTAGGAGAATTGGTTCATGCAATTATGAAAGGTGAAGAATGCCATGACAGGCCATCTGCAAGCTGGAGACCCTTGGATGCTGGTAGCATGGCTCAGTCTAAGTCCAAGGGCCTCAGAATCAGGGAAGCCGATGGTGTGACTCTCAGTCTGAAGCTAACAGACTCAGAACCCGGGCGCCACTGGTGTTAGTCCTGGAATTCAAAGGCCAGGGAGCCTGGAGTTCTGATGTCCAAGGTAGCAGAAGAGAAGTCTGTGCCAGCTCTCAGAGAGACACTAATTCCCCTTCTGTTTTCTCTCCAGGCCCTCAGCCTATTGGATGATACCCACCAACACTGAGGGCCAATCTTCCCTACTTTATTCACTAGACTCACACTCTAGTCTGTGCTGGAAACACCCTCCTAGACATACCCAAAATAATGCTTTACCAGGTTTCTAAGTATTCTTGAATCCAGTCAAATTGACAAGCTAAAATTAAATCCACAAACCCACCCCTTGTCAACTTGGCGCCCATACACATCTCCTTAAACCATACTTAATTTCTAAAAGAGATAATAACGAGATAATAGTTCCACCTAACATGACGCAATATGATGTGATTGTGATTTTTAGGATTTTAGACTTCAGACTTTGGGGTGTGTGTGTGTGTGTGTGTGTGTGTGTGTGTGTATGTGTGTGTTGAGATAGGGTCTCTGTCACCCAGGCTGGAGTGCAGTGGTGCAATCTTGGCTCACTGCAGCCTCGACTTCCTGGGCTCAAGTGATCCTCCCACCTTAGCTTCCCAAGTAGCTGGGACTACAAGCACACACCACCATGCCTGGCTAATTTTTGTATTTTTTGTAGAGATATGGTTTTGCCATGTTGCCCAGGCTGGTCTCAAACTCCTGGACTCAAGCAATCCACTGCTTCAGCCTCCCAAAGTGGTGGAATTACAGGCATGAGCCACCGCACCCAGCCAGCTTGAGAGATTTTGATCATCAAGGATTTTGATCTCAAATGCCAATAGTGTTTCCAACTGGGAAACATTTCTCCCCTTTCTCTGCAGTCCTGCCTCTAGTCTAGGTTGTAAACTCTGGGAGAAAAGGGACATGTAGATTTTCTTTGCTGCCCTAATCTTAGTGCCTAGAAGAGCACCTTACAACCTTACATGTAGTGAGTGCTCAGTAAATATTCGTTGAATTAACCAAGTGCCATTTATGGAGACAGACTGATGGATAATTAGATAAAGATAACAAAAAGCTGCTGACCACAGTTTGATTTCCTTAGGCCTTTAATTACCTTGTGTTGGGATCCTGGATATATTGCTGTTGTGTCCTAGAGTCTGTTTTCAGTTGGTAAAGTGGGATATTCGAGGTTAAAAGGGGGAAAAAAACAAGTTGTGATTCTTCTTTTGGAAAGTCAGACTTTCCCAAATGCAAATTGGCTATCAGTATGTTAATATGTTCTCTAAACGTACCTATGATTTTATCAGTGATGGAAAATATTGTTAAAATATATTTGTGTTTTACAGAAACTACATTAAAAGACTTTTCCCTCAATATTTCAAGGAAAACTTTTCATCTTTATTTTGTCCTTTCTCTTCTTCTCAATGTTAGTTTTTGTATTATATGGAAATTGCTTTCTTGATTAACATTTAAAACGTCTGTCCTCTGGGGATGTCTTTATTTTGTGTTCTAGTTATTTATACCACCAAGGAACAACTTTATTAAAAAAAAGCATTTAGCTTTATCAAAAAGCAAATATTTACAAATTATTTTTCTGATGGCGTCTAGTGTTCATTTCACTTTCTTGCCTCCTTCTGTATTACAGTATACTCACACATTGAGTATTTAAAATTCCTTTATGAATTTGCAACAGAATCCCCCTGCAGCCCCCTCACTCCAGACATCTAATTAGTGTTTCCTGTCACAACAGCATATTTTTTGTTGCATAAAATTGCACACTTTTTTTTTTCTTTTTGGTACTGGAAATGGTGTTTTAACAGGGGGAAGTGCTGGATTCCAAGGACCTGTCTTCAAGGCTGGGTTCAGAGCAGCTATTCCCATAATGGCCCCTGATCAATCTACCTTCTCATTTCTTTTTTAAATACCAAGTCTCTTGGTAAATAATGGTAGCAAAAAAAAAAAAAAAAAAAAAAAAAAAAAAAACGAAAAAGAAAACCTCTTCTTCTACAGGAACACCACTTTCCTGGGAGTAACTGCCATGATTTATAGACTGGTGTTTGTCTGGTTAAGTTGTTTTTGCCAGTGCACACAGCAGCAAATCTTATCAGAATCTGCTTTCCTAGGCATTTCTTCCACCTCTTGATATGCAGTCATTTTCTTTCAGTAAATATTTGGACGTTCCCAAGTGAGCTCCGTCAATGATGCTTTATTTCTCAGATGGGATAACTGAGAAGCGTTGTGTTCATGTGTGTGGATAGGTTGTTCTTCCCTTTTCTTTCCTCTGAAACACTTTTTAAGACATAAATCTTAAATACAGATAGGACTTGGAGGTGGTGGAGGAGGGGTGGGGGCTTCAGTCTGTCATTACAGTTTTAACCAGAGAAAAATAGTTAAGGCAGAACCTGTAGTGGAAAACCAGAGGCTGATCCAAGAAATGGCCACAGGAGAGCCTTGAGTTGGAACAATCTCTTGCTGAGATGGCTAGTGGTATATCCGTGCAACTCTTTTTATCAGCTTTATTGAGGTACAATTGTATGCCTAAAAAATTGCACATATTTAATGTATATAATTTGTCTTGAATAAAGATTTTTATAATTTTATAGGAAAGAAGCAGCAATGACCAAAATTAAATAGACTCCTGTCCCTTTATGTCACAGAGATCTGAGAAATGAGAAAAACAGGATTGTTCTGATTTTTTTTCTCAGCTAAAGTTATCTCAGAAACACAGATTAGAGTGGAACCTTTTCTACCATGCTCTGAGGGGCTGTGGATGATCCCTGGTATGGAAGGAGTCACCGGTGTGTCTGCTGAATTGCTTCCTCGTGACCCTCTGCCTCCAGCTGTTTCCCCTTGCTCTGGTTCTCATTGCATCAGGGCCAGCATGTGCCCTCAGAGGTGGGTGGGGCATGCTCATGGCAGGAGAAGCAAGAGCCCTTGGCTCCCAGTGGTTGATCTAAAGGACAAAACTTCTTCATTAGAAAGAACAAAATAAATGCTTCTTGGCTGAAATCTACCAGCCTAGGAGTGAAGGAAGCAAGTCAAGGGGCTAGGAGGAAGTTGGTAAAACCTAAAAGCATTAAGACATGAAAGGTCTGTAATCTGACCTCAACTTACCTGTTCGGTTGGATTTCTTGATACTCCAACAGGACTGAGATGTGAAGTTTCTGCAACAGTCCTATGGTCTTTCACCTTCGTGCCTTTGCTTATGCTAACCCAGGGCATGCCCTCCAGGGAGCCTGCTGTGATCTGGATGTTTGCATATCCCCCAAATTCACACACCTCTAAGATTATTGTATTAGGAGATTGGGACTTTGGGAGGTGAGGGAGGGTGGAGCCCTCATGAATGAGATTAGCGCCCTTACAAATGAGGTCCAAGAGAGACCACTTGCCCTCTACCTTGTGAGGACAGCCAGAAGGTACCATCTATGAACCAGAAAGCCTTTACCAATTGCTGAATCTGCTGATGCCTTGTTCTTGGACTTCCTAGCCCACAGAGTATGAGAAATAAATTTCTGTTGTTTATAAGGTATCCAGTTTATGGCATTTTGTGATAGCAGCCCAAATGGACGGAACCTGCTCTGAATCTCCTTTGTTAGATGTGTCCAGATTTTCTTCTTTCTTCTTCCATTAATATCCAGAGCATAACTCTATACTGTGCTGTTACATTGTCATATCATCTTTCAATGCCTGCCTCTTACTCGCACAGCTCCTTGAGGGCAGGGGCTATTTGTTATTTGTGTATTCCCAGGGCTTAGACAGCGCTATATAGGCACTTAATGTTTGTTAAGTAATGAATAAGACAGATCAAGAGTATGTAAACAGAAATGACCCACAAGGTAGTTGCATCTTTTGACTTTAGAGTTAGGACAAGGGCTATTATCAAGGGTGTTCTAGTGTAACCCATCCTGGGCCTAAGAATTTAAAAGAAAGTTGTCTCAGGTCTTACCATTGCCTATATCTTGTGGACTTCCAATCAGATTGAACTGAGCAAATTGTCGTACTAAGCTAATTAAGTACCAAGTTAATTGTTGTCATTTTATTTTTTCATAGCTTTTGAGTGCAATTATTTAATGTTCAGAGTGCAAATGCCAAGACCTTTGCTTTAGCAGATAAGACACTATTTACCTACTTACATAATTACATAATTTACATAATTGTTTTGTTTCCACGTTGTTTGATCTATCTTCTCTCCACTCCTTTTTTTTGTTGTTTTTTTTGTTTTTTGTTTTTTGTTTTTTTGAGATGGAATCTCACTCTGCCACCATGCTGGAGTGGCATGATCTCGGCTCACTGCAGCCTCTGCCTCCTGGGTTCAAGCGATTCTCCCACTTCAGCCTCCCCAGTAGCTGGGACTACAAGTGTGCGCCACCACGCCTAGCTAATTTTTTGTGTGTTTTTAATAGAGACGGGGTTTCACCATGTTGGCCAGGATGGTCTCGATCTCTTGACCTCGTGATCCACCTGCCTCAGCCTCCCAGAGTGCTGGGATTACAGGCATGAGCCACTGCGCCCGGCCTACCACCCCTTCTTTTTGCTTATGTTAGGGACTTTTCTTTAGTTCTCTTCTTACTACCTTTGTATTCTGTTTTAGAGAGTTCAAACTATGTCTGTGGATACTAATGTTAAACTCATTTTTTCCTTTATTTTTCATAGTTCCTATGATTTTAAGATTTGATTTTGATGTAACTTTCTCTCTCTACTCTTCAATAAATCAAGTCTTCTTATCAGGCAAGAACAATGTCCCTCTTGCAGTTTCAAGTACAATATCAATATTGTATTTGAATTACATGTAATAGTAATTAAGTTTTATTGAGCATTTCCTGTACACTGTCCAACTATGTAAATAATTTACAGGTTTTAGCTCATCTAAACCCTCCTCATTAGGCTAGATGTGGTGGCTCACACCTATAATCCTAACACTTTGGGAGGCCAAGGTGGCAGGATCACTTAAGGCTAGGAGTTTGTGACCAGCCTGGGCAACCTAGTGAGACCCCCATCTCAAATAAATAAATAAATAAAGCCTCTTCACTATGAGAGACACCAGTAAGTCTGAAACTTAGGTCTACTTTTCTATAGTTTTAGCAGCCTCAGTGTGGACATCTCTCAGTGCTTCCACCCCCACACCCCGAGGTGCACAGGCTCTGGGGCAGGATGGCTGAAGCACAAATCTCAGCTCTGTCAACAGCTAGCTGTGTGATCTTGGGGAAAGTTTCTCAAATTTTTGGTGTCTCGTTGCCTTCATCTATAAGATGAGATAATAACAGGACCTTGACAATTGTAATGTGTGAAAAAGTTCATATGTATGGATCAGTATATTTGTGTTCTGTGGTTGCCATAATACATTAACACAAACTGAGTGGCCTAAAACAAGAGAAATTCATTCTCTCACAGTTCTGGAGGCCAGAAGTTCTAAGCCAAGGTGTTGGCAGGGCTGCACTCTCTTCAAAGGCTCTAGAGGAAGATTCTTCCTAGCCTTATCCAGAGGTGGTTCCAGATGTTCCTTGGCTTGTAGCAGCACAGGCACAATCTCTGTCTCTGTCTTCCTGTGGCCTTCTCTTCCTTCCCCACTTCTCTCTGGGTCAAATCTTCTGCCTTTCGTTTAAAAGGACATTCGCATTAGATTTAGAGCCCACGTGGATCCACCAGAATGATCTCATCTTAAATTTCTTAATTTTTTTTTTTTTGAGACAGGGTCTCACTCTGTTGTCCAGGATACAGTACAGTGGTGAGATCTCAGCTTACTGCAGTGGCTGAAGTGATTCTCCAACCTCAGCCTCCCAAGTAGCTGAGACTATAGGTGTGTACCACCACATCTGTGGGGTTTCACTATGTTGCCCAAGCTAGTCTCAAACTCCTGGACTCAAGCAATCTGCCTGCCTTGGCCTCTCGAAGTGCTGGGATTACAGGTGTGAGCCACCATGCTTGGCAAAATCCTTAATGTAACAACATCTGCAAAGCCTTTTTTTTTGTTTTCAAATAAGGTCACATTCACAGGGCCTGCTCTTCTGTAACTGCCTCATCTATAATATCTCTATGCTCATAAGCTTGGAAGTCTCAGTTAATCCTTGACTGTGTTCCTCACTGCTCTCAAGTACTTGTCTGGCAAATCTGTTGATTCTACTTTCAGACAGCTCTCTTTTCTGTGCCTACTCCTGTTAGTTCTTAGTTCAAATTCTCATTAGGATAAGAGTTATTCTTTCCTACAGTTGTTTGCATTTCCAATTTATGCTCTGCATTGCCTCTAGATATGTTTTTCTAATGTACACCCCCTGCCTAAAAATTCCAAAGGTTTTTTGTTGCACACAGTTATAGTAATAATAGCCAAAACTAGCATGGGTATCTCTCCCATTTCACTAATAGGGAAATTAAAGTTCAGAAAAGATCAAATGAGGAGCTGGGAATGGTGGCTTACGCCTGTAATCCCAGCACTTTGGGAGGCCGAGGCAGGGGGATCACTTGAAACCAAGAGTTCAAGACCAGCCTGACCAACATGGTGAAACCTGTCTCTACTAAAAATACAAAAAATTAGCCTGTCATGGTGGCGGACACCTGTAATCCCAGCCACTCAGGAGGCTGAGGCAGGAGAATGGCTTGAACCTGGCAGGCAGAGGTTGCAGTGAGCCGAGATTGCGCCACTGCACTTCAGCCCGGGCGATAGAGTGAAACTCTGTCTTGGAAAAAAAAGAAGATTAAATGATATGTCCTCAAGATCATGTAGCTTTGTAATTAGCAGAGACTGAAATTGAGCCTAAGTCTTCTAAATTTATGCTTTGATGTCCAGGGCTTAGTTTATTACTTGAAGTATTCACACAATACTTCAAAGTCAACCTTTTCCCTTTATATTCCTGACATTCCTTGACATTGATCTGTCATTCCACCCATAACTTCCATTGTTCTACGATGATTTTATGCCTTTACATTTTGATTGTTTCTACCAGGAGGGCTGGCTCACCTCTTCATTTTTTCCTGACCCATTTTTCTATATTTTTTTTCTTGACTATGCAAGGAAAGTTCACTTACTCTGCGAAGCCTTGCCCAGGTTAGATGCTTACTCCCTCAAAGCTCTGGTGGCAACTTACACATATTCCCATTATAGCACTTCCATATCATCTTTTCATTGTTCACATGTCTTTCTGCACAAACATCTCACTGATTTATATAGCCCCAGTGCTCAGCTCATCAGAGATGATCAGTAAATATTTGCTGAAATATTTCAGCTAAAATTGCAGAACTAAAAGAAATTGTTCTTTTAGCTCACTAAAAATCAACTTATCAGCCATTTGAAAAAATAAGAAATGTAATTACTAAGTTAAGAGGCAGAGCTCTGAGTGGGAATATGGGAATATTGAAATCTCTGTAATAGCTCTTTTATTATAGTCAAATTAGCTTCTCACCCCTTGAACAGGTGGTGACTATTTCTAACTCTGTGCCTTTACTGAAGCCATTCTCCTCCCACAAATGTCCTCCCCACTACTCTGCAGTTTTCTAAATTCTACCCATCATCAAGGCCAAGTCCTATCTACTCCATAAAGGAGCCCTCTCTAACCTACCCATCCCATCTCTAACTCTACTGTGCTAAGCCTCACAGTGGCAGTTTCCTGACTTTATTGATATTGCCTGTACACTCTGTCTGTGAAGGAATAAAAGCATAGTTAAATGTTTACCTAGTAATAAAGCAAAAGTCTATATACATTATTCCATTTTTAATCTTCAAAAAGTCAAGTGCTTTGATAAGTGAACTGTGTTTTGGAGAAGTAGTACACTGATTTTTACAAAATGAAACTTTTGATAAGAGGTATATGCTATAGTTTGAATAGATATGTTCTTCCAAAATTCATGTGTTAGGACCTAATATCCAATGTGATAGTATTAAGAGGTAGGGCCCGTGGGGAAGCGATTAAGTCATGAGTGCTCCCAGTCTGTGGTGTTTTGTCATAATAGCAAGAATGGACTAAGACAGCCTGTATTAGAATCTAACAGTTGTTCTGCAACATTGAGTCCTTCCTACTTCCACAGTCATGGAACTTTTAGGTGAGCATGCCACTACCTGAAATAATGACTCCATTTTCCATGCTCCATTGCAACTAGGCATGGCCATGTGACTAAGCTCTGCACCTTGAGATGCATATAGAATTGTAGTGTGGTAGCTCTGGGGGAGCCGTGATTAAAAGCTAGTGCTTATGTATACTTTGTTTTTCTCTTCATTTTTTCCTCTTGGAATATAAATGCTACCATCTTGGAAAGTGAATGAATAAATTAAAAGAAGAAGCCTGGCTGGTCTATAGTTGCCAGATTTAGCAAATAAAAACACAAGATGACCAATAAATACTTCATGGGACATACTGATGTTGAAATGTTACTCAATGTTTATGTGGAATTCAGATCTTACTGAGTATTCTGTGTTTTATCTGGCAGCCCTAAATGGAACCCCACTATGGAATGCTATACCCACCCTAAGAAGTCTCCCAGGACTTTATACATGAGAGAACTAAACCACCATCATATTTTTCTGTCGCTTACAACCAAATAGAATTCAACAACTTCAAAGCAGAAAAAGAGGCCAACCTATGTCTTCTCATACTAAATCTCATGATTGTAACATGTTATCACAATGCCTCTTTGGTGAAATGACTATAGATCTGCCAAATTCTTCAGGGTCACCAGTAATTGCAATATGTTGTATTTCATATACTCTTTCATTTTTTAAAGAACTTTCATATGTTTGAGTTTCTTTACTATTTTCAATGATCTCACTTCTTAATTTTGCAGATGAAGTTTAGAGATTTGCCTAAGTTTATTTAACTAGTAAGCAGTTGGTGTGGGGCTTGAATTTGGAACTTCTAACTCTGAGTTTGCTGGTCTTCCTGCTAGTCCACAGCTTCCCCTCTTAAATTGGTAAATTCACTAGGAATAAAATGGCAGAGAAGGTGCCTCCTGTTGTAGGGATTTATTGGAAGAAAAGAAAGGCCATGCTCTGTCTCATACCTTCAGGTACCACAGGTGCAGCATCTGAGTCCCCTAAGGCTCATGGAGAATGAGTGTGCCAGGGAAATAATGGCTTTAGCTGGGAGGGACCAGCACCTTAATTCTCTCACACTACTGCATAAAAATAGAAGTTATCGGCTGGGAGCAGTGCCTCACACCTGTAATCCCAGCACTTTGGGAGGCTGAGGCGGGCGGATCGCCTGAGGTCAGGAGTTTGAGACTAGCTTGCCCAATGTGGTGAAACCCTGTCTCTACTAAAAATGCAAAAATTAGCTGGGTGTGGTGGTGGATGCCTGTAATCCCAGCTACTCGGGAGGCTGAGGTAGGAGAATTGCTTGAACCCAGGAGACGGAGGTTGCAGTGAGCTGAGATCACACCACTGCACTCCAGCCTGGGCGACAGAGCGAGACTCCGTCTCAAAAAACAAAACAAAACAGAAGTTATCTTGATCATATTATTCTTACTACTTGCTGAAAGCCCTACTAACTTTTTGGTGGCTTTGAGTAAGAGTTCACTTTACCCTCCAGCAAGGAAGTCATGCATCTATATAGAAGTTTGGATCAAAACTCTGGTTTTTCCGCCGGGCGCAGTGGCTCATGCCTGTAATCCCAGCACTATGGGAGGCCAAGGTGGGCAGATCACCTGAGTTTAGGAGTTCTAGACCAGCCTGGCCAACATGGCGAAACCCCATCTCTACTAAAAATACAAAAAAGTAGCCAGGCATGGTGGTGCACACCTGTAATCCCAGCTACTTGGGAGGCTGAGACAGGAGAATTGCTTGAACTCAGGAGGTGGAGGTTGCAGTGAGCTGAGATTGCGCCACTGCATCCCAGCCTGGGCGACGGAGTGAGACTCTGTCTCAAACAAACAAAAACAAACAAAACTCTGTTTTTACAAACTGTGGTTTCTGGATAGGTGCTTTAGGGGTTCAGCAAACATTTGATTCAAATGTTGTTTTCATATTTATCTTAACCATGATATCTACGATATTAATTAGCAGGGGTAAATAATGCTAGCTGTTGTAACAAAGACCCCAAAATTAGTTGTTTAATACAAGACCAGTTTATTTCTTGCTATTCCAAACCTATTAAAGATGTTCCCGCCCTGCAGGTGGCCTGCTACATGGTCCTTCAGAAACCAAACTCCTTCCATATTACAGCCCTGTCCTCCTCTAGATCCTCAGTCCTTTCCAGCGTGGTCCAGTTGTTGAGGAAAGGGTTGGAGGGTTGCCATGGGGGGTTTGCCGGTGCCAGGTCTGGAAGTGGTGCATGTCCGTTCTACTCATACTTCACTAGCTGGAGCTCAGACAAATGACCACAGGAAGGCTGGTAAATATGGTTGAGCTGTGAACCCAGAGAGAAAAGGAGCTGATTTTTGTTAAGGACACAGCTATCTGTCTCTACTACAATTTTTAAAAATATCTTTTAACTTTTGGGGCACTACAGCTTACTACTATGTTGCCAATGTTAATAACTTGTTTTGGTGCAGATTTTGGAATTAAGCTTCTTGTTTTATTTAGTTAAAGAATATCCTAAGGTTGAAAGAAAGGCTATTACAAAAACATCTGTTACCATTTACAGTGATTTATCTGTGGCAATCACTGTCATCCTTGACAAAAGTCATTGCAAAGACAACACCAAAATAAATTATATTCTAAAACTGATGTATGTTTATAAGTCATCCATAAACTCAGATCTCATTCATCTAAAAACACTTCCTTGTTCTCAGTGACTGACTTTATAATATTTAACAGAAATGTGAACTTATAAAATAAACTTATATTAATAGAATATTTTTATCTGTTCTGGATATATTGAGGTTGCCTATAAGGTTTATCTTGAAAAGGGTTCCACTGCTTAACAAATTTAAAACAGTGATACTAAAGTCTCTTCTAGCTCTAACATTTATAATGCTTTCTATTTTTATATGCCATTGAAAGAAAGACTAACTCCTGATTGCATATAAATGGTGCAATGCAAGTTAAGTTATTTTCCTTAGTAGAAAAGTTAAGTTGCACTGGGAAAACTGTTGCATAATGTGCTTCCCCAACCTGTAACTTAAATCACTTAAATACATTATTTTAGAAATTCTCAGAGACTTGAAATCTTCTGAGGTGTCTACCAACTGATAATCCATGCAAATAATTTCCACAGCTTGTTTGATATTTGCAAGTGAAACACACTTTTGCTTGTTCGTAACTAAGCTCATCTCTCCTGCATTAACTATAATGTCAAGTTTGGGGGGGGGGGCGGCTCTTTAATTAAAGAGCCCCAGACCTTTCAAGGATCAGCATTGATTGTCTTCTGCTTCAGATCCCTTCTTGATTAGGTTTAAATGTCCTTTTTGGTAACTATGGGCTCCTTTGTTGCTCCTTTAAAGGAGTAGCCCCCTGCCTACCTCACTCAGAGGCTGGTTTGGGCCTGAAATATATAACCAGACAATCCTGCTATGTATCTGATATTGCGGAGGCTAGAGGTGCTGTGGGTTTTGTTTTCAAGGTTGCAGATGGAGTTGAAGGTCATAATGCCTTTTCCCATGACTGCTGGCAGCAGCTGCAGGGTTACTAAGGGAATAGCCACAGACCACAGTGTGATGAGAGGAATAAACTCAGGTGACTCTGCCTGTCTGGCTTGTATAAAGTCTTACAGTCCTGCCTTCATTGGGGAGTCCTTGCATAGGGCCAGCCAGGCTCCTGGAACCATCACTGCCCTCTACTGGATCAGCATAGGAGTCCTTGAAGCCCAGTGGGTCCTTCTGATGAAATGGGTGTTAGCCTTTGAGCTCTGAGGAAGTGGCGACCACAGAATTTATCCTCAGTTCACCTCATGCACTTAGCCAGTGACAATGGTTTGCTTGGTTTGACATCTGCTTGTACTGAAACTAGTCATATCTGTGAGATCTGTCAGATGCGGGTTCTATTCAATTTGGTACACTTGTACAGAAAATACCATTTTGGGTTTGAAAGCAGATACATTTAGATCAGAGACATGAAAAGACAAAATGGCTTTAGAATGCTGAAAAAGGCCTTGGCAACTCTGAAATGGTGTTTTCATTTAAGGCTAATTTGTATGTCAAAGCAGATTCAGGAAAGTCCATTTGAGAAAATCCCCTTAGAAGTGACTATTATTTCTATTATGGTTAGTCTTTAATGTGCAGAACACTGTGGAGCTGGGACAGTGAGACTTGGCGGCCCATTTACTTTAGCCACCAAATGTGACTTTTTTTGTGCCCAGAATCACTTCTGTTACTTTTTCCAGAATTTCTCATCCCCTTCTACTTATTTTCAGTCTTTTTTTTGACCCACGCCTCTATTTTATTTTTCATCCAACCCTCTGCAATGAATGACAAAAATGGAATACTGAAGGAGAAAATAACTTAAAGCTATGAAATACATGTTTGATCTACATGTTCCTTGGAGAAAGTGTGGAACATTCAGACAAGAATAAAGAGGAAGGTTAGATCACCCCGATTGCTCTCTGCACCCATCCTTCTCCACCTTGCTGAGTGCCTGGGGAAGCTGAGCTCCATCCAAAGGCCCCCTTGCCTTCGGACTTCTGCTGGAGTTTTGCCTGTGTGAGTGAAGTTGGGCCTGACTTCCTTCCTGTGGGGTTGCAGCTGGCTGTCTGTGTGCCTTGACTGAAGGGCACAGCTCTGTCCAGCAGCCCTCTCTCTAAAGGTTCAGGAAACCACTCTTTCCTCCAACCCCTTCTGGCCTAGGCTGCTAATGGGGCTGACCCTAGGAACCCGTACCATTCTTCACTCATACCTCACATATAGACCCTTAAGACACTCTCCTCAAATTACCCAGTATACGAGTTTTATCAGTTTTCTGCTGAAACCCAGGATGGTCCAATCATAATCCCTACTTAGAGATAAATATGGGTAATCATGTTGGAGTATCTCCTTAGCTACCTTTATTTATTATCCTGTGGGATCAGATTAAATCATGAGTTAGAGATGTAGCCTAATTCTGTGTGTACATCTTTATATCTTACCTTATATCTTACCCCTCCCACATGTAATTACTTATGAGAGTGACCCCCTATTGTTAAAATCTTCCCTATCTCAAATAATGAACTTTATTGACTACTTTTTGTTTCACTATATGGATAGAACTGAATTTATTTTGGGACTCAAGAGCACCTCTGTGATCTACCTTCTGAATCCCCTCAAACTTAGTGGCTTATGTATTTATCTGCTGGTTCAACTTTGTAAGACAGAGGGTTTGACTGGCTCAGTGTGTCACACACCCCCTCTGGGGTACCCCTACTGGACAAAAGCTCAAGCTGGGTTACCTCGTGGACAATTGAGCCTCTTTATGTTCAGCCTTCACTAACCTCAGTGGTTAAGTGACTTCTCCTAGTTCCCATCCTAGTAAATTGCAGAGCTGGAACTTGAACTCATGACTGCTGTCTCTAAACCCAGGGCTTATCTACTCCAAAATGTATTTGCCAACAATGTAAAACTCAATCTCTACATCTAACCACAGAAACCACAGTTGTAAGTCACAGAAGAATGTCAATTTTTTAAAAACGTGTGTGGTTCCAAAGAAATGGGCTATCAAGCCACAAAAAGACCTGGAGAAAACGTCAGTGCATATCACCAAAAAGAACTCCACTTGCGAAGTCTACACACTGTAGGTTTCCAACTATATGACATTCCAGAAATGGCAAAACTCTGGAGACAGTAAAATGATCAGTGGTTGCCAGGGGGAGGAAGAAGAGATGAATAGGTGGAGCACAGAGGATTTTTAGGATGGTGAAACTACTCTGTATGATACTGTAATGGTGCATACATGTCATTATACATTAGCAAAAATTCACAGAATGTGTACCTCTAAGAGTGAACCCTAATATAAACTATAGTCTTTCGGTGATAATGATGTGTCAATGTAGGTTCATAATTGTCACAACTGTACCACTCTGGTGGGGGATATTGACAATGGGGAGGCTGTGCATATGTGGGGAAGGGGGTACCTCTGTACCTTCTGGGAATCTCTGTACCTTCTGCTCAATTTTGCTGTCAACCTAAAACTGCTCTGAAAACTAAGATTTCTTCCTTTTAAAAAAATGTGTAGTTCCTTTTAAATTGGTATCCTATTAATTTCCATTGCCAACAGATTTACTGTGTTTAACTCTAGTTTTCATTTAAGAAAAATGACTGACTTTTTTATCACAAATGTCTGCAATAAATTGACATTCCCATCACAGGGGCTTTCTCACTGGAAACCTATTTTCCTATTGTTATTTTAAAGCAGTGTCAACATCCATCTCCTACATTCAGATAATGTGGACACATAATCAATTACCAAACATATTTAATTCAGAGGCCTACTGAAGCGTTTCACACTTGAATCTTGTAGTGAAGATATTTACGAGATTGTTTTTATTTAAAGCCCTAGAGATTTAGAGGAATAAACTAGAAGCTTAACTTGAGACTTTCAAAATCCTGAGATCTATCCAGGCATCCATCATACATGACAGAATGATTATACCACCCCCAGAACTAGGTGCTCGATGACGCACTGAGTTAATCTCTTTCTATTCCAATGTATACTACATATATCTTTTATTCAATATATTGAGTACAGAAACTTAAAGCTCAGAACTTTGACATTCTCATGCATTAATTTCTTTTTGTTTAAACAACATAAAGAGATAGTCTTCATTAGAGAGGATCATAATGGACATATGTGGATAGGTTTTCCTGTTGGTTGCTCAAAAAGTAAATAGCAAAAATATGTGTCTCTATGTAAACATATTTTCTGAAATTGGGTCAAAAGGATCAATGACTAGTTTGTGGTGTGTGAGTCCTGTGGACGATGTGTGTACTGACCATTCATGCTTCCAGAGCTTCCTTTCTGTTGATCAGGGATTACGGGAATGATGTTTTAGAAATTTGGTCACCTGGTTTGTAAAGTAAGGTCTTCCTGGGCAGAGTTTTGCTTTTCCCTTTGTCTTCTGAGGTAGATTTATAGGCAGCTCTTGTTATTTACACTAAAGGAAGGAGGAGAGAGAGAGATTTTATAAAATTGGATAATCCTAAAATCATTTGGGGGGTGTTAGAATTCATAGTTTATTTTTTAGATAACAGATATGTTTCCTTAATTCATTTTCTTTGGACTAATTTTAGACATTTATTCCTATTACTTGAACACACAGTGGTAAAAGGCAGCAGAGGCATTTCTGAAGCATGAAGGATCATGGGGGAAAAGAATGAGATTAAAATTTTGCTATGGATATTGCCATGTTGTTCTTACACAGTTAAATAACTTAATTCTGTGAAATTTGCTTACAGTGTTGTCTTTTAAGAAGTTATGTACTGTAAAATATATATGCATATGTAAATTTTGTTTATGTATATTTCTGTAAACATATTTTTATTCCTTTATATATAATATACTTATCTATTATATTCCTGTATATTTTATTATATGCATATCAAAATATATAATTAATAATATGTTATATATAATTAATAATATATGTTATATAACATATAATTGTTATAGTCCTTCATATGTTATTATTATATGAGCTTTATAATAATATATAAAGGAATAAAATAAATAAGGTTCTGGTTCTGCCATTGATTTACTGCATGATCAGTGTGGGCTGGGAGTAGGGTGACCAACCATCCCTCCTTTGCCTAGGACTGAGAAGTTTCCAGGGATGTGGGACTTCCAGTTTTAAAGCCAGGGTGAGCTGTTCAGCTGAGCTCAAGGGAGTAGCCATGGACCAGGCAGGGGTGAGTTTTTTTGGTGGCCCAAGCCAAGTGTATATTGCAAAAATATAGTGAGCAAAATAGTGGGTCAAGAAAAGGGTCAGAGGAGAGTTAAGGGGCAAAGCTGAAGTTCACAGCCACCCAAAGTTTTAGACAATGAAGAGTGTTTCTGCAAGGAGCCAAATGAAATTAGAACAAGCTGGGCCCATTCTAGGTGAATAATGAGGTATGGTTCTCCCAGGAGTTCTAGAATAGTCAGTTGGCTACTGTAAGGGTCTTCTCATTCCGTTCCCTCTGCTGCAGGGACCACCTGCTCCAGGACTTACAGAGCCAATAGAGAAAGTCAGCACTTTCCTTCAGGGAAGTAGATTATTTTCATCGTATGCAAGGGATAAAGTAAACATTGGGGTTTAACAATGAACTTTTGTTTCTTATTTTCATTTTTGAAAAGTACTGAGTATTTAATCTTATGAGTATATAGGAAAATTGGGTGGTATTACATGACACTCCAAAATGCTTTCCCTAAAAGTTACCCTCCCATGGATGAGAGTGGTCTGATGGATAGTGGTGGTCTGTGATTTTACCCTACTCTTTCTCTATGAGAAGAGAGGCTCAAGTTTCCTTCTGGATCTAAATGGGTAGAATATGTGTCCAGCCCCTACGGGGTATATTGCCTCTCTCCATCCTCTGGCAGGAGAGGTGCTACTCTGCACCGTGGTATATTTACTTAGTGTACTATATACGTTAACAAATTTAAAAATGTATAAAGTGGAGATTTATGAATACAGAGAAAATAGGGGTAGGGAAAGAATGGTAAATCTAGAAGTGAATCCACAAAATGCATGCTGAGAGGTTCTGTATGGTGGATGGGCAAGGGCCCCCAGTTGGCTTTGTGCCTAGAGAAAAACATGGTCCAATAAGTGAATCAGTGTCCATAAGATACAACAAGCCAGTGCCAGAAGACAAGCTCAATGCTTCTTTGTATGAAGGCAAGAGGGAAGTTTTTCCAGTGGGTTTTCCTAAGGAGGATACTTCGAAATGTAATGAGCCACATTCTCAATAGTATCTTGACAGGCATTTCATAGAAGTGCTTCCTATAATGTTCCTCAGATAAAGGCTGATGGCATAAATTCACAGCTCAATTCAATAAAAATTCCTATCTTAAATTCTTTACAGAACAAAGTAAGGTATGAATATACACATTTTTAAAAGTCATCAAAAGATGGCAAGAACTAAATGAGACAGTCTAGGTATGAAAATCTCTGCTGGCCTGGAACCACCCAAAGACAGATTTTAGAGTATGCAGTGGAATGTCTGGATTTTCAATCCTTCAGGCAATTCTCCGTAATGGTGTTTCTAAAACAAGCTTTTGAAGTATTGAAAGCAATGAGTTTGATGGGATCCTGCCTGACACATACCTCCTGGAATTCACTCTGCCGTGTGGCTGATTATGTCCGGAACCCATTGATAATTCCTCATGTCAACGTTGGGAATGCAAGCACAGACAACACCTAAACAGAGGCCAGCCTGCCTTTTCTTGGAGGTGGGCCAAGGAATGGTTATGGGAGCGTGAAAGCTCTTCTCACAATTCTAGTTCTTCCCCAGTGCATGGAGTAATGGAAGGGCCCCAGCATTCTATACCTGTAGAACATTATGGTAAGAATTGAAGTATGCGACAAAAGTTAAACTCTTTTTGAGTTCTCTTGGTCCATGGGGAGCTGAGGTTCTTTTTTGACCGGGCCTCAGATACATCTCTTTGGCTTCATTTTAACACTGTTCTCAAAATCACCTCAGAATGGTACCTGGAACCTCCGTTTAACTCACTCCTTGGTTCTACTTTGGTTGCTCTATGACTGTCCCACCTCCCTCACCCCCCTCCTCCACCCCCCATGCTCTGAGCAGCTTGGCCTATGTTTTCCCTTTATCTCTCTCTTTGTTTTCTTTCTTTTGGCCCACCCTCCCTCCTCCCCTCTCTTCTTTCCTTCCTTCCTTCTTATGCCTGCCTTTCCCCTGCCATAATTCATACCTAACCTCACAGGCTCTTTCAGAGCTGTTAAGTAAAATTCTATAAGTAAAAACGCTCTGTATAATTTTTTTTCACCTGCTGCTCAACCTACCTGGTGACCCAGAGCTCCAATTTCTCATAAGAATTGCCACTACCTCTCTTGATTAAATTTTCAGGTTCATATTTTTGCACAATTGTTTTTTATAAACATGCATGAACACAAATAGGATTATTTATGTGATTTATTTCAGTCAAATTACTCTGATTCCAACCAATCTGAAGACATCTCCAACTTAACCATGGTTTTGGACATGATGCGGTGGGGGGGACAGTAAACCATGTTTTTTATTATATCCTGTCTTTGACAGATATTAGGAGACTAGACCAGTATGGAGTGAGATGACATTGTTAGTGATTTTTTCTTGGGATGCTTATCACATTGTACAGAATCTCATGTTGATCTTTCTAATTTTTTTTGTAATCCATGCAAGCTGTATATTTCCTTGTAAAAAATTGATATTTGGGAAAATATTTTTACCCTGAGAAGTTCCCAGAAATAGAGATTTTCTGAATCTTATGAGCTATGAGACATTTAACCAAAGAAAATTTTCAAAAACTATTTTAAATGGAAGCTCCATATATATTGTGCTTAATTTTGTCAAGAGACATAGTCTTAGGAGCACTTTTGACAAAATATCTGCTGTTCTGTTGATAACCTTGAAGCTGACCTCTTTCCCATTAAAGAATTAACATTTGGAATTTTTATATGAATGAATAAAACTGCAATGTCACCTTCCATTTAAGCAATATTTTTCACTTCTTTGGCATTTCTAGCCAGTCTTTTTTTTTAATTTGTGTCCTTGAGGTAGTCATTCATTTTGGATCTTAAATATCAAGCTTTCAGCATTTGTCCTTTTAGAGACTGTGTCATGAGGCTGAACTCTAATACTTGAAAATGATTAGAGTTTGCCACTTTACAACCGTTCTGATAGTTCATCACCTGCTTGGATTTCAGCTTACTCTGTAAATTCAGGTACTTAATACCTGACTCTGAATAAAAATATTTTGAAGTGTTTTAGCAACCAAACAAACCATGCAATGAGAAAGAGGTGCAGACGACTCGCTTGTGGTTATGGTTGTCAAGGAAACCATTTCCGTATATAGTGTTTGATAACAGCCATGTTTTTTTAAAGGCCATAAAAACAAAGCTTGTCCAGAAGTATGAAGAAGAAAGCATACAATGAAATAAGCCACAGCCAACTAGAAGTTATGAGAATGCATTAGATGCAAAATGCTAGATATCAATTGATGAGATGTTTTACAACATAGAAATTAAACTCAAGAGGGATAACATGTTGAAAAGTGTGGCAGAATGGGGGTGGCAGCAAAATGCCCTTGTTGAGGCAAGGTCAAAGTCTCACTATGTTCTCAAAATATACTGTGTGCATTTTTAGAGAAATTGTTTAATTAAACAAACAGCTTCATCTTTGCCATACACAAACTCGTGGAATGGAATTTAAACAGCTTTGATAACATAATCAGTGAGAGGCTTGAATATATTGCCCAGCAATAGACTAGATTGCTAGAGCTACACAAGCTGCAGGAAATGGAGAGCTTATTTGGGGGTTTTGTCTAGTTTATGCTACGTTTTGCTTTAAAAGAGAAATGAACTGTAGTGCATAGTGATGCTGAAGATCTTTATGGAGGAAAAAAGATCCTAAGATGTTGATTATGGATAAAGTCTATTTTGAAAGCTCTTTCTCAAGGTCTATACATATAGAGCAAAACCCCAAGGAGGAAAAGATGGCTGGGTATGGTGACTTATGCCTGTAATCCCATCACTTGGGGAGGCTGAGGCAGCAGATCACTTGAGGTCAGGATCTCAAGACCAGCCTGGACAACATGTGAAACCCTGTCTCTATTAAAAAAAAAAATAGCTGGGCATGATGGTGCATGCCTATAATCCTAGCTACTCAGGAGGCTGAGGCAGGAGAATCACTTGAACCTAGGAGGCGGAGTTTTCAGTGAGCCGAGACCGTGCCATTGCACTCCAGCACTCCAGCCTGGGCAACAGAGTGAGACTCTGCCTCAAAAAAAAAAAAAAAAAAGAAAGAAAGAAAAGAAAAGAAAAAAGAAGAAAAAATGATGTTGGTTTGACATTACAGATTTTTATTCTAAAATATGGTTTCCCATTCATAAAATGTGAAACATAAAGTATGAAAGATGTGGCAAAAGTGGAACTGTAAGGTGCATGATTCTATAGAGAAAAGGGGTAAATTGAGCCTAGTCTGAAACTATCCAACCTACAAAAAAAGAACATGTGGTTTAAAAGATACATGATTTGACATGTTGGAAGCCAGATGAAAGTCCAATGAAAAGACATAATTTCTGAATAGATTCTAATGTCTAAAAGAAATGATTTCATTCTTGCTCGAGCAATTTTTTCTTATTTCATAAACTATTAGGGTAATTATTTATGTAAGCAGAAAAATTGATTTTGTACTTCTCCCTTCCTTTTTCTTTAATATGTACACATAACTGCAGCATATGACATAGTAAAATTTTCACATTTGTTTCTTTACAATTTACCACAAAGGAAATGTCGTTTGGGCAACTTATGATGTGCAAAGATAGAGCCAACTCACTACTGCCTGTTGCCTCACACTTAAGTATCATTTATTTCTAAAGATCATGAAATGCTTATTTCATCCTAATGCCTCTTTCACATTATTCCATCAGTATTTTAATATAGAATAACAAAAGCAAAACAGAATTAATATATTTTAAGGGCAAGACGACTGACCTCAGGATGACTGATTCTCTTTTATGAGAATGCTGTAAGAAAGTAAGTGGGAAATGAATCAGAGGAGGAGAACAAGACATCACAGAATGTCCTCAGATCCCTGTGGCATTTTAGTCTGTACAAAAAAGACCTAACCCAGTGCTTCACATCTAGGTGTTTAATTTTTCCCCTTCCATTACCTCCCAGACCTTGCAATCATAATTTTCAGATTTTTTACTTTCTGTCTCTTAAAGCTTCCATTTTCTAATTAGTCAGTCTAAAAGCATGAGAATGACCAAAATGGTGAAAAGTCTGGAAATCATATTATATGAAAAGGGGAGCATGCATTTGAAGAACTGCCACATAGAAAAGGAATTTCACTTTTTCCGTGTGACTTTCATAGAACCAACTATGACCAGTGGGCAGTAGGTATATCATAGTAGATATTCAAGTCCTCAGAGTTGCTAAAAATAGACTCAGCTGCTTTAAGACATAGAAAACTAGCCATTTTTTGAGGGGGCCTTTTAGGATTTTCACTGCATCAACTATCTCCAATGGCACGTTCCCTTAGGCTGGACATTCTCATGTCTCTTCCTTTAATCCAAGCTCTTCTCCTAATCTCCTTACTACCTAAGTGTGAAATAGGCACCAAGTCCTATGGATTTGATCCCCTTACTGTCTCTTGAGCCTGTCCTCTTCCTTCCATCCTACTGCCACTCCATCATAGTTCCTGTCTCCTTGAAATGTGAGCTTCCTGAGGGCATGAGTTGTCTTATTTTTTATACCTAGTTAGCTAGCACGATAGCTGGTTACTCAGTAAATACATACTGAATATGTGACTTTCAACAATTTACTTTGAAATCATTTGGTTTGAGTGGCAGCCTGGTCTATTCATTCAATAAACATTTTTTGAGCATCTACTACGTGCAGTGGAGGATATCTGGATGAATAAGACAAAGTGATTTCCCCCTCAAGCTCATAGTCTAGTTGGAAGAAAAATATGTAAACGAAAATGGATTTGGCTCAGGCAATGTTATGAAAATAAATAAATACCTGATCGACTTAATTGAAGTTACAGCCTATCAGATTTCTACCATTTGGCAGGAGTTCTGCAGCCAGATCCACCAGGTGTTCTTTGAGAGGCCAAGGAGAGGGCTGGGTATCATAGGGCTAAAGGGATTGCCTTCTGGAGATGTGAGAGGACGTCCATACGTGAATGAGTGAGCCAGGCAAGATCACGAGGAAAAGCCACAGTTCTGGTTCTTACTACCAGCCTTTCCTTGCTAGGGACCATCTTTCCTTAGTTTAGAGTTTCTCATGGTTTTATTTTTCTCCTCGGGCCTCATCTCTTTCCACATCAAACTCTGTTTCATATTGGTTTGCTGTCAAACTGGTTTCTTCTTAAATTTGCAGTGCATATGTAGTTTCAGAGCTTTTGATTTTTCAGTCTCCAGTTGTTTAAAGTTCAGACTTTCTGCTTGGCTTCACAAATATAGTTAGCTATTATATGATTACTTAGTTACTTATTTTCCTATTTCCAATTTTATGAATCCAGGCAAATGCATGAAATGTTAGAGATGAGAGGCTCCTCCAATGTTATATTTTCTGTTAACCAGTTCATTGAATGCCTATTCCCTCCCTGCACCAAATGTTCCAGTCAAAGTGTTCTCTGCAGCTTCAGTGAGGGTGGTTTTATGGACCACCTTGGATTTAAGAAGGGGGAAAATACATTCTTGGCTGAGTATGGCATGTAAGACTTTTCTCTCATTACCGTAATGCTCTTCTCCCTCTAGTTATTTCTGGTTTCCAACTAATAAATGTCCCTGAGCTATAGTCCTCCTGCAACAAAATGTGATTTTATTATTCTAACTTTTTCAGCCTCCTCCTACATAAGCAGGCTTTGTATGACTATTTTAATAGAGGAAGAACATTGGGGAATTGATCTAGTGTATATGTGCATGAGCACAGAAGAATCATGGGAGAGAGATCAAGATGAAGGAATAAGAGATGTACATGAAATAAAACTTGGTCTTCTATACTTGTGACCACAAGTTTTATTTTCCTTTATTTTTGGCCTCAAATTTCCTTCCATTTAATCTCTAATTGTTCTGACATTCAGAACACCAGACATTGAAGTGAGCTTTGTCTCATGAACCTTGACTCCCGGCTCTGAGGTCTGAGTGTCTGACTCCACGTACACAGCAGGCAACCTGTGACACGCCTAAGCCACGTGATGCTATCACATCGCATCACAGTCAAGTGAAAAACAGGTAAAGCCTAAAGTCTGTCAGTGGAATAAAAAAATAGCCTCAGGTCACTTTCCAAAAGCATTTGACTTAAGAGGGGAAAAAAAGGCTGTATTCTGATTTTATAATCTAGCCAGTTATTCATTCACCAGAAATGTGTTCTTTTCCAGTGATGCAAGGCTTGCTTACTTTATCAAGTTATTCCATTACTGCCTTGGAATGACTGGAGGTGGGATGGAGTACTATGGAAAACAAAGCAAAAAAACATGTTTTCAAACTCTCTTCAACTCATTTAAACGTTCCATTTAGTCGAACAGGCATTTGTTTGGATATTCCTTTCCAAGTCTTGAGATCATTTAAGTGCCTATACTCTTTGGAAATTCTCCTCCATCTTTTCCTTTTCATTTAGAATTAAGTTAAATTCTACTGTCATTTATTGTTCACCCTCTGCATACCAAACTTGGCATCTCTGCTGATTTTCTGTTTCCGTAGGAATGAAACTGCCCTTGAGAAAATATCACCTTCAAACCTTATGTTCATGGAAGGCTTAGATCCCATACTTACTTAGACCTCTTGGGCTCAAGATCACATAGATTTTTTTTTTCCTCAGTAAGTAGTTCATTCTAGAGGTGGATAATATAGAATTGCATGTTTTAAATGATGAAATATGACCAACTCCAGACTTACTAAGAAAAAATTTTGACATGGATAATCTCAAACTCAAACTGTATAATGAAAATTATGCAGAACATTGAAGTCAGACATGAACTAATCATCTTTCTAAACTTATCCAACGCTTTCTGCTAACTCCTGATTATGTGGGAGTTGCTGATCTGTTTTTCAGATTCTCCGGGAGTCTCCTAAGGTCATGTTCTGTCCTCATGTTCATATTTCTGGGCTTAAACAGAAGCTCAGGTTCCAGGCTTCTAGAACTTCCAAAGGGAGTAGGAAAAAATCCTCTGAGACCCTTGAATCACAAGACCGTGGTGAAAGCCAGCTCTACCCTGGGTCAGATTAAGTGGCAGCTAAACTGCCTGACTTTGTAAATCTTCCTGAAATCACTAGTTTAACTTGGTCTGAAAATCCCTTCTAGCGTACTCTACATGCACACGATTGTCTCTAGAATACCATTGTTAAAACATTGAGGCAGGGCCGGGACGGCTCATCTTTATGTGGTCTACACAGAGCACCTGGCTCAGGCCTTGTATGTGTTTGTCAAATGGATGGATATTTCTTGTAGAAGAGAGGTCCTGACTTAGTTTGCCTAATTAGCTAATTAATATGAAAAGACATCACAACCAGAGAGAGTGAGGCTTGAGGAAAACATTCATGATAGGCAGATGGTAATGAAATGGAAGGAATTGTGCTGTACATTTGAATACGAGTGCTAAGAACCCCACTAGAAATACCAAATCAGGATCTTTGGAGAGTTGGGCCCAAGAATATGCATTTTCTTCAAACTCCACAGGAAATTTTGAAACACAGCTATGGCTGGAAATTATTCCAATAAAAGAAAGTTTTCTTGAGTTTAGTGCTTTCTGGATAAGTGGGAAGACAGTAGGTACTTATGAAATGCCTTCTTGATTGGATGAATAAATAAATCAGGGTCCAGGTAGAAGCTGAGTCCTTAATTACAGTTATGTCCCTGCTGCCCTCATTCTATCCAGGCCCAAACCTCTTTAGCAGCACTACCTATTCCTCAGCTATAATCTGGAGGATAAAGGGGAACCTGGGAAGAGCAATGAGAAGACAAATAAAAGCTGATGATTAAAAATAGAATCTCAGGATGCTTTGGGTTACATCTGGTCTCCCCATGCTCCCCCAAAAAAGAGGCAGATTGGCATCCCATCTCCTCCAGCCAGCTTACAGCATATGCATGATCAAAAGTAATTTATGGCTCCTTTTCAGGCTCAGCTCTGAAGCAGAGAAGCTGACATTAAAATGGTGCATGTAACAGAAATGTGGCCTTGGAGAACCCCCAGAGGAGTTCCAGATCAGATCAGCTGTCTTTCATTAATCAGAAATGGGCTGTAGTTCACTCCTCTATTTGGAACATGTCTAGCCTTCCATCAAAATGGCAGAATGGTGAGTTCATGGATAAGGGTTTAGCATGAAACTTGGTACACACTTGTTATTGCAATCTCAGACTGTAAAATGAAACGTCTTAAAGGCCCGATCAACCTCATCATTTGCAGTACCACATTTAGCATAGCTTTGTGAATTTTCTTTTATTCTTGATTGCTCCCCTCCTTCTCCCAATGCAAATGAGTGCCTGGTGCTCAGTGAGTTGTGTCCTTATGCATTTAGCTGAAATCTCCAATTATAGTCAGGAGTGGGACAGTCTTCAAGAAAAAAAGAAAACACTGGCAGAGGGGAAAACTTGACAATCATGCCATTGAGCTAAGCACCGTGGTAAGTACTCTGCAGCATAGAAATCCATTGAGATAGCCACTATTATCTCCATTTTGTAGATGAAGAAAGTGAGGTTCCAAGATGCCAAGAGATTTTCCTAAATGTATGTGTGCAATAATATAGAGTCATAGAAGGTAAAGAGGTGGAGGGGAAGGAAGGCAAAGTGGGAGGAAGTCAGCCAAAGAAGCTAGTGGAGTAGTGTTCTGGGCAGAAGAAATACTTTAGAGGGAGAGAGCATGTGGGGAACTGAAATGTTGAAATTCAGGGAGAAGAGTAACAGGAGATGGGCTTCCAGACGGAAGGAGGCATTGAGAGGAAGGTGCCTCCCAAGGATCCTTGAGAGATATGTTAATGAGACTGGACTGCATTCTAGGGAAGTTATATGGTTTGGAGTGGGGAAATGACATAGCAAGATTTGTGTTTCACAAGGATTACATCGAATGCAGCATAGAGAATAGAGGCAACATGGAGGAAAGGTGACCACTGGTTGTGGTAGCCTTGACAAATGGCAAAGCCTGGTATGGTACAGTAGTAGTGCAGAACAGAGATACACATAGGAAGTAGAATAACACAGGGTTTAGTGACAGACTCTGTGTGGGAGATAAGAGGACATGATAAGTCGTAACTGATGATGAGCATGGATCCTCAAGGAAAGACATAGTGGGAGAATGAAATGTTGGGGTTTTCTGGAGCTTGGAACCAGTTCTTACTCTGGTTCTGTATTCTAACTTTTCTAGACTAAAAACTCCAGAAGGGTAGAAATCTTGCAGTCTAATTTCTCCCTACTCATTTTGTATGTGAAAGAACCCACAGAACAGTTGAGTTTGAAGGTCAGCTCTGTAATTTATTAACTTTGATACAGTATGAGGAAGATACTTAATGTCTATTCAGGGCCCACTACATTTTGGGCTCTAGGAAGACAACAGTGATCGAGAATGAAAAATCTTTACCTTTACGAAACTCTAGTTCGGAAGAGAGACAATAAGGAAATACAGAAACACCGGATAATTACAAACTGTGATAAATGCCATGAAAGAAATAAAAAAAAGGATGATGAGATAGAGCTAAAGAATGGTAATTAGTCAGCCAGTAAGAAGCTGGGGGAAGAACATTCCAGGCAAGTGCAAAGCCTGCAAGTGTGAAAGGGTGTGGTGGGCCAAGTAACAGGAACCCCAGGCTGTGAAGAGATTAAGTTTTATTCTAAGAGCAAGAGAAGCCATTCATGCATTTTAAGCAAAGGAAACAACAGATCCAGATTTACATTTTCATAATATCATTCTAGCTGTTGAATGGAGATCATGAATTAGAGAGAAAGTGACAAGAGAGAGACTAGCTAGGAGACTATTGCAGTTGTCCAAGAAAAATAAAAGTGTCTTAAATAATAATAGTTAATGCATAGAAACTTTTTTTTTTTTTTTTGAGATGGAACTTCGCTTTGTCACCTAGGCTGGAGTGCAGTGGTGTGATCTCGGCTCACTGCAACCCCCACCTCCTGGGTTCAAGTGATTCTCCTGCCTCAGCCTCCCAAGTAGCTGGGACTACAGGTGCCTGCTATCCTGCCCGGCTGATTTTTGTATTTTTCTAGAGACAGGGTTTTGCCATGTTGGCCAGGCTGGTCTTGAACTCCTGACCTCAGGTGATCCACCCGCCTCGGCCTCCCGAAGTCTTGGGATTACAGCCGTAAACCACCACGCCCAGCCTTATAGAAACTCTTTATAGACTTGTAAGCAAATTTTCATGGATTGTTTATTTGAGGCAAGTTTTGGACAAAAAACACTACAAATGTATTACTCAATTTACAGTTTTCCATCATGATATTTTTAAATTTTTCATAATATAGAAATATTGAAATAATCATAGTATTAGACCATGTACCTATCACCAAGATTCTGCAATCAACCTTTTACTATTCTTGCTTTGCCACAAATGTATCCCTCTACTTATCTCTCTATCAATCCACCTTATTTTTTAATGAATTTCAAAGTAAATGCAGGCATCAATACAGTTCACTTCTAAACACTTCAACATGAGTACAATTTACTAGGGATCCATGTTTTTTATGATTTCTCTTTTTTTCTTCTGTCATCAAACATACATATTGTGTTTTTTTTTCTTTTTTAATTATTATTATACTTTAAGTTTTAGGGTACATGTGCATAATGTGCAGGTTAGTTACATATGTATACATGTGCCATGCTGGTGTGCCGCACCCATTAACTCGTCATTTAGCATTAGGTATATCTCCTAATGCTATCCCTCCCCCCTCCCCCCACCCCACAACAGTCCCCAGAGTGTGATGTTCCCCTTCCTGTGTCCATGTGTTCTCATTGTTCAATTCCCATCTATGAGTGAGAACATGCGGTGTTTGGTTTTTTGTCCTTGCGATAGTTTACTGAGAATGATGATTGTAAATGCACAGATTTACATATACCATTCAGTGAGTTTGACAAATACACACACTCAAGTATGATCCAGGCTGTTTTACTCCTCTCCTTTGTGAACTCCAGTGACACTTTGTGAGAATTTTTCATATTGTCCCACAGGTCCCTAAGGCTCTGTCATTTTGTTGAATCTTTTTTCTCTCTGTTCTTCAGTTTGGATAATCTATTAATCTACCTTCAAATTTACATTCTTCTATCATCTCCAATCTGCTGTTAATCTCACCAAGGGATATATATATTTTTTTAATTTCAGTTTTGTGTTTTAGCTCTAGAATTTATTTTTGTTCTTTGTTATAGTTTATGTTACTCTGTCAAATTTTCCTGGTCTTTTATTTATAATAAAGATATTTTCCTTTGCTATATTGTGCATAGTTATAATAGTGACTTTAAAATCCTTGTCTGCTAATTTTAACATCTGGATCTGTAGTCTCTGTTGATTGCCTTTTCTTTCAAATATGGTTCACATTTTTCTGTTTCTTTGTACCCATGTGTATCCATCGTTTAGCTTCCACTTATAAGTAAGAACATGTGGTATCTGATTTTCTGTTTGAGTTATTTCACTTAGGATAATGGCCTCCAGCTCCAACTGTGTTGCTGCAAAAAACCATTTTATTCTTTTCTATGGCTGAGTAGTATTCCATGACATATATGTATCACATTTTCTTTTTTTTTTCTTCAACTTTTAAGTTCTGGGGTACATGTGCAGGATGTGCAGGTTTGTTACACAGGTAAACATGTGCCATGTGGTTTGCTGCACAAATAAACCCATTACCTAGGTATTAAGCCCAGCATCCATTAGCTATTCTTGCTGATGTTCTCCCTCCCCCTGCACCCCCACCAACAGGCCCCAGTGTGTGTTGTTCACCACCATGTGTCCATGTGTTCTCATCATTCAGCTCCCACTTATAAGTAAGAACATTCAGTGTTTCATTTTCTGTTCCTGTGTTAGTTTGCTAAGGATAGCAGCTTCCAGCTCCATCCATGTCCCTGCAAAGAACATGATTTTATTCCTTCTGATGGCTGCATCATATCCCATGGTGTATGTACTACATTTTCTTTATCCAATCTATCATTGATGGGCATTTGGGTTGACTCCATGTCTTTGCTATTGTGAATAGTGCTGCAATGAACATATGCATGCATGTGTCTTTATAGTAGAATGATTTATATTCCTTTGGGTATATACCCAGTAATGAGATTGCTGGGTCAAACAGTATTGTTGCCTCTAGGTCTTTGAGGAATTGCCACACTGTCTTCCACAATGATTAACCTAATTTACACTCCCACCAACAGTGTAAAAGCATTCCTTTTTCTCCACAACCTCACCAGCATCTGTTGTTTCTTGACTTTTTAATAATCGCCATTCTGACTGGTGTGAGATGGTATCTCATTGCATTTTTGATTTGCATTTATCTAATAATCAGTGATGTTGAGCTTTTTTCATGCATTTCTTGGCCACATGAATTTATTCTTTTGAGAATTGTCTGTTCATGTCCTTTGCCCACTTTTTAATGGGGTTGTTCATTTGTTTCTTGTAAATTTGTTTAAGTTCCTTGTAGACTCTGGATATCAGACCTTTGTCAGATAGATAGATTGCAAAAATTTTCTCCCATTCTGTAGGTGGTCTGTTCACTCTGATGATAGTTTCTTTTGCTGTGCAGAAGCTCTTTTGTTTAATTAGATCTCGTTTGTCAATTTTTGCTTTTGTTGCAATTGCTTTGGGCATTTTTGTCATGCAGTCTTTGCCCATGCCTATGTCCTGAATGGAATTGCCTAGATTTTCTTCTGGGATTTTATACTTTTGGGTTTTAGATATAAGTCTTTAATCTGTCTTTAGTTATGTTGCAGGAAGTCAGGGACCCTGAACGGAGGGACCGGCTGGAGCCGCGGCAGAGGAACATAAATTGTGAAGATTTCATTTTAAAATGGACATATATCAGTTCCCAAATAATACTTTTATAATTTCTTACACCTGTCTTTATTTCAATCTCTGAACATAAATTGTGAAGATTTCATGGACATTTACCAGTTCTCAAATAATACTTTCATAATTTCTTATGCCTGTCTTTACTTCAATCTCTGAACATAAATTGTGAAGATTTCATTTTAATATGGACATTTATCAATTCCAAAATTAATACTTTTATAAGTTCTTATGCCTGTCTTTAATCTCTTATTCCTGTTATCTTCATAAACTGAGAATGTACATCACCTCAGGACCACTCTTGTGTTAAATGTACAAATTGATTGTAAAACATGTGTATTTGAACAATATGAAATCAGTGCACCTTGAAAAAGAACAGAATAACAGTGCTTTTCAGGGAACAAGGGAAGACAACCATAAGGTCTGACTGCCTGTGGGGTGAGGCAGAATAGAGCCATGTTTTTCTTCTTGCAGAAAGCGTATAAATGATGTGCAAGTAGGGAAGATATTGCTACATTCTTTTCCTAGCAAGGAATATTAATAATTAAGACCCTGGGAAAGGAATGCATTCCTCAGGGGAGGTCTATAAATAGCTGCTCTGGGAGTGTCTGTCTTATGCGGTTGAGATAAGGACTGAAATACGCCCTAGTCTTCTGCAGTACCCTCAGGCTTATTAGGGTGGGGAAAATACCCCACCCTAGTAAATTTGAGGTCAGACCAGCTCTCTACTCTCAAACCCTGTTTTCTGTTGTTTAAGTTGTTTATCAAGATGATATGTGCACAGCTGAACATAGACCCTTATCAGCAGTTCTGGATTTGCCCTTGTCCTGTTTCCTCAGAAGCATGTGATCTTTGTTCTCCTTTTTGCCCTTTGAAGCATGTGATCTTGTGACCTACTCCTTGTTCTTGCACCCCCTCCCCTTTTGAAATCCTTAATAAAACTTGCTGGCTTTAAGGTCAGGTGGGCATCATGGTCCTACTGATATGTGATGTTACCCCTGGAGGCCCAGCTGTAAAATTCCTCTCTTTGTATTCTTTCTCTTTATTTCTCAGCTGGCCAACACTTAAGGAAAATAGAAAGAACCTATGATGAAATATTGGGGGTGGGTTCCCCCGATAGAGTTAATCTTTGTATAAAATGTAAGGAAGGGGTCTAGTTTTAATTTTCTGTATGTGGCTAGCCAGCTCTCCTAGCACCATTTATTAAATAGGGAATCCTTTCCTCATCGCTTGTTTTTGTCAGATTTGTCAAAGATCATATGGTTGTAGGTGTGCAGTCTTATTTCTGAGTTCTCTATTCTGTTCCATTGGTCTATGTGTCTGTTTTTGTACCAGCACCTTCTGTTTTGGTTACTGAAGCCTTATAGTACAGTTTGAAGTCAGGTGGATGATGCCTTCAGCTTTGTTCTTTTTGCTTAGGATTTTCTTGGCTATTCAGGCTTTTTTTGGTTTCAGATGAATTTTAAAATAGTTTTCTCTAATTCTGTGAAGGACATCAATGGCAGTTTAATGGGAATATTATTGAATCTATTAATTACTTTGGGCAGTGTGGCCATTTTCATGATATTGATTCTTCCTATCCATGAGCATGGAATGTTTTTCCATTTGTTTGTGTCCTCTCTGATTTCCTTGAACAGTGGTTTGTAGTTCTCCTTGAAGAGGTTCTTCACTTCCCTTGTTAGTTGTATTCCTAGGCATTTTATTGTCTTTGTAGCAATTGTGAATGGGAATTCATTCATGATTTGGCTCTCTGCTTGCCTGTTGTTGGTGGATAGGAACACTAGCAATTTTTGCACATTGATTTTGTATCCTGAGACTTTGCTGAAGTTGCTTATCAGCTTAAGAGGCTTTTGGGCTGAGATTATGGGGTTTTCTAGATATAGGATCATGTCATCTGCAAACAAAGGTAATTTGACTTCCTATCTTCCTATTTGAATACCCTTTATTTCTTTCTCTTGTATTATTGTCCTGGCCAGAACTTCCAATACTATGTTGAATAGGAGTAGTTGAAAGAGGGCATCCTTGTCTTGTGCCAGGCTTCAAGAGGACTGATTCCAGATTTTGCCTATTCAGTATGATATTGGCTGTGGGTTTGTCATACATGGCTTTTATTATTTTCAGGTATGTTCCTTCAATACCTAGTTTATTGAGAATTTTTAACAAGAAAGGAAGTTGAAGTTTATCGAAGGCTTTTCTGTGTCTGTTGAGATAATCATGTGGTTTTTGTCTTTAGTTATATTTATGTGATGAATCACATTTATTAATTTGTGTATGTTGAACCGACCTTACATCCTGGGGATGAAGCCAACTTGATTGTAGTGGATAAGCTTTTCAATGTGCTGCTGGATTTGGTTTGCCAGTATTTTATTGAGGATTTTTGCATTGATGTTCATCAGGGATATTGGTCTGAAGTGTTTTTGTCATTGTTGTATCTCTGCCAGGTTTTGGTATCAGGATGATGCTTTTCTCATAGAATGAGGTAGGGAGGAGTCCCTCCTTTTCAATTGTTTGGAATAGTTTCTGTACAAATGGTAGCAACTCTTCTTTGCACCTCTGGTAGAATTCAACTGTAAATCCATCTGGTCCTGAGCTTTTCTTGGTTGGTAAGCTATTTATTACTGCTTCAATTTTAGAACTTGTTATCGGTCCATTCAGGAATTCAGTTTCTCCCTGGTTAAGGCTTGGGAGGGTGTATGCATCCAGGAATTTATACATTTCTTCTAAATTTTCTAGTTTATGTGCATAGAAGTGTTTATAGTATTCTCTAATTGTTGTTTTTATTTTTGTGGGGTCAGTGGTGATATCCCCCTTATCATTTCTGATTGTGTCATTTGATTCTTCTCTTTTCTTCTTTATTAGTCTAGCTAGCAATTTATCTATTTTATTAATTTTTTTTCAAAAAAACAGTTCCTGGATTCATTGATTTTTGAAGGACTTTTGGTCTCTGTCTCCTACACTTCTGCTCTGACCTTGGTTATTCCTTGTCTTCTGCTAGCTTTGGAGTTTGTGCTTGGTTCTCTAGTTCTTTTGGTTGTAATGTTAGTTTGTTGATTTGAGATCTTTCTAGCTTTTCGATGTGGGCATTTGGTGCTATAAATTTCCCTCTTAACACTGCTTTAGCTGTATCCTACAGATTCTGGTACATTGTCTCTTTGTTCTTATTAGTTTCAAATAACCTCTTTTTTTTTCATCATGTTATTCATCATGATGGATGAATAACATACTCAGACACTGATATTCAGTGAAAGAGCAGCTAGGGAGCCTGGCCGTGCACAGAAAGATTTGTGGCAGCCATGTGCCCTGACTAGCTGGCCCTGTGGGCATTTATTCAGCACAGATTTAATGACAAAGGCTTTGAGTCAACACACTTGTGGGTAATTAATCTGGTCGCCCTCCCCCAGAGAGAGCAGTCATGCACCTGTGGAAGATCAAAGGTCAGTCTTAGGACCACATAAGTAAACAAGCTATTTAGATAAACTCCCCACATTCCCTTGTTATTTGCTCTTCTGCTATCAGCTCAAGGTAAAGAGGATTAGGCTGCCTTCAGCCATATCTTTTACTGAAGCTATGCAAACCTCCCGGCCTTCTAAGAAGGTTTGTGTCTATTTCCTATAACTTCATAATTTTTCCCACCACCTTGACTTGACTGATCCCCTACATCTCCCTCTTTTCTGTATTTTTTTTTTTTTTTTGCATCAGGCTTGGTTGTTTGAAGAGTACAGTTGTGTGCAGCAACAGGTCTGTTAGGCGAGGTGGTCATTGCTCTTATTCGGGCTTTGCATTCTAGAATTAGCAAATAACATAAGACAAACATGAGTATAATTAGCAACATTCTTTTCCAACCAAGGAGTGACCCCCAGGAGTCAGGGTCTATCCAGGAGAGATGTTTTTGCATATCTTTTCACATGGTTGTTACTGAGGAACCCCACTGGGGGTATATTAATTCCTCTTAGCCAAGCAGTCATGTTGTTAGAAGCTGGGAAGGGGGTGTTCGCCTAAGTAACTGGGCTGAGAAAAGATGGATTTAGAAGATGGGCTTAATAGAGTGTTGTAGGTACAGGTAGCAGGCAAAGTGAGAGAATAAAAATGTTAATAAAGTATAGAAAGGAACAAATTATCTGCAGTGAATGGTGTTTGTGTCTGGAGCAGGATTCGCTCAGTCTGAGTTGTCTTCTTCAGGATTCTGTCTGGGGCTTGTGCCACCCAAGGAAGCTGCATCATCTGGAGCTCTAGGTCCTGCAGGGACATTTTCTTTATTTTTGGTACTGGGTTGGGTCCTAGCCACACTATGGTAAAGTTTGATGTGTCATGCTGGAATCCAAAGAGGATGTGAGGGGGTGTGAACACAAGCATATCCTCTTTCCCACATTAGCAATTCTTTTGGATCACACCATGCATGACTGTTTACATCTTTCCATAAAACTGAGGGTTTTATGTCTTGAGAGGTTTTAGCAAAGTGCTTTTCTATAGATGATTGAAAGTTATCATCTAAATTTAAAAAATTAAGGGTAAATAAGGCTTGTGCTAATAGTGTTGCAGGGTCCTTACTCATACTCCCCATTTTTTGTTTTTTGAGCATATTTTTAAGGGTGGAGTGGGTACATTCTACTATGGCCTGCCTTTGGGGGTTATACGGGATGCCTGTGGAATGTTGGACATTCCACATGTGACAAAATTGTTGAAATTGTGAGCTGGCATAAGCTGGACTATTATTAGCTTTAATTTTTGTGGGCCACCCCATAAATGCAAAAGTGAAAAGAATATGTTTAATGACATATGGGTGGACTCTCCAGGAAGGGCATATACACTAATTAAGTGAGAATTGGTATCAACGGATACATGTACGTATCTAATTTTCCAAATTCAGGGATGTGTGTAACATCTGTTTGCCATAACTGATTAGGTTCTAGTCCTCTAGGGCTAACATCTGTAGAAGGAGGGGATGTGCCTGTGAGCTGGCAATTTGGGCATTGCAGGATAATTTATTTAGCTAGTCTCTGGTAAGTGGAAATTGTTCAGATAAGTTTCTCCAATTTTGGTGGAAGAATTGATGTGATTGGGTGGCTTGGTCAAGCAGTGATGTCATAACCTGAAGATCTGCTTGATCATTGCCATAAGCTAATGGGCCAGACAGTGAGCTGAGGGGTTGAATATGTGTGATAAAAATAGGATGTGAACATTGATCTAGCAATTGCTGAAGCTGGAGAAAAAGAGCACACAGGGTGGGCTCCAGAGTGGACTTAATTAGTGCTGTTTCAAGGTTTTGGAATAAATAAACAGAGTAAGCAGAGTCACTCACAATATTGATGCACTGAGTGGAAAAAGTCTCCAAAGCTAATATTAATTAAGGGTCCACCTTAGCTCTTTGAGTGCTAGTAAACCCAGATCGAGTGAGGGAATTATGTGGTCTCCACCAGACAGCTGCTTTTCCATGTTTACCTGAACCATTAGTAAACAGCATTAAAGCATTAGGTATGGGGTAGTGAACTATTTTTGTAGGTAAAATCACAGGAGTACGAGACAAGAACTGAAGGAGTTTATCAGCAGGAAGGGTATTCTCTATTTGGCCTGTGTAATCAGAGATGTCTATTTGCAAGTCCATCAATAAGGGCAATACTGCTTTGAATTGCTTCTTACTTAAAGGAATCCTGATGATATCAGGATCATAACCTAGCAACTGATTGCATTGTCTGTGGCCTGAATAGATTACTTTACTGATTAACTGGATGTAGGGAGAAAGTGTTTTAGTTCCAGTATGTGAGCAAAAAAACCCATTTTAGAAAGCGCAGTCCTGGAGTCATCTGTCCTATTAACCCTGTAGGAGAGTGTTTAGTGGGAAAAATTAACAATTGAATTGAATACCATGGATCAATGCAATCTAGTTGCCTTTGAGAGATAGCTTGTTCTGTTTTTTCAATTTCCCTTTTTGCTGCAGGGGTTAAATACCTGGGAGAATCCAGGGCTGTATTGCCCTTTAAGATAGAAAACAGGTTTTGCAACTTATCTGTAGACATGTCCAAGGTGGGGTGAAGCCAGTTAATATCGCCTAGCAATTTCTGATAATCATTTAAGGTGTATAAGTTGCTAGTATTTAATTTAAACTTTTGAGGTCTTACTGACCAGGAAGTTAGTATGTATCCAAGAAATTTCCAAGGAGAAGACATCTGTACTTTTTCAGGTGCTATGATTAAACATCTTAACTGTGTATTTTTTACGACAGAGGTATATAGACTTAAAAACATTTGCTCTGTTGGGGCTGGTAGTAAAATATCATCTATAAAATGAATAACCTTGCAATCAGGAAATTCTTTTCTACTGGGGAGCAAAGCTTGATTTACTTGATACCTGCACATGGTAGGACTATTCAGCGTTCCTTGAGGAAGCACTTGCTAATGAAATTGGCAAGCTGGCGTTTCATTATTGATAGCTGGTATTGTAAACACAAATTTTTCTCTGTCCTGCTTTGCAAGTGAAATAGTATAAAAGCAGTCTTTTAAATTAATAACAATTATAGGCCAATCTTGAGGAATTGCTGTGGAGGAGGGAAGGCCCTGTTGAAGGGGCCCCATAGGTTGTAAATTAGCATTAATAGCATGTAAGTCATGCAAAAGTCTCCATATACCAGACTTTTTGGGAATGATGAAAATGGGCAAATTCCAAGGGCTGTTTGATGATTCTATATGACCTGTTTTTAATTGCTCCTCAACTAATTCTTGGCCTCCTTGTAATTTCTCCCCCTTTAAAGGTTACTGTTCTACTTAAATTGGATTTTGAGAGAGCCACGTTAGGGGTAGGAGATACATAACAGTGGCCATTATTAGAAAGAGGTCTTTTAAATTCTTAAGTTTTACTTATATTTTAGCAGAGAATTATAATCTGGGATGTTGCTTGTATACAAGGAACACATGAATTTTGCTGTGGGATGCCCACAGAGCCAAAGAGCAGTGGCATGGATCCCGGGGCAGTGGCCACATTGCATTTTCCTAGGCACCGCTTTTTGTCTGTGCCACTTTTTGTCTGTGCTGCTCCCTTCCCCCACCGCTGTGTGGCTGCTGCCGGCCGGGAGGACCCTGTCGGCCCGGGGCACCACAAGCTTCCCGGCTGCTGAGCCTTTACTTCCACCCATTGCCCACTTAGCCATGCAGCTCCAGCCTCTAATGCCTTTTCTTATCTTTTTATAAACGTTAAAAGAAATGTGTTTTTATACCTGATTGCCTTGTTGATCTTGCATTACTGGACAGGCTAAGAGCTCCCCTTCTAATGTTGCTTGCCTAAGATGGGGTCCCATAGCTGTAGCATATCCCTTGTCTTTTTTCCTATCAATTAGAGGAGGAGGCTCAGCCAAGACCTCCATTTCCTCTTTGTTATTTTGGCCCCAGTGATAGTGGGGCTGAGGGACAAAGAGGTGGTAAGGTAAGTGACAGTTCCTCCTCCTTCCCCATTTTAGGCTCTTCTGTGTATAATGAGACCACAGCCACTCTGACTAAAGCCTGTAGCATTAAAGCTGTTACTGGGACCTGTTACCCTTGCACATGGTGTTGTTTAAGATTTCTCCCCACTTGTTCCCAGAGCTCTACATCTAGTGTACCTTTTTCCAGGAACCATGGGTTATGGAATACAACAGTTCGCATTACGTCCCTTAATTGAGCCTGAGAAACCGAGACTCCACTAGCTTTTAAGAAGCTCTTTCAATACTTTTATATACTGTTTCTGTTGAGCTGATAACTGTTGTCCCATGGTGAAACCCTAGCCTGAACAATGCCCCCACAACTTGGAAATCCCAAGCGGGCACCAATGACTTACTGACTCACTGACTGTGCCGTCCTTTTCACCCCTATTTTTGAGGGTTCCATTATGATCCTTTGTAGTTTTCCTCACATGGGGCACCACCTGCCAGGGTCTGACCCGCAGACGTAGGCTGCACGATGGAAGAATAACATACTCAGACACTGATATTCAGTGAAAGAGCGGCTGGGGGCTGGGCTGTACACAGAAAAAAGTTGTAGCAGCCGTGTGCCCCAACTAGCTGGCCCTGTGGGCATTTGTTCAGCACAGATTTGATGACAAAGACTTTGAGTCAACACACCTGTGGATAATTAATCTGGTCGCCCTCCCCCGGAGAGAGCAGTCATGCACCCGTGGAAGATCAAAGGTCAGTCTTAGAACCATATAAGTAAACAAGCTATTTAGGTAAGCTCCCCCACATTCCTTTGTTATTTGCTCTTCTGCTATCAACTCAAGATAAAGAGGATTAGGCTGCCTTCAGCCAAATCTTTTACTGAAGCTATGCAAACCTCCTGGCCTTCCAAGAAGGTTTGTGTCTATTTCTTATAACTTTATAATTTTTCCCACCACCTTGACTGATCCCCTACACAGAAACAGGAGGACAGATGTGAAAACTGGAAGAAATTACAATTTCTCCAAGACATGGAGAGATT
This sequence comes from Homo sapiens, assembly GCF_000001405.40. Taxonomy (NCBI): domain Eukaryota; kingdom Metazoa; phylum Chordata; class Mammalia; order Primates; family Hominidae; genus Homo; species Homo sapiens. The sequence goes on from NC_000001.11 coordinate 185,586,304, forward strand.
AGGTATGAGGGAGTGATGGAAAGGGGAGAATATAAGTGCTTTCTAGGTTTGGGGTTTGAGCAGTGGAATAAATGGTGATAAAATGTGTTGATGAAAGAGAATCTGTTCCAAGATGGCTGAATAGAAACAGCTCCAGTCTGCAGCTCCCAGCGTGATCGATGCAGAGGATGGGTGATTTCTGCATTTCCAACTGAGGTACCTGGTTCATCTCATTGGGACTGGTTGGACAGTGAGTGGAGCCCACAGAGGGTGAGCCAAAGCAGAGTGGGGCATCGCCTCACCTGGGAAGCACAAGGGGTCAGGGGATTTTCCTTTCCTGGCGAAGGGAAGCCGTGACAGACTGTACCTGGAAAATCGGTATACTCTGGCTCAAATACTGTGCTTTTCCCACAGTCTTAGCAACGAGCAGACTAGGAGATTCTCTCCCATGCCAGACTTGGCAAGTCCCACACCCACAGAGTCTTGCTCACTGCTAGCACAGCAGTCTGAGATCAATCTACGAGGGTGCAGCCCTGCAAGGGGCGTCCACCATTGCTGAGGCTTGAGTAGGTAAACAAAGTGGCTGGGAAGCTTGAACTGGGTGGAACCCACCGCAGCTCAGCAAGGCCTACTGCCTCTATAGACTCCACCTCTGTGGGCAGGGCATAGCTGAATGAAAGGCAGCAGACAACTTCTGCAGACTTAAATGTCCCTGTCTGACAGCTCTGAAGAGAGCAGTGGTTCTCCCAGCATGGTTTGACCTCTGATAATGGACAGACTGCCTCCTCAAGTGGGTCCCTGACTCCCATGTAGCCTAACTGGGAGACACCTCTCAGTAGGAGCCAAAAGACACCTCATACAGGCAGGTGCCCCTCTGGGATGAAGCTTCCAGAGGAAGGATCAGGCAGCAATATTTGCTGTTCTGTAATATTGCTGTTCTGCAGCCTCTGCTGGTGATACCCAGGACAACAGGGTCTGGAGTGGACCTCCAGCAAACTCCAACAGACCTGCAGCTGAGGTTCCTGACTGTTAGAAGGAAAACTAACAAACAGAAAGGAATAGCATCAACACCAACAAAAAGGACATCCACACGAAAACCCCATCTGTAGGTCACCAACATCAAAGACCAAAGGTAGATAAAACCACAAAGATGGGTAAAAACCAGAGCAAAAAAGGTGAAAATTCTAAAAACCAGAGTACCTCTTCTCCTACAAAGGATTGCAGCTCCTCGCCAGCAAAGGAACAAAGCTGGATGGAGAATGACTTTGACGAGTTGACAGAAGTAGGCCTCCGAAGGTTGGTAATAACAAACTTCTCTGAGCTAAAGGAGCACGTTCTAACCCATTGAAGCTAAAAACCTTGAAAAATGGTTAGATGAATGGCTAACCAGAATAAATGTGTATAGAAGACCTTAAATGACCTGACGGAGTTGAAAACCATGGCACGAGAACTTCATGAGGCACACGCAAGCTTCAATAGCCAATTTGATCAAGTGAAAGAAAGGATATCAGTAATTGAAGATCAAATTAATGAAATAAAGCAAGAAGACAAGATTAGAGAAAAAAGAGTAAAAAAGAATGAACAAAGCCTCCAAGAAATATGGGACTATGAGAAAAGACCAAATCTACGTTTGATTGGTGTACCTGAAAGTGACGGGGAGAATGGAACCAAGTTGAAAAACACTCTTTAGGATATTATCCAGGAGAACTTCCCCAACCTAGCAAGGCAGGCCAACATTGAAATTCAGGAAATAGAGAGAGCACCACAAAGGGACTCCTCGAGAAGAGCAACCCCAAGACACATAATTGTCAGATTCACCAAGGTTGAAATGAAGGAAAAAATGTTAAGGGCAGTCAGAAAGAAAGGTTGGGTTACCCACACAGGGAAGCCCATCAGACTAATGGCGGATCTCTCAGCAGAAACCCTACATGGCAGAAGAGATTGGGAACCTATATTCAACATTCTTAAAGAAAAGAATTTTCAACCCAGAATTTCATATCCAGCCAAACTAAGCTTCATAAGTGAAGGAGAAATAAAATCCTTTACAGACAAGCAAATGTTGAGAGATTTTGTCACCACCAGGCCTGCCTTACAAGAGATCCTGAAGGAAGCACTAAACATGGAAAGCAACAACTGGTACCAACCACTGCAAAAACATACCAAATTGTAAAGACCATTGATGCTAGGAAGAAACTGCATCAATTATGGGCAAAATAACCAGCTAACATCATAATGACAGGATCAAATTCACACATAACAATATTAACCTTAAATGTAAATGGGCTAAATGCTCCAATTAAAAGACACAGACTGGCAAATTGGATAAAGAGTCAAGAACCATCAGTGTGCTGTATTCAGGAGACCCATCTCATGTGCAGAGACACACATAGGCTCAAAATAAAGGGATGGAGGAAGATCTCCCAAGCAAATGGAAGGCAAAAAAAAGCAGGGGTTGCAATCCTAGTATCTGATAAAACAGACTTTAATCCAACAAAGATCAAAAGAAACAAAGAAGGCCATTACATAATGGTAAAGGGATCAAGTCAACGAGAAGAGCTAACTATCCTAAATATATATGCAACCAATACACGAGCACCCAGATTCATAAAACAAGTCTTTAGAGACCTACAAAGAGACTTAGACTCCCGCACAATAATAATGGGACACTTTAACATCCCACTGTCAGTATTAGATCAATGAGAGAGTTAACAAGGATATCCAGGACTTGAACTCAGCTCTGCACCAAGTGGACCTAATAGACATCTAGAGAACACTCCACCCCAAATCAACAAAATATACATTCTTATCAGCACCACATCGCACTTATTCTAAAATTGACCACATAGTTGGAAGTGAAGCACTCCTCGGCAAAAGTAAAAGAAGAGAAATCACCACAAACTATCTCTCAGAACACAGTGCAATCAAATTAGAACTCAGGGTTAAGAAACTCACTGAAAAGCGCACAACTACATAGAAACTGAACAACCTACTCCTGAATGATTACTGGGTAAATAACGAAATGAAGGCAGAAATAAAGATGTTCTTTGAAACCAATGAGAACAAAGACACAATGTACGAGAATCTCTGGGACACATTTAAAGCCGTGGGTAAAGGGAAATTTACAGCACTAAATGCCCACAAGAGAAAGCAGGAAAGATCTAAAATCTACACCGTAACGTCACAATTAAAAGAACTAGAGAAGCAAGAGCAAACGAATTCAAAAGCTAGCAGAAAGCAAGAAATAACTAAGATCAGAGCAGAACTGAATGAGATAGAGACACGAAAAACCCTTCACAAAAATCAATGAATCCAGGAGCTGGTTTTTTGAAAAGATCAACAAAATCGATAGACCTCCAGCAAGACTAATAAAGAACAAAAGAGAGAAGAATCAAATAGATGCAATAAAAAATGATAAAGGGGATATCACCACCAATCCCACAGAAATACAAACTACAATCAGAGAATATTATAAACACCTCTATGCAAATAAACTAGAAAATCTAGAAGAAATGGATAAATTCCTGGAGACATACATCCTCCGGAGACTAAACCAGGAAGAAGTTGAATCTCTGAATAGACCAATAACAGGTTCTGAAATTGAGGCAATAATTAATAGCCTACCAACCAAAAAAAGTCCAGAACCAGATGGATTCACAACCGAATTCTACCAGAGGTACAAAGAGGAGCTGGTACCATTCTTTCTGAAACTATTCCAATCAATAGAAAAAGAGAGAATCCTCCCTAACTCATTTTATGAGGCCAGCATAATCCTGATACCAAAGCCAGGCAGAGACACAACAAAAAAAGAGAATTTTAGACCAATATCCCTAATGAACATCAATGGGAAAATCCTCAATAAAATACTGGCAAACCAAATCCAGCAGTACATCAAAAAGCTTATCCATTACGATCAAGTCAGCTTCATCCCTGGGATGCAAGGCTGGTTCAACACATGCAAATCAATAAACGTAATCCATCACATAAATAGAACCAATGACAAAAACCACATGATAATAGGTGCAGAAAAGGCCTTCGACAAAATTCTACAGCCCTTCATGCTAAAAACTCCCAATAAACTAGGTATACATGGAACATATCTCAAAATAATAAGAGCTATTTATGACAGACCCACAGCCAATATCATACTGAATGAGCAACAACTGGAAGCATTCCCTTTGAAAACTCGTACAAGACAAGGATGCCCTCTCTCACCACTCCTATTCAACATAGTGTTGGAAGTTCTGGCCAGGGCAATCAGGTGAGAGAAAGAAATAAAGCATATTCAATTAGGAAAAGAGGTAGTCAAATTGTCCCTGTTTGCAGATGACATGATTGTATATTTAGAAAACCCCATCATCTCAGCCCAAAATCTCCTTAAGCTGATAAGCAACTTCAGCAAAGTCTCAGGATAAAAAATAAATGTGTAAAAATCACAAGCATTCCTATATACCAATAACAGACAAACAGAGTGCCAAATCATGAGTGAACTCCCATTCACAATTGCTTCAAAGAGAATAAAATATCTAGGAATCCAATTACAAGGGATGTGAAGGACCTCTTCAAGGAGAACTACAAACCACTGCTCAATGAAGTGAAAGAGGACACAAACAAATGGAAGAACATTCCATGCTCATGGATAGGAGGAATCAATATCATAAAAATGGCCATACTGCCCAAGGTAATTTATAGATTCAATGCCATCCCCATCAAACTACCAATGACTTTCTTCACAGAATTGGAAAAAAATACTTTAAAGTTCATATGGAACCAAAAAAGTGCCCGCATAGCCAAGACCATCCTAAGGCAAAAGAACAAAGCTGGAGGCATCACGCTACCTGACTTGGCTACAGTAGCTAAAACAGCATGGTGCTGGTACCAAAACAGCGATATAGACAATGGAACAGAACAGAGGCCTCAGAAATAACACCACACATCTACAACCATGTGATCTTTGACAAACTTGACAGAAATAAGAAATGGGAAAGGGATTCCATATTTAATAAATGGTGCTGGGAAAACTGGCTAGCCATATGTAGAAAGCTGAAACTGGATTCCTTCTTTACGCCTTATACAAAAATTAATTCAAGATGGATTAAAGACTTAAATGTTAGACCTAAAACCATAAAAACCCTAGAAGAAAACCTAGGCAATACCATTCAGGACATAGGCATGGGCAAAGACTTCATAACTAAAACACCAAAAGCAAGGGCAACAAAAGCCAAAATAGACAAATTGGATCTAAGTAAACTAAAGAGCTTCTGCACAGCAAAAGAAACTACCATCAGAGTGAACAGGCAACCTACAGAATGGGAGAAAATTTTTGCACTCTGCCTGTCTGACAAAGGACTAACATCCAGAATCTACAAAGAACTTAAGAACTTAAATTTAAAAGACAAAACCGCATCAAAAAGTGGGCAAAGATATGAACAGATACTTCTTAAAAGAAGACATTTATGCAGCCAACAGAAACATGAAAAAATGCTCATCATCACTGGTCATCAGAGAAATGCAAAACCACAATGAGATACCATCTCATACCAGTTAGAATGGAGATCATTAAAAAGTCAGAAACAACAGATGCTGGAGAGGATGTGGAGAAATAGGAACACTTTTACACTGTTGGTGGGAGTGTAAACTAGTTCAACCATTGTGGGAGACAGTGTGGCGATTTCTCAAGGATCTAGAACTAGAAATACCATTTGACCCAGTGATCCCATTACTGAGTTTATACCCAAAGGATTATAAATCATGCTACTATAAAGACACATGAACACGTATGATTATTGCAGCACTATTCACAATAGCAAAGACTTGGAACCAACCCAAATATCCATCAATGATAGACTGGATTAAGAAAATGTGGCACATATATACCATCGAATACTATGCAGCCATAAAAAAGGATTAGTTCATGTCCTTTGCAGGGACATGGATGAAGCTGGAAACCATCATTCTCAGCAAACTATCACAAGGACAGAAAACTGAACACCACATGTTCACACTCATATGTGGGAATTGAACAATAGAACCCTTGGACACAGGGTGGGAAACATCAGTAGGGGACTGGGGGAAGGATAGTATTAGGAGAAGTACCTGATGTAAATGACGAGTTGATGGGTGCAGCAAACCAACATGGCACATGTACACATATGTAACAAACCTGCACATTGTACACATGTACCCTAGAACTTAAAGTATAATAAAAAAAATTTTTTAAATGTGTTGATGAAAACTAGAGAAACACAGATTTTATTGTTGGAGAGGATATTTTAGATCTGGTAAATTTGAGATTCTATTAGATATTCAAATGGAGTTGTTCAGTCAGCTGTCAGAAATATGAGTCTGGAGCTTGGGTTGTAGATTGGTTAAAGCTAGATACACAACGTTGGTAGTCACCAGCATATGGGTGTCCTTTAAAGCCATTGGATTGGAGGAGATAACTAGACAAAAGTACAGATAGAGAAAAGCAGAAAAAATTCCAGAGGCACTCAAACACTGAGAGATTGGGTAGAATTTAGAAAAAGAAAGTAAGAAAAAGCAGCTGGTAATTCTGAAGATAAACCAGGAGAAAGTAGTGTCATGGACACCAAGAGAAGAAAGAGAAAGATTTCAGAAGAAGGTGATAATGCACCCTGCTGAAAGGTTTAGAAAGATAAGGACAGAAAAGTCTAATTTGCTATTGGATTTAGCTAAGTGGAAGTCAGTCAAGTAATAAGGTTGGAATCCAGATTGGGGTAGGTTGGAGGATGAATATTTGAATAAGGAAGTAGAAATAGCATGTTTTGAATAATTACTTAATAAGGTTTGTTGTGAGTGGGGAGCAGAGGAATGAGGAATTTTTATAAGTAGAAATTATATAATAGACAGGAAGACACTTATCAATGTTATTTATTAATAAAAACAGATTTAGCTAATTCACTGGATTGTTTTGAAAAATCAAATGATTTCTCCAAAACTGCTCTATAAACCATAAACCTCTTTAAGAGTATTTTTAGGTATCTGATTTTTCTAGGCTTTATAATTTTTGTGGGTCTTCTGTGTTTATCTTATACAGTAAATACATGCTGATTAAGGTCTACATGGGTTTTAACTTTTTTTGTGTAGTGTTACATAAAAATGGATGTTTAATGAATGCTTTTTCTAAATGATTTCCTTTGGAGCTTTGATTAGTCATTTTAGTCCCCTGGGCTTCAATTTTCCCATTCTGAAAATAGATGGTAAGTGATGAAGAAATGTGTTTACTGTCATAGAGAGACGTCCAAACATATTGCTGAGTGGAAAAAGGAGTTTAAAAAACAACATATAATGTATAATTTCATTTTTATAGAACTATGTACATACATCATATTTCATATACCAATGTCTGGGAGAATTTTTTAACAAAATATCAAAATGAAATTATGTTTCTTTAAACTTAATATAAAATAGTAAAACTAAATTAAAAAAATTTTAAAACCATGCAAAAATAGATAATGAGTTTTCCTCCAAGGTAGGACAAATTTTATCATTTGTAAAGGAATAAATATCAAAATCAAGGTGGCTTACTAGAAGAAAACCCTAGGTTGGTTTATTTGAGCCTGGACCCATAAAGGACCATGCTAATGAGGAAATTTCTACTATTCCTAAGTGAAGGTGGAAATCAGGCTGGATCCAGGTGTCTTTTGGTCCTGCCTTAAACTTTGTCACTTTCTATAAGCCCATCCTTCAACATAATCTATTTCCATCTATGCTTTGCTAATAGTAACAACTCTACTTCCTAACCCATTTCTATAAGCAAGTTATTTTGGCTCTGCCTTTGAATAATTTTGTCAGTTAAATCCTGATTCCTTCTTTTTATTCAGGGCTTTATCCTAAGAATGCTCAGGAATCCTGAGTCCCAGCCCCGTGTCAGTTTTGGAAGACAAATTTCCTGCCTAGCTCTGCAGCACAAATGCTGCTCTGCCAGTTTTTCTGTGGCTTTGTTCCACCTTATCTGCAGTGGCCAATGGTAGGTATCATGTCCTGGTGCCCTCTGATGCAGCCTGCCACTTGCTCAGCTGTACCTTGGCATATATCCCTCTGTTTTGCGGTTCTTTGTGATTGTCCCTTTCAGATTAGAAGTGCTTTATAATAAATTGGTAACTGTGCTTATTTGGCTGTTGAAAAGGGAGTCCTTTTAAAAAGGAAACTTAGCCCTTAAAACACATACACACACACACACACACACACACACACACACACACACACACACACATTTAAATATTTTCCAGATTGCTTTCTTTGCTTTTAAAGGTCACCTGAAGGTGAAGGGGTTGAAGGACATTTTATTGGGCTGTTTACTCTGCATTAAATGTCCTTCCTTCTTTCTCCTTATCTAGTACAGCCCTACCTTCAAGGTCCAGCTGAAATTCCAGCCACTCTGTGAAACTTTTCTTATCACCCTGGCCTTGGAGATTTGCCCTTTCTCTGTGCTCTGGTAACACAGAATGTCTGCATTAGCTTTTTCAAACTTAGCCTATGCTGCCTGTCTGTGAAGTATAAGCTTTGTTTTCCCAATGAGACTATCAGCTTTGTTTTCCCAATGAGACCATCACTCGTTTATAGGCTTGGAGTAAGAGTGGCTGAAATCCTATCTCCATCACTTGTGAGCTGTACGACCTTGTTCAAGCCACTTCCCATCGCTGTGCCTTAGGCTCCTTCTCTGTTCAGTGTAGTCATAGTACCTATCTTTTAGAGTTGTTGGGAAGATTAAATGAAATAATACATGCAGTGTGTTTAGTACAATGCCTGGCACATAGTTAGTGTTCAATAATTAATATATTTTATACACTTGTAATTTAACTACTATGTAGTTAAAGGAACTGGTGAAACAGTTATGAAACAGCTAATAGTCTACAGAAATAGTTTCTGCTCTGCCAAATCCAGCAGGGAGCCAGAGGGCAAGGGAGTCAATTAAAGCACAGCAAGAAATTGTTTTTGCCCCAGGGGAATTTACATTCTAGGATTTAATAACTAATTAGCCAATTATTTATTTAAATACTAATCTTTTCAGAAGTACAGGGTGCCATAAAAATGTCTGTGTCTCCCTGAAAGTCTTGGGGAGGTTCCCCTGAGGAAGTGGTAAATGAATTTAGATCTTAAAAAGGAATAGGTGTGAACAAGTTGAATGTCAGGAAGTGTATTCTTGGCAAAGAGAAGACCATGTGTGGGGACTTTGAGCTGGAGGGAAGTGTGGATAATCTGAGGACCTCAGAGACAGCCAGTGTGGCTGGAGCATGATGGCTGAATGAGAAGAGAGAGAGCTCCAAAGGAGCCAGGTTGGATTTTAGGTCTGTCATTTTCCCAGTATCTTGTAACTATACATTAAGGAGCTTATTTATACTCATTAATGATTTAGTCTACGTGGATGCTGGTTCATCTGATTCTTTTAAACAATAAAAGAAAGTGTTTTCTGGGTATATGGTATATCGATAAGAGTCTGGTCAGGAAAACAGAAACTGCATTGGGCATTTCAACAGTGAGAATTTAATATGAGAAGTTGGTTAAACAGGACTGGAGAAATAAAAACCCAAAGAAGGGATGCTGAGGTCACAAAGAGAGAGTGACTATAAGAAGCTGCTGCCTCTCCAGATCAGAATCTTAAGCTTTGTCTGCATTGCCTCTCTCTCTCACTTCCAGTCTCTCACAAAGTCCTATCTTCACAGCTCAGAGAGCTATAATGCAGAACCTTATGTGTCAGGGAGTGGAGGACAGGAGGTGCAGGCCTGGTTGCTGCCCAGCACGTGCTGGTACCTCAGGAGCTCAGAAGAGCTGGGAAGACTTCCCAGCTAGTGCTGGTACCTGTACCTCTAAGAGGGCACATTCAGGTTAGTTCTTAGAATACTAAAATAAAAGAGGAGACTGAAGCCAACTGCCCATCCCAGGATGCAGAGCTATTATTGCTCAGGTGATGATAGGAAGAGGAAGAAAGCAAAGAGTCTGCCATTTAACCTCCCTCTAGCGGCCACTATTGGTAGAAGCTGACAGGGAGTCAGCAGGTTAAGCTGATTTGCAGAGTCCTAGACCCAGTATCACGTAATAAAGATATGAGGGGTAAAAAATAAGAACAATGGAGAAGGTGGATATTGATAGCTGGATATGAAGGGTGACATGGTCTTGCTTTGGGTAGCATTTGACTCTCTTATTTCTGCCCTTCAACATGCAATACATTACTTTCAAAGTCTTTGCAGAAAAATTATTTTATTAACTCATTAACTCTTTTGAGAGTAATCAAAATGAATTATTTTGCTAAAGCAGAAACATGGAAGAAATCTTTTTGTAAGTTTTATGCCATGCCAGTCACTGATTGGAGATATATTTATATCTATCTCTATATAGAGATAGATATTTTCACACATACAGACATATACACATATATATTTTATTTAATTTAAAAATTGTTGAAAAAGAACAAAAATTTGTAAGATCTCACTGTTGGCCTTCAAGCTGTTGGAAACTATGATACACATTCATGAAAAGGAGACTGAGGGTCATTATACAGGTTGGTTTCAGCTCCTAAGGGGTCCTGCCATCCCAGATCTGTGAACTCCAGGGAAAATCTCTACTTTTCTACCATTTCCTTGGTGATTGATTGCAAATCCCCTGGGGTTTGGAGAATCACATATATCTTTCCTCCCAGCTTCTGCTATAGGTTTTCATTTGCTGTTGAAGTTGAGCAGGAACCACCCAGAGCTCTACCCAGAGACCTTTTTATTTTCCCCTACCCCATAGCGTGAAATATTTTTGTTGCTTAAACCACAAACAATATGTTATAAATCATTTCTCAGTATTTATAAATAAAAATATTCTTAAAAGTTACACATTGTTTAAGCACCAAGCTGACTGAATTCCAACCACAAGCAACAGATGTTTTAGTCATCCCAAGCAATTCTAACGAAGATAAAACTGTGATTTTCATTTGATATTTTGGAACATTAAAAATAATTGTTGGAGTCCCCAATACTACTTTTAAGTGCCTCAGGAGACACAGACTTAGGTATAATTTTTTTCATGTGTACTATATTAAAAGATACATTTGCTTGGAAGACCTGTTTAGTGCAAAAGTGTGACTTTCGGCCAATTCCTCTTAATTAATGACAATGCTTCAGTTAAGTACTTTAGTTCCTTTGTATCAACTCCCATATTTCTCCAGAGAATTTGTGAAATAAGCACCTTGACTGGTGTGGAAGGAGTTTTTACTACAAATTTTTCATAAAAAAGGAACATTGAAATGCTACTTATCAAATTGGCTCATCTGTCTCAAATATTCATTTCCTAGAAATAATCCTTTGTTATTATCCGTAATAACTGAAACCTTATCGTTTTATTTCACCTGCTTTCTTTGTTTTGGTTTTCAGCATTAAAAAGCAATAATAACTTTGGCAAAAAATAATTCCTGTAGATCATTATTTTGAGGGTAGTCCTACTTGGCCTATTAGTTCCGCTGTAGTGCAATGTGTTTTGATATTGTTACTTAAATCAACACCAACCAGAATTACTGGCAGTCACAAACAAAAGTCTAATAATTCAGTGTTGAATTGTAAAGCAAAATGCATTTAAAAAATTAAGACTGCAAAGAAAGATGGAAATAACTGTATGATAAACATATAGACATGTTTATTTCTCAAAAATATGAGTTTGTTATAGATTCCTTAAAAAATTGCCTGGTTATCAATTTTTAAAAATAAATTACGCATTATTTATGTGTTTGCTTTTCTGCTGGTAACAATATTTATGTAACAAACAAAAAAATAAAAAACAAAAAAAAGAAAAACCCACAGTGCAAACATAAACCTTTGATGAGGCTTGGAATTCTTTCTACTTTTAATCTGCATAACATTTGCCTCCCCTTCATTGGCTCAATTATGGATTTGAAAGACTGATTCTCAAAAGGTGATCCTGTATGCTTTGCCTCCCAGTAGAAATTTTGCCAAAGAGTGCTGGATTATGCCTTATGTTGTAGAGTTGCATACTTTAACATTAATGTATAAAAAGGTAATTTTTATTAACTTAGCAAAGTAGAAACATTGACCATTGATTATGAAACATGGTTACTATTTTTAAATTAACAAACTTAAGAAAACATTAAAAGATGTTAATAAAAACCTAAGTAGCGTTTTGTACCTTCCTTGATGATCCTTAGCTGTTGTCAATCAAACTGCATCTCTAGTCTATTTTTAGTCTGGAAAGAAACTGCTTATCTTTAACTTGCCCAAAGACTCTTCTGGGGCTTTTCCACTATGCTGAAATTTTAATAACATCTCTAGATAGTTCTTCATTTCTGTTACAAGATTTAACTTCCTTATTGAGGCAATCTTTTGACTGTCTTCAGCTTCCTCAGTTATCAGTACTTAGTTCTCTTGTTAACCTAAGTTCCATGTACCTAGTCTCTTACTTTCTCCTAAATGGGGTAAAAATTCATTTTTATTCACAAAGCTACTGCTGATGGAGAGAAATTACAGGTGTGATGTACTTCTCCTCAGTAGTAGCATACCAACTTAGCAATCACATTTTCCCCCCTCAACTATGCATAAACTTACTAGCTTCATTTGCCCCTTCTTTAAAAAACAAACAGACAAAAAAACAAAACAAAACAAAACAATTTTGAGCTACTTTTCTTTTTCCTTGGCAAACTGCTCAGCTGGGTGCCTGTAAAATGAAATGTACATCAAATACATTCCATAGCGACCCTCACATTCATGATCTAATATGGTTTATTGCTAGTGTTACCTAGACCATATACTCTAAGTTAAACATCTAAGTAATATTGAAATGTAACTTTCAAAAACACGTTAAAATTCTCTAGGGAATCAACAAAAATGCAAAGTAATTTTAAAACAAATTCTAATATTAGAGAAAATAATAACTATGTGTAAGGGTGCTTTCTATGGCTAGCAAAAGGAAGCCCCTTATAATAGCCCTTGGTAGGCAGAGCTGTTTTGGCGGGGAGGACATAGGAAACATGGCATAAGGGCCAAGGAGACTCCTACGACTGAAGAATCAGGAAACTGACCTCATCCCTTTTGAGTTTAACATTATTAGAACATCATTGGTAGACAGAGTTCAACTAACTTCAGCTAACTGAAGTTCGCTCCTAAGAAATGTGTAGAAGTAGTGTCCCAATCTTAACACCAGGGTTGGCGTGTTGATGGCACATATCCACAATATGTGGATATGGTAGAAGGTATTCTTTACTAAGCCAGACATATGCTTGGGATCATGTTTAGCTGCAATGACTGAATATGTGATTATGACTTAAAACAACTGCAGCAAGGATCAGCAAGGCAATCACTGCAGCTGGACAAGCATCCATTGGGCTTCTAGTGTTCAGTAACTGTGTAAATGTGGTTGCTACTGAGGAATTATGCTAGCGGTCTCATTAGACCCTCTGGTTCTCTCCACTTGGTCGTTTGGAAGTAGAAACGATCACTTGGGGCTGAATAAGCATTAAGATACTTGTATAATTAACAGCAAGCAGTGGTTTCTAAAGGAAAATACTGGACTTGCTAATAAGTAATTAGTTAGTAGTATAATGGCAGTATAATCACCTTTGTATTTTGAGCTGATAAAGAAGGTCATATCGGTAACATATGTTTGAAAATGTTAATATAGTCATAATTTTCTCTGAACTTCCATAGTTAGGGCATTTATCATTTTTATTATATTAAAACTATTTTTTCAAACATCTTATCTCTCCAAATTTTGATCATTGAAGGCCATGACTTATCTTTATATCAACCCTGGCTTTTTCCTCCCATTGTAGTATAGCAGAATCCCTCATGCAAAATAGAAACTAAATTAACTAAATAAGTATTAAATGATGAAATAAGATAATAAATTAGAAACACTGAAAATATTTCAAATTCTGAAAATTCATTTTTTTCATAAATAGTATTTATTTTTTTCAAGAAAAAATTTTTTTTGCAGCTAAGGTTTGAGATAATTGCTATGGTGGTAAGATGCACAGAGAAATGGTTTGAGGAGACAGGTCTAGGTACAAAAGAAAAATAATATCTCAGCTGTGCATATAGAAATTCTGATTTATATTTTGAGCTTACTGTCATATCTTTTTGGAAGTCTTTTGTTCTCAGTTCTTTGATTTCCTTTTTGGTTTTGTTTGTCTTTAAATATTTTATTTTATATTATGTTAAAGTGCACCCCTATGGATTTATTGTCAATATTTAGTTTTTAAAAGTTTATATTCTACTCTTTAAAAATTCATATTCTGTTAATGAAACAAACTATGGTGTAGCAGAATTTTCATATAGTTCCATTGCAGAAATAAATTATCTTCTATTCTTTTCAATTTTGAAGAATTGTAGAGTATAAGAATAAATTCAGTAATTGATAGATATGGAGAAGACAGTAAGGCATTTGAATGTAGCATTGCTATTAATTGTCCTCCAATATTTATTCTCCTTCTCTTAGCAATAGAACCTCTTATTTTTAGATAAGCACATTATGCTAAGAATTAACATTGTACTTCTTACCCTCATTTGCAGCCACGTGTGGCCATATGCCCAGCTTCTGGTCAGTGGAATGTAAATGAAAGCATGTAGCTTCCAGCAAGTATACCTAAAGTGTGTATGGGGTGGGTGGGGGAGGTCATGTCCTTGTTCCTCTCTTTGTCTAACAAAGGTTGGAGACATCTTGGGCAAGGAGGTGAATATGCGAATGGAAACCTAGTTTTATGCACTGTGGCACTCCAGACTAGCCCTGGACAATCTAATTCTAGGTTTTCATATGAGGAAAAACAAACTCTTAATTTGATTAGGCCATTATTTATTTTATTTCTTGCAAAAAAAAAATCCCGACTGAACTCAATTATTAGAAATTTGGAGGCTGATGTTAGTATTCTGCTCTTAAAGTGATGTTATACTTAATTCTGTAAATTGAGACTCCTTCTTGAAGATCTAAGCCTCTTGATTATCCTAGCAGATTGAGTGTTGAAGTGAAAGTCAGTGTGTAGCATTGGGTAAATTTCTAATGCTGTTATTTAAGTTTCTATATCCACAGTGTAAGAAAAGAGAAACAAATGTGAAAGTGATGGTAATTATTTGACTTTTCATCTCTAAACAGAAGTGGGTTTCCTTTCAAATTATATCTGTCCCTATAATGATTCATTTGGGGTGTCAACTTGTCTGGGTTAAGGACCACTTAGAGAATTGGTAAAGCATTATTTCTGGTACATCTGTGAGAGTGTTTATGAAGGAGATTAGTCTGTGTGTCAGCAGACTGAGTGGGGAAGATCTGTCCTCAGTATGGGCGGGCACCATTCAATCAACTGGGGGCCTGAATGGAACAAAAAAGGCAGAGGAAGGGCGATTTCCTCTCTCTCTTTCCTGGAGATGGGACACTCTTCTTTGACTGCCTTTGGACATCAGAACTTCAGCTTCTCTAGCCTTTGGGCTTCAGGCCTCACACCAAAAGCTCCCCAGGTTCTTGGGTCTTCTGAGAGTCCACCATCAGCTTCCCTGGTCTGAGGCTTTCGAACTTAGACTGAGCCACTCAACTGGCACCCTGTGGTCTTTGGCTTGTAGACAGCCTGTCATGGAACTTAGACTCCATAATCATGGGAGCCAATTCGCTAATAAATCTCTCCACTCATAAATCTATCTATGTATCTATGTATCTATCTATGTATCTATCTATCTATCTATCTATCTATCTATCTATCTATCTATCCATCCTATTGATCCTGTCTCTCTGGAGATCCCTGACTAATGTAGTCCTCGGCCTCACACCACTTCAGTTGGGAGTGGTTCTTGAAGTAATCTAGGCTTTAAAATTTTCTCTGTCCTAGGGAGATATGACAATGCTTTTACTGGGATTCTCTTATAATTTAATTTAAATTCACTCACCTCAAAGCTTTCTCCAGGACTGCCATTTATTTCCTATGATCTCTGCCTCAAATAGCCATAAGCCTGGTAACCAACTAAAAAAAGCCAGCTGTGGATGCCCCAGAGTTGCTTGAGCCAGTTTCTTCAGATTCTCTCTCCTTGTTCCCAGCATGCTCTGACTGACTGGCCTCAAGTGCTGTCTTTATAGCTGTAACATCAACTTCAGGGCTGCCACTGGCCCTTTGAATTGAATGTTCATAATTACTTTTCGTGGCTTCTTACTCTTGGCTTACCCTAAGTGATATTTACCTTGTTTTTACTTTTTACCATTCACATTATGAGTTGGCTTGAGCAAAGCTTCTCCCTCAATGTCCTGGTTATGGAAGAGACACAACAGCCATTCTGGGAAGCTGGGGATAGTAGCTGAAAGTATGGGGAATGTTTGCTATTTTGTCACAGTCTCACTTTTTCCTTTGAGAGAAGAAGACACAGCTTTCATCAGAAGGGGGGCAGTGAAATATTTTAGATAGGGGAGTGAGCTGATAAAATCTGGGTCTAAAAATATGACTTTGGGGGCCATGTGAAGGATGGAATTGAGGAGGAGGTATTTAAGAGAGTAATAACAATTAGGTGGTCTGGATGCAAGATGATAAAAGCCTAAGTTAAGGCACTTAGCAGTGATGACAGAGAGAATAGGAGAAATTTAAAGGGCCATTTAGAAGGTGTCAGTGAAAGGACATAGAGATTAGATGTATTGTGAAAGGAAAGGCAAAGGATCTAGAATGACCCCCAGTTTATGGTATGAGAAACCACTGTGAGCTGGTCCATTCCCTAAAATAGCAAGAGAGATAAACTAGAGTAAAATTTAGGAGGAGACAGTAGATTCAGCTTGTGATTGCCCAGTTCTAGAGCCTCTGGTCAGGCACGGTGGCTCACATCTGTAATCCCAGAACTTCTGGGAGGCTGAGGCGGTGGATCACTTGAGCTCAGGAGTTCAAAACCAGCCTGGGCAACATGGTAAAACCCCATCTTTACAAAAATGCAAAAATTAGCCAGGTGTGGTGGTGCGTGCCGTAGTCCCAGCTACTCTGTAGGCTAAGGTGGGAGGATCGCTTGAGCCCAAAAGGCTGCATTGCAGTGAGCGGAGATGGCATTACTGCACTGTAGCCTGAGCAGCAGAGTGAGACCTTGTCTCAAAAAAAAAAAAAAGAAAAAAAAGAGCCTCTGAGCCATCTGGGTGGATATGCCTGGTAGGCACTTGAAAATACAAATCAGCAGGGAAATGAAAGTAGAAATCACCAGCAGATGGGTAGTAGTTGAAGCCAGGGAAATGAACAAGATCACTGAGGGAGAACAGAGAGGCTGAGAAGAGATGAGTTCTTGCACAAGGATAGAATCACAGAAAACATCAAATCATGAGGCAGAAGAAGAGACTCAGGGGTGGGGAGGAAGAAAGGAAAATGGTAAGAGAGGATGGAAATGCTATGAAGGGAAACAAGAGAACTGTTAGGATCTATTTTCCTTTTAGGAAAATAATTTAAGCAGCTGTGGCAGACATAATGTTGTGTTTAATAGTCTGTTTTTGTTTTTTCTTCTCTCCTGGACACCAGGAGGACATTTTCCAGTCTTCCACTGCATCTAGATGGGGCCATGGGACTAAGCACTGGGCAACAGAAAGGAGGTAGAGGTGGAAGTAATGTTGTCTACTTCCAAGCAAGCCCCTACAGCATTGTGGGTGATGTGTGTACATGTTCTCTCCTTCCCACCATGTGACTGTATGGAGCCATACGGAGTCTCACTCTTGTCACCCAGGATGGAGTACAGTGGCGTGATCTCAGCTCACTTCAACCTCCATCTCCTGGGTTCAAGCAATTCTCCTGCCTCAGCCTCCCGAGTAGCTAGGACTACAGGCGCCTGCCACCACTCCTAGAGACAGGGTTTCACCATATTGGCCAGGCTGTTCTCGAACTCCTAACCTCATGATCTGCCCGCCTCGGCCTCCCAAAGTGCTGGGATTACAGGCGTGAGCCACCGCGCCCGGCCAGGAGAACTTTCTGACTGGTAATATCCACATCAGACTTTACTTGAGGGAGAAGTAGGCCTGTATTGTGTTAATCTACTGAGATGTTAAGATTATTTATTATAGAAATTAACACATTTTGATTGATATAACATTGAAAAAATATTTTTAAATGGGGATTTTAAGTTGTTCTTTTGGCATTGTGGACACACTTTAAAAATGCAGCCATCCTAACAGTATGCATCTTTTAAGATATTTTATTTGCTGTTTTTTGAACCAAGGATATAAGTTTCAGGATCATTGGAATGGCATCCAAATCTTAAATTTATGTGTAAAACAGACTAATAATAGATAATGGAACAAAAGGTTAGTACATGCATACACTTAGTGCTCTTGTCCTGATTCTGTTACAGCCCGTCAAGGAGACTCACATGCCTTTTCCCGACTGGCCTTCTTGCTGCCATGCAACCCTACAGGGTAGGGCCTATAGTAAAAATCCCTAGCATCAAGGACTCTTGACATTTGTGTGTGATTTCTCTGGATACAATGTCTAAGCAGTGGCTTACTATGACAGTTGATGCTTCCTGGTCTCAGAATTATGATCCAAATATAATGTATGTACCTAGCACTAGGTGTGGTGGCTCACACTGTTCACTGCACTTTGGGAGGCTGAGGTGGAAGAATTGCTTGAGCCCAGGAGTTCAAGACCAGCCTGGGCAACATAGCAAGTGTCTTGTCTCTACTAAAAATTTAAAAATTAGCTGAGCATGGTGGCACACACTTGTGGTCTCAGCCACTTGGTAGCTGAGGCAAGAGGATTGTTTGAGCCTAGGAGGTCAAGGCTGCAGTGAGCCGTGATCGCACCACCGCACTTCAGCCTGGGTGACAGAAGTGAGACCCTCAAAACAAATGAACAAACAAAAATGTATCTGAGTATAGAAAGTAACAAGAACACACAAAGAACTTCTTCCAAGTCAGTCTCCTGGGCTACTAGAAAAGGCCCCAAAGGCAGCCTGAGGAATTCTGAGCTTTTCAGGAGGTTCTGTTCAAGAAAATACATTCAACCAAAAAAAGGAAATTAGACAACAAAATAAGTGACTTTGGGATTTTAACCCAAAGTATTAAATGGGTCCATACTAATCTAAATAAATGAATAGGATAGAAGAGACAAACCTCCCATACAAAAGAACAAAAACCAAAAAACTTTAAATAGTTTATATAGATACTGCCTCCTCAAGGAGGTGGCACATAACTCTCCACCTCTCAAATGTGGACTATGCTTAGTGTCTTGATTCTATACAACACAGAAAGGAAAGGGGAAAATAACTTTATAAGAGAGAAACCCAGCAAACACTGCCTCAGCCAGGTATTCAAAGTTAATACCATCAGTGATAAGTCTCATACATAACATGCACCCTTGATGTGATATACCCTTATCAAAGAATGGCACTTCACCTCTGTTATCTTCCTCTCCAAAGCCATCACCCCAGCCAAATCATAATAAAAAAAATTAGACAAAACTAATGTGAGGGGTATTCTATAAAACCTGAGCAATGCTTCTTTTTATGGTTTGCGTCCCTCCAAAATTCATGTAGAAACTTAATCCCCAATGCAATAATATTAAGAAGTAGGGACTTTATGGGGACTCTGCCATCATGGAAGGAATTTGTGCCCCTAAAAAAGGGATCAAGCAAGTGAGTTAGGCCCTTTGCCCCTTCTACCATGTAGAGACACAGCAACAAGGCATCATCTTTGAAGAGGAGAAAAAGCCCTCACCAGACACTGCATCTCCTGGCACATTGATTTGGATTTCCCAGGCTCCAGAACTGTAAGAAATAAATTCCTTTTAGGAAACTAGATTTGAGATATAAATGAACTCTTTGTACTACTTTTGCAACTATTCTCTAAACCTAAAACTATTCTAACATTTTAAAAGTTTTAAAAGTGGCTCATGCCTATAATCCCAGCACTTTGGGAGGTGGAGGCAGGTGGATAACTTGAGGCCAGGAGTTCAAGACCAGCCTGGCTAACATAGTGAAATCCCATCTCTATTAAAAATACAAAAAATTAGCTGGGGGTGGTGGTGGGTATCTGTAGTCCCAGCTACTTAGGAGGCTGAGGCAGGAAAATTGCTTGAACCTGGGAGGTGGAGGTTGCAGTGAGCGGAGATCGTGCCACTGTACTCCAGCCTGCGGGATAGAGCGAGACCCCATCTCAAACAAACAAATGGAATTTAGAAATAACGTAAATCATTTGCTTTTCCTTGAAGAAGAAATCTAAGCATATAGTTGATAGCAAATTTATGACAATCCCCTTTACTACTGTAAATCAGCTCTCTGAAACTCACTGGTGAACTCTTTCTTTCAAATAAATCCACATTGATCCCTCATCTTCATCTGCCTCCCTGGTCACTTTCTTGCTTGCACCCCTTTCCTAATTCCATCTTCCTCAATACAAAATGTTCCCCCACCAGACATAGATCAATTGAAATGTCATTTGTCATCTGTAAATATTTTCCTTAGAGAAATGATGTCTCTTGGGCTCTTGTCCTCTGCACCACTTCTCATATTTACTGCAATTCTGGTAGAGGACCAGATGGACATGTTAATAATTCTCAGTCCCATTAGATACATAGATAACATTGATAAATCAGCAAATTAAGAAAAAAAAAGCGAATTTATTTTGGAAAAGCTACTGTTCAACCTGGGCAATCCAGCAAGATCCCATTTCTAAAAAAAAAAAAATTGTTTTTAATTAGCTGGGCATGGTGGCACATGCCTGCAGTTCCAGCTACTTAGGAGGCTGAGGATTACTTGAGCCCAGGAGTTTGAGGCTGTAGTGAGCTAGGATGGTGCCGCTGCACACTTCAGCCTGAGTGACAGAGCAAGACCCCATTTCTAATTAAAAGAAGAAAGAAAGAAAAAAAAAACTGCTAAATTAGTGAGGGAGGAAGTAAATATAGAACTTAACTACCATGCTTTGTATATTTAGCCCCAAATATATATTTAATTAGGAAACATTAAATATGAATTTTGAAGGGAATTTACTGAATATCTAATACTATACTCTCAAGTTACATATTAGGAATGGCTTAAGTGACCAGCTCAACTTCATGCAGTTAATGACCAGGAGACTCATGATTATTTTATTCCTCCTCATTTTTCATGTTCTTCAAACACCAAGTTCGAATTTTTGTCGTGATGCAAGAAGGCTAAAGGCTTTGATATGGTAATGCCTCTTTCCTGACAAGGAAGAAACACAGAAAGAAAATAGCAAATGAATACACGAAAAACAAATCAGCCTGACCAAATATTATGTTATATCCTCTTCAATTTAATGACTTCTTATAGACACATAGAGATTCACTTTCAATAAAAGTGTTTGAATATGCAGCCTGGCAACCTGCTCAATCATCCAGTGGCTACTGCCTTATACCTTCCGGTGTCCAGAACTGTGGGACCTCTCATTTCCATCTCTCAGGTACATTCTTCATTAAATACATTGCAACCATTATTTTCATTAAATGTTTTTAGACCCACAGAAATCTATCATCTTGTTTAATCACTCCTGTCATTATCATTTCATTCATGTAATCATGCACTTATTTGTTCAGTCATCTATACATTCATCTACAATTTGCCAGACACTGAGCAAGGTGCTGAAAATACAAACAGAGATGGCACCATTCCTGAAGTCAAGGTGCATGCTGTCTACTAATTTAAATGTTAGCAAAAACAGCCTGACAATATTTCCTGTAAAATCTCTGTGGTCTACAGAATTTCTAATTATCTGTGCTCATTAAATATTAAACAATATTTCATGACCTATTAGGTAAAGACTGGTATGGTATCTGCAAGTAAAAACAAATGAAGAATTCTTAAAAGCTAAAGAATTCAAGAAAATAAATATGAGTTAGACATTGTTTCCTCTTTTTATTCGAAATGTAAATGTGTATATGCATGCATGTATATGCACATAATATATTTTAATTTCCAGACATCAATTAACAAAAATTCAATATTAAAATGATTTTGTTCAAAAGAAGACATACATGCAGCCAACAAGCATACAAAAGAAAGCTCAATATTACTGAACATTAGAGAAATGCAAATCAAAACCACAATGAGATACTATCTCCTGAGTCAGAATGGCTATTATTAAAAAGTCAAAAACAACAGATGCTGGCGAGTTCGCAGAGAAAAGGGAACTCTTATACACTGCTGGTGGGAATGTAAATTAGTTCAACCATCGTGGAAAGCAGTATGATTCCTCAAAGAGCTAAAAGCAGAACTAGCATATGATCTGGCAACCTCATTACTGAGTATATACCCAGAAGAATATAAATCATTCTACCATAAAGGCGCATGCACGCAAATGTTCATTGCAGCACTATTCATAGCAAAGTCATAGAATCAACTTAAATGCTCATCAATGACAGATTAGATTTAAAACATATATATTTATACCATGGAATACTATGCAGCCATAAAAAAGAACAAGATCATGTCTCTTGCAGGAACATGGATGGAGCTGGAGGCCATTATCCTTAGCAAACTAATGCAGGAACAGAAAACCAAGTATCACATGTTCTCACTTATAAGTGGGAGCTAAATGATAAGAACTTCTGAACACAAAGAAGGAAACAACAGACACTAGTGTCTACTTGAGAGGGGAGGGTGGGAGGAGGGAGTGGAGCCGAAAAGATAACTATTGGGTACTGGGCTTAATACCTGAGTGATGAAATAATCTGTAAGACAAACCCCTGTGACATGTGTTTACCTATGTAACAAACTTTCGCATGTATCCCTGAACCTAAAATAAAAGTTTTAAAAAAAACTGATTTTGGAACATTATCCAACCAATAATTATTTTAAACATTTTTAAGTAATAAGTGCTTCAAGTTTTCTATTTCTCTGTGACTTCCAAATTAGCCAGTGATGTTTGCAATCCTTTGTATGTCCTTTATACAGTTGTAGGATATCAGAGCCATCTCAAAATCTAAGTCAAGCCCAGACACTTCAGCCCCTACTTACAATAGAAATCAGGACATATTTTATCACTCAGTTACACATAAGGCATGAGACTTAATATATAGCCCAGGCTGTAGGAGTTATTAAAGAATGAAGTTATTTTGCCAACCTTACTTATACAACACAACATATAATATTTTGGCATAGATACTCTTTAACTCACTACATATTGGCTTATCTGCAAAGTCCAGTGTCAATGTGGAAATTATAAATAGTAGATCTGTTTGGCAAAGTCTCTGAGATTAATGAGTGTTATTGTCCCACAGAAGAAGAAATACCTCAAAATTATATTACAATATTCCCACAGCTCGTCAGTCTGTTCCAATGCCACATTCTGTTCATGGTTGCTTTTGGCAGTTACAATTTCTTGCATAGCCTTTGGTGTTAGTTATGTTATTCAGTCAAGATATAATGAAAACACACTCATTTATTGTCAATTACTGTTCAAAGCAAGAGGCAGAAAAAATTTGGCAAAAACTTTTCAAACAAGCTCACTGTCTGAGTTAAAGTTTTTCGTAATGACATTCTAGGAGAAACTCTTCACAAGAATAAAAATAGCAATTGTCAGAGTGGCTAACATTATGACACTTACTTTGCATACATCATCTCATTTAAGCCTCACAAAACACCTATGAAGTGAGTAGAATTATTATCCACATTTTATGGATTAAGATTTTGAAGGCCTGAGGGATAACTTGCTTAAGTTCACATACCTAATAAATCCAATTAAAAAATGGGCAAAAGATCTGTATAGACATTTCTCCAGACAAGACACACAAATGCCAAACAGGCATATGAAAATGTGCTCAGCATCACTGATCATCAGAGAAATGCAAATCAAAAATACAATGAGGTATCATTTCACTCCAGTTAAAATGACTTATACTCAAAAGACAGGCAACGACAAATGCTGCTGAGGATGTGGAGAAAAGAGAACCATCTTGCACTGTTGGTGGAAAGGTAAACTAATATAATCGCTTTGGACAACAGTTTGGAGGTTCCTCAAAAAACTAAAAATTGAGCTACCATATGATCCAGCAATCCCGCTGCTAGGTATATACCCAAAAGAAAGGAACTCAGTATATTGAAGAGATATCTGCACTCCCATGTTTGTTGCAGCACTGTTCACAATAGCCAAGATTTGGAAGCAACCTAAGTGTCCATCAACAGATGGATGGATGAAGAAAATATGGTATGTATACACAATGGACTGTGTATAGTATTCAACCATAAAAACAAATGAGGTCCTGTCATTTGCAACAACATGGATGGAACTAGAGTTCATTTTTTAAGTGAAATAAGCCAGGCACAGAAATTCAAACATCACACGTGCTCACTTATTCATAGGATCTAAAAATCAAAACAATTGAACTCATGAAGATAGAGAGTAAAAGGATGGTTACCAGAGGTAGGGAAGGGTAGTGAAGGTGAGTGGGGGAGAGGTAAGGATGGTTAATGGATTAAAAAAAAATAGTTAGAATGAATGAATAAGACCTAGTATTTGATAACACAACAGAGAAACTATAGTCAATAATAATTTAATTGCACATTTAAAAATAACACAAAGGATAAATGTTTGTAACACAAAGGATTAATGCTTGAGGGGATGGAGACTCAAGTTTCCATGAAGTGATTATTATGCATTGCATGCCTGTATCAAAACATCTCATGTACCCCATAAATATAGACACCTACTATGTACCCACAAAAATTAAAAATAAAAAAATCATGCTGCCCTTGTAACCATTAGTTTTCTAAGGGATTTATCTTTCAAAAATAATTGGTTAGATTATTGAAAAAAAAAAAAGGAAAGCCTACTGCATAGTTATGGAGCAAGGATGTATGTTAATCACACTTTCAGAGTCACAAATTAGAGCTTCTCATTGGAATATCTGCTGCATTCTATTTTTAATCTTCCATTGATCATGATATAAATAATTTACATGTGTATTATAGACACAGACATATTGCATCATTCACCAGGCTTCTATGGCAATAGTTGAGGTTTTAAGCTGTGGCTCTTCTGTGTGCTAGGTTTTCTTCTTTCCTGATTTTGTTCATGATCTTCTCTTCATTTGGAACATTCTTCCTCTCTTCTCCACCTTGTTAACTCCTTATCTTTAGAAACTTGTACCACACAACTCTTCTCTCTCATCTAAAAGATCTGCTTCTTCTTTGGAAAAAAATTATCAAGGCTATCTGACTCCAACTCAGATTAATCTGTTTTTACAGCCATTTTCAGAGCAGGGATTCTCTTTTTTAGTCTAAGTAAAATTTCTCCACCTTTGATCCTCCTATCCTGCCTCTTTCACTAAAATGTTATTCATTGATTTTTCCAGTTTTCTTCTATATGTTTACTTTCTCGATTGCCTTTTCTCTTGCAGCATTTAAATGTATTCACTTCTCTCCCACCTGAAAAGAAATTTTTCTTGCTCATTTGGACTTCTCTTGTCATTGTCCTGTCATTTCCCTCTTGAAAGACACTTAATATTTAGGCTTCAATTGATTGTATGTAAGTTATTTAGGACTCTATTCAATTCCATCAATACATATGTCTATTCTTATACCATTATCATACTGTTTTTATTAGTGTAGTGTTACAGAAAGTCTTTTTTTAGAATAAGAAATAGCATGTATTTATTTATTTTTATGGGTACATAGTAGTTGTATGTATTTATGGGGGTACGTGAGATATTTTGGCATGGTCATACAACGCATAACTATCACATCAGGGTAAAGGAGGTATCTATCTCCTCAAGCATTTATCATTTATCATTTATTTGTGTTACAAACATTCCAATTATACTCTCAGTTATTTTAAAAGTACAACAAATTACTGTTGACTGTAGCCACCCTGTTGTGCTATCAAATACTCAATCTTATTCATTCTCTATATTTTCATACTCATTAACCATACCCTCCCCACCACCCCTACACACCATCTACTCTTCTCAGCCTCTGGTTACCATCCTTCCACTCTCTATCTCCATGTGTTCAATTGTTTTGATTTTTAGATCCCTTTTCTCCACATTCTTGCCAACATTTGTTATTGCCTGTATTTTGGGTATAAGCCGTTTTAACTGGGGTGAGATGATACCTCATTTTAGTTTTGATTGGCATTTCTCTGATGATCAATGATGTTGAGCATCTTCTTATATACCCGTTTACCATTTGTATGTTTGTTTGTGTTTTTTTTTAGAAATGTCTATACAGATCTTTTGCCCATTTAAAATAAGATTATTAGATTTTTTTCTATTGAGTTGTTTGAGCTCTGTATGTATTCTGGTATGCATTCTTTGTCAGATGGCTAGTTTACAGATATGTTCTCCCATTCTGTGGGTTGCCTCTTCACTTTGTTGATTGTTTCCTTTGCTGTGCAGAAGCTTTTCAACTTGATATGATCCCATTTGTCCATTTTTGCTTTGGTTCCCTGTGCTTTGGAGGTATTACTCAAGAAATCTTTACCTTGACCAATGTCCTGGAGAGTTTCCTCAAAGCTTTCTTTTTGTATTTGTATATGACAAATACAAAATTTGTTGTGTAGTTTTAGGTCTTAGATTTAAGTCTGTAATCCATTTTGATTTTATTTTGTTCGTAGCAAGAGATAGGGGTCTCATTTAATTCTGCTGCATATGAATATCCAGTTTTCCCAGCACCATTTATTGAAGAGACTCTCCTTTCCCCAATGAGTGTTCTTGAAACCTTTGTTGAAAATTAGTTCATTGTAGATGTATGGATTTATTTCTGGGTTCTCTATTCTGTTCCATTGTCTACATGTCTGTTTTTATGCCAGTGTCATGCTTTTTTGGTTACTATAGCTCTGTAGTATAATCTGAAGTCAGATAATATGATTTCTCCAGTTTTATTTTTCTTTTTGCTCAGGATGACTTTGGCTATTCAGGGTCTTTTGTGGTTCTGTATATGTTTTAGGATAATTTTTTCTATTTTTGTTATGAATGTCCTTGATATTTTTATTGTGATTGCACTGAATCTGTAGATTGCTTTGGGTAGTATAAACATGTTAACAATATTGAGTTTTCTAGTCCATGAACATGGAATATCTTCCCATTTTTTTGGTATGTCCTCTTCAATTTCTTTCATCAATATTTTATAGTTTTCATTGTAGAGATCTTTCACTTCTTTAAGTTTATTCCTAAGTATACTATTTTATTTGTAGCTATTGTAAATGGAATTACTTTCTTGATTTCTTTTTCAGATTGTTCACTATTGGCATATAGAAATGATACTGAGTTTTGTATTCTGCAACTTTATTGAATTTATTTATCAGTTCTAATAGGTTTTTTGGAGACTCTAGGTTTTTACAAATATAAGATTATATCATCTGCAAACAAAGATAATCTGACTTCTTCCTTTCCAATTTGGATTCCCTTTAATTCTTTCTCTTGTCTGATTGCTTTAGCTAGAACTTCCAGTACTACATAAAATAATAGTAGTGAAAGTGGGCATCGTTGATATGTTCCAGATCTTAGAGAAAAGGCTTTCAGTTTTCCCCCATTCATTATAATACTAGTTGTGGGTCTGTCATATATGACTTTTATTATGTTGAAGTATGTTCTTTCTATACTCATTTTTGGAGGATTTTTATCATGAAGGGATATTTAATGTTATCAAATGCTTTTTCAATATCAATTGAAATGATCATATGGTTTGTCCTTCATTCTGCTGATATAATGTATCACATTGACTGATTTGCATATTTTGAAACATTCTTGCATCTCTGGGATAAATCCCAGTTGGTCATGATGAATGATCTTTTTTTTAATGTGTTGTTAAATTTGGTTTGCTAGTATTTTGTTGAGGGTTTTTGCACCAATGTCCATCAGGGATATTGGTCTGTAGTTTTCTTTTTTAATGTGTCTTTTTCTGATCTTGGTATCAGAGTAATACTAGCCTCATAGAATGAGTTTGGGAGTATTCTCTCCTCCTCTATTTTTCAGAATAGTTTCAGTAGACTGATACTAGTTCTTTAAATATTTGATAAAATTCAGCAGTGAAGCAAACAGGTCTGGGAAAGTCTTTATTTTACCTTTATGTTTGAAAGATTTTTTCACTGGATATGCTATCCTAAAATACAGTTTTTATTCCTTCAGCATTTTAAATATGTCATGCCACTCCTTCCTGGCCAAAAATTTTCCACTGAGAAGTCTGCTGCCAAACATATTGGAGCTCCTTTGTATGTTATTTGTTTCTTTATCATGCTGCTTTTAGGAACCTTTCTTTATCTTTGACCTTTGGGAGTTTGATTATTAAATGCCTTGACATAGATTTCTTTGGGTTAAATCTGGTTGGTGTTCTATAATCTTCTTTTACTTGAATATTGATATCTTTCTCCAGGTTTGGAAAATATTCTGTTACTATCCCTTTAAATAAATAGTCTATCCGGATCTCTCTACCTCCTCTTCAGCATAATTTAAATAACTGTTAAATTTGCCTTTTTGAGGCTATTTTCTAGATCTTGTAGACATGCTTTATTGTTTTTTTTTTTTTTGACCTCTTTATAGCAATTCTTTTTACCCAATACGTCATGTTTGGCTTTTAAAAAAAATTACAAGACCTATTAAAAGGAAAAAACAAACAGTTTGAGGAGACAGAGCAAGCCTCAAAACCAGGCTCAGATATGGCAGGATGTTAGAATTATAATACCGAGAATTAAAAATAACTATGATTAACATGTTAAGGGCTCTAGTGGACAAATTAAAAAGCATGCAAGAACTGTTAGGCAATGTAAGCAAAAAGACCAAAATCTTGAGAAAGAGACAGAAATAAATGCTAGAGCTAAAAAACATTTTTAAAGAAATAAAGAATTTCTGTGATGTGTTTATTAGTAGACTGAACATAGCTGAGGAAAGAATCTCTGACCTTGAGGATTTTTCAATAGAAATCTCCAAAACTGAAAAGCAAATAGAAAAAAGACAGAACAAACAAACAGGACAAAATATCCAAGGGCTGTGGAACAACTACAGAGATGTAAACATGTGTAATGGGAATTTCAGAAGGAGAAGAAAGAGAGAATCGAACAGAAGAAATATTTGAAGCAATAATGGCTGAGAATTTTCTGAAATTA
The DNA here is from genome assembly GCF_000001405.40 of Homo sapiens. Classification (NCBI taxonomy): domain Eukaryota; kingdom Metazoa; phylum Chordata; class Mammalia; order Primates; family Hominidae; genus Homo; species Homo sapiens. The sequence goes on from NC_000001.11 coordinate 185,615,275, forward strand.
ATCAGACAGAAAAACACAGACCCAGGAAGCTGAGAAAACACCAAACAGGATAAATGTCCAGAAAACTCCACCAAGGTGTATCATACTCAAAACTACAGAAAATCAAAAGTAAAGAAAAAGTCCTGAAAGAAGCCAAAGGAAAATAAGGAGCAAAATTTTCCTATTGAGGAGCAAAATAAGAATTACATGAAACTTCTCAGAAACAGAAAAGTAAGATGAGAATTGAGTAAAATGTTTAAAGTCCTCTGAGAGAAAACTGCATCTACCTAGATTTCTGTATTCTGTGAAATTGTCCTTCAAAGATGATAGAGAAATAGTTTCTCAGACTAACAAAAATTGAGGGAATTTATTGCCAGTAAACTTGCTTTGCAAGAAATGTTAAAAGAATTTCTTTAGAGAGAAGGAAAATTGTTAGGCCAGAAACTTGAATCTACATTAAAAAAAAAAAAAAAGTCAACACTTTGAGAGGCCAAGGCAGGCAGATACCTGAGATCAGGAGTTTGAGACCAGCCTGGCCAACATGGTGAAACCCCTACTAAAAATACAAAAATTAGCCAGGCGTGGGCGTGGTGGTGTGTGCCTGTAATCCCAGCTACTCGGGAGGCTGAGGCAGGAGAATTATTTGAACCTGGGAGGTGGAGGTTGCAGTGAACTGAGATCATGCCACTGCACTCCAGCCAGGGCAACAGAGCAAGACTCTGTCTCAAAAAAAAAAAAAAAAAATTCAAAGCTGGGCACAATGGCTCATGCCTTTAATCCCAACATTTTGAAAGGCCTAGGTAAGAGGATTGCTTGAGCCTAGGAGTTAGAGACCAGCCTGGGCAATATGGTAAAACCCTGTCTCTGCAAAAAACAAAAAAATTATCTGAGTGTGGTGGCACATGCCTGTAGTCCCAGCTACTCAGGAAGCTGAGGTGGGAGGATCATCTGAGCCTGGGGTGGTCAAAGCTGCAGTGAGCCATGATCAAGCCACTGTGCTCCAGCCTGAGCAAGAGAGTGAGAACTTGTCTCAAAAAAAAAAAAAAAAAAAGCATCAGAGAATAACTTGGCAAAAATAAAATAAAAACTTTCATTTTTCTTATTTTTAATTAATCTGACATGTAACAGTTTGCTCAAAGTAGTAATAGCAACAGTGTATTCATTATGTATAAGTGAGATGAATAACACCATTAATACAAGGGATGGGAGTGAGGAATTAAGATTATTTCATTATTATAAGGTACTTCCTCTACATGTGAAACACTATAGTGTTATTTGAAAGTGATCTTGAATTAGCTGTGAATAAATAGATTAGTTGCCATAAATATGTATTGTAAATTCTAGGCCAACCACTAAAAAAAGTAAAAAATAAGAAAAAATGAAATTATATAAAATGCTCAATTAAAACCACAAAAAGTAGAAAAAGACTATAAAACAAGAATAGGAACAAAGAACAAGTGCAACCAATTGAAAACAGTAACAAATATGGTAGATATTAATCTAACTGTATCAATAATCACTTTGAATGTCAGTGGTCTAAATGCACCAGTTAAAATACAGAGATTGTCAGCATGGATAAAAAAATAGGACCCTACTATATGTTGTCTACAAGGAAGCCACTTTAAATATAAAGACACATATAGACTAAAAATAAATGGATGGAGAAAGATATACCATGCTAACACTCATCAAAAGAAAGTGGGAATAGCTATATTAATTGCACACAGAGCAGATGTTCAGAGCAAAGAAAGTTATCAGGGATAAAGATGAGCATTGCATAATAATAAAGGGGTCAATTATCCAAGAAGATATCACAATCCTCAATGTGTATGCACTTAAATATAGAGCATCAAAATATGTAAGGCAAGACTGATAGACTGCAAGGAGATATAAATGAATGCATTCTTACGATTGGAAATTCTAACACCCTTCTTTCAGAAATGGACATATCCAGTAGGCAAAAAAATCAGCAAGGACATAGGTGAACTCAACAGCACCACTAATCTACTAGATATAATTGACATCAACAATAGAATACACATTCTTCTCAAGGCAACATTCAACATCCACCAAGACACACCACACTCTGGGCCAAAAAAACACACCTTAACAAACTTAAAAAAATGGAAATAATATAGTGTCTGTTCTAAGACCACAATGGAATTAAACTAGAAATCAATAATGGAAGGATAGTTAAAAAATCCCAAAATACTTGGAGATTAAACAACACACTTCTAAATAGAACATGGGTCAGAGAAAAAAATCTCAAGAGAAATTTTAAAATTTATAAACAAATGAAAATGCAACATTAAAATTTGTGGAATGGAGCAAAAGCAGTGCTTAGAGGCAAATTTATGGCACTGAATGAATATATTACAAAAGAAGAAAGATCTAAAGTTAGTCCTCTACACTTTCACCTTAGGAAACTAGAAAAAGAAAGCAAGTTAAATTCGAAGTAAACAGAAGAAAAGAAATAATATAAATTAGAAGAGAAATTAGTAAAATTAAAAATTTGTGCAAAACATGTGAAAAAGGAAAATTATAAAGAAAACCACTGGCTGGCTGCAGTGGCTGATGCCTGTAATCCCAGCACTTTGGGAGGCCGAGGTGAGTGGATCACCTGAGGTCAGGGGTTCAAGACCAGCCTGGCCAACATGATGAAACCCGTCTCTACTAAAAATACAAAAAGTGTGGTGGTGGGCACCTGTAATCCCAGCTACTCAGGAGGCTGAGGCAGGAGAATTGCTTGAACCCAGGATGCAGAGGTTGCGGTGAGCCAAGATTGCACCATTGCTTTCCAACCTGGGCGACGAGAATAAAACTCCATCTCAATAAAAAAAAAAAAGAAAGAAAGAAAAGAAAATCACTATAAGTGGTTCTTCGAAAAGATAAATAAAATTAATGAGCCCCTATCCAAGCTAACTAAGAAAAAAATAGAGAGGATACAAATTACTCATATCAGAAATGAAAGAGGTAACATCACTACAGATCCCATGGACATCAAAAAGATAATAAAGGAATACTATGAACAACCCTATGCTTACAAATTTGATAATGGATCAATTTCTTAAAAGACACAATCTGCCAAAACTCATAGAAGATAAAAACAATCTGAATAGGCCTATATCTATTAAAGAAACTGAATCAATAATTAATGACCTTCCAAACAGACAGCACCAAGCTCAGATAGGTTCACAAGTGAATTCTACCAAACATTTGAGGAATAAATTATACCAGTTTCTTTCAAAAGACAAAAACAGAAGGAATACTTAGTAACTCATTTATGAGGCCAGCATTAACTTAATACCAAAACCAGAGAAAAATATTACAAGAAAACTACTGACCAATATCTCTCATGAACATAGATGCAAAAATTCTCAAAAGAATATTAGCAAATTGAATCCAACAATGTATAAAAAGAATTATACGCCATCACCAAGTGGAATTTATCTCAGGTTTGCAAGGATGATTCAACATTTACAAATCAATTAATGTAATCCATTATGTCAATAGACTAAAAAAGAAAAATCACATAATTCTATCAATAGATGTAGAAAATGCATTTGGCAAAATCTAATATTTGTGATAAAAAATCTAGACAAACTAGGAATAGAGGGAAACGTTCTCAACTTGTTAAATAATACCCCCAATCCCCTGGAAAAAGAACCCTACAGTGAACATCATACTTAATGGTGGAAACTAGATACTCTCCAATTAAGAATGGGAACAAGGCGGGGCTGTTCTCTCTTAGCACTCCTCTTCAGCATTATGCTGTAAGTTTTTGCTAATTCAATAAGACATGAAAAGGAAATAGAAGGTATGTGGATTAGAAAGGAAGAAATCAAACTGTCTTTGTTTGCAGCTGACGTGATTGTCTATGTAGAAAATCTTCAAGAATAGGCAAAAAAAAAAATTCTGGAACTAATAAGAAATTATAGCAAGGTTGCAGGGTATAAGATTGATATACAAAAGCCAGTTACTTTCTTATAAATTAGCAATGAACAAATGGAATTGAAATTAAAAATGTAATGCCATTTATATTGGTACCCCACAAAATAAAATACTTAGATATAAATTTAACAAAATATTTGCAAGATTTATAGTAGAAAACTACAAAACTCTGATGAAAGGAGTCAGAGAACTAAATAGATGGAGGGATATTTCATGTTCATTGATAGAAAGATTCAATGTTGTCAAGATTTCAGTTCTAGACTGGGCTCAGTGCTCATGCCTATAATGCCACCACTTTGGGAAGCAAAGCCAAAGTGGGAGGATCACTTGAGGAGAGGGTTTGAGACAATCCCGGGCAAATAGCAAGCCTCCATTTCTACAAAAAATAAAATAACTAGCTGGGCATGGTGGCACATGCCTGTAATTGGAGCTACTCAGGAGGCTAAGGCAGGAGGATAGCTTAAGCTATATTACAGACACACACACACACACACACACACACACACAGACATACATATATATATGAATCTATAGATCAAGTTGGGAAGAACTGGAATCTTCATATATATACACATATAGTACATACACATACTCTGTATGATACTATAATGGTATATACATTTGTACAAACCCACAAAATGCACAACACCAAGAGTGAGTGAACCCGAATGTAAACTACAAACTTTTAGGTGATGATGGTGTGTCAGTGTAGGTTCATCAGTTGTAACAATTGTGTTACTCTGATGGGGGATGTTGGTCATAGAGGAAGTATGCATCTGTCTTAGTCCATTGTGCATTGCTATAAAGAAATGTGTGTATATATATATGGAATCTTCATATATGTGTATATATATATATACACATATATGAAGATTCCATATATATATACACACACATATGTGTGTATATATGTGTGTATATATGTGTTTTGCTCTTTTGTCAGAGATCAGTTAACTATATTTATGTGGGTCAAATTCTAGGCTCTCTATTCTGTTCCACTGATCTATGTGTCTATTCTTTAGCCAAACATATACACATATATATGTGTGTATACATATACATATACATATACATATATATGTGTGTATACATATACATATACATATATATGTGTGTATACATATACATATATATGTGTGTATACATATACATATATATGTGTGTATACATATACATATATGTGTGTATATATAAAGATTCCAATTCTTCCCAACTTGATCTATAGAGTCAATGCAATCCCAATCAAAATCCCAGTATGTTATTCTGTGAATATTGACAGACTGATTTTAAAGTTTATTTTAAGAGGGAAAAGGCCCAGAATAGCCAAAGAGCTACTTTAATATTCAAGAAGAATTAAAGTGGAGGACTGGCTCTACAATTTTTGAAGACTTACTGTAAAGCTAGAGTAATCAAGACAATGTACTATTGGCTAAACAATAGACACATAGATCAGTGGAATAGAATAGAGAGCCTAGAATCTGACCAACGTAAATATAGTTAACTGATCTCTGACAAAAGAGCAAAGGCAATTCAATGGAGTAAACGTAGTCTTTTCAACAAATGGCACTGAAACAACTGGACATCCACATGCAAGAAAAATGAATCTAGACACAAGCTTTACACCTTTCACAAAAACTCAGAATGAATCACAGACCTAAATGTAAAATGCACAACTAAAAAACTATTAGAAGATAACATAGGAGAAAATCTAGATGACCTTGGGGTTGGAGATGACTTTTTAGATACAAGACCAAAGGCATGATCCATGAAAGAAAGACTTGATAAGCTGGACTTCCTTAAAATTAAAAATTTCTATACTGTGAAAGACACTGTCAAGAGAATGGGAAGACAAGCCACAGATGGAGAGAAAATATTTGCAAAAAACAGCTGATAAAGGAGTGCTATCCAACACATACAAAGAACTCTTGAAACTCAAAAATAAGGAAACAAAAACTTGATCAAAAAAATACCAAAGCTGTCAACAGACACTTCACCAAAGAAGATAAATAGATGGCAAATAAGCATATGAAAAGATGCTCCGTATCATACAGTATTAGGAAAATGTGAATTAGACCAACAATGAGGTACCATATACACCTATTAGAACAGCCAAAACCTAGAACACTGAGAACACCAAATACTAGTGAAGATGTAGAGTAACAGGAACTCTCATTCTTTGCTCTTAAGAATGTCAAATGGTACAGCCACTTTGGAAGATAATTTGGCAGTCTCTTATAAAACTAAACATAGTCTTACCATATGATCCAGCAATCTTGCTCCTTGGTATTTGCCCAAAGGAGTCAAAAAACATGTCCGCATAAAAACCTGCAAAGTCTATATACCGTATGATTTCAACTGTACGGCATTCTGGAAAAGACAAAACTGTGATAACAGTAAAAAGATCAGTGGTTGCCAGGGCTTAGTGGGAGAGAGGAAGGCATGAACAGGCAGAGAACAGAGAATTTAAAAATCAGTGAAATTATTCTGTATGATACTATAATAGTATATACATTTGTCCAAACCCACAGAATGCACAATACCAAGAGTGACTGAACCCTAATGTAAACTGCAAACTTTTAGGTGATGATGGTGTGTCAGTGTAGGTTTATCAGTTGTAACAATGGTGTCACTCTGATGGGGGATGTTGGTCATAGAGGACGTATGCATCTGTCTTAGTCCATTGTGCATTGCTATAAAGAAATACCAGAGGCTGAGTAATTTATAAAGGAAAGAGGTTTATTTGGCTCATTGTTCTGCAGACTATACAAGAAGCATGGCACCAGCATCTGCTTCTAGTGAAGGTTCAGGAAGCTTTTACTCATGGCAGAAGGCAAAAAGGGAGCAGGTGTGTCACATGGTCAGAGAGGGGGCAAGAGAGAGGAGGAGGTGCCAAGACTCCCTAACTACCAGTTCTCCTGCAAACTAATAGAGTGAGAACCCCCTTGTTACTGTGAAGAGAGTACTAAGTCATTCATGAAGGATCTTCCCCCATGACCCAAACACCTCCCACTTGGTCCATCTCCACATAGGGGTCACACTTCAGCATGAGATTTGGAGGGCCTAAGTATCCAAACCATTATCAGCATGTATGGGGAGTATATGGGAAATCTCTGTACCTTCTGCTCAACTTTGCTGTGAACCTAAAACTGCTCTAAAAAATAAAGTCTACTAAAAAAACAAAAGCAAAAGTTGACCAAAACTAACTCAAGAAGATATAGAACAGCTGAGTGGTCTTATAAATATCAAAGAAATGAAATTACACACACAAATCAGTCTAGATCATTTTAAAACTCAGCTCTTTCAAATATTCCAAGAATTTCATATTTTTATAAGATAAAAAGAAAAATCATAAAGGTATGAAATATATATACTGGTAAAAGGAACAAGGGGCTAAGGAGATATGAACCAGTAGGAATATACAGCAAACAACATGTAGTTAAAATATAGAAAACAATCACAGACAGAACTGTGTGGACAAGTAGGTAAATTAACAATTATAGTTTGAGAATTTATTATACTTACCTCAGAAATTGAAAATAATATCCATAAAATAGCAAAATATAGATCTGGTGAATATCACCAAACAACTGAAGCCAACTGATATACGTCAGCCTATATATCCATCCATTATGGTCCTGGACAGTGCAACAAGACAAAAGAAATGAAAGTATAAGAAGTAAATGGAAGAGCTGAAAATACCATTGATGGCTGGGTGCAGTGGTTCACACTTGTAATCCCAACACTTTGGGAGGCCGAGATGGGTGGATCACCTGAGATCAGGAGTTTGAGACTAGCCTGGCCAAAATGAGGAAACCCCATCTCTACTAAAAATACAAAAACTAGCAGGGCATGGTGGTGCATGCCTGTAATCCCAGTTACTTGGGAGACTGAGACAAGAGAATTGCTTGAACCTGGGAGGCGGAGGTTGCAGTGAGCTGAGACCAGGCCATTGTACTCCAGCCTGGGCGACAGAGCGAGACTCTGTCTCAAAAAAAGAAAAAAGAATACCATTGATTATAGATGATATACTCATTGATAGAAAAAAACTGAAATAATCCATAAACTATTCAAATTAATAAAGTTCTTCAAATGTATTTGATACAGAATCAAATTTTAAATTAAAATATTTATCTACAATAAAAGAAATTGACTAGATAATAGCAAATAAGATCACATTCATATTAGCCAAAAAAATTCTAAGAGATCTAGGAGACAATAGGATAAAGAATGCACAAGACGTTTATGGAGAATATTTTAGGAGAAATTTATTGAAAGATACAAAAGAAGATATTATAAGATAGTGAAGTGACATCATTTGTCTGGGGTAATACCCAAGGTTCATTGTCTCATGCCAAGGAAATCAAGGATGTGGACACACAATGGGAGTGAGGTTAAGAGCGGAGGTTCAATAGGCAAAAGAAAGAGAAAAGCTCTCTCCAAGTGGGTTTTCTGGTCTGCGGCGAAATACAAGGGGTTTTATAGATGAGCTTAAGAAGGAGTGTCTGATTTACATAGGGCACGAAAGATTGGTTGGACCAAATGTGCCATTTGCATAACATGTGAAAAACTGGTTAACCAGTCAATTTCTTTTATTGTAGATAAACATTTTAATTTAAAATTTGATTCTGTATCAGATACATTTAGAGAACTGGTTCGGACTAGGTGTGCCATTTGCAAAGCATGTGAAAATCTGGCCACCCCACCTTAATCTTTTATTATGCAGATGGGTTCTCTAACTGGCTGGTGCCATGTTGCCTCTTCCTTTACTGTACACGTGGTGACAAAGAAAAGGGAAAATGGAGCCTCCATGTTGAACATACCTGGCCCTCAGGTAGCCCTTCTCTATCGGCGCTGCTGCTGACATCCACCCGTGCAAGCTTCCAGCTTCCTTATCTATGTCTACAGCTCTATTTTTCAGGCTGCTCTTTGTTAGAAAAGAAATGATTTTGGGGGCTACTTTTTGTTAAAAGGGAAGCTCTGCCAAGGACTCTCTTACCTTCACTATCTGTCTAAATAATTTCTTTTAGCTCCTTTATCAATAGTACCGTATACCATGCTCATTTATGGGGAGCTGTAGAATTTTAAAGATGATAGCTGCTTTCGAATTAAGGAATGTATTCAAAGTCTTTTTAATAAATTTCCTGATAAAATTGTTTTGGAGCTTTTGACAAATTGATTATAAAATTATACAGAAAAATAAAGGTACATGAAAAGACAAATTTACAAAAGAAGAGAAAGAGGGATACTTTATCAGATATGAGCAATTGAAAATAAAAAGTGAGGTTTTTCATAGAAATAGAAACTGCCAATGAAAGAGAAAAGGAACTCAGAATATCTCACATATTAATATGAAGTTGGCATATGATAGAGGTGGTATCTCATCATGAGGAAAGAATAGATTATTAGTAGATGGTACTGAGGAAAACAGAATCACTAGGTAGAGAAAAATAAATTTGGATTCCTAGCTCATACCATATATGAAAATAAAGTTTAAATGAACTGAAGACCTAAAAGTGAGAGGTAAAGCTAAAATCTTATAAAGAAAATATGGAAAGATATGTTTGTGAGTTAGGATTGGAATACCTTACTTCAACAGGATCGAAATGCACTGTAAAAGGAGAAAAACATAGCTTTGACTCTAGCACAATTAGATTTCTGTTCAACAGAGGACACCATAAAATTAAAAGATAGATGACAGACTGTGGACAGTTGCAAGTTTTAGTGGGCAAGAGCAAACTTTCCCTTTGCTCTCTGAAGGTTCCCTGAAAATCAACTGACAAAAGTCCAAGATTAATAGGAGAAAAGGCATCCAAATGTATTAATGTGCATGGGCGGGGGGGAAATCACAGAGTAATTACCCACCATGCTGTGGAGTACAGATGCTTCTATATCCTTTTTCATAGGGGAAGGGGGAGATGGGGAAATACAGACAATTCTTCTGAGGGGCAGTAAACAATTATTAGGGAGAATGAATGGACCCAAGGCAGAAATTAACTTATAAATAATTCCCTTTGGAATTTGAATGAGCCTGAGAAGCAGGCATTATCTTGTGGAAAAATCCATCCAGATGTGGTTGCATTCTTCTGTCTTTTCCACTATAGGTAAGGAGGTAAGGGTGGGGTGGAGGGTGGGGGAGAGAAGGCAATTTGTGGGTGTGTGTGTGTGTGTGTGTGTGTGTGTGTGTGTGTATGAGAGAGAGAGAGAGAGAAACAGAGAGAGACAGAAAGAGGAGATTTCTTGTTTTGCTTTGCTGTTGTTCAGAAGCTTTCTTGGTCAGATAAGGAAATTCCAGAGAGTCTTTCCCTGTTTCCCTGTGCTGGGGGCGGGGGACCCAAGACAATTTTAAATTGATTCTGAGGCTTATTTCTGAGGCCTTTCAATTTTCAGAAGCACTCACCATGCCCAAGTACCATGTTTTAAAGAATCATTTTCTGCACTCCAACAAATGTCTAAGAAAGTCAAGGGATTATTACTATTTAGGGCAAACTTGTCCAACCTGTGGTCCATGGGCTGCATGTGGCCCAGGACAATTTGAATGCAGGCCAACACAAATTCATAAACTTTCCTAAAACATGAGATTTTTTGTGATTTTTTTTTTTTTTTAGCTCATCAGCTATTGTTGGTGTTAATGTATTTTATGTGTAAGCCAAAACAATTATTCTTCCAGTGTGGCCCAGGGAAGCCAAAAGATTGGACATCCTGATCTAGAGTACATGAGCAATACCTGTAAATCAATGAGAACAAGATAGAAAACAAGTAGAAAAATGGGGGAAATATATGAATTGGCAAGTCATGGAAGAGGAAACCCAAATTGTTAGCATGTGTAAAAAGAGATGAGGGCCTGGCACAGTGCCTCACACTTGAAATACCAGCATTTTGGGACGCCAAAATGGCAGGTCACTTGAGCCCAGGAATTTAAGACCAGCCTGGGCAACATGGTAAAATCTCATCTCTACAAAAAACAAAAAATTAAATGGGCATGGTGGCACACACCTGTGTTCTCAGCTACTCTGAAGGCTGAGGTGGGAGGATCACTTGAGCCCAGGAGATGGAGGTTGCAGTGAGCCGAGACTGCACCACTGCACTCCAGCCTGGGTTACAGAGTGAGACCCTGTCTCCAAAAAAAAAAGATAGATAGATAGATAGATAGATAGATAGATAGATAGATGTCAAGTTCAGTAGTAGTTATGGAACCACTCTCACTGGGTTAACAAGAATTATAAGCCAGGCTTTAGACAGAATTATAGTTAGGCATCATTCAGAGTGCACTGGTGCACTTTGACTCACTTCTCTGCAGCTGCTGAGAGTCATTTAGGATGCTGGCCACCTGGTACCTGCTCCCCCATTGTGCCTGTAGATAGAATTTCTGATGTTAGAATGATAGGAGCTTCTTGCTCAAGAGCTTACGGCGTTTTCAAATTCCAGCAGGTCTGAGGCCAACCAGTGTGAAGATCCCCCACCCACCCAGAAACAGACTTAGAACAAAAAATGTAGTTTCTTCATCTCCCTGTCCCAAGGTATCACTCTGAGCTTCTCGTCTAATCAGTGATTCCCACACTTCAACCCCAGTTAATACCTCTTAAAAACAACCCCAAAACTCTTGGGGAGACATAGTTGAAGTTTCCTCTGGTCTCCTCATTCAGCTGCCCTACAGGTATTAAACTCTGTCTCTGCTGTATCCCAAGTGTCTCAGTTTATTGACTCACTGCACATCGGGCAAATGAACCTATTATGGTTACAATTAGATAAATGATAATTTTAAAGTTCCTAATTTACACAGATCAGATTGACAATAAGTAGAAGGTTAGATGATACAAATGCTGGTTAAGAATACATTCTTGTCTAGGCATAGTGGCTCATGCCTGTGATCCCAGTACTTTGGGAGACCAAGGCAGGAGGATTGCTCAGCCCAGGAGTCAAAGACCAGGCTGGGCAACACAACAAGACTCTGTCTCTACAAAAAAAACCAAAAAATTAGCCAGGTGTGGTGGTGCATGCCTGTGGTCACAGTTACTAGGGAGGCTGAGGCAGGAGGCTGAGGTGGGGGATCGCTGGAGCCTGGGATGGTGAGGCTGGGTGAACTACGTTTGCAGCACTGTACTCCAGCCTGGGTGACAGTGTGACCTTGTCTCAAAAACAAAAGCAAAAGTAAACAACAAAAGGAATACACTTCCCAAGAGAGTCCAGACTGGCACAGCTATTTGGAAAAGCAGTCTGGCAGCATAGAGGGAAATTTGATCTGTATATACTATTTGAGCCAAAATGTACACTCCTGTTTATTTACTCCAGAGAAACCCATCATATATATTAGAATACTCAATCCATCTTTCTGGTAGCCGGCAACTAAGTGTTTATTACTAGAAAATGGATAAAGGACACACTGGAAGAATGCATTAGAATATTCCATTGCAGCCAGAAGTAATGACTTAAATAGACATGCAGCAACATGGATACATCTAAAAATTCAGTGCTGAGTGAAAAAAATAAGAAATGGAATTTGAGCAATGACGTAGTATCATTTGTCTGGATTAAAATGTATAAAGATGCAAGCAAATATTACAATTTTTTAGAGATACATATATACCTGATATATATTAAACAAAATGGAATGAGTGCCTCTGCAGGAGGAAGGAAAATGGGAATGGGGATGGGGGTGAAGAGAAAAAAATATATTAAACAAGGATGAGAGCTTCTGTGAGCCTGTGGAGATAGCATGCGATGACAAAGAAGCAGGATTAACTCAACTGTGTGCCCTTGAGGTTCAAAGAGGAATATATGAATCCAGCCTCCCTCTTTTTAGCCTTTTATCTGAATTGCTTACAGCTCCTAAGAATTTTCTGTGTTCTATCCTCTGCCATGGAAATTGGGAAACAGTTCCTATGATATGTTGATGCCTTGGCTGAATTTTAATTTTTCTAGATGGGCCTCAAGAAACAAGTAAATTTATGTATTGTGAGAAAAAAAATCTAAATGTTAATTAGCCCAAAAAGAAAAAGAGTTAAAGGGGAGAATCGCTTTATGATTGAATTCATTTGAATATCTGGCAGAAAGTAGTAAAGGTGAGTGGGGAAGGGAAAGTATGGTAATTTCCATTCAGTGACTGGTTCACTGGGGTTCAGTCTTGCTTTGAATTAAGTCTTAGGGGAGGCATATTAAGTTTCTAATCTCATTCTCAGGCCAGGGGTTAATGTCTTTCTCCTACCTTATAGTCCTGAGTTTTGGGATATCCCTGAGTTCTTCATTGATCACTGGGGCATGACCAGCCTTTCAAGAAGCCTTGGCCTTGCCTGAAAGTACTATAGCAGCAGCATCTGTGCAAATGTGGGTGGTCTTTATGATGTCAGAAGACAAGGTGAATATTCTATTTTCACAATAAAGCACCATCTTTGTTGAATCTGTGCCTGTATTGGCTAGAAGAAATCATGTGTGTAAGGGTCTCAGCACAATAACAAAAATTTCTCATACTAATTTTTAAATGCAAGGTTCTAATGTTTTGTTAATGCTCAGACCTTCTATTTCAGCTCTAAAAGCTGAAATTTCTATTTTAGCTATAAAGTCTAAGCTCACTATGCTTGAGAATTCAGCCTTTTCTGTGGCACCTCTGCAGTTTGAAAATCTCTGCTTCGTTTGGTCTGAGGAGAGAATTGCATCTTTGTTTCTCATTCTGAAATTTAGACATGCTGATTTATTTTTGTGGCTCATTTGGGGAGTTCATGTTTATTTCTTTTTTAATTGCCACTAAGAGACAAAGTATAAACTTTTGAAAAACTTCTAACACATCATAATGAAGAAGCATTAAACAATCATAATGAATCATAATGAAGAAGCATTAAACAAGAAGTTTAATGACATAATATTATTTAGCAACCATACTTATTTGTGTTGGAGGACATATACACAAATGTAAACATTATCTGCTGAGTTACAACAGTACAGAAAAAAATGAAACTTCTGGTGCTGTTCAGGATAAGCTATTTTTTTCTTCAAATATCCCATTATAAATTTTCTGTGCAGTTTTCTTTGCAGACAGAATTCTGTGCAAGATTTCAGATTTGAAATCCTTTAACCCTTAAAATGGAGTAAGAAAGCTATGTGGTAACTGTACCAAAATTGGGGAAGCAACTTGAGCTTCCAATTAGCTTAAATTGGAGAATTATAGCAAATTCAGAAAATAAAATGGAGACAATGGAAGAACCAGTTTTCAGTCAGAATATGATAAGTGTGATTTGGGGCATGCTGTGTTTAAGATTCCCGCAAAATATTTAAATGTTGCTGTGGTTGTGGTAGAGCAATTGGCTCAACAGGACAAAGTATGGAATAGAATATCTATTTGGGGGGTCATCTCTGTGGTTCACTGAGCTATTATTATATGCAAAGCAGTACTGCATATATATTAATCATCTTATAAATGGGAAACTGAGGTAAGGAAAAGTTGAATAAATTACCTAAGATCCCAGAGTTAATATAAGGCAGAGCTGAAATTCAAACCCAACTAGTTCTTGAGATGTTATGTGGTTATCAAATAACTTTCTGGAATTAAAAAAAACCTAGCAGGTCAGAACATAGAAAGGATGTGCTTTTTAGTTTCTATCAACACACATCTTATATGTGTACTTTGCCCACTATTTATAGTGAAAGCAATTTAAGTTTTGTGCCATGATGTGTTATAGTTTCAGGTGAAAGCATATTTTATTGAGCTACTAAAAGAATAAATTTGATTTAGTTGAGAAGTACAAGGGCTCCAATATAAATTCCATATAGAGTCATCCCCTGGTATCTACAACGTATTAGTCCTAGGACCCGTGAAGACACCACAATCCAAGGATGCTCATATCCCTTACATAAAATGGCATAGTACATAGTGTCACTGAACTATGGGAATTTGTTCTGAGATGCGTCCTTAGGCAATTTTGTTGTTGTGTGAATGAACATCATAGAGTATACTTACACAAATGTAGGTAGTATTTATCTACTTAAGCATATCTAAACATAGAAAAGGTACAGTAAAAATATGGTACTATAATCTTATGGGACCACCATACGATATGCGGTCTGTCCTTGACCCAAATATTGCCATGCAGGGCTTGGCTATATTTGCATGTAACCTAAGCACATCTTCCTGTGTACTTTAAATCACCTCTAGATTACGTGTAATACATAATGCAGTGTAAATGCTGTATAAATAGCTGTTATGTTGTATTATTTTTACTTTATTTTATTTTTTTAAGGCTACTCAAATGAAGCAGTGGGAGTGGAGAAAAAACAAAGAACTCTGTACTGGTTGTGATCAGTTAGTTGTAAACACCACTGCTTTCAGGCCAGCCTATTTGTATTATTTTTAATTGATGTATTCTTAATTTTTATTGTTTTAGTTTTTAAACAATATTTTGGATCCATGGTTGGTTGAATTTGTGTAGATGGGGAACATGAGGACACAAAAGCATCAACTGCAGTGGGTAATCTTGAAATGCATCATCAGAGAAATCTCCAACATTAGATTGCTGGGATGATGAAGGTAATTCTGCAATACAAACAATGTTTTCTCCACGCTGTTGACAACATTGGAGAAATTGACCTTCAACAATCTCACAAATTAATCAAATTTGCTGGATTTAGGTATTGGAGCCACATTAGCCTTTTAAACATTCTTTGGATAAGTGGATTCTTCTGTGATTGGCTAACAAATGCCACTCTTCCCATTTCCAATCTCTTACTAGAAATATTCTGAATACGGTGGACCCTAATATCTCACTTCTGCCTCTTTATCTAGAAGACCTCCTTCTGCCTCCACTAAGGACAGGAAACAAACCTCTTTGTACTTCAGCTTGTTGTTGTGTTTTGTTTTTGTTTTTTTAGTTTTCCCTTTCTTGGCACTCAAGCCAATTTGTTTTACCAGCACGTCAGTGAGAAGTTGAAGATCTGTGTTTGAGCCAATGAATTGTCAAGAGCCCTATAGTAGCTGCACAGGATGCTCAATTTTGCTTGTTTTCAGATAGGTTACAGACCTCTCAACATACAACTCTTAGGCTGGGTGATATTTGACTAAATAGATTAGAAATCAATTTAAATATTAAATCTGTTTCAACTTTAAGAAGAGTTCTTACCAATTGCTTTTCAGTAGATTTTTACAGTGATACTGCTGGCAATTTTTATATTTTGTTTGTAGAAATCTCATCATATCTGCCAAGGATTTGAGAATGTGTAGATCTTCAATAATTTATATTTTTTAAGATACAGGGTCTTGCTATTCTGCCCAGACTGGAGTGCAGTGGCTGTTCACAGACACAATCTTAGTGCACCACAGCTTAAATTCCTGGTCTCCAGTGATGCTCCTGCCTCAGCCTCCTAAGTAGCTGGAACTAGAGGTGTGCAGCACTGTGCCCAGAGGCATTTTTAATTAAATAACATTTACAGGTAAAAGCCCAATTTAAATTATGACATAAACATTAATGGAAACTAAGATCATCCATATAATAATACAAGTCAACAGGCACAAAGGCCTCTGGCCTATATAATGGTACTTGAAAAAAAATCCAGCTCAGTAGTTTCTATAACATTTATGGCTGTTTATGGTTTTTCACATGTCTAATATTTCATTTTCAAAGATTCTGATAACAAATAACTTAAGAGAAGAAGTATAATTTTTTTCTTAAAGGACCCATATGCTTTACCAAAAACCTGAATTTTTTTGAATCTCTATTAGCAGTTCTAGGAAGCACAGTAATACTACTTAAATGATAGTAACAATAGTTATTTTTAACATCTCCTAAATTCTATCTTTCCAGAGCAGTATGCCTGTCTCCCATATTTTCCGCTTCATCACCAATGCTATTCTCCATCCTAGATGTGTAGCTATGATACTATTTTTTCTCTGTTTCACTGATTTTTAATTTGGCATGTGACAGAAAGATAAATCTTGGGGCCCTCAAATCACTAAGCTAAAGGGAAAAGTCAAGCTGGGAACTGCTCAGGGCCAACCTGCCTGCCATTCTATTCAAAGTCACCCCTCTGCTCACTGAGATAAATGTATATCTGATTGTCTCCTTGGAGAGGCTAATCAGAAACTCAAAAGAATACAACCATTTGTCTCTTATCTACTTATCCTAGAAACCCCCTCCCCACTTCTAGTCTTCCTGCCTTTGCTTCCAGTTGTCCTGCCTTTCCAGACCAAACCAATGTTCATGTTGTATATGTTGCTTGATGTCTTATGTCTTCCTAGAATGTGTAAAACCAAACTGTGCTCTGACCACCTTGAGCACATGTTATCAGGACCTCGTGAGGCTATGTCACAGGCACACTTTTCTCAACCTTGGCAAAATAAACTTTTTAAATAAACTGAGACCTGTCTCAGATTTTCTGGGTTCACAGGCAATATTTATTTTTAATTTTTAAAATATCAATAATCTTAGTGTTTATCATTTACCTATTATGTACATAGTGCTGGAGTGGGTGGTGTGATTGAGAAATGTTATCTAATTGGAGATGTGATCTGACAGACCCAAACAGACACCCCTTTATCAACTGAAATGAAGCCTAAGGTTAAAGAAACAAAAGTTGTCTACAGGTTGACAGTTCAGGGCTTGGCTGGCATGGCAACTTCCTAAATTCTTATGGCTACAAGAACAAACCACACTCTTGCTAAATTACCCAACAATAGGAAATATCAGCCAAATTGTCAGAGCTTTCCTAACTCTCACTTACAACCCAAACCACTACAACTCTGATTGGACAGGGGACTGGTCTTGCGAACATTCTTTTCTAATAAGCAACTGCAGCACTTAAGCCAGTTTCAGTCCATTTATAATGGCTGTGAACAAACTGTCTTTGTGTCCTATAGTTCACCTTTTGATGCAAAAAGCCAAATTCCACCTCATTTTAATGCTAAAACCCCACCAAAAGTGAACATTGGATGTATATTACATATATGTGTCCCCATTGCACATGTGCTTGACTCCTTTAATAAATATGTTTATCTTGTTCCCTAAAGCTGCTGAGTATGTATGACTCTATTGAGTAATACAGATGCTGTGAGGCATAAAGCCCGACTTACCTGTTCCTGTTTTGAAGACAGCATTTTTGCTTCGTTCTGGAGACTATCTCTTTCTGGTCTGCAAACTGACATTGTTAATAACGCTCTCCTTTCTACTATTTAGCCACCCTGGTGGTCTTTTGGAGGATAGAGAGAAGAGCTATACCTGTCTTTATTAGTTAGGGTAGACTGTAACCAATAGAACCAAAGTGTTATGTCTCAAAAAGAGTAGAAGTTTATTTCT
The DNA here is from genome assembly GCF_000001405.40 of Homo sapiens. Taxonomy (NCBI): domain Eukaryota; kingdom Metazoa; phylum Chordata; class Mammalia; order Primates; family Hominidae; genus Homo; species Homo sapiens. Next base: position 185,633,478 of record NC_000001.11, read on the forward strand.
CCCTTGGGTAATTGTTAAGGTTATTATTGATTATTCTGGGGTGGTAGAAGCCTTCACTCATTGTAATCATTCAGGAACGCAAGCTGCTGGAAAGCCACCATCTTCAACGTGTTACTCAGGTCTTCACTGACATCATTCAGCTTTCAGGAAGGGGGAACAACATGGAAAGATACTGCTGGGAGGTTTTATGGGCCCAGCCTGGCAGTGGCATACATTACTTCCACTTTCCTTCCATTGTAAAGAACATAATCTTTTAGGTGCCTAACTGCAAGAGGGTATAGGAACCATAAAAGAAGGGAAAAATGGAGTTTGATGGACAATTAGCAGACCCTGAAAAAATGTCAGAGAGGTGAAGCAATGAGAAAATAGCAGGGGGTACGTGCCAAACAGAGAGGTGGAAATCATTAAAAAAAATTTAGGAGTTGAGAGAACATAGAAATCGGTATGGAATAAAGCCATTGGGAAGAGCATCACTCAGGAGATGGGACATGATGGGACAAAAGAGCATACATTGGATAAATGGATAAGAAAGATGACAAGTGGGGGAGGGGATGCCTTTCCCTTGTTTCTCTGTTTTTCTTCCTTTTCCTTTTTTTTAAAATTAGTCAAGTGTAGTACTGAGAAACGGGGAAAGAGTAGAACAAGGAGTTGGATCTGTAACTGACTGAATAATCAAATGAGATAACTCACTACCTTCAGACAGCTGGATCTTCCTCCTTTACAAATGGAATCGGTCTTCCCCTCACAATGTCTTTAATGCCACTGTCATAAGAAATCAGGCAACTATGTGTCTTCTATTTTTTTTTTAGACAGTGTCTCACTCTGTCACCCAGGCCGGAGTACAGAGGCAGAATCATGGCTCACTGCAGCCTCGAACTCCTGGGCTCAGGTGATCCTCTCACTTCAGCCTCCTGAGTAGCTGGGACTACAGGTGCATGCCACCACATCCAACTAATATTTCTATTTTTTGTAGAGTTTGGGTTTTACCATGTTGCTTAGGCTGGCTATATCTCTTTTTGATAATGCTTTGACCACCCTACTGAAACTGCCCTAATTTCCTCTCTTTTCCTTTCTCTTTTATTACTACACTCATGCACACACAGAAAGAGACGAACATTGACTTGGAAAAATTTGCCTTTCGTTTTTGGCATTTCTTCTCTGATCTCAACTTGACAATCTATGGCCTAATGATTAAAACACCTTAAACAACTTTCATGCATTTACATACTGGGCATGTGATATGGTTTGGCTATGTCCCCCACCAACTCTCATCCTGAATTGTAGCTCCCATAATCCCCACATGTCATGGGAGGGACCTGGTGGGAGGTAATTGAATCATGGGGGCAGGTTTCTCCTGTGCCGTTCTCCTGATAGTGAGATCTGATAGTTTTAGAAAGGGTGGTTCTTGTGCACATGCTCCCTTGCCTGCAGCCATGTAAGACATACCTTTGCTCCTCCTTTGCCTTCTGCCATGATCGTGAGGCCTCTCCAGCCATGTGGAATTGTGAGTCCACGAAACCTCTTTTTCTTTACAAATTACCCAGTCCCGGGTATGTCTTTATTGGCAGTGTGAGAACAGACTAATATAGCAAGTGTTGGAAACTGTGGGTAGAAAGGTAAATGAAACAGAATTCTTGCTCTTGAGAAACATGAAAAAGGGAAGCTAATAGATTAATTCTTGAACATCATCTAATTTGGATCCTTACTCCAATTTTGTGTGTTTTGCAAAATAGATATTATTTTTATTATTTTGTTAATGAGGAACTTGGAAATTATAACTTAACTGATTTCCGCAAGCTAGGCAATATTGTAGCTAGTGATGGAAATTTTTCCCTTGTCAGTGCTTCCCTGCTGCTGTTCCAACCCACTCAGCTTCTTTTTTATTTTCTCTAAATTGTTTTCTTGCATATTCCTGTTTATAGCTATTCCCAGTAACTAAAATAATATATCTCTTTAAGAATTTTTTTTATTTTATTCATAATTATTATTAATAAAGATGAGGTCTCATGTTGCCCAGACTGGAGTGCAGTTGTATAATCATAGCTCACTGCAGTTTCAAATTCCTAGGTTCAAGTGATTCTCCTATCTCAGCCTCATGAGTGGCTAGGACTACAGGTGCACACCATCATGCCTGACTAATTTTTTAACTTTTTGTAGAAATGCTTTGTTGCCCAGGCTGGTCTTGAGCTTCTGGCTTCAAGTAATCCTTCCACCTTGGCCTCCCAAACTGCTGGGATTACAGGCTAAAATGATGTATTTCTTGCAATCAGTTGTTATTTCTGTAAATTCACTTTAACCATACATTTTCTTATATTCTCAGCTACAATATTTCTACTTTAATTATTAAAGCAAAGGAACATACAAAAAACAATAAGCAAATTTTATAGGTAAAATATGAAGAGCAGACTTCTGGAATGAAATATATATATGTGTGTGTATATATATGTGTATAAATATATATGTGTGTGTGTGTGTGTATATATATATATATAAAAATTATGAGCTTTGTGGGAAATTCGGGAGTTGAGAATTTAGTACAGAAACATATTCTATTGCCAAAATTATGAAGTAGGAAAATTGTCCCACTCACATTCCCTCCAGTTCCTCATAACAGACATCCTTCCCTCCCTCCCTCCATTTATCCATCTATTCATTCATTGTTTTTCACAGCACAGTTATTGTGGATCTAGTATATGGTAGGTACTGTTGTGTGCTGAAAGTACGAAGACACAGGTTCTACCCTGGAGGGGGAAGGCAAATGAACCAAAAATTACAGAATATTCTTCAGCTGCCCAGAGTCCTTTGGCTTCAAGGCCAGGTCCAGGTCTGGATTCCCAAGACTGAAAACTTTATCCTGGACTTTTCCTTTCCCAGCCTATTTACTCTATCTGTAAGAGATAAATGATTTTCTCTTATATGGGACATGGAACTCATTATCTCAAGACATGTCACAAGCTAAAAATATAAACAAACAGCTTAACAAAAACAAAAGAGTTAAGATAAATTCATGTCTGATATTCATAGTTGGCTCCAAATAAAAACTAGGACACTTTGACTTCTGAAAGTTATGGCAAGAACAACCAAGGCTTTCTATGATACTTTGGAATCACTGTCACCAGGAAAATTGAGATTGTCAATTGAAGAATGAGGAGGTTCATAAAAGGAAAGGAGAGCTTTATTTCTTATAAAGGATTGTAGCCTACAGGTAGCCATTCTGACAGGCTTGGAAGTGTAGTCTATGACAGCACTGGTAACAGGCCCTTCAAGAAGGGAAAGTGTAAGACAGGAATTCATGCTGAATAGGGTAGCCAAACATACATACTCAATAAGGTAAAGGAGAAGTCATGAATATTTATGAAGGGAGAATATGCAAATGTGCAATTGAGCTTCATGCTTTTTCATGAGTAACATGTTGAAAAAATGGTGGTGTTAGCATGATCTGAGGGTGCAGTTTTCAGCCCTCTGATGTCAACAGGTGAAGCAGAAGACACAAAAACCCACACTGCACATCCTCTGTGAGTGACTCAAAACTGGTCTAGACATGGTGGTCAGTTTTTAGGAAGAGGTGCATTGTGAAACTGGTGAATTGTCATGTTGAAACTGCAAAGAGGCAGGTAGAGTCTGGTAGCAGCCTCAGATAACTGGCAGAAGATGGTAAAGAAATGAGTTGTCTGTTTCTTGTTTTCTAGAGCTGGTTTCTGCTTACTCCTTGGAAAAGAATTCTGGTTAAAGATCAATAAGGAAGGGGCATGCTAAGGCATGTCTGACCTCTCATCCCATCATGGTCGGAAACTCAGTGTTTAAGGTTTCTCTGTTGTCCCCTTGGTTGAGAGGGGGTCCTTTTAGTCAGCTGGGTGTTGGGGGGCAGTTTAGGATTTTGCTTTTATTTTTCAAAAGTAACAAGAGAAAGAAAGAAATGGAGAAATAAATATGTAAACAAGTGTACTTCATCAGGTTGGGCTTCCATACTAGGAAACTTAATTGACTTTTTTCTGGTTGTGACATGGTGACATTTTTAAAAAATGTTCCTTTTAGGGGAGAAAATTATGCAAAAAGGAAAAGAATACTTTTGAGAAAAATTGGAGGGTGGTTTATTTATTATCTGAACTATGCATAGACTTGAATAATCTTTTGATTAGAGTCTTTAGTGTCCTTCAAGAAGGGAAATAGAGGGTTGGAGCCAAGATGGCCGAATAGGAACAGCTCCAGTCTACAGCTCCCAGGGTGAGTGACGAAGAAGACAGGTGATTTCTGCATTTCCAACTGAGGTACCGGGTTCATCTCACTGGGGAGTGCCGGAGAGTGGGTGCAGCGCACCTTGCATGAGCCAAAGCAGGGTGAGGCATCGCCTCACCAGGGAAGTGCAAGGGGTCAGGGAATTCCCTTTCCTAGTCAAAGAAAGGGGTGACAGACGGCACCTGGAAAATCCAGTCACTCCCACCCTAATACTGCACTTTTCCAATGGGCTTAACAAACAGCACCCCAGGAGATTATATCCCACATCTGGCTTGGAGGGTCCTATGCCCACGGAGCCTCCCTCATTGGCTAGCACAGCAGTCTGAGATCAAACTGCAAGGCAGCAGCAAGGCTGGGGGAGGGGCGCCCGCCATTGCCAAGGCTTGACTAGGTTAACAAAGAGGCTGGGAAGCTCGAAATGGGTGGAGCCCACCACAGCTCAAGGAGGCCTGCCTGCCTCTGTAGGCTCCACCTCTGGGGGCAGGGCACAAACAAAAGGCAGCAATAACCTCTGCAGACTTAAATGTCCCTGTCTGACAGCATTGAAGAGAGTAGTGGTTCTCCCAGCACGCAGCTTGAGATCTGAGAACAGGCAGACGGCCTCCTCAAGTAGGTCCCTGACCCCCAAGTAGCCTAACTGGGAGGCACACCCCAGTAGGGGTGGACTGACACCTCACATGGCCGGGTACTCCTCTGAGACAAAATTTCCAGAAGAACGATCAGGCAGCAGCATTTGCGGTTCACCAATATCCACTGTTCTGCAGACACTGCTGCTGATACCCAGGAAAACAGGGTCTGGAGTGGACCTCCAGCAAACTCCAACAGACCTGCAGCTGAGGGTCCTGACTGTTAGAAGGAAAACTAACAAACAGAAAGGACATCTACACCAAAAACCCATCTATACATCACCATCATCAAAGACCAAAGGTAGATAAAACCACAAAGATGCGGAAAAAACAGAGCAGAAAAACCGGAAACTCTTAAAAATCAGAGCACCTCTCCTCCTCCAAAGGAACGCAGCTCCTCACCAGCAATGGAACAAAGCTGGAGGGAGAATGACTTTGACAAGTTGAGAGAAGAAGGCTTCAGAAGATCAAACTACTCCAAGCTAAAGGAGGAAGTTCGAACAAATGGCAAAGAAGTTAAAAACCTTGAAAAAAAATTAGATGAATGGATAACTAGAATAACCAATGCAGAGAAGTCCTTAAAGGACCTGATGGAGCTGAAAACCATGGCATGAGAACTATGCAACGAATGCACAAGCCTCAGTAGCTGATGCGATCAATTGGAAGAAAGGGTATCAGCGATGGAAGATGGAATGAATGAAGTGAAGCAAGAAGAGAAGTTTAGATTGGGAGGCCGAGGCGGGCGGATCACGAGGTCAGGAGATCGAGACCATCCCGGCTAAAACTGTGAAATCCCGTCTCTACTAAAAATACAAAAAATTAGCTGGGTGTAGTGGCGGGCGCCTGTAGTCCCAGCTACTTGGGAGGCTGAGGCAGGAGAATGGCATGAACCCGGGAGGCGGAGCTTGCAGTGAGCCGAGATCCCGCCACTGCACTCCAGCCTGGGCGACAGAGCGAGACTCCGTCTCAAAAAAAAAAAAAAAAAAAAAAAAAAAAAAGAGAAGTTTAGAGAAAAAAGAATAAAAAGAAACAAACAGAGCCTCCAAGAAATATGGGACTATGTGAAAAGACCAAATCTACATCTGATTGGTGTACCTGAAAGTGACGGGGAGAATGGAACCAAGTTGGAAAACACTCTGCAGGATATTATCCAGGAGAACTTCCCCAATCTAGCAAGGCAGGCCAACATTCAAATTCAGGAAATACAGAGAATACTACAAAGATACTCCTCGAGAAGAGCAACTCCAAGACACATAATTGTCAGATTCACCAAAGTTGAAATGAAGGAAAAAATGTTAAGGGCAGCCATAGAGAAAGGTCGGGTTACCCACAAAGGGAAGCCCATCAGACTAACAGCGGATCTCTCGGCAGAAACTCTACAAGCCAGAAGAGAGTGGGGGCCAATATTCAACATTTTTAAAGAAAAGAATTTTCAACCCAGAATTTCATATCCAGCCAAACTAAGCTTCATAAGTGAAGGAGAAATAAAATACTTTACAGACAAGCAAATGCTGAGAGATTTTGTCACCACCAGGCCTGCCCGAAAAGAGCTCCTGAAGGAAGCACTAAACATGGAAAGGAACAACCGGTACCAGCCACTGCAAAAACATGCCAAATTGTAAAGACCATCAAAGCTAGGAAGAAACTGCATCAACTAACGAGCAAAATAACCAGCTAACATCATAATGACAGGATCAAATTCACACATAACAATACCTTAAATATAAATGGGCTAAATGCTCTAATTAAAAGGTGCAGACTGGCAAATTGGATAAAGAGTCAAGACCCATCAGTGTGCTGTATTCAGGAAACCCATCTCGTGTGCAGAGACACACATAGGCTCAAAATAAAGGGATGGAGGAAGATCTACCAAGCAAATGGAAAACAAAAAAAGGCAGGGGTTGCAATCCTAGTCTCTGATAAAACAGACTTTAAACCAACAAAGATCAAAAGAGACAAAAAAGGCCATTACATGATGGTAAAGGGATCAATTCAACAGGAAGAACTAACTATCCTAAATATGTATGCACCCAATACAGGAGCACCCAAATTCATGAAGCAAGTCCTTAGAGACCTACAAAGAGACTTAGACTCCCACACAATAATAATGGGAGACTTTAACACCCCACTGTCAACATTAGACAGATCAATGAGACAGAAAGTTAACAAGGATATCCAGGAACTGAACTCAGCTCTGTACCAAGAGAACCTAATAGACATCTACAGAACTCTCCACCCCAAATCAACAGAATATACATTCTTTTCAGCACCACACCACACCTATTCCAAAACTGACCACATATTGGAAGTAAAGCACTCCTCAGCAAATGTAGAAGAACAGAAATTATAACAAACTGTCTCTCAGACTGCAGTGCAATCAAACTAGATCTCAGGATTAAGAAACTCACTCAACACTGCTCAACTACATGGAAACTGAACAACCTGCTCCTGAATGACTACTGGGTACATAACGAAATGAAGGCAGAAATAAAGATGTTCTTTGAAACCAATGAGAACAAAGACACAACATACCAGAATCTCTGGGACACATTCAAAGTAGTGTGTAGAGGGAAATTTATAGCACTAAATGCCCACAAGAGAAAGCAGGAAAGATCTAAAATTGACACCCTAACATCACAATTAAAAGAGCTAGAGAAGCAAGAGCAAACACATTCAAAAGCTAGCAGAAGGCAAGAAATAACTAAGATCAGAGCAGAACTGAAGGAAATAGAGACACAAAAAACCCTTCAAAAAATCAATGAATCCAGGAGCTTGTTTTTTGAAAAGATCAACAAAATTGATAGACCGCTAGCAAGACTAATAAAGAAGAAAAGAGAGAAGAATCAAATAGACGCAATAAAAAATGACAAAGGGGATATCACCACCGATCCCACAGAAATACAAACTACCATCAGAGAACACTATAAACACCTCTGTGCAAATAAACTAGAAAATCTAGAAGAAATGGATACATTCCTTGACACATACACCCTCCCAAGACTAAACCAGGAAGAAGTTGAATCTCTGAATAGACCAATAACAGGCTCTGAAATTGAGGTAATAATTAATAGCTTGCCAACCAAAAAAAGTCCAGTACCAGACAGATTCACAGCCGAATTCTACCAGAGGTACAAGGAGGAGCTGGTACCATTCCTTCTGAAACTATTCCAGTCAATAGAAAAAGATGGAATCCTCCCTAACTCATTTTATGAAGCCAGCATCATCCTGATACCAAAGCCTGGCAGAGACACAACAAAAAAAGAGAATTTTAGACCAATATCCTTGATGAACATTGATACAAAAATCCTCAATAAAATACTGGCAAACTGAATCCCGCAGCACATCAAAAAGCTTATCCACTATGATCAAGTGGGCTTCATCCCTGGGATGCAAGGCTGGTTCAACATACGCAAATCAATAAATGTAATCCAGCATATAAACAGAACCAAAGACAAAAACCACATGATTATCTCAATAGATGCAGAAAAGTCCTTTGACAAAATTCAACGGCCCTTCATGCTAAAAACTCTCAATAAGTTGGGTATTGGTGGGACTTATCTCAAAATAATAAGAGCTATCTACGACAAACCCACAGCCCGTATCATATTGAATGGACAAAAACTGGAAGCATTCCCTTTGAAATGTGGCACAAAACAGGGATGCCCTCTCTCACCACTCCTATTCAACATAGTGTTGGAAGTTCTGGCCAGGGCAATCAGGCAGGAGAAGGAAATAAAGGGCGTTCAGTTAGGAAAAGAGGAAGTCAAATTGTCCCTGTTTGCAGATGACATGATTGTATATCTAGAAAACCCCATCGTCTCAGCCCAAAATCTCCTTAAGCTGATAAGCAACTTCAGCAATGTCTCAGGTTACAAAATCAATGTGCAAAAATCACAAGCATTCTTATACACCAATAACAGACAAACAGAGAGCCAAATCATGAGTGAACTCCCATTCACAATTGCTTCAAAGAGAATAAAATACCTAGGAATCCAACTTACAAGGGACATGAAGGACCTCTTCAAGGAGAACTACAAACCACTGCTCAATGAAATAAAAGAGGATACAAACAAGTGGAAGAACATTCCATGCTCATGGGTAGGAAGAATCAATATCGTGAAAATGGCCAAGGTACTGGCCAAGGTAATTTATAGATTCAATGCCATCCCCATCAAGCTACCAATGACTTTCTTCACAGAATTGGAAGAAAACCACTTTAAGTTCATATGGAACCAAAAAAGAGCCCGCCCACATTGACAAGTCAATCCTAAGCCAAAAGAACAAAGCTGGAGGCATCACACTACCTGACTTCAAACTATACTACAAGGCTACAGTAACCAAAACAGCATGGTACTCGTACCAAAACAGAGATACAGACCAATGGAACAGAACAGAGGCCTCAGAAATAATGCCGCATATCTACAACCATCTGATCTTTGACAAACCTGACAAAAGCAAGCAATGGGGAAAGGAGTCCCTATTTAATAAATGGTGCTGGGAAAACTGGCTAGCCATATGTAGAAAGCTGAAACTGGATCCCTTCCTTATACCTTATACAAAAATTAATGCAAGATGGATTAAAGACTTACATGTTAGTCCTAAAACCATAAAAACCCTGGAAGAAAACCCAGGCAATACTATTCAGGACATAGTCATGGGCAAGGACTTCATGTCTAAAATACCAAAAGCAATGGCAACAAAAGCCAAAATTAACAAATGGGATCTAATTAAACTAAAGAGCTTCTGCACAGCAAAAGAAACTACCATCAGAGTGAACAGGCAACCTACAGAATGGGAGAAAATTTTTGCAATCTACTCATCTGACAAAGGGCTAATATCCAGAATCTACAATGAACTCAAACAAATTTACAAGAAACAAACAACCCCATCAAAAAGTGGGCAAGGGATATAAACAGACACTTCTCAAAAGAAGACATTTATGCAGTCAAAAAACACATGAAAAAATGCTCATCATCACTGGCCATCAGAGAAATGCAAATCAAAACCACAGTGAGATACCATCTCACACCAGTTAGAATGGCGGTCATTAAAAAGTCAGGAAACAACAGGTACTGGAGAGGATGTGGAGAAATAAGAACACTTTTACACTGTTGGTGGGACTGTAAACTAGTTCAACCATTGTGGAAATCAGTGTAGTGATTCCTCAGGGATCTAGAACTAGAAATACCATTTGACCCAGCCATTCCATTACTGGGTATATACCCAAAGGATTATAAATCATGCTGCTATAAAGACACATGCACATGTATGTTTACTGCAGCACTATTCACAATAGCAAAGACTTGGAACTGACCCAAATGTCCAACAATGATAGACTGGATTAAGAAAATGTGGCACATATACACCATGGAATACTATGCAGCCATAAGAAGTGATGAGTTCATGTCCTTTGCAGGGACATGGATGAAGCTGGAAACCATCATTCTCAGCAAACTATTGCAAGGACAAAAAACCAAACACTGCGTTTTCTCAGTCATAGGTGGGAATTCAACAATGAGAACACATGGACACAGGAAGGGGAACATCATACACCGGGGACTGTTGTGGGGTGGGGGGAGGGGGGGAGGGATAGCATTAGGAGATATACCTAATGCTAAATGACGAGTTAATGGGTGCAGCACACCAACATGGCACATGTATACATATGTAACAAACCTGCATGTTGTGCACATGTACCCTAAAACTTAAAGTATAGTAATAATAAAATAAAAAAAAAGAAGGGAAACAACATTTGAACTAAAGCATAAAAATGACACATATTTTAATTGATAAATCTGAATGCAAAATGATGCCAACAATGAAACCATAAAAAGATTGTGTCTTTCTAAAGCCTTAAGCTTTATAGTTGGTTGAATATTTGTCTTCTATTAGTATATTGCTGTGCTCATTTTCCCTGAGCACCTAGGTCTCTCAGCACCAGTGACTATGTTCCATTTGACTAGATTTAAAGTGCTAGTGGATAAAACTTCTGGATTCTGGGCCTGGCAGGCTATTTCATGTTCTCTGATAAACATTGAAAAACATCTCTAAGTTCTTCCATCATGGGACATGTGCAAGATGTATTTCAATTTTCCATGGCATTACAACTGTAGTTGCCTGACTGTTCTTCTTGCCCACTGCACAAACAAAACCAGTTTACTGAGACCATGGTACTATGGTATATAATTAATTAATTAGCACAAGGCCAGCTATGCAGAAGAACTGGAGTTATCACTCAAATCAGTCTTCCTGAACGTTCAGAGGTTAGGGTTTTGCAAGCATAGTTTGGTGGGAAGAGAACTAGGGAATGGGTACTGCTGATTGGCTGGGGATGCAATTATAGAGGTGTGGAAAATAGTCTTTGTGCATTGAGTCTGTCTCTGGATGGGTGGTTGTGGGGTGGGTGGGGGCCCACAGGACAGATGAGTCATCAGTGACTAGTCCAGGTTGGGTAAGTCTGAAAAACATCTCAAAAGAGCAATCTTAGTTCTACAATAGTGATGTTACCTATAGGTGCAGCTGGGGAAGCAATGAATCTTATGACCTCTGGCCACATAACTCCTGAGCAGTAAGGGATTGTAGAAACAGCATCTACATTTTAGCAGAATTCAGGGCCCTCCCATAATCCTAATCTTGGTAGGCTTCATTAGTTTTACAAACCTCAATATAATATGATTAGCTATGGCATCAAAAATCAGTGTAATATTGGTCCATCTTATTGTAGGAACCAAGGGAAAACTTCCCCTTCACCCTCCAAGGGATCACTAATAATCAACTGACAAAAGACAGATAAGTAGGAGAAAAGGCATACGAAAGTTTGTTTTAACATGGTTAGCACTGGGGAACTTAAGGAGGAAGATTGCCTAATAACCCAATGTGGTACAGAAGCTTATATACTCTCTTCCATAGGGGAGGGGAGAGATGGGGAATGTAGGCAATTCCTTTGAGGGACCACAGATGATTATTAGGGAGAACAGTGAACTTGTAAATGATTCTCTTTGGAATTTGAATGAGCCCTAGAGGCTGGAATTATGTTGTGAAAAAGTCCATCTCCCTGTAGTTGCATTCCTTAGTCTTCTTTTCTGAGACAGATAATGAGATTTCAGAGAAGGGAGGAAAACAATTGTATTTCTCTTAGAAAGAAGATTTCTTGGTCAGATAAGGAAATTCCAGAGAGAGTCCCTCCCTGTGCTTGAGGCAAGGGCTGAGGGACAAGGCAAAGTTAGAGGGACCTTGATTTGCGGGCTGCGTCTAAGGCCTCTTAGCCTGTCATAGCACCAGTGTTTGGGTTATTGCTTTCTGAGCCCCAACGTTATACTCTATCCAAAGGTTTATTTTATTTTAATTTTTTATAAACTCTATGTCCAAACAACTGTAAAACTCACAACATGTGACCTAAGGGTATCATAGTGAGGTTACAGTGACCTAGTAGTCAGTGTGTAATTTCTAGGATTTAAACGGTAAGCTGTTTTCTCTGTGGAGAATGACACTATAGTATACTATTTGGGGTTATGGGCAAGCTAATAGATTTGGCAGTTCTCATTTTTTCCCCTTGGTCAAAAACTACTCAAGTTCTGAATGCAAATAAGAGATCTCAGAGCAGCCTCAAGTACTCAAAACACTGAACATGGCTCTATAAAACAACAGGGTATAATGAGCTATCTTGGTTTCCAAATTGGGTCTGGGATTTTCCAAATTTTACCCCAAATACTGTCCTTTTGGCTTTAATACTCTCTGTACCAGATATATCAGAATGAGAGAATCAAGAGTAAAACAAACTTGCATTTCCCAAACAGAGAATCAATAATCTTTTTGGAAGAAAATTTTAAAGGATATCAATCATTAAAAAAAGCAAGTCTGGAAACGATGATGTGTCACTCATTATGCAAATATCATGCTAACTCATAAGGGTGCTTTTCAGACCAGATTATTCTACTTTCAGACAAGCCCACCATATTAGCTTCATTGCACAATATTTAATCTCTGTCCTTGAAGTTCACAAATTAACTTGCTCTGTGATTTCCTCCTTGTGATAGCCTCTGGCTGTGTTTTTACTGCCTTAACAGCTACTGGCAGGCAGCTTGTCTCCCACATTCACTACAAAGCAAACAGGAATTTGGTCCCAGGGTAATTGGCTGTTCTCCAGCATAAGAATGCAAGTTATTCATGAGCTTTGTGAGCTTGCTTCTGACTAACACAGACTGTTTTCACTAGGGAGCACAGGGACAAAAAGAGTTGTGAAGTTTTGAGTCTTCAGGATTATTCCTTTCAAGTATGTGATAACCTGTGATTCTTCTCCCCAACTATTTTCTAACCGTCCCCGACCTTTTCCACTTCCTTTCATTTCGTAGTGACTACCAGAAATTTACCAAGGAAGCTGCCATGAAATAACATGTTTCTTTTAGAAATACAACTGACTCAATAGACAGCTATGGATGTGCTGTTATTTTGGAGATACAGTAAGTTTACAGAACTTTTAAAATTAAATCTTAAGCAAAATATGTGGGTAAATGCCAAATAGATTGGTGAGAGCCTAGGTTAACAGTAATTCAAAAAAAAAATGGAGAAAAAGACTTGCAGTTTCAAAGATAGGAGCATATATACTTTAAATTTTGAGGTGCTGAATAACAGATTTAAAGTTTACAAAAAATTAAGAGGTTTAAACAAAAATAAAAAAAAAGCTACCCATTCATCATGGTCGGAAGAAAGTAAAAGAGAGAATTCTAAGCTCCTAAAAACAGGGGCATCTAAAAAGATTTTCCTTCTTTATTATCTTACCTGAGAGGTCCATACTGTAAATCTAGATACCATGTTTTCTAAATTATTCTGGAACTACACTACCCACACGACTGTAATATTTAAAATGATTGTCCAAAAATGTATTTAACAGAGACACCAACAAATGTTTGAGACTTACAAACAAGATAAATTTGTTAATTCCTTTAGTTCACTCAAAGCTGTACAATGATAAAAAAACCAAAATATTAAATATACTGTACACCCTGATTTATTTAAATTTTTATTATTACTTGCTGAAAACTTGAATGGAAAGATTTTGCTTTTTTGTAATGCAATTGTCAATGGAAAGAATTAAACTCTGTAAAATATTTGAAGAGATTTATTCTGAGCCAAATGTGAGTGACCATGGCCCGGGAGGTCCTGAGAACATGGGCCCAAGGTGGCTGGGGTGCAGCTTGGTTTTATACATTTTAGGGAGGCATGAGACATCAATCAAATACATTTAAGAAATACATTGGTTTGGTCTACAAAGGCAGGGCCATTCAAAATAGGGGCTTCCAGGCTGTAGGGAAATTTAAACATTTTCTGGTTGACAATTGGTTGAGTTTGTTTAAAGACCTGGGATCAACAGAAAGGAATGTCTGGGTTGTGATAACATGTCGTAGAGACCAAAGTTTTACTATACAGATGAAGCTTTTAGCTAGCAAGCATCAGAGAAAATAGATTGTAAAATGCTTCTTATCAGACTTAAAATCTGTGTTGATGTTAATGCCAGAGAGGTATAATGAAGCCTGTTCAACCCCCACTTCCTGTCATGGCCTGAAACAGTCTCTCAGGTTAAGTTTTAAAAGTCCTAATGTGTCCGGAATTGGTGGGTTCTTGGTCTCACTGACTTCAAGAATGAAGCCGCAGACCCTTGCGGTGAGTGTTACAGTTCTTAAAGATGGTGTGTCTGGAGTTTGTTCCATCTCATGTTTGGACGTGCTCGGAGTTTCTTCCTTCTGGTAGGTTCATGGTCTCGCTGGCTTCAGGAGTGAAGCTGCAGACCTTTGCGGTGAGTGTTACAGCTCTTAAGACGGCACGTCTGGAGTTGTTCGTTCCTCCTGTCCGGAGTTGTTCATTCCTCCCATCTGGAGTTGTTCATTCCTCCCAGTGGGTTCATGGTCTCACTGGCCTCAGGAGTGAAGCTGCAGACCTTTGCAGTGAGTGTTACAGCTCTTAAAGGTGGTGTGTCCAGAGTTGTTCATCCCTCCTGGTGGGTTCATGGTCTTACTGGCTTCAGGAGTGAAGCTGCAGACCTTCACCGTGAGTGTTACAGCTCATAAAGGCAGTGCGGACCCAAGGAGTCAGCAGCAGCAAGATTTATTGTAAAGAGCAAAAGAACAAAGCTTCCACAGTGTGGAAGGAGACCCCAGCAGGTTGCCCCTGCTGGCTCTGGCAGCCTGCTTTTATTCCCTTATCTGGCCCCATCCACATTCTGCTGATTGGCCCATTTTACAGAGAGCTGATTGGTCCGTTTTACAGAGAGCTGATTGGTCTGTTTTGACAGGGTGCTGATTGGTACATTTACAATCTGGCTAGACACAGAGTGCTGATTGGTGCATTTACAAACCTTGAGCTAGATACAGAGTGCTGATTGGTGTATTTACATACTTTAGCTAGACATAAAAGTTCTCCAAGTCCCCACCAGATTAGCTAGATACAGAGTGCTGATTGGTGCATATACAATCCTCCAGCTAGACATAAAAGTTCTCTAAGTCCCCACCCAACTCAGGAGCCCAGCTGGCTTCGCCTAGTGGATCCCATACCAGGACTGCGGGTGGAGCTGCCCGCCAGTCCCGCGCCACATGCCTGCACTCCTCAGCTCTTGGGTGGTCGATGGGCCTGGGTGCTACGCAGCAGGGGGCAGTGCCCGTCGGGGAGGCTCAGGTCGCCAGGGAGCTCACTGTGGGGGGGCTCGGGCATGGCGGGCTGCAGGTCCCAAGCCCTGCCCCGCGGGGAGGTGGCTGAGGCCCGGCGAGAATTCAAGTGTGGGGCAGGCGGGCTGGCAGTGCTGGGGGACCCAGTGCCCCCTCCGCAGCTGCTGGCCCGGGAGCTAATCCCCTCACTGCCCAGGGCCGGTGGCGCCGGCCAGCCACTCCGAGTGCGGGGCCTGCCGGGCCCGCGCCCACCCCGAACTTGCGCTGGCCCGCGAGTGCTGTGTGCAGCTCCGGTTCCCTTCCATGCCTCTCCCTCCACACCTCCCAGCAAGCAGTGGGAGCCAGCTCCGGCCTTGGCCAGCCCAGAGAGGGGCTCCCACAGTGCAGCGGTAGGCTGAAGGGCTCCTCAGCATGGCCAGAGCGGACGCTGAGGCCGAGGAGGTGCTGAGAGCAAGTGAGGGCTGCTAGCACGTTGTCACCTCTCACTAACTGAGGGGGAAGTCCATCCAGATGGTTGAGGGGTCTTAGAATTTTATTTTTGGTTTATGTAATTTATAAGTGAATCAGTTCTTTCACACTTCAGTTCCCTATCCTTGTGTGGCATCATCTCTCTCTCTTGATCATGCATCTACCTTTGGATTGGCGCTTGGCAGTTTCGTGGGACTCTCTGAGTAGACACACGGAGATTTGCAAAGATCTGTTTTACTTAGATGTCCGAGGAGGAATATTAATTAATTTTAGCATGCCACCTGCAGCTTGTAAGCCCAGCATAGTTCACAGATCAAATGCTTGCATTCCAGCTGCTGGAGCTCTAAAGTTAAGTGGTTAGGATTTTTGCCCTCAAGGAGTCCTCAGTCCAGTGGAGAATCCAGATGCACAAACAAACATTGATGATGAAATATAAGTGTAGTAAAGAAGAATGTGGCAAATTGTGTAGGGGTGAAGGGAAAGCTTCCCCTTCACTCTCAGAAGGTTCCGTGAAAAATTCAGTTCACAAAAGGCAGATTAATAGGAGAAAAAGGATACTAAAAGAAACTGACCAAACTTACTTGATCATAGTTTATTTGATCATAGTTTCCCATGACACAGGAGCCTTCAGAATGAAGATTCAACTCCCCAGTGGGGTACAGGAGCTTGTATATCACCTTGAGATTACAGAAAGAACAGGAGCTTGGAGCATGGCCAAAACCAGGTTATGGTGGTAAATCAGATTTTAGTGAAGAGACAGGTTATGGGAGGGAGAGAAGGGGAGGCTTGGCTATTAAAAGTGGTCTTGGTATGGAGATAAAACCTCACAGGTAGCAGCCCTCAGAGAGGATAAATGGACAATGTTTCTTTCGGATATTTAAATGTGTCAGACTCTTGGTTAATCTTTCCTAGATCTGGATTAGGGAAGGCCTGGTTGCGTTAATGCAGATTGCTAATGATGCAAATTTCCCCCACAAAAGACAGCTTTGCAGGACCAGTTCTGTTTACTGACCCCCTGACAGCCATCCCAAAATATGTCAAAGAAATATATTTGGGGCTGAAATATTTTTATTTCCTTTAGCTGCCATGGGAGCGTGGATGAGAAAGCAATTCATCTCGAAATGGAGATTAGTAAATGTGAGCCTTAGAGAGGACAGATGTCTGAGCAGAGCTTTGAATCACATGTTAGGGAGGTGGAGTTTGGAAGGAGGAAGGCATGATGCTGCGAGAACACGGTACTTCTGTGGAGTGGTCAGGGGAGAGTGGCTAGAGAAAGAGGTGGACATAGTGAAGGGCCATGAGGTTTGAACTTTGGACTTCCTTCTGTAGATAGGAGTCTTCAGAGAAAGTAGCATAATCACAGCCAGGTGCCATTTGGAATTTTACGAGTGAGGCATCCAAGTGTTTGTTCAATGCTTGTAAACCAACCTTGTTGTAGGTGTGGATTCATAAACTGATTTACACACTTGGATAATGGGTTATTATGAGCCAATTATTTCTTAGAGACTGAAAAAGTTCTTAGTAACTGAAACCTTCTGCCTCAGGACATAGGAAGGGCAGGATAAAAGTAATCAGGCTTAGAATGTTTCTCACCAAGACCAGTTTGAGCAAGATTAGACATTTCAATAGTCAGATCTTTTCTCTTCAGGGCAGCTGTAGCAGCATAGCAAGACTCAGATGTGAGTGCCAGGGTCTGTTTAAAGCTTCCTCACCAGCTGTGAACTCTTTGGCAAGTCACTTCTTTGATTCTCAATTCTTCTACTATAAAATGAGGAATATAATCATATCTATTTGTTTCAGAGGTGGTTGTGAGGATTAAACAAAATTAAATGAGCTAATATAAGCATTTTTTGGATGTCATAAAGTATTGTGAAAAGTATGGGGTTATGGTTATAACTATCAAAAGTAGAAGTCTAACTGATTATAAAAATACCAATAATGATTATTATTTATTGAAGGTTTGTTTTGTGCTGGCCCTATTCTAAATTCTTTACATATGTGATCTTATAATTCTTATAGTAATCCTATAGGGGAGGTTTTTACAGAGAAGGAAACTAAGGCTTGACAAGGTTGAACAATTCATAAGCAATAGAGCCAGAAATCAGAAGTCATACTTTGCTGACTACAAGCCTGGGCTTATAATCACTACTTTTCCAATCAATCTTTTATTTTCATTTTTTTTTTCTTTTTTTATAGATAGGTCTTACCTATGTTGCCCAGGCTGGTCTTGAACACTTGAGCTCAAGTGATTTTCCCACCACGGCTTCCTAAGTTGAATCAATCTTTTCAAAATGCTTGTTTTTTACTTTAAAGTTTAGGCAACTGACAAGAAATTATCAACACATCATCATTGCAGAATTACTAGGCTGAAGTTTCTCATGTTCCTTCTATCAGAACTAGGAATCTACAGATAGAAAATGTGATCCCTTTTTTTTTCTTATATATGAACACGAGCTATTATTGTTGACTACAAATAAAATATGCTCTGAGTTTTGTTGTCAAAATATGACTTGAGGAATAGTTTAATATGAAATTCATTTCTTTTTTTAGGGAGGCAAAACCACACAGTCTTTCAAATTATGTTCTCTATTATTTTGTCCTTTATTGACAAAACTGTTTAAGAAGAATAGAGCACAGAAACGCTGGAACACTGTTCCTCACCTCCTACTCTGACATCTAAAGATCCATCTTCCCTTGAAGAATGAATAAAGAGGACATAGTTTGTCACTTTCAGGTCCAAGAGATACTGAGAAAACTAAAATAGGGGCAGCTGTGTTTCCATAATGTTGTTGAGTATTCAAAAGGGCTATATAAATTGAGCTTTTACTTCAATAGTGTTGAAGTTTTAAAAAGGGGTGGACTATAATTAGTTATACATACACCATATTAGAAACCCTGAGTTGGTCTAATTATTAACAGGGTTAAATCAAACCCAGTGTCTGTATTTGTTGATGGAAACCTTGCTGCATCTCTGGGATATAATCTCAGTGGCTTTCATCCCATCTTTCTCTAAATGGGTGTCAGTGCCCTAGCAATGACCTTGGGTACTGGAATAGACTCAGGTCTCCCCACGCATGGTTTTGCTGCCAGGCAGTAGATGGCAGAATTGAGCTTGACTTTTATGGTTGCCTTTCTTCTCACTTGCCTCCATTGGTGAAGTTGAAGTACTCTTAAGCTACTTGTTAAAATAGCTTTTTTTAAAAAAAAAAATCACAAATAATTCTATGTGTCTGTTTTATTCCATTTGAATCTCATACATTGCCTACCGTATAATGCTTTTTTAAAGAAAAAGCTTATTGGAACTATAGTTGATTTCTTCCTCTTGTTCCAAGGTTTTCTAATCTCAAAAGGACATCACCCTCATTTTAATACTTTTTTTACCTCTGTTTTCTTTTATCCAATGTTATTAAAGCTTTCTTCTATCCTCTTCCCCATCATTTAAAAAAATTTAAAAATCAACACTAGATTTTTTATTTTATGTCCTTCAAATTATTCAGACAATTCTACTCGTCTTAAGACTGTAATAAAAATTCCTATCTCCACAGTGTGGGAGAATTGTCAAAGAAGGCAGGATCCTCTTCTGATGTAGTAGGTTGGTGCAAAAGTAATTGCGGTGTTTGCTATTTCAATGGCAACAAGGCACAATTACTTTTGCACCGACCTAATAAATGTGGGCTTTGATAAAGCTACTGTCACATACAACTTGAAATCATGAAGAGGCCCTCAGGACAAAATCTAGGAGTTGATTGAGAAAGAACAAATGGAAAGTTTGTGAAAGCAGAAATCTTCAAGTAGGATATTTTGTTTAAAGATGGGAGTGTTATGGGAAAAGGCAGAAGCCATTTGACTCAACCCTATTACTGAAGGCTGAAAAGAACATATATTTTTTAAAAATCTACCATTGAAGTAGTTTAGGAAAAATGTCTGTGAGCTGCAAACCCCCAAAGGAAAAGAACTAACTGAGAGGAATACCTCTGGAAGAACATGTTGAGATGACTAGGGTACAAATTGGGCCTGAAATTCAATGTTTATTCTGGAGAGACTAGATAAACACTTAGTACTTTAGCAGTAGTAGAACTAAAAGAAGGTACTTAAATTGGCTTAGGGTAGAAGTAGATTGCAAGAGCTCAGCCTTGAATAAATTAAATTAGTCAATTGTTTTACTTACTTATACATAATATGTACCCTGTATTTCTTCATGCTAATAGATAATATGATTTTTGCAATTTATCTGCCCTATGAAACATTTTATGGAAGACCTCAGGTAGGAAGGTTATTTAAGAGGAAAAAAAAGCAAAAGGGACAGATATCAAGGTGGAGATAGCCAAAAAACTAGAGAGCCTTTCCTGTGAGACTGCCCAAGACTTATTTCTTCTTTTTTTTTGCCTTCCCTTCCCTTCCTTTCCCTTCCATTCCCTTCCCTTCCCTTCCCTTCCTTTCCTGTCCTTTCCCTTCCCTTCCCTTCCTGTCACTTCCCGTCCCTTCCCTTCCCATCCCTTCCCTTCCTCTTTCAAGACAGAACAGAGTCTTATTCTGTTACCCAGGCTGGAGTGCAGTGGCATGATCTCAGCTCACTGTAACCTCCACCTCCTGGGTTCACGTGCTTCTCCTGCCTCAGCCCCCTGGGTAGCTGGGGTTACAGGTGTGCACCACCACACTCAGTTAATTTTTTGTATTTTTTGTAGAGACAGGGTTTTACCATGTTGGCCAGGCTGGTCTTAAACTCCTGACCTCAAGTGATCAGGCTGCCTCAGCCTCCCAAATTGCTGGGATTACAGGCATGAGCCACTGTGCCCAGCCCAAGGCCTATTTCTTTGCAATAATTTACACAGTAAAATCCAAGATTAACACTTGAATTATTGCAACGCATTCCTTCCATTTTTCCTTCCTTCCTTCTTTTTTGCCCTCACTCCTTTTCTTCTTTCCTTCCTTTCTTTCCTTTCTTTCTCTCCTCCCTCCCTCCTTCCCTCCCTTCTTTCCTTCCTCCCTTCTTACCCCTATCCTTTTCTCTTCCCTTCCCTTCCCTTTCCTTCTTTCCTTCTTTCCTTTCTCTCCTCTTTCCTTTTTTTTTCCTCAAAAAAATTTAAAGAAGGTTTAGGGGCACCTATGTACTATTTAAAAAAATGATAAAGAATGTGAGGAAGAAAATGTCCATGAACACTATTTTAAATGCCATGTCTTAATATCAGTTTCCCTTGTTATTTTCCTAGCCAGTCTTTGTCAGGGAAATAGCAGTCATTTTCCTAAGCCTAAATTTAACAGACACCTGATAACTCTGTATAGTACTTGCTGATAGGAACCGAAGTAAACAAGAGTGACGCATAGCAATGTTGTCATTTCTACTCTACCGAGTCCATGTGGGTATGGAGATAGAAAGAATGTGACTTGATTGAAAAGGAATTTGTTGTTGAATGAGAGGTTAAACTATGTTCTTAACTTTTAATCCTATGTGCAAAGCCTTTTAAATAATTTGGAAATAATATTACAAAAGGAACAATTTAACCTAAGTTAGTTGTACTCTACCATTTCTTTTTCAGAGAGAAGAATCAGTAGAGCTACATTTTCTTGGCACTCCAAAATGTGGATTTCAAAACTGTTAGTTCAGAAGTGTTCAACTTTTGCTGCCCACTGGAATTATCTGGAGAGCTGCAAAAGGACACTGATGCCTGGGCTGCACCTCCTAGAGGTCTTGATTTGATCAATCCAAAGGAAGGCCTGGGCAGTAAATTTTTAAAAGTTCCACAGGTAATTCCAAGTTGGGAACCATTGGTAGCTGGAGTAGAAGACATTTATTAAGTAATGACACAAAATGAGGTTTGGGACAAACTTTGTATATCAAGTGAAGAAATTTATCCTGTAGGTAATGGTCAACCTTTGGGGTAGACAGATAAGTGCCATAATTTTGTTAGTTTTTAAAGTGGATTGACATGGGGAGCATTGAACAGCAGGCTTCAAGTGTTGCCCCCACAGTTCATGATCCTGCAATTTGCAGGCTTGCTCTCATTTCTGCAGTCGCTTTCACATTTTGATTCTGTCTTCCCTCCCTTGTCTCTTAAACTCTGGTAGTCTTGTTAGTATGCCCTACTGTGGCATCTCCATTAAGCATGATTTGTTCTATTCAGGACTTTCTCTAAGTTATACCATTAAAGAAGTTTCCTAAACCTCAATAATTGTTTGATAATAAAGGTAAAGCCTTAAGTCTATTTAGTCTCTAAGTCTCTTCAGTTTTGAATATGTATATATGTGCGTGTGTGTATATATATATGTGTGTGTATATATAGATGTGTATATATATGTGTGTATATATGTATATATATGTGTATATATGTGTGTATATATATGTGTATATATATGTGTATATATGTGTATATATATGTGTGTATATATGTGTATATATGTGTGTATATATGTGTATATATGTGTGTATATATGTGTATATATGTGTGTATATATGTGTATATATATGTGTGCGTGTATATATATATATATGCTACTCTTTTAGAAACACGTTTCTTTTTCAAATAACCTAAAACTGACTCCTTTTCAAGAAAAATACAGTGAATAGATTTTTATTTTACATTAGGAAATGTATGGTTTATAAACTGGAAAATCAAATGGCATTGATTTTATCAAATACATTACAATGAGAATCACCTTTAAAAAATAACTACTCTACTTAATTTAAGCCTCGAGAGAGTCCTCATTGCCTGGACCAGGGACTTCCTTAAGAAATATTGGTTAAATAAATGTGTCAGAAAAAATTATGAAAGTCTTTAAAATGAGCAAAAAGGGTTATTTGTGTCTATAAAGGTCTATATCTTTCCAGAGTTATTTGAGTCTATAAAGGTCTATATCTTTCATTGTTTTGGATCCATTTTACAACTCTGTAAATTGAAAAAAAAAACTGATAGTAATGCAAATTATTTTGTCCAATGGAAATGAAAATGAACTTCATCCATCCTGTAAAAGGCATCTCATTTGCATCTTTAATAGATGTAAATTCATTTTCAGCATTTCTGATGGCCTCACGGATCAGGAGTCTGCAAGACCACCCTCAGGCTTCATGCACTAAAAGGACTCACAGGACTCAGAAAAAGCTGTCATACTCATGTTTGTGGTTTATTAGAGTGAAAGACTACAGATTAGAGTCAGCAAAAGGAAAAGGTGGGTAGGGCAGAGTCTAGGAGAAACAGGACACAAGCTTCCAGTTGGCTTCTCCCAAAGGTGTTGCATGAACAGCACTTAATTATCTTAGCAACAATGTAACACACATGTAAATTTTTGCATCCTATGAATCTCATCTGAGCCTTGGTGTCCAAGGATTTTTATTGGGGTTAGTGACAAAGGCATGCAGCGGCTATGGGACAACATTAACTACTCAGTCTCCAGCCCCCAGAGGTCAGTGTGGTTCAACAACTGATGCAGTGCGGTTCAACAACTTAGACGACAAAAACACTCCTGGCAGGCAGGAGATTTCAAGAGAGCTCAGAGGTCACCTCCTGGATGTCAGCCAAGGACCAGTCCTTTTTTTTTTGAATGTGCAGGGTTTGAGTAACCCAAGACTGCTGTGTTAACCTTTTTCTGGACACCTATATACATATATTTGTCTGTTCTTTGGATTCTCCATTGAACTGGGTATTGCTGTTACTGTTTTTGCCTTCCTAGTTCCTCATTAATGGGCTAAAATAAATCTTTGACACGTTTATGTTTGCATATGAGTCATGATTTTACTTTGTTTTTGTTTGTTTGTTTGTTTGTGTTTGTTTTTTTTTTTTGAGGCAGGGTCTCACTCTCGGTCAGGCTGGGGGGTAGTGGTGTGCACTCACGGCTCATTGCAGCCTCGACCTCGTGGGCTCAAGTGATCCTCCCCCCTCATTTTTTGATTTTTTGTAGAGAAGAGGTCTCACTATGTTGTCCAGGCTGGTCTTGAACTCTTGGGCTTAAGTGATTCTCCCTCCTTGGTCTCTTAAAGTACTGAGATTACAGGCACGTGCCACCATGCCCAGCAATTTTCCTTTTTTTCTTAAAAGTCAACCTTTAACAAATATGTGAGCATAAAAATTGCTAATACTTTTTTTTTGCTTATTTCTCCTGCCTACCGCCTTTCTTTCTTCTCCCTCTCCCCTTTTCCCTTCTCCCTTTCCCCTCTTCCCCCTTCTCCCCTCCCCACCCCTCTCCTCTCCTCCCCTACCCTCCCCTTCCTCCCTCCCTCACTCCCTCCATCCCTTCCTTCCTGCCTTGCTTTTCTTTTCTTTTTTCTCTCTCCATCCCTCTCTCTCTTTCTCTCTCTCTTTCTCCTTCCTTCCTTCCTTCCTTCCTTCCTTCCTTCCTTCCTTCCTCCCTTCCTTCCATAAATGAATGTATATTTGCCAATTGGGGCATATGGAAATGCTGAAACTTAATGTATGCCCTTATTTCACATTTCCTTTATCAACGTGAAAAGTTATCTGTGACTAAGTGCTCTTGCATGTCTATACTGAATTATAGTTTAGAGAGGCCATTCATAGATGCTGCCTCATCTGTCTTTCCCTCTATCCTATTGAGGCAGACAGATGATGGGTTTCATTTTGCAGATAATGAAATGGAGGCTTAGAGTTATAAGTGATTTGTCCAAAGTTTCCAACTGAAAAGGAGCCAGACTTTTCTTTCTAGGTACACATACTCAGCAGCTTTCTAGTGTTTACCTGAATGTCCTGCAGACATCACAAATTTAATGTACAAAATGGAAAATTTTCTCTTTCTCTGTCCTCCTCCTCAATTTCTTTCTGCTCCAACTTTTAGTCATCTATTAAGTAGCACTTCCTACTCAGTTTCTTATGCCACAAACCTGGGAGCATTCCCTGACTACCCTTTCCTTCTCTCTTACTTCCCATATCCAATCTATCACCAAGTCATTTGGATTCTATCTTTACAATAATATCTCTACTCCATCTCCTTCTTTCCATCTCCACTGTGTCCACTGTAGTTCCAGACACCAGGTTCTTCTGCAGTTTTCCTTATTTTTTACCTTTAATTGTTACTGTACTGCAACCAGAGTGCTCTTTTACTAAAAATAAATCTCATCGTTATACTTTAAATCCTTCCATGCCACAATAACTCACAGCCTGATATGCTCAAAAGTCTGTGTGGTTTACTTCTTCAACTCTCCACCCTCATTCTGTCTACCATGTTCTAACCCATGAACCTCTCTGTTCCTCAAACGTGCCAAGCTTCTTTCGGCTTTAAAGCCTTTGCCATGCTGTTTTCTCTGATTGAATATTCCTCCCCGCTGCTCTTCGTCACCCAGTTGCCTGGCTAACTCATGTCCATCCTTCAGTTTAAATGTCACTTCCTCAGACAGGCTTTCCTTAAACCCTCCAATTCAGTGTAAGTACCTCCTGTCATTTTCTAATTACACCCTGTAATTTTCCTTGTGGTACTTACTATAATTGTAATTAAATATGCTTTTGTTTCATGTTCCACTAGCTCCATGAAGGCAACAATTAAGTCTGTTTTGTCCACAACAAAACAGACTTCCAATGATAGGCCCAGAAACTAGAGAGTTAGAAAAGGGCTTGGCATACAGTAGGTACTCAATACATCTTTTTTGAAAGAATGAAAGCAAAGCAAATCCCAGAACTTCTCATTCCAAATTCAGGGATGTTTTCCTGATGTTATACTGCCTTTCTGAGTAGCCCTTTTCACATTTTTACTATCTCTCCTTCAGTTTTCCTTTTGTAAATTTAATTTTTTACTACCTCAAGTAAATTATAATTAACTCTTTTATCATTAATATTTTCAACTACTGTATTAACGGTTTGAAAATGACCATGCCCTGAAAGGTTGTTAAGTCAGTGAAGGATGTTTGAGGGTCTTATTTATTTATTTATTTTTAAGACGGAGTCTTGCTGTCACCCAGGCTGGAATGCAGTGGCGTGATCTTGGCTCCTTGCAACCCCCGCCTCCAGGGTTCAAGCAATTCTCCTGCCTCAGCCTCCCGAGTAGCTAGGATTAAAGGCACCCACCACCGTGCCCAGCTAATTTTTGTATTTTTAGTAGAGACAGGGTTTCACCATGTTGACAGTCTGGTCTCGAACTCCTGACCTCGTGATCCGCCCGCCTTGGCCTTCCAAAGTGCTGGGATTACAGGTGTGAGCCACCTTGGCTGGCCCCAAGGATCTTATTCTTAAGGCATTAAATACTAGTCCAATTGGACATTCCCATTTTCCATACAACCCTGTTTTCTTCCTTTATTGCCTCAATGGAGTCTACACTTTTCAAATATCTGCCAGTTGGCCTTTCCACACAAAACAATTCCCTTCTTTTCAAATTTCTTTTAATTTGAGGTTGAAGGTGACCATTTTTTCTCTAACCTATGCTGTATTAAAAAATATAGATATGTAAGTGATGCAGAGAGTAGCCCCCCCCACATAGAGGAGGCTTGGTAATAGTGAGAGCTACCATTTCTTAAGGAGAGGCTCTGTGACAGACATAAGGTATACATACATCATCTCCAACCCTCACAACAATCTTGGAATAGAAGTGTTATTATTTTTATTTGTATTAAGTTATTTTCTGCTATGTAACACCCACCCACTCCCCAGTTTCCAATTTAGCAGCTTAAACAACACACATTCTTAAAACTCACAGCTTCTGTGGGTCAGAAATGCAGGCCCTGCTTAGCTGGGTCCTCTGCTTCAAGGTCTCCCACAAAGCTGCACCGAAGATGTGGGCTGATGCTGCAGCCATCTCAAGGCTCAACTAGGGAAGGTCCACTTCCAAGCTTTCAGTAAATTGTATTTCCATCTTATGTGGCTGTTGGCAGGCCTCAGGTCCTTACTGGCTATTGGTCAGAGACATCAGTGTGTGTGTGTGTGTGTGTGTGTGTGTGTGTGTGTGTGTGAGAGAGAGAGAGAGAGAGAGAGAGAGAGAGAGAGAGAGGCAGCACTAGATGGAAGTTACATTACTTATGTGACCTAAGCTTGCAAGTGATAGCTCATCACTTTTGCCATATTCTATTCATTAGAAGGAATGCACTAGGTCCAACCAACCCACAGTGGTAGGGAATTACACAAGGGCATGAATACCAGAAGGTATGCATTGGGAACTATCTTAGAGGCTGCCCACAACATCCCTGGACAGAAAAAAACAAAAGAGGTGCAGATAAATTGATTAATGATGAGGCTGGAATTCAAGCCTAAATCCATCAGATCCAGACCCCTCATTCTTTCTATTGCATTTTGAAGTCTTATGATGTTCAAAAAATGATTGTTGTTGAAGATGATTCTAACATCACAAATTGATGCCATAAAATAAAACCAGGTATTTTTCATACCCATAGACTAAACTTGTAGGCCATTCATTTAATAATGGCCTACATCTGTTCTGAAGAAATACCGGGTTAGATTATCAATATAGGGGAGAAACATGGGCAACAATGCAGAGGGTGCAACCTAAGAGTGGTGGGTGGTGTCGGGAGTGACAGACATAGCTAATGATTAATGCAGGATCATAGAAGATTGACACAGCTTCTACCCAAATAAATGGTAAATGTAGTCAGGGTTATTGGCCTAAGTAATCAAGTATCTAGTAATTCCATAGGTTCCTGCTTGGTGCAGAAATAAGTCTCCCAGGCCTAAGATTATTTCTTTCTTTCTTTCTTTTTTTTACATAATTTAAAAAATTTGTGTAGAGATGGGGTGTCGCTACATTGCACAGGCTAGTCTCGAACTCCCGGGCTCAGGTGATCTTCCTGCCTTGGCCTCTCAAAGTGTTGGGATTACACGCATGAGCCACTGCACCCTACCTAAGATTATTTCATTTATTTCTATTTTTTTCTGTTCAGCTGTTGAGTGCTGTCCATTCTGTATTTTCTGTACTCCAACTTTTCAGATGGATAATAAAGTCACCCTTGCATATTCCCCCCTTCCTTTTCTTTTAACCTGTGTTCGATTCATTCAGAACCTTTTTTTTTAACCTGTGTTCAGATTCTCTGTGTTCGATTTCTGCCTTTACTCAGGCAGAAAAAAAGGTCAATTTAAAAAGTCTTTGGGCCGGGCGTGGTGGCTCATGCCTGTAATCCCAACACTTTGGGAAGCTGAGGCGGGCCAATCACCTGAGGTCAGGAGTTCGAGACCAGCCTGGCCAATATGGTGAAACCCTGTCTCTACTGAAAATACAAAAATTAGCCAGGCATGGTGGCACATGCTTGTAATCCCATCTACTTGGGAGGCTGAGGCAGGAGAACTGCTTGAGCCTGGGAGCCGGAGGTTGCAGTGAGCCGAGATCATGCCGGTGATCTCCAGTCTGGGCGACAGAGTGAGACTCTGACTCAAAATAACAACAACAACAACAACAACAACAACAACAAAATGTCTTTGGGTGCTGACCACTGGAGATAACAGGGAATGACAGGGCCTATCACCATCCCTTCTGTCTCTTCTTCTGTCCCTCTGCTTCTGCACTCCCAGAGGGCTCCAGAGGAGACAGGCTGTAGCAACTGCCAGGCTCTTCTTCCTACAGGCATTTATGGCTTGAACTCAAGATTTTCGAGGGCTTTAAATCCTAATTGTAAAGGTTATTCTTCATATCACTAAAGCTAGTGCTGAAACAAAATGGGCATAACATTGCTTGATGTCCACTAACTGGTCATTGACTGTCATGCAAAGCTGGTTGTTTTGTTATTCTTTAGAATCTGGGGATGAGAATCTGAATAGACTAGCATTTTGTAGTTCACATACTTCCTCCTAACCCTTTTTAGAGCAAAAATGAAAAAAGGGGGAAGTACATTTTTTAAATGAATAATATTCTTCTCTACATGTAAAAAAAGTTTGGGAAATATGCTATTTAGAATATATGATTCTGTCTTCTTGGCGCTCCTATGAATTAATTACAGGTCACAGAATATAACTCACTCTGCATGAAACTTAGAGAACAGCTTGGTCTTCATAATAACCCTTCCAAGGTGCTCTCTCAATGTCAAATTGCAAAGAAAGTGCTCTTATCAGATCCGTTGAATGCTTCTAGATCATAGAAATAGAAGAAAGGCCAAGGATTTTATGCTAATCTCGTGTTTAAATCTCATCTAGAAGAAATAGCTTATGTGTAAGTGAAAAGAAAATTAGCACCTTTTCTCAATAAGCGTCAAAGTACATGAGCCCTTTGTTAGCATAAAGTCTAGGGAAACAAAATAACCATAGCCAGCTTGATGACAGGTAACCAGCCCTGTGTAATTTGGCTTTCTTTGAAATTTCCTTTTACATAAATGCTAAACAAACAAACAAACAAAAAACAAAAAACTCTTGGCAATTGTGCAACTGAATTGCCAGTGTCTTTCTCTCTTAGACAAGAACGACTTCTCATTCATGTGACAGTCATGAATAAGAAGGGAATACACTCTGGTACACTTAACTCCCTTGAGGGCACTTTAGCAAATAGCTCTACAGATCATTATTAAGTTAAGTTCGAAGAACATCTTTCTCCCTCAACTCAGTAACACATTTAGTGGTATATGTGATGCAGTCAGCTGATGGTCTATGGATGTTTTACAATTCTCAGGGTTGGCCTTAATATAATTTATATCACAAAAAATCCAGAACTTCTCTACTGACCAAAGTTCTTAAAAGACAACAGCAGCACTGTAAAAATCGTGGTGTCTGATCTTTTCATCTGGAAGGCACACATACATGTTTGTTGACAAATGAATGAGAAACGCGGCTATTGGATTAACATGGTATTTATATGCTTTACTGAAACTGCCCTAATGGAATCAAATAATTTTAGAGCCAGAAGGAAGTTTAGACATATAGTCAAAAATGGTGATGTTTATAAAGAAATAATCTTTTAAAATCTCATAGTACTTAGGTGAGCCTGCCATTCTATTGAAAAGTGGTGAAGCCCAACTGGACTCAGAAGGATTCTAGTTATGGGTACAGAAATAAATCTTGGGTGATTTAGGCAGAAAAAAAGATTGGCAACTCACAGCTCACATCTCCAGGAAGGCTAGAGAGCCAGGATCAGAAAGAAGGGATTGCTGAGCCACAGACAGCACCACATTTCACAACCAGTCCTGTGAGGTCACTGGTGTAACTCTCACAGACCTCTGGACCCTGTGGGGTAGATGATGCTGGTGGCACTGCCCCTCTTGGAGAATGAATGTGTCAGTCAAGTCTGCCTCTGCCACCAACATGATGGATTCCCCCGTGTCTCTGCTGGTCAGTGTCATGATATCCCAATTTGAAAGTTGTGGCTTATTGGGAGATCAGGTTACAAGGGGCTCAGAGAGGTGAGTATCTAGCTTTATACAGAGGGACATTCTTTAAACATATGAAGAAGGTTTAGATGATTGGAAATAAAAAAAAAATTGATAAATGTCCAGTATACCAGGTCCCTTGTCTTGCAGTTTTCCTGAGCTTCACTTTATGGTTTTATACATAGTTCATTCAACAAAAATTTATTGAGAGGCTAGAGGGTTCTGAGAATATAACCATCAATGAGGTACTTCCTGTTCTTCAGGATCTTACGGATACTCAGCCCTGTAAAGAGATAAATCATAATAAAACTGAAAGAATGTAGTAATACAGATATGAGCCAATGGTTCAAGAAAGTAAATTCCTCCCTAATCTAGTAAATAGACTATATTCTTCCAGTTACCCAGGAAATTAAATTATTCTACAATAATTTTCTAGGTTAAATAAATTATATAGTTATTTGTCTGCTTAGTAGTAGTTTAGGAGTTCTGACACACACACACACACACAAACACACACACACACCCTAGAGGAACAGGCATTGTATTCTTACTGGAAATAAACTTCTCATTTTCATGCCTGGTAGAATAAACATTATTATTTTTCTCTTCTTGTCCAATAAACATTTAACAAATGAAAATACTGGATTGTAGTGAATTTGCTTGGTTTGAAAATATAAATTTGGATTTATTTTATTCTTATCTTGAAATTTAACAATGAAGGTTAAAAGTAAACTTTCACTTTTTCTTTTCTTTCTTTCTGTACAAAGATATGTACGTAATAAAATATTCTTCAATTGTGGTCTTTGCTCAGACATATATATTAGAAATAATAAGATCAGACATGTTTTTAATATACTGAAAGGAAATACGTTTTAGTTGCTGAAGTCCCATGGGAAAATTGTGAAAGGAAGTTTGTTTTCAGTTCCACTGTACACGGACCCTGTCCCGGCTTTTAAAAGCCTTTCCTGGCTGGGCGCGGTGGCTCACGCCTGTAATCCCAGCACTTTGGGAGGCCGAGGTGGGCGGATCACGAGGTCAGGAGATCGAGACCATCCTGGCTAACACGGTGAAACCCCGTCTCTACTAAAAATACAAAAAATTAGCCGAGCGTGGTGGCGGGCGCCTGTAGTCCCAGCTACTCAGGAGGCTGAGGCGGGAGAATGGCGTGAACCCGGGAGGCAGAGCTTGCAGTGAGCCAAGAACATGCCTGGGCGACAGAGCGAGACTCCTTCTCAAAAAAAAAACAAAAAGAAAAAGAAAGCCTTTCCCTCCCGCCAGGCGCTACTCCCTTGTGCTCTGTGTCCTGGGCTTGACTGCAATGGCGCAGGCTGGGGTAGCTCGAGGGCTCCTCTTCTCTGTGGTGTTTGCTGCTCTTTCTTTCTTCCTTCCTTCCTTCCTTCCTTCCTTCCTTCCTTCCTTCCTTCCTTCCTTCCTTCCTTCCTTCCTTTCTTTCTTCTTTCTTTCCTTCCTTCCTTTCTTTCTTTTCTTCTTTTTCGAGGCGGAGTCTCGCTCTGTTGCCCAGGCTGAAGTGCAGTGGCGCGATCTCGGCTCACCGCAAGCTCCACCTCCTGGGTTCAAGTGATTCTCCTACCTCAGCATCCCGAGCAGCTGGGATTACAGGCACCAGCCACCATGTCCAGCTAATTTTTTGTATTTTCAGTAGAGACGGAGTTTCACTATGTTGGCCAGGCTGGTCTCAAACTTCTGACCTCAGGGGATCCACCCTCCTTGGCCTCCCAAGGTGCTGGAATTACAGGCGTGAGCCACTGTGCCCGGCCGTCTTCTAATAATTATAGTTACCATATACTGAATGTTTCTGACAGGTTGCTGAGCTCTTTATAATCCTCACACCAACCTTTGTAGGCAAGTATTATCAGTAGTGTTTCCATTTTACAGATTCATGAACATTATATGACTTCTTTAAAATCACACATATGTTACTGGGATTTAAATTTAGATCAGTATGATCACAGTGATGTATTTCTGTTAAGAAATAACTTCATTTCTGCAAACTCCTGTGCCTTCCCTCTAATTTGAGATTATTCATAATAAACTATGTGTCTGTATATTTTCTTTTCTTTTCTGGGGTTTTAAGTTTCCCTCTTTTCCTTCATTCATTTTTCAGAACTCTTTTCATTCATTTGTTTCTTCTTTTACTTTATAATTCCTTTCCTTGCTATCTGTAATAGTAAACCATGCACCAAATTTGAGGTAGCTGTGGTTAGACCAATTTAGTTTTATATATAGGCAGTGGCCTGCATGTCCTGGATGCAAAAATGAATCAAAATAAAACAAACCTGCCCCCAAAAAACCCTAGCCTATGTAAAAGTATAAGAAGATAGGCTGTCTAGGGCTGTCATAACAAATTATTACAAACAGCATGGCTTAAAACAACCGAAATTTATTCCCTCACAGTTCTTGAGGCTAGCGGTTTGAAATCAAGGTATTGACAGGGCCAGGCTTCCTCTGAAGGCTCTAGGGAAGAATCTTTCTTTGCTTCTTCTTAGCTTCTTGTGGTTCCTTAGCCTCTGACGTTCCTTGGACTGTAGATGCATCAGTACCATCTTTGCCTTTGTTGTTACATGGCCCTGTGTGTGTGTCTCTGTGTTTCTTCTCCTCTTCTTGTAAGGAAATCCAAATGTAATTTGGATTAAGGGCCCACGCTGCTCCAATATGACCTCATCTTAACTTAACTAATTATATCTGCAATTACATTTATTTTCAAATAAGATCACATTCTGAGGTTCCAGGGGTTAGGACTTCAACATATCTTTTGAGGGGACACAATTCAACACGTAACAGCCTGCTACCATTTATGTTAACATTAATTTTCCTTCTTGTGATTCCTTAGAGGTTTGAGTTTGTGCTGTCATTAAAAAAAAAAAGTGTGAAAAGTAGCCATAACATATAATTATATTGAGGAAAAAAGTAGGTAGGCCTTGAAAAATTATTTACTGAGCATCTAATTGTGCCTGGAGCTAGGCATTGTGGAAGATATAAGAGTAATAAAATCACACCATTGTTAGAAAAGCGAATTCTCAGGATCCAGCACAGATCAAATGACTCCGAATCCACATTTTAGCAAGAGCCTAGGCTGCAAGGATCAAAATGGCTGGGTAGCTTCACTGACTGAAGGGCAGCTGTTCTTATACTCTGTTGCACTTTAGAAGAGTCATGATGGCTGGGCTGCACCCCCATGAAAATTAAATAAAAATTTCTGGGACTGGGATCCAGGTAACAGTATTAAAAAACAAAAACAAAACCCTATATGCAGTTATAATATTGCTTCTCAAATTACAAAGCACATACAAATCACCTGGGATCTTGCTAAAATGCAGATTCTGATTCATAGGTCTGGGTGGACCCTAATAACTTGCATTTTTAACCAGTTCTCAGTTGATGCTGTTGTAATTTTATTTCTCTTGTATTCCCCACAATGTCTAGTTCATGAACAAGTAGATGCTAATTAAATATATTTTGAAAGGCGAAATTTTCTGATTTCAGAATTAGTAAATATTTCAGATGTAAAGGAAGAAATAGGCTTCACAATGTTTAATTTGAAAGTACTTCAAAGGAAAAAAATTTTTTTTCTCAGACTTGAAGAAGGCAAAAACACTTCAAACAAAATGTCCTTTGTTTTCTCAGGATTCTCTATGAGAAAATAGACTCAATAAGAGATAACAGCTTGGGTTGTTTTTCTGTTTCTCTTACACAGTTGCTTCAAGTCTCATTATTAGGTTCCCTGGGTACAACACTCAAAGATCATTCCCAGACTGTATTAAGTTCCTGTGGAGTGATTATTTCATTACAAGCGATGTATACAGACTGATGGCTTGATAAACAATAGATCACCCAGAACTCTATTATGGTTCACACCGCTAATGTATTGTTTTCTGTTTCATAGGAAATACATCCCAGATTTGTCTGAGAGATGCTGTTTAGGATAAGAGTTATGTGATTTCTCAGTTCCCGATCAAAGTTTAAAGTGTTTGACTTGATTAAAAACCATTCTTCTTTAAAACAGAATCCATTGCAGACAATTTCAGATATTTGTTCTTAGACATTCTAGGAGTAAGACTATAAAACATACTACTCTGTAGATGTGGCTTATCATTCTTACTTCCCTTATCCTCTTTGCTGTAAACCTCCACACGCTTTTTTTTTTTAAGAGACTGGGTCTTGCTATTTTGTCCAGGCTCGTCTTGAACTCCTGGGCTCACGATATCCTCCCTCCTCAGCTTCTGGAGTAGCTGGGACTACAGGCGCATATACCACTTTGTGGTTGATTTTTTCCTATCCTCTTTTTAAAAGGTGTTTTTTACCTCTGCTTTAGAGCAAAGATGGTATAATTCATCTAGTTTTATAACAAATGTAAACCAGATACAATAATAATCTACTCAGACCTGTGTGTTCAAATGCAGTTCACACTCAGCATTGCACTAGATGTCCCTGCCCTCCATTCCTCCCTCTATTTTTCCCTCCATCCCTTGGGCATTTTTCCAAGTCCACATTATTCTATTTGATTGTCTGGGTATTGATATGTGTTATCTCTATGTTCTAGGCACTGAGCCCAGGGCTAAGTATACTGTGATGAATAAAACACACCATTCCCTAAAACCTTCCTTAATTTTCTCTTTTGTTGAACTCCTCATGTACTTTTAGTGAGTACAATGACATTTAGGATTAAATTGTTCTCTAATTTTTCTCCTGTGATCTATTTTTGACTTGCTAAGTAGATCAAAGCCTTATTGAAGATTTTGCATTGGTAATATTCACAGAGAAAATGTATACCTGAACTGCTGGAGAGGCTCTGGAAAAGTATAGGAGCACCTGTCCTAACTTTTAGGGTCATGGAAGACTTAGGAGAGGACATCTAA
Organism: Homo sapiens; assembly: GCF_000001405.40. Classification (NCBI taxonomy): domain Eukaryota; kingdom Metazoa; phylum Chordata; class Mammalia; order Primates; family Hominidae; genus Homo; species Homo sapiens. Next base: position 185,668,573 of record NC_000001.11, read on the forward strand.
GCTAAGTAGGATAAGTAGAATGTAATCAGGTGAAGATTGAAAGTGGGGAAAAGGCTGGCAGAGTGTAGGATCCCATTCCATATTCAAGAAGTGGTTTTGCAAAGAGAAGATAAAGTATAGCATATTTAAAAGATGCATAGGTACTTCAGAATCACCAAACACAAACTGCAAGGGGGTAGATGTGGAGAATAAGGTACACCATGAAAAATATACAGGGACAATACAAAAGAGCAAGATGAAGGGTCAACATTGTGCTATAGAAACAAAATTCCCTAAAGTAAGTTTTCTGGTTTTGTCAGTGACTTTATAGGCTGTGAGATAGAGGAGGTCAACCCTAGTTGGAGCAGTATGCAAAGCAGAGATGGCCTTATATTGCGGAGTGCTTTGGATAGCCAGAGAGGTGGAGGGATCGACTTCAGTCTGGGAAGACCCCCTGAAAAAATGCCCAGTGGCTGGCAGTCATTTTGATGGGCTTTCTGCCTGAAACAGGGATTTCTCCTCAAAGGCAAATGAGATACAAATTTACCCAATGGCACATCCTAATAACTGAAGCAGGAAGACAAAACAGGTTCCTCAGGTCCCCACTCAACCAGCCATTTGCTAGAACACAAAATTATCTGCATTCAAATGCCAATTTTTTTTGAGTCACTGAATATGCTTTCTTTGCCTTTTCATTATTTCTTAATAATAATCATATAGCACTGACATCATTTATATCCAAGTTTGCAGTTAAATAGATCAGTTAATAAGTTGTACAAAGAACGGTGTGTTCTATACTGAAATAAGTGGCAATGATCTTATCTTCAGAGTATATCATCATCTATTTGGTTCTCAAAAACATCATCATCATTATAATTACTTTATTAATTCTTTTAGCTACTATTTTTTAAAGTTCTTTTTATGTTCCAAGCACTGTGGTAAGTGCTTTACAAACTGTAAGAGACATAAAGCTTTTCTGTATGTCTAGCCTCCCTTCCTTCTTTCAGAAATAATGTCTTTTTTTGTTTGTTTGTTTGTTTTGCTTTTAGGAGACCAGCCGTTTCTCATTCTCACTCTACGCAGTCAACTCCATGCATTCACAGTTTTACCCTTCTCTCTCTCCAGGCTTTATAGTGGTGGTAGTCATGGGACAGCACAGGACGCAGGCCTGGCTTAGGTGGGCACATGTCCTAAAGTGGTCTGAGCCATACTGAGGCCTGCACTTTTGCTGGAGCTATTGGAAAAGAGGTCCCTGGGTATAAGAGCCACTTAAATCTGGAGCGGGCTGAGCCCACCTGGTACCATGAGAAGAAAATCTGCCAGATATTGAAGTCAACACACAAGAAAGCAGAGCCAGGAGATGGAGACAAGGCAATAGCATCCTCAATATATTAAATTCCAAAGCTGGCTGTTCCTGAAGAGAGTATGTATCTGGACCTTTCAGCTATGTGATCCAATATATGTCTCTATCTTTACAAAACTACTTTGAGTTGGGCTTTTGTTCTTGGCTGCTGAAACAGGCAGAGCCATTATATGACTAAAAAGCTCCTGTTCTTAACGACCAATATCTCCAAGGATATTGGAGAAATGCTGGTGAAATAATGTGAGTAAATTTAAAAAGGAATCCCTCTTCACCTGCCCCCAAGTTTCGTGAGCTTTTTTAAGGGTACGTTTTCCATAAGGAATGTGCTTACTATTGCAGATTAGCAATGTGTTAGTTTGTCCATACGAAAGCAAGTAGCACTTATTTCCTTGTGGACAAGTGCATCCCCTGTGGTCCTGCTAGTACTATTTCAGTCCTAACGGGGTGATCAAGGGTTTGAGGCACCCTCTCAATACAAGCCCCAACCAAGGGAGGGTCCTAGCTCTTCTCATTTGAAAATGGTAAGCAAGCACTTCTCACTTCTAGATGGGAAGCCTGCCGATAACAAAAAATAGTTTTGCTTAAATATAGGCAGGCTTGAATTTGATGAAATGGCCCCCTCCGGTGGTTAGAGCAGCTGCTATAGTCTCCTTCCTCCTTAAGGTGGGAGACCTAAAATGAACCTTACTTAGTCTATTGCTTGTAAAGCCCACTGTTCTCTGAAATTTACTGCTTTGGTAAAATCTGCACAACTTAGAGTGCAGTGACAGCTGTATAACCGCATCGTTCAAGAAATCCTCAGTGTGAATGACTTTTAAATATTGGATGGATTGCCTTACATTCTGGGAGTGTTACTTTCACCCTCATTTATAAGGGGAAGCTCATAAAATAAGCTTCTCAGGAGTATACATTAATAAGAACAAAACAACCTTAACACAGCAGACTAATTTATCTATGTTTAATCTGTCTTGTAAAATAGCAAGATTAAAATGGAGGTACGTCACAGAAGATCAAAACATGTAGGCTCCTTGAAGTCCCTGCACATTTGGCCTAAATGCTTCCTAGCTCGTTTTTAAATCAGCTGATGTGAATGAGAAGTTATTTTTAAAAAATCAGACAATCAGAGTGCCCTGTACTAGAAAGAGACGACCTGTATGTTTGCTGACCATTGTTCTAGTGCTTGCTAGGGAAAGTTACCTGGAATTAGTAATAGAAAGAAAAGAACACATTATGGATGCTAAGGATAATTCTTCTTCTCTCTCTTAAATTTCATGAGACTTAAAAGGTGATTCTACAGTTTTTGACGTGATTCTTTAAAATATTTTTAGAAATATTTTATTTTATTTATTTATTTTTGAGATGGAGTCTCGCTCTGTCACCCAGGCTGGAGTGCAGTGACACGATCTTGGCTCCCTGCAATCTCCACCTCCTAGGTTCAAGTGATTCTTCTCTCTCAGCCTCCTGAGTAGCTGGGAGTACAGGCATGCACCACCATGCCTGGCTAATTTTTTATATTTTTAGTAGAGACAAGTTTCACTGTGTTGGCAAGGTTGGTCTCAAAGTCCTGACCTCAAATGATCCACCCTCCTTGGCCTCCCAAAGTGCTGGGATTACAGGCATGAGCCACTGTGTCTGGCCCAGAAATATTTTAACTTAGCACTTTGGTGTCAGATTCATAGGAGCCAATGCATACAAAATTATTTATTTCGTTTGAAAAATAATTCTGTAGAGGTCATTGCAATGTTGAGTTCTTGATCTTTAAATCCTTTTAAAATTTTAGATGGGCATTGCTAACGGGAGAGATACAGTTCACACCAAATAGATACCACGGATCATTCTCTTTTTAAAGTGTTCCTCTTTGAGATTCCCCACCCCACCTCCCCCCACTTTGCTGTGCCTCCATTCTCAACAAGCATCTTAAACATTGTTTATCCCCCATCCTCTGTCTTTGGCCATCTTCTCAATATATACCCTCCTTCTGAGTGTTCTCATCCAAACTCATGGCTGTATTTACTATCCATCACTGTAGTTTCCTAAATTAATATTGCTATTTAAAATTGAGCTGTACCCTGACCTTCAGAGCTATACATAAAATGGGCTGCCCAACATCTACTTGAATGTCCCATAAGGATTCAAATTCAGTATAGCAAAACTGAGCTTAATATATCTTCTCCCTGAATTTAGTTCCAGTTCATTTCATGGCCTCAAAACCCCGTATCTGGGAAACATACCAGAATCTTTCCTTACCTTCTTCCACAACCAACCGGTTACTATATGCTATAATATTTACCTTTTTGGCATTTCTGGTATTCGTCTTCTCGTTACCATCTTCACTGCTGTTGCCCTCATTGAGGCACTCATCTCTTACCTGGACTATTATAAGAGATTCTACTTTCAACTGAACAAACACATTGTAGCCAGAATTGCTTTTCCTAAATGCAAATCAAATCACGTTCTTCCCCATATCCCTCTTTTTTTTTTGAGACAGAGTCTCATTCTGTCAAGTGATTCTCCTGCCTTAGCCTCCCAAGTAGCTGGGATTACAGGCACACACCACCATGCCTGGCTAATTTTTGTATTTTTAGTAGAGACGGAGTTTCACCATGTTGGCCAGGCTGGTCTTAAACTCCCGACCTCAGGTGATCTGCCCGCCTCGGCCTCCCAATGTGTTGGTATTAGAGGTGTGAGCCACCATGCCCAGCCTATGTTCTTCCCCTTTTAAGACACTTCAGGGTTGTTGTTGTGTGTTTTTTTTTTTTGTAAGCATAAATTTAAATTTCTTGATGCATCATACATGATCCTCTACATCTGGCTACTGACCACTTCTCTATATCAGTTGTCTATTGCCCTGATAACACTGTGTAACCAACAACCACAAAATCTCAAGGACATACTTAAGAAACATTTATTATTCCCTTGTCTAGGCTGGTCTGCTGTGGACTTTGCTTGATCTTGGCTGGAGTTGCTCTTATGTCTGGAGGTTGGCTGGCCTTGGCTGGTCTAGAGTAGACTTAGCTGGAATAACTGGGGCAACTTGGCTCTGCTCTATGTGTTCCTTGTCCTCTGGCTGACTAGCCTGGGCATGGTTAATGGGGATGACAGAGATGCAAGAGAGAGCATAAGCAGAAATATACAAAGTTTCTTGAGGCCTAGGTTCAGAATTGGCACATCGTCATGTTTGCTAAGTTGTATTAGCCAAAGGAAGTCCTAAGACTGGCTCAGATTCAAGGGTTCGGGAGACAGATTCTGCCTCCAATTAGGGGAACTGCAAAGTCACATGACAATGGGTTGACTACAGGAAGTGGGGGAGAATTAGAGTTTTTATTGCACTGTCCATCATATATTTCAAGAAAGCTTCCACTTTCTTCCTTCCTCAGGACAAACAAGGAACAAAGAAACTCTCCACTGAAATTTTCAAATTTCATTACGGATAATGCAAGGAAAAGGAGAAAACGTCAAAGGAACTATAATTTCAACACCCTTGTAGAGAAAATAATGTATCTATGGAGGAAAATAAGTACAGGGTACTATGAGGAAATAAACATTAGGAGAATAGAAAAGAGACATTGGGAATTAAAAATATGATGGCAAAATAAGAAATTCAGTGAAAAGTTTGGAAGACAAAATTGAGGCATTTCCTGGAAAGCAGAACAAAAGGCCAAAAAAAAAAAAAAAAAACACAAAGAACACTAAGAAATAAAAACAGTCAGTTCAAAATATTTAAATCTGATTAATAAATGTTTTAATTTCAATTTTAATTTTTTTGATACAGTTTTGCTCCTGTCACCCAGGCTGGAGTGCAATAGCGCAATCTCAGCTCACCGCAACCTCTGCTTCCTGGGTTCAAGCGATTCTCCTGCTTCAGCCTCCCAAGTAGCTGAGATTACAGGCACCTGTCATTACACCTGGCTAATTTCTGTATTTTTTAGTAGAGACAGAGTTTCACGTTTCACCATGTTGGCCAGTCTGGTCGCAAACTCCTGACATCAGGTGATCCACCTCCCTCCACCTCCCAAAGTGCTGGGATTACAGGCATGAGCCATTGCGCACGGCCCCTGATTATAAAAGTTTTAAATAAGGAAAGGCAATTATTTAAAAAATAAGAAAATGCAGATGCCCAGGGTTTGCTACTGGAGAGATCTGATTCAGAAGGTCAGTAAATTGAATTAATACATTAATTTTGTATCTTTCCTTCAGCTTCTTTGGAACACTGAATATGAAACACAAAGTAGAACTTCAGAACTGATGAACTATTATTAGAAGTGGTTTGATTTGAAAATGTGGAAGTCAATTGTGGGAAGAGGGCATAAGGATGGAGATAACTATGTTTAAAACTTATTTTGAAAGTAGACAACAGCTAACATTAGTGTTCCGTGATGACGGGAAGTGGAGACAATGCAGCTGCTAAATGAGTCCCTTTAAATATTGACATGACTGACTCTAGTGCGACATGTTTAGTAGGAAGTGGGAGAGGAAGTAAAAATAGACCAAAGCAAACATTTGCTCAAGATAGACGAAGAGCAATACATCCTCTCTGTGCCCCTCCACCCCTATGAAAACATGGCTCTAAGCTTCTGACAACTTTTTTTCTCCCGTTTCTATTGTTATGGTCATGGTCATGATTTAGCACATTCTGGTGACTTTCATATATGCTCCTCTGACCAAATTCTAGATAAATGTTTTATGTTTACATTGTCACAACTCTTCAGGAATGAAGGTTACTCTCTCCCTTCATTAGAGACCGAAAATAAATGTTCAGCAGTAGAATCTTTTTCAACATTACTTTAAAAACGCAATCTCAAGGGGTCTCAGTTTTAAAGATTATGGAATTATGTATAGACTCCTACAAAATAAATGGGAGAAGTGGAGGCAACTGCTTAGGTTCCTGAGGACAGATATTGTTTTTCTGAAAGTTTTAGTTAATTGAAGCAACAGTCAGTAAGATCTGATGCAGTTGGACGATAGCTCTGTTCTCTACTGTGTCTTTCATGCATGATGTGGACAAAAATTCCTGTAGAGAAATTGAAAAACAGAGGAATGAACAGAACATGAAAGAAGTTTCTTTTATCTCTCTTTTAATAAGTGAAAATAATGGGCTATGAAAGTTAACTCACTCAAACTATATAGGATGTTAGGCAACAATTTTTCTATGTAAAGTAACTGAATTCATTGCATCTCAGTTTCTGTTGTCTGAGAAAATATTCCTAGAGGCATGTCAGGTAGGATTTGTAGAAAGATGGTAAACACTTTAAGAAGGGTCCACTTATTTCTCTCTGTCTCTTCTCATTGTGCTGAGTAGATGCATTTAGAATTAGATTGCATTAAAAATTTTTAAATGGTAGGCATTCATTGAGCGAAATGATAAAAATTCTTATTCTCTACTTAACTTTCTGCTTCATTCTTATTTAAACTGCACATTTTATTTAAAACTAAGTACCTAAAAATGAACAATGTGCTGGTGAGTGTATCCGTTCTTCTGCCTAAGCACACCTTGGTAAGGAATGATAGTAATAAACCCTGAGAATATATGGGAAGTGCTGTTCTAAAATGAAATCATAAAACTTACACAAAATGACAAGCAGGCAGCTTGAAGGAGAGGGAAATGGTTCTGAAATATGGGCAGAATTCTGGCTTACATCTTGGCACTTTCAGGAGTTGCAGTATGGAAGAAAAAGCAGAGTTCATGTGAATTATTTGAATTTTGCTAACTGGGATAGGCTGGGGAAGGTGTGTCATAGTCAGATTAATAGCATAGGCTTTGAAACTTGACCAGCTTGGGTTTGAATTGTAATAGGCTCTACCCTTCTAGAGCTGGTGTAAATAAAGTGCTTAGCACAGTGTAGCATGCAGCAAGTGCTGAATAAATGGTACCTCTATTCACAAGGGAGCAGATACCGACGTGAAGTAATCTGATGTTAACTGGTAGAGTTCTCCTGTCATCCACCCTCAGCATCTCATTTCACAGTATATGAAGTGCCATCTTAAGTTTTAATTTCTTCACATCTTAAAGCCTTTTTAATCTTCCAAAAGTCAATTTTAAAAGGCTCTGGATCTCTTCTTATCATTAGCTAGTATAAATAGAGGTCAGTTTAATTTTCTACTATGTATTTTAAATGATCAAAATGACAATTCATTTTATTAATAATTACTAAAAGTACCTATATTTTTGGAAAGTATACATCCAAGATAAGCTTATTAGGAATTAGCTGTGTCACAGTGTTTTTCAAATTGTGTTTCACTTTATTATACTATCTATGATATCTGCTTTGTAAAAAAAAGTTGCCATAATCTAATAAGGTTGAGATATGCATACCTGAAGACTCACAATGCACATCAGCATATTAAAGTTCTGAAACTATTCTACAGAAAAGAAACCTTTGCTTAACCTAGAATTTTCCAAACCAATTTGACTAGAGACTACTGTTGTTAGACAACATCTGTTAATATGCCATAGTTACATTTTGGTTTAAGACTACATTCTAGTTTAAGAGATTATTTTCCAAACTTAATAGTTAACTGGGAAAGTCAGACTCTTTAGGAATAGAGCATAGATTAGGCACTTGTGACAAGTGGATAGCAGAGAGGATCCTAAAAGGGAAGGCAAGAGGATGACAGTGAACTCTGTCCTACATAAAAAGAGCAGAGAAGAGATTCATGCAACTATTAGTCTACTTATAGTTTAGTTACATGCTTAGCCACTGACCTGTGTCTAACTTAAATCAGTGAACTATCTGCTTCCCAGTTTTTTCTCCATCAAATGTCAGGGGGCAAGGTGAGATACCTTCTAGGGTTCCTTCTAGATCAGCTATCCTAGTCTTTAACTATTTTGTTTTGAAAAAAAGTATGGTATTTTTTACTTTGGTGGCAGTAGTGGTGGTATACATTTATGTTACCTTTATAGAGGTCTATTTGTTTTCTTTCAGGAAATCTAGACTGTCCTATACATCAGTGAAAAACTTTGATATAAAGAATTTTAGTCTTTTTTATAGTTTGAAGAATACTGCTTATTATAGCTCGAAGTTTCCATTTAAATATGTTTTATTAAAGCAAAAACTGAATTAATTTAAGTTTTTTTTAAGTAGTGGGAGTTATTTTAGGTGGACCAGATCAACTCATGATTTCATTGTTTCATCTTTTATGTCCACTTGGCTTACTGGCAAACAAATGGAATTAATCTTTAAACAATGGAAGAATTAGAAGATACCTCATGCTCAGTGGCTAACTGGAATTACTCCATAAGCCAACAATTGTATTTCACTAATGTGTTCGCTGTTGACTCAGGTTATCATGGTCTTGGAGAGGGATTGTTGTATTTTCATACAACCAGCCCTGCATGTCAGGTGGTTAGCTTTTGTTTTGAGATGAGCTGTAGAGGATTCAGAAGCTTTAGGGACTTAATAGCCATAAAGTGGGTTGGTTGACAAAGGTGCAGAATAAAAAGAGAGATCTAGAGGGCATTACTAACTTCTGAATGAAAGGTATGCATATCACTGGATTTTTACAGTAGCAGGTGATCATGAGTTACTGTTTTTAAACTTGCTCACTTTTGCCTTACGTAAGGGAGGTATTTTGATAAAATCCATGGTTACATTGTAAAATAATTATTCATCCATTAAAGCAATTCCAATGGTACTATTTTAGACATAAAGCATACCAATACTGTTTGTAGCCAAATTTAATAATGATACTACAAGAATTATTTTTCTACCCAAGAACTTTTTTTTTTCTCTTTTCCCTCCTTCAATTCCTGGCATGGGAGAGAGAATAATTTCTGTAAAACCGAAGTCTTTTCTCAAGACAACGTGATTATGCAGAACATTAGGTCTCCTTTTTTACCAAACAGGAAGTGCTTTGAACTTGTTGGATGATAACATGTCAGCATTTATTTTTGATGAACAACTCAAGAATATGAAATTGATTTGAATTAAAAATTATTTAATAAGTTTCATTTAATATTCATCCTTTGGAGCTGTAGTCAGCTCCAAATGAACTCTAATAATCTTTAAATCTGTTAAATCACTTTAATAATCTTCATCTTTTTAATTTAATTGATGTATTTATTGTCTTTTAATATCCAGAAAGATGACCATTTCTTACCTTGGAGAAAGGACATTAGGATTATATACCTCACTGGCTGAGTTTAGAAAAGTAGTAATTATCTTTCAGTGATAACAAGTGTATAGCTCATAATAGAAGAATTCATATTTCCTAAGATTTTTAAAGAAGTACTGCTCAATTTAGCAAAATTGTTACAGTTTTACAATTGCACCTCTTCTCTTTTTAGGTGTTAAATTGCATTTGGACTTTTATGGCTAAACAAAACAAATATTTCAAGAGGTAAGAAGGTACATGATGAACACACTTCCTTAGTTAAATGAAAATAAAGGAGTTTTAAAGAGGAAAATTGAACTAACCAAGTTGAAATAAGGTCTGAGGAAAATCTAGATCTCAGACACAAAGGAAATCTTTATCTTTTAAAAAATTCCAAAAGGCTTGCACTTATACCAAGCTTTTGAGTTGAGAATAAAGGCCAAATGCAATAAATTTAAAAAAAAAACCTGTTGGAAATGTTTAACGATATGCATGGAGACATATTCTTCAATCCAGATATGAGCTTGGAAATTTAATATGAAGCTTGTATTACTAAATGTGCAATTATAAAAGGGAGGATGTGCAGTGGCCTAGAATTTTCTGTACATGGGCTTGGACTTTGGGGAATGGAAGATTCGTGTTTGAATTCATGAATTCATGAGTTTTGTCATCATGTACACATCATGTCATTTGAGCAGCCTTAGCTTCCTCATCTGCAAAGGGACAAGACTATCAATTATTGCACTGACCTTTAAGACCATTTTCACCTTATTATTTTATAATTCTATGATTTATAATGGTAGTTTTTCTCTAGATAGCATTTTTCTGAGATCCAATTGGATCCTTTGATCCTTTGAGATACAATATTTTTGCATTTAAAATAACATATGGCATCCTTTCAATTACCTGAAGAAACAGAAAAAGGTTTATTTCAACTTTAAGAAGACTTATTTTTAATAATCCTGAAATTTTGAGGCATTAACTATTACTAGACACAGACCAGATTAGGAACTGGGGCTTATTAACATTTTGCTCTTCTGAAATTTTTATCATTAAGTCATTTTTGTGAAGAAGTTTCAAATAACATGGTTAAAATTCTCAGAGAATAACAGAAATGAAAATGAGTAAGATCAACATCAAACCACCACTATCCATCCTGACAAATGCCTTATAGTTCCAAAAATTCTCACAAACTGTTTCATAGATTTGGGCCTTGATCCCATCACCATTCCAGGAAAAAACAAATACCTACGTGAAGCAAGTTGGTAACTTAGTCATAACTCTTAAGATAGCTCTTGCGTTAGGGAAGCTGAAGTGTGAAAAGACAATGAGGATTTCCTTTCATTTGGCAGGACAAATAGGATTATAGAGTAAATCCATTGAAGAGGAAGAGAAACAAGGCACCTTGACCCTGACTGAACTTCCTTGTGTGATTCCCCCCAGGGGTGAGGAGAATGAGCTGACAGATTCTCAGTAATGCAGCCAAGGATGTGAAGAGGCAGGTCCGGAGCTTGCTGGAAGGACCAACTGTGCACACTCACGTTGGCAAGGTAATGAGTGGGAAGACAATACGTGCTCCAAAGCATCAAATGGCCTTGCTGTCCCTCTAAGCTTCTTCCTCTATTATATAACATCCTAACAAGGTTTTAATGAGAACCCAAATAGTGTTTTATTTAGCTGTGAACTGTAAACCACTTGGATACACTCTCCACTGGCAAAGTAAAATAACAGTTTTTATTACACCTGTGGTATAGATAGAAGGATAATGTAGCCAAATGAAAATCTAAAACAATCGATTGTTTCTGCAGCAAGTCTTTTGCTATGATTTGCCCCAAATATGCAACTTGATGGCTCAGCTTCACTCCCTTTCCTTTCTTTGACTCATGAGATTCAAAGAGCTCTAGAATGTTAAGGAGAGTCAGAAGGAACAGGACAGGAAATAGAGCAGTAAAAAGAAGAAAAGGTGCTAGATTTTATACAACCTGGGCAATCAGGACAGAAGTTTCTAAGACTTACTGCTTCAAATACTCTTCAAGGATCAAACTAATTAAATCAAACAATGTGAAAGGGAGGACAGTCATATTCATTCATTCATTCATTCATTCATCATTTGTTAAGTTACTCAACAAATGAATGTTTTATCGCCCACTGTGTCCTTGCTACAGCCTAGAGGTGAACTTGTGTCCATGACTCTTTCCTTCCTCTATAAACAGGTTCAGCTCCTCACCTGCCCTCCCCCTTGGGCTCAGACACCTGAAGCACACACTTCGCTGCATGCACTGCTACCTCTGCCTATCTTCCCAGGCTGGCTTCCTGAATGCCACTGGCTCTTCTTATCAGTTCACTGAATCTTTGCTCCTACCCTTGGTTTGGGTCCCATTCTTGTCTTCGTCATCTCCTTGAACTTAACCACTAGCTGAGCAACCCCTGATGAACATGATCTTCAAAATTCTGTTTTTTACTTCTCTAACACTCTCTCACTTATGAAGGCTCTCTTTCACCATGAGGTCACACGGCTCTGGCACAGTGCTTAGCACACATTAAGCCCTTACTCTATGTTTATTGAATAAATGAATGAGGGCCTTGGAGCCTCTTTGGCTCCTTCTACCCTTTCTCTGAGCCACAGATGTCACTTCCCCTCTGCTGTCACCTACAGCAACCAGCGTGCCCCACAGACTCACTTCCTATGTACTTTCAGCTCCGGAATCCCAGCTGAGCCAAGGCCCTGGCTTTACTTTACCTGGGAGAAGAGATCAGACCTCTACCCTCCGAAATAGCTGACCATTCATCTGGCAAATAATGGAACACCCTGACTGATTTCCTTGTGTTGGCTGTGTTAAAATAGCTTAATAATCTCCATGCAACAGAACTCCCTTGAGTAAATGTGAGTTTCAGACCCATCAGTGTTTGTGGCAATTATTCTGAACTGTTTTCCTTTAGCTAACCTGCTCGCATTTCTATCCTTCCCCTCACTTCCCAGATCTTACTTAGCTCAGCCTTCCAGGTACCCTTTCTTTTTTTTTCCTGAAAATTTTTTTTTTATTTTATTTTATTATTATTATACTTTAAGTTTTAGGGTACATGTGCACAATGTGCAGTTTAGTTACATATGTATACATGTGCCATGCTTGTGTGCTGCACCCATTAACTAGTCATTTACCCTTTTAATCTGATCTCTTGGAGCTAGTGTTTGTTTCTGACCTCTGATTCCTGATTTATGGCTCCCTCTTGTGGATATTGGCTTGGGTTTGCTCCACCAATGTATTCAGCCGAATTGGTTCTGAACAGCCCCTTCCCAAGCAAGGAGAGGTTTGAATAATTATAATATAATGATATAGTAATATGATACAACAGAAGTATGGCTAAGGTATATTACACATAAGGAAGGCCTAAGTCTGTCTGGGAGAGTCAGGTTAGCTATACAGAATTGTGAATTGGAAGGAGAAGTGGGAGGTTTCCAGGTAGACAAAAGGAAAAGATTGTTGGGTCATAGGACAATATACTTTGGTAATTAGGGTAATGGAGCCAGGAAAAAAGGGAGTCCAAGATAGGGTTCAAGCCAGGTTTCTGACTTCAGCAGCTAGGTGCCGGCCCCATATTAGAGAAAGCTGCAAGTTTAGAGTTGGTAGGTACTTATCTTGGTTTAATATGATACTTCATAGATAATGGAAATTACTACTAATACTATAAATTACTAGCCTTAAATATTCTTAAATATTTTGAACACATAGTTGAATATTTATAAGTGTCATTTACATTCAGGTAATTGATCAAAATATTATTTTGGCCACCATTAAAAGAGTTTTCCCAGTTTTTTTTTTTTTCTGTAGACCTCCGTGGTCATCCAAAGTCATTGATCAAGATACATATTTTGGCTTTAATGTACTCTTAGAAAAATGAAACTATATATGGATGCCCTTGTATATTATAGGCTTTTAGTATTTGACCCTGTTTCATTAGTCCAAACTTATGAGATTTATTCACGTGTTCATTTCATAAGAACGTTTTCGGCTTCTTCAAGGTGCAGGCCCTGTGTAATACCATGATGGTGAAGATCATATAAAATTGGGCCTATCTAGTGCGGCTATACTGGAAAATTTGCAACAGTGATCTTCCCTTCTGCTTCGTTATGCTCTATGAATTGTTAGTAGCTTTTGCAAAGTATACTTTACCTTAAAATTGATGGAATTAAATGTGTTGAAGGATAGCTCTAGCTATTGGGCTGTGTCATCACTGAGCAAGATTTTCATAGGTTCTGAAATATTGTCACTGCAGTGGCACCAATAAAATTAAGTTCAAAGTTATGGTAAAAGAGCAAAGTGAGTTAAGTGTATATTCTTTGAAAATACTCTTTATTTGATGTGAATTCTTCTTGACAGACAATGTAATTTTACTCAAAATTGAGGTCGTAATCTGCCTCGAAGAGAAAAATGCCACAAAACTAGAGCATATTATTCATCTTACCTTATCATGAGGTTGATTTGTTTATCTGTACTTAATTTTGGATTGGGAGAAGGTGAGTAGAGACCCATGTCACCTACTACTTACTTAAACCTGTCAGAATTTACAACTTTCATATCATTAGTAGAACAAATAATATGCATATATATTTTGCTTTTAACTTTTTAAAAATGGAAATAAGCCCCAGGGAAGAAACAAAAGTTGTTTTATCTTCAGTTAACTTAATATTTAACTTAAATGGGCCTAGCAACCATTTAAAATATCAATGCATTTAATTTCATTTATGAATACGGTATGTAAAATGAACACACAAATGCTAGATTACTACAGGGATACTAACTTTGTTGTTTATTTCAACTGGATCCTAAAGGGAATAATAATAAGAAAATAATTTTATGTGTGTGCGCACATGTGCATAGCCATCCTTGCGTTTTCTCCTGGTCTTTCATGGAGACCCCAAAGAATGAAGACAGTTGTTAATAGGGAGCATATGGTACCCAGCACAGTGTCTCTCACACAGTGGGGGACTCAACAAATATATGTTGAACCAGTGGAATTGCATCTGTCAGATCATTTTGCTTAGTAGAGAAGGCAGCTACCAAGCTTCTGTTCTGCTGAAATTAATGTTGCTTTCATTGAAATCTGATTTTCATAGGCTTTGGTTTTTCATTTGCAGAGATGATGTACAGTGTCTATTTTTTCACCAGGCATTGTAATTGTAGCTGATGAAAGAATGATTAGACAGACACACACAGTCCTTGCCCTTAATTGGCTGTCTCATTGGGGTGATATAGACCAACAGTGGCAAAATGATGTGATGATGGAATGAGTCAAGTGACTGGGAAAGCAAGCAGGCCACTTGAGTTCCAGAGAATGGGCCTGGGAGTAGGGACCCCAGAAAAGACTTGATGGAGGGCAGGAGTCCAAATGCATCTTGACATTTTTCTTTTCTTCCTTTTTAAAAACCTTTTGTAATGGAAATTTTCAAACATATACAAAGTAGAGAGATAATTTAACAGCTATCCTCACATAACCAATCTTGTTTTATCTATACTTCCTCACTCCCTACAACCCCTCAATAGGCTACTTTATTTTAATTAATTAATTTAAAGGAATTTATTTCTTACAGTTCTAGAGCCTGAGAAGTTCAAGGTCAAGGGGTCACATCTAATGAAAGCCTTCTTGCTGGTGGGGACTCTGCAGAGTCCTGAGGTGGTCCAAGGGGGTATCACATGGTAAGGGGGCTGAGCATACTACTGTGTTAGCTCAGGTCTCCCTTCTTTCTTTTCTTTGATGACATGAAACAGAGTCTTGCTACATTGCCCAGCCTGGACTTGAACTTCTGGGATCAAATGATCCTCCTGCCGCAGCCTCCGAGTAGCTGAGACCACAGTTGCTTGCCATAGAGCCCAGCTAAATAGACTATTTTAAATCCAATTTCATCTTATTTCATATTATTTCATCCATAAATATTTTAGTATGTATCCATAAAAGATCATCTCATTTTTACAAATAATTACAATACTATTCTCACCTAGAAATTAATAACAATTTCTTAATATTTTCAAATATCCAGTAAGATTCAAATTTCTTCTGTTGTTTCATGATTTTTTAAAAGGTAGTGTGCTTGAAACAAGATTTAAACAAGGCCCACACCCTACCTTTTGTTACTATCATATCAGAGTGTGTTTTGAATAGCATGAAGAACTATCCAAGGGAGTGTATGCCTTATGTAGGCAGGTGCTTATTTTGTGTTTCATTCACTGTTTCGTTATTGTTGTTGTCATGGTTGTTTACTGCTTTGGTTACTTATAACCTAGAACAGTGCTTAACACATAATAGGTGCTCAAAAATGTTTGTTGTATGAAAGGATGAATAAAAGAATGAGGTAGGGAGGCATTTCAAGCTGAGGGAGCAGTGTGAGTGTGAAGGTCTGAAGACCTGTGAGATCATAATGCATCTGCAGAACTATCCATTATATGTATGGCTGGAGCATAGAATCAAGGTGATAGTAGGACATGTGACTGAACCTAATTAGGGACCAGCTCATCCAGTGCTAAGCAGACTGATTTGGAACTTTTGAAGAATTTTCAGGAGAGGAGTGACATGATCAGATTTGCA